>NC_000009.12:114470552-115095552 GCF_000001405.40 Homo sapiens | reverse complement strand
TATATACATATATATACATATATATATACATATATATACATATATATATACATATATATACATATATATATACATATATATACATATATATATACATATATATATACACATACCACGACATGCATATTTTCTGGGATCACTGAGAGAGGAAAAGTTCTCACTTTGCTGTAGAACTCTTGTCTTTGCTTAAAAACAGACATATGCCAAAGTAGGGGTTTCAAAGGTTAGGAGAAAGAAAATCCTAGAAAAGAAAAACATTCATTAAAGTCCATATTTTTCATTACAAATGTTTCCTTTTATTAAGCTCTTACTGCTACCAAAGACTGTTTGCCATTTCTTTCGCATACATTATCTCATGCACTTTTCACAATGATCCTATGAGGACTCCCTTAACACATTTATTGATGACAGTACTCTGGCTTATGGTCACAGATAATAACCTTGCACAAGGAACAGGAAGTGATCAAACAGTGATTCAAACCTAAGACAATTTGCCTATAAAACTTGTGCCCTTCAATGCCATTCTATTTACATTCTGGTGCTTTGGAACCTGCTACATTCTCAAAGAAGACCTTTCTATTGGGTACCAATTCCAACTAGAAAAGTCTTTCTCCTGTTGTGCTGAAATTTGTCTTCTCATAACCAACCCTCCCTCCCTGCATCATCCCCAGCACATAAACGCACACACACACACACACACACACACACACACACACACACACACACACACACACAGAGGCACTTGTTCTGTCCTTAGGGGCTACAAGAGGCAAGCCAGTGCCTGCTTTGCCAGGATTTCTACATGGTAACCCTGACCCACTCAACCTTGGTTTTCTCAACTACAAAATAAACCTGCCCAGGTCTGTAGTCCTTCCTCCTACAAGATATTTTCCAGACCTTTTATTGCTGATCAATTTTCTATAAAGATTAGAATCTGTGTTTTCTAAAGAGTCTCTGTAGAATAAGTTGCTCATTCTGAAATTATAAAAGTCCTACTATCAGAACATGATTCTTCATGTCTGACCTAAATACCTCCAACTGCAATCTCAAGTAAGTTTCCCTGGGTTCATCCACAAAGGAGACTTAAAACAGCCAGTTGTCTGCATGAGAATATTTTACATTCTTAAAGGTCATTATTTGCTTCCTATTTTTTCCCTCTCTCATATAAATATTTCTAGTTCTAGTAAATTTACCTCCTCACCCACCAGTGATTTCTGCAGCTCCTCTTTGATCTAGATCCAAGTTGCTGCTGAGTTTAGGACTGTATTCAACTAGGCGGTCAAGCTCAGGCTTAAGTAAAAGGAGGCTATTGACATGGACTCTTGTTAGGTTTTGTTCCCCAGGAGCGCAACAAAATAGGAACTACTGTTTAATGAGTGCCTACTACGAGCTTGACACCATGCTGGGTACTTTATGTACAGGTCTCTAATCCTTAATTTTCTCTGGAAAGGTTTTGACTCCTTTGTTATATATGAGGTCATGGTTTAGAGAGGATAAGTAGCTTGTCAAAGTTGCAGGGCTAGTGAGTGACATTTGAACCCAGGTATGCCTAATTCCAAAGCCTAACCATTTTCTACAACACTGAAAATATAATGGATTTTTCCCAAAGTACAAAAACACCCACTGCCCTCAGACCACCATGAGCCAATAGGAAATACACAATGCTCAAGAATAACATACTCTTTCCCCCAACGATGCAACATTTGGTGGTACCAGTTTACGTCTCTTAAACACACAGTGAGAAATCCTCACTCTACTCACACTCTGGTCATTATTACCCTAAACTCTTTGCCTTGGAGTCTCAATCAGCAACTATAATGGCTTTTTAGATGGAAATTTAAGTCATTTAGCAACACACAGAAAAGTGTTGGGGAGAAGTCCAAAAACATTTCAAACTTGGCCCATGGCCCTTTCTAAAAAAAAAAAAAAAAAGCTAAGAATTGATGGAAAAGGGGTAGGAAAGTAGAACTTTGTGAAGGTGAAGAGAGTTAGAGCAGCCATTCTAGTAGACTATGCAGCCAATAAATATTTGTCCAGTAAACACATAAGATGGCCAAATTGGTTTGAAAGGAGAGAACATGCCAAGTCTCCTTTTTTATAATAATCTTCATTCAGTGGCCTTACCTACATTACAGACCCACACATTGTTAGTTAAGAAGCTAATTTCAATGAGAAAGCATGCTCAAAAGAGGGTTGGGTATTTTTTGTTTCTTTGTTTTTGTTGTTGTTGTTGTTTTTGTTTTGTTTTGTTTTTGCAGATATTACAGGGACAGTTGGTAAAGTGTCAATAAGAATATAATTAGAATGTGGTAGGTATGTGGATACGACCTTCTTAGTTAAATTCACTAGTGCTTTCTCAGTCCTTAGGCCCCTGATCAGTCATATAGAATGCTTCCCAGTTCAATTTTCCTTGCCACAATTCCTCTCTAAGTTTTGCAAAGGCTTTCTGTCATGAGGAAGGAGATGGTCAGTTGGGATCATGTTGATGCATTCTATCATTAGGATAAAATCTTTCCAGAAAAAAAGTTAGAAACCTTCTTATAGGCTGAATAATCCAAGCACCACCACTAATTGACATAAATAACTAACTTACAGTGTGCGAGTATAAGAATATCATGGGCATAGGGAAATGTCAATTTGTAAATGACATGCTAAAAACCAAATAGCAGCCAGGCACGGTGGCTCATGCCTGTAATCCTAGCACTTTGGGAAGTTGAGGCAAGTGGATTGCCTGAGCTCAGGAGTTCGGGACCAGCCTGGGGAACATGGTGAAACTCCAACTCTACTAAAAAAAAAAAAAAAATACAAAAAATCAGCCAGGCATGGCAGTGTGCACCTGAAATCCCAGCTACTTGGGAGGCTGAGGCAGGAGGATCACTTGAACCTGGGAGGCGGAAGTTGCAGAGAGTCAAGATCATGCCATTGCACTCCAGCCTGGACAACAGAGTGAGACTCTGTCTCAAAAATAAATAAATAAATAAAATAGCTCTTCAATTATCATTTGAATTTTACTCGGGTGCATCTCCTAATTAAAGAAAACCATGAATGACTTCATATCGTGTATAGATCATTCTCACATGCCTCCATAGCATTGTTTTAGTAAATATTATAACTGCCATTTCTTCCTGTCTTTATTTAGTTTCTCAACTGCCTCTAACAAGTCCCCTTTTCTCTGCTACCTGATTGCTCATACAGGTGAATAGCTCTAAGAGAGATGAATAAGATAACTTGGCAAAGTGAGAATTGCTTCATGGTAGCATATTCTCCTCCATATTCTGTTCCCATCTAATTCTTCTCACTATTTAAGGCTCAGCTTAAATTTTACCCTCCCTTTCCCATAAGCTATGCCCCACCTTTCTCTTGACCATTCCTTTTTATTTTCAAACCCCATAGGCAGTTATACACTATACCACAAAACAAATCCTATACATTCTTTCTTGCTTTGCTCCTTAAGTACTGGATGGATGATTCCATTTTCTTCTTAATTCTATTGTTAAGTCCCCTGATGGTATGTATACACTTGGTCTTATATTTATTTCTACCACCCTCAGACCTCTGTAAAAATGCTATAAGTACTTGCTGATTGGAGAAGACATCAGAGGCTCTTAGACATCCTTTCTGAGCTGTGAGCCTCAGTTTAGACAACTGGTTCAAGAATATTCTGTCAGGCTCTTCTAAAAACTGGACTTTTGAAGGTTTTGGAAATAAATCAAGGAGCAGGGAAACTGAGGTGCAGAGGAGTAGACTGAATGCTATACTGACAGTCATATAACTAGTAAGAAGCTCGGCTGGGATTAAAACTGTTTGCCTCCTAGAGTCCTTTATTTTAACCTCTGCCTCTCATGACAGAAGAGAACCAGCAGATGGTGTGGAAATCAGTTTTGAAAATCAATAAGAGGCAAGAGTTACTGAACATCTACCGGGACCAGGGCCTTTATAACACTATAATAATTCACTCAGAAGACATAGTAAATACTGAAGGAATTAATGAATACACAAATAACTTCTACATCATTCTTTTAACCCTGTCATTAGCAACTATGATCTTCACTATACAGAAAGTGAAATAAGGCAAAGAAAAATTACATAACGTATCCAAGGGACCAGAGCTACAGCCAAGATACAAACCTATGTCTATTTTATTTCAATATTTTACCTTTTTCTCTCTATTTTTCTGTCTCCTTAAATTTACAGAAGTTGAATAGTGAGTGAAATCATTCCTTCAAGTGACAAAGTTCTTTTAGAGACCATTGTATGTTATTTCAAGGGTATATAATGAAAAATTATCAGGAGAGCTTCAAATACAGGGATATAAAATCAAAATTCACTTGGAATTGTAGATATTCAATATATTCAATAGTAGATACTCATAATTTTTTTGTTCATCTTTGCTTGTAGAAAATAATTCTTTCAAGAAGATCAGGGACAACTGATTTGAAGTCTACTCTGTGCTTCTAAATCCCCAATTCTGCTGAAAGTGAGATACCCTAGAGCCCTAGAGCCCCAGCAGCACCCAGCCAAACCCACCTCCACCATGGGGGCCATGACTCAGCTGTTGGCAGGTGTCTTTCTTGCTTTCCTTGCCCTCGCTACCGAAGGTGGGGTCCTCAAGAAAGTCATCCGGCACAAGCGACAGAGTGGGGTGAACGCCACCCTGCCAGAAGAGAACCAGCCAGTGGTGTTTAACCACGTTTACAACATCAAGCTGCCAGTGGGATCCCAGTGTTCGGTGGATCTGGAGTCAGCCAGTGGGGAGAAAGACCTGGCACCGCCTTCAGAGCCCAGCGAAAGCTTTCAGGAGCACACAGTGGATGGGGAAAACCAGATTGTCTTCACACATCGCATCAACATCCCCCGCCGGGCCTGTGGCTGTGCCGCAGCCCCTGATGTTAAGGAGCTGCTGAGCAGACTGGAGGAGCTGGAGAACCTGGTGTCTTCCCTGAGGGAGCAATGTACTGCAGGAGCAGGCTGCTGTCTCCAGCCTGCCACAGGTATGAGCTGGTGGCCCGCCCAGTCCCACACTGTGCAAACATGGAGAAATGAAGAGCATAGCAGCATCCATCACTTGCTTCCAAAGTGGGCTCACTAGAAAACTAGCTTCCCAGAGTGTTCATTACAAAGAGATTTTATGTTCAAATAAGTGTGGAGACTGCAGCCATCTCTCTCCTGCTTGGAGGAGTCACGGCGACAACTGCTTCTCAGAGGAATTTTCAGGCTTCTGATAAGTCCTGCTTTGAAAAACCCTATTTTACCTTAATTATAAGTTTCTAAAACGTATTTGACCATGAAATCTACCCACTTTCTACCCCAAAACCTATGAGTACGCCATGAAATTTCTACCCCAGAGAGCACTCTCTGATAGGTACTGCTGTGGCCCCATCACCTCATTTTACAAATAGAGAAACTGAGGCCTGGAAAGAGGATGGGATTCCTGAAGGTCCTCCAATAAGGAGTAGAGTTCCTCACATTTCAGTATTCTTACAAATGCACAGTGCTGCCTGTGATAGTGCTGAGTTATAAGAATTAGAAAAAAGTTCCAATTTAATAGCAATTACAATGATTACAATCATATAAGCTCCCTCTGTGTAACAGGCACTGTTGTATTATCTCATTTAATCCTCCCAACAGCCCTTTAAGGTAAAGATTAGATGAGGGGAAGATAAGTCCTCTTCTACAGATCAAAGAAATGAATCTCAAGGGGATTAACCCACTGGCACAAGATGGCACAAAGAGCAATAAGAGATAGGGTCTTTGGCTAGGCGCAGTGGTTCACGCCTGTAATCCCAGCACTTTGGGAGGCTAAGGCGGGCGGATCACCTGAAGTTAGGAGTTCAAGACCAGCCTGGCCAACATGGTGAAACCCCATCTCTACTAAAAATACAAAATTAGCAGGGTGTGGTGGTGCATGCCTGTAATCCCAGCTACTCAGGAGGCTGAGGCAGGAGAATCACTTGAAACCGAGGGGCAGAGGTTGCAGTGAGCTGAGATCATGCCATTGCACTCCAGCCTGAGTGACAAGAGCAAAACACCATCCGAAAAAAAAAGAGATAGAGAGAGAGAGAGAGAGAGAGAGATAGGGATTTTGCATGTGCCTGTGTGTCTCCAGAGCTCATACTCTCCCATGGATGCCCTGTTTCCACATGCATCCTATTTCAAGGAATTTTGCTGCTTTGGAATTATGTCTTTATCTCCAATAACTAAAGTTGATAAAGCTACATGAGTTTCAACAACTTCAAATCAGAGCTGAAAATCTGTTTCTGCCACTCAGAAAAAAATTACCAAAATGTTCTTCAACAATTATTTCAAGAGTAAACCTAACCACCCTAAGTGAAATAGTCTTACGGCTCTGCAGGACAGGCTCTAGGTTTCTAAGGCAATTTTTAAAAACATTTTCTTTAGGCATAAGTTAGTTTATCTTCCACTTCTGTCAACTCCCTGGAAAAATGCAGATGAGAATACACAGTAGGAGTAATGCTAAGTAGTCAGTTAAAATGATTGTTTAGAGCAGTGCTGTCTAATGAAAATATGACTCACACATGTAATCTTAAATTTTCTAGTAGTCATGTTAAAGAAAGGAGAAAGAAACAAGTAAACATAATTTTAGTCATCTCTTATTTAATTCAACAGAGCCAAAATATTGGTTTTTCAGCCTGAAATCAATATCAAAATTATTAATGGATACTTCTCAGTCTATTATTTTATACTATTTGGAATCTGATGTGTATTTTACACTTACAGAACATCTCAATTTAGACTAGCCACGTTTCAATGCCTAATAACCACATGTGGCCAAGGGCCACCATACTAGATAGTACATACTTAGACTCTCACTTTACAAATCAGCTTTTTTTAAAAAATTCTTTCTTCCTGCTGTCAAGAATGAGATAAAATATATTAATACAAGCTGTTTCTACGTACAGAGACTACAGAGTGAATATACTCTAGTGCAGAGAATATAGAACTGGGTTTTGTTTCTTCTCCTTAAGCTCCATGGAGATCAGACCAATGACTTCTGCAAACTGAGCTAAGGCAATATTTAGGCCTCAAGGGGCTCGAGTAATGTCAACCTTGACCCCACATTCTTTAAGTTGACCTCCACTTAGCCTTCAGGATAGAAAGAAATAAAAGATAAAGGCACTATACTTTTCTGGGGACAGAGCCAAACTGAAAGGTGTCCTTATAGAATTAGAAAGCCATTAGCTACCTCATTTTAGTTGCGGAAAATTAGAATGTTTTGGTTATATAAACCCACATACCAACTTGAGCCAACCTTCCACAAAAAACTTTGGAAAATAAAACAGAAAAAAATAACAAGGACACAAGAGTGAGCTCTTAAGGGGTTTACTTAACTCGGATATACCCCAGGGAAGTGGGCTATTGGCCCAACTTCACGTATAAGAAAACTAAGCTCCAGATAGTCTAAATCCCTTGCCAAATGTGGCATAGATATTGAATCAAAAAGTCAGAATTACATTCAGTTCAACAACTATTTCTTGGGCATCTTTTATGTGCCTGGCCTTGATGAGGCACTAAAGAAATAATAACATAGTGGCCAGTCGTGGTGGCTCACACCTGTAATCCCAGCACTTTGGGAGGCCAAGGCAGGCAGATCACGAGGTCAGGATATTGAGACCATCCTGGCTAACATGGTGAAACCCCATCTCTACAAAAAATGCAAAAAAAATTAGCCGGGCATGGTGGCGGGCGCCTGGAGTCCCAGCTACTCAGGAGGCTGAGGCAGGAGAATGGCATGAACCCAGGAGGCGGAGCTTGCAGTGAGCCAAGATGGCGCCGCTGCACTCCAGCCTGGGCGACAGAGCAAGACTCTGTCTCAAAAAAAAAAAAAAAAAAAAAGAAAAGAAAGAAATAGTAACATAGCCCCAGCCTAATGCATTTCACAAGGCAGTGACTCATAATCATCATAGGAATAGTAAGACTTCTTGAAAATGTGACAAAAACTATGAATCCGCTCCCCAGGGGTGGAAATACACACACACACACACACACACACACACACACACACACCCCTATGCATAATCACACACTGTTTTGGCATACAAGCCTATAATTTCAGGGAATTCAGGTTATGAATTCCTACCTGGTATAACAGGATGTGAGTCTCATCTGATTTCACACACTACAACAAATGGTTCTCAAGCCAGATGGAGCCTGAGGGTGCAACCGTCCTTCAGCTGAATTTGAATCTGGGTGCCCTGGGTAGATACAGAAAAATGTGGCTGCTTAAGCCTGGCTGAGAACTTCTGTTTCTTTTGTTGCAGGCCGCTTGGACACCAGGCCCTTCTGTAGCGGTCGGGGCAACTTCAGCACTGAAGGATGTGGCTGTGTCTGCGAACCTGGCTGGAAAGGCCCCAACTGCTCTGAGCCCGAATGTCCAGGCAACTGTCACCTTCGAGGCCGGTGCATTGATGGGCAGTGCATCTGTGACGACGGCTTCACGGGCGAGGACTGCAGCCAGCTGGCTTGCCCCAGCGACTGCAATGACCAGGGCAAGTGCGTAAATGGAGTCTGCATCTGTTTCGAAGGCTACGCCGGGGCTGACTGCAGCCGTGAAATCTGCCCAGTGCCCTGCAGTGAGGAGCACGGCACATGTGTAGATGGCTTGTGTGTGTGCCACGATGGCTTTGCAGGCGATGACTGCAACAAGCCTCTGTGTCTCAACAATTGCTACAACCGTGGACGATGCGTGGAGAATGAGTGCGTGTGTGATGAGGGTTTCACGGGCGAAGACTGCAGTGAGCTCATCTGCCCCAATGACTGCTTCGACCGGGGCCGCTGCATCAATGGCACCTGCTACTGCGAAGAAGGCTTCACAGGTGAAGACTGCGGGAAACCCACCTGCCCACATGCCTGCCACACCCAGGGCCGGTGTGAGGAGGGGCAGTGTGTATGTGATGAGGGCTTTGCCGGTGTGGACTGCAGCGAGAAGAGGTGTCCTGCTGACTGTCACAATCGTGGCCGCTGTGTAGACGGGCGGTGTGAGTGTGATGATGGTTTCACTGGAGCTGACTGTGGGGAGCTCAAGTGTCCCAATGGCTGCAGTGGCCATGGCCGCTGTGTCAATGGGCAGTGTGTGTGTGATGAGGGCTATACTGGGGAGGACTGCAGCCAGCTACGGTGCCCCAATGACTGTCACAGTCGGGGCCGCTGTGTCGAGGGCAAATGTGTATGTGAGCAAGGCTTCAAGGGCTATGACTGCAGTGACATGAGCTGCCCTAATGACTGTCACCAGCACGGCCGCTGTGTGAATGGCATGTGTGTTTGTGATGACGGCTACACAGGGGAAGACTGCCGGGATCGCCAATGCCCCAGGGACTGCAGCAACAGGGGCCTCTGTGTGGACGGACAGTGCGTCTGTGAGGACGGCTTCACCGGCCCTGACTGTGCAGAACTCTCCTGTCCAAATGACTGCCATGGCCAGGGTCGCTGTGTGAATGGGCAGTGCGTGTGCCATGAAGGATTTATGGGCAAAGACTGCAAGGAGCAAAGATGTCCCAGTGACTGTCATGGCCAGGGCCGCTGCGTGGACGGCCAGTGCATCTGCCACGAGGGCTTCACAGGCCTGGACTGTGGCCAGCACTCCTGCCCCAGTGACTGCAACAACTTAGGACAATGCGTCTCGGGCCGCTGCATCTGCAACGAGGGCTACAGCGGAGAAGACTGCTCAGAGGGTGAGTGCCAGGGCGCAGACCAGCATATAATGGCCATGATGGAGTGGACTCCTAGTATGGGTTGGAAAACTACGTTTATATATATAAACATTCATGCACACTGATTCTTTGTACGTATTAATATATCCATTTAAACACACACCCATAATGACTTTTTAAGGGGGCCCTGTCATTCCGTTGTTACAAGGTGACCTATTTAAGGGCTGAAGGGCTCAGAGAGGTTATATAATTGTCCCAGGGACACACAGCTGACACATCACAGAGCTGGTATTCAAGTCTGCCTAACTCATCTACATAGAGTTTAAAATAAAGTTGGAGAGGCCAGAACACATCTAGTGTTCAAGATGAGGTAGATAAAGGGATACTCTCTCTTTTGCTAAATATCAACTTTATTTCCTACTCTCCACTGACATCAAACCAACAGTAAACAAAATCTCTGTATTTGGATGGATGTAAAAATTCAGCTAAATTGAATACGCAGTGAGATTACATAAAAACAACTGTTTCAAATGCATACTTGGCTAAAGACGAAATGCCTATTATCTACAAGATTGACCTGTCTTTTCATTGTCTTTTGTAACTGGTTTTGTTTTTTTGATTGTTTTGTTTTTTTAATCCTAAAGACTGCAAGCTCCTATCCTTAAAAGGGCACTATTTCTAGCAGTTAGTATGGGACCTGGTACATATTAAGTGCTTAGTAAACCCTGGTTAAGTGAAAACACAGGAGAGAAAATTAATGCTCATATTTAATGAGTGTCTTCTTTGTACTCCTCTCATCTACCCATATTATCATTGTCATAATGGAGAATTTTTTCCTTTACTAAAGTTATTGGTATCTAAACATAAATAAATGGCTTTGTGTTCAATGTGGCGCAAGCAGGGAAGCCTGGTTGGAAAGAACACCAGGCTGGCAGGGAGGAGATACAAGTTCTAAACTTGATGAGGTGAGCAAGCTTGGTCAAGGCGTTCTGTCTTACTCACCTCTATAATATAAGAAAGTTGGACCAGATATGCCCAAAATACCCTCCCAGTGCTAGGGACACGTAACTCAAAGTTCAGAGCAGGGAGTGAGGCTCAGACTGCACTTTCCCATGCCAACAGCCTGCATCTGAGCTAAGACCCAGGAAGCACAGAAAGTTGGAGAGGCCAGAAACACCCAAGGGCACACTGCTGACCTGGGACTCCAGCCTGAAGGAAATGGACTAAGGAACAGCCACCACAGGTCTTAAGATGGATCACAGCAGGGGGTCCCTGATGCCATCTGCATTTTAGAGGCAACAGAAGATCTTCAGACCTCTGTGGCTGACAGTGGAAAAGACAGGTCAAACAAACCTAGAGAGATTTTAGAGGACACACTGTTGACACCAGATGTCCTTTCTTATTCCTGCCAGTGTCTCCTCCCAAAGACCTCGTTGTGACAGAAGTGACGGAAGAGACGGTCAACCTGGCCTGGGACAATGAGATGCGGGTCACAGAGTACCTTGTCGTGTACACGCCCACCCACGAGGGTGGTCTGGAAATGCAGTTCCGTGTGCCTGGGGACCAGACGTCCACCATCATCCAGGAGCTGGAGCCTGGTGTGGAGTACTTTATCCGTGTATTTGCCATCCTGGAGAACAAGAAGAGCATTCCTGTCAGCGCCAGGGTGGCCACGTGTGAGTGAGCAGAACTCTTTTGGGCAGCCTCACCTGATGTCAGCCCACCCAGTGTATAACCCTCCCTCGCCACGGCCCCTACAATCCTATAGTTGTTCTTTACAGTTATACCAAATAAGAGCCTAGAATTAAGTCCATAGAATCACTTATTAAAGAAATCCCTCATTTTCCATCAAATCTTTCTCCTTGCTCTCCTATATACTTCCTGCCAGAGAAAATCATTACAAGTAACATTTAGCAAGTGTTTACTGTGTATCAGACTTTGTTGTAAGCAGTCTACATATTAGTATAAGAGTCCTCATTTGGCCGGGCATGGTGGCTCATGCCCGTAATCCTAGCACTTTGGGAGGCCAAAGTAGGTGGATCACCTGGGGTCACGAGTTCAAGACCAGCCTGGCCAGCATGGCGAAACCCTGTCTCTACTAAAAATACAAAAATTAGTCGGGCCTGGTGGTGCATGCCTGTAATCCCGGCTACTCAGGAGGCTGAGGCAGAGAATAGCTTGAAACCAGGAGGCAGAGTTTGTAGTGAGCTGAGATCATGCCACTGTACTCCAGCCTGGGTGACAGATTGAGACTCTGTCTCAAGAAAAAAAAAAAAAAAAAAGAGTCCTCATTATATGAGTTAGTATATGTATGAAATAGGAGCTATTGTTAACCCCATTTTACAGATGAGGAAACTGAGACTGCATGGTTAAGCATCTTATCCCAAGTCATGCAGCTAACAAGGAGTAGAGGCAAAACTTTAACCCTGGCAGTCCTGGCAGGTTTATGTTCTAAACCACTCTATTACTTTTCAGTGGAGATCACTGACTATTTTTCTTTAAGTGGAAACATTCTGGTTTATGAGTTTAGCATCAGTATAATTACCTTCATATCTAAAAAGCAAGCTCTGGCTAGAAATTGACCCTTTTTTCCTTAATAATAACATTGGCTGCCATTTATTCAACTTGTTCTGCATGCCACGAACCAGGCCCAGCAGTCTACACACTGGAGTGGAGTATATCACTCACTCCTCAATGCATTCCCAAGAAGTAGACATATTTACCTTCTTTTTCCAAGTGAAGAAACTCAGGCTTAGAGCACTGTGTGCAATTGCTCAAGTTCACATTGATAGTAGAGCTTAGATTCTAACCCCAAGTCTGTCTGATTCCAAAGCCTGCGTTCATTTTAGATTTAAACATATGAAATTGCCAAAATTAATCATACCATTTTTCCTAATATTAATTTTTATACAGCCTCATAGAGACCTCATCCCAGAAGAAGCTTTAAAAGGACACCTGCTCTGGTTGTCAGCCCCTGACTGTTGCAGACATCCAGTCTGGTTTAGTGGAATCGTGGCCGCGTTGCCCAATCACACACCTGCCCTATCCTTACGTTCTATTTATGTTGTTACTTACAGACTTACCTGCACCTGAAGGCCTGAAATTCAAGTCCATCAAGGAGACATCTGTGGAAGTGGAGTGGGATCCTCTAGACATTGCTTTTGAAACCTGGGAGATCATCTTCCGGAATATGGTAAGGAGTACAAAAGAGCAGATCCATTTGATCTCAAGGATTTGAAAGATGACCAAAGGGTTCTGAAGACTTCTGTATCAACTAATTTTCCTTAGTTTTTGGTGGAGGACAAGGCTCTCATTAGCATCATTTGTGTTTGCATCTATATTTTAAGGGATGTTGGTTTTTCCCTGATTTTAATAAGTAAGTGTAGCACTTACGGCTGACACCCTAGACAAATAGAAGTTGTCACCTCAAGGTTCCAATTGTCCATCATCACCTTAGAAATCTCTACTCAGAGGCAAAGAAGAGAAGAAACAGTCTCTCCCTCAAAATAAAGGTACATCTCAGATTTGAGCAACCCTTCTCTCCAGGCCCAAAAGTACATGTGAAGCAGGGAACTTGTTCTCTGAATTTAAGCCCAGGCTCTGCCACCAACCAGCTGTGTGACTATCCAACAATCACCCTACTCCTCTGATGCTGGCCTCAGTCTACCCAAGGAGGGATTGAGCTTGTGCCTTCAGAATTCCTTTGGCTCTCACATTCTGTCATTTGACTTGCATGACAAAGGGGTAAAAGTTTACGAATGGGAGAAACAAACTAGAGAAATGTCTTTATCATCTCTGTATCCTCAGTAGCTTACATACTGATCTGATGCATAGTAAGTGCCTAATGAATCGATGAAAGAATAACAGAGGAATGAATGAATGCAGAGTGAATGAATCACATAAATTAAGAGACTGGCACCTCCCCTAACTCTTACCAAGCTGCCTCTATCTCTCAGAATAAAGAAGATGAGGGAGAGATCACCAAAAGCCTGAGGAGGCCAGAGACCTCTTACCGGCAAACTGGTCTAGCTCCTGGGCAAGAGTATGAGATATCTCTGCACATAGTGAAAAACAATACCCGGGGCCCTGGCCTGAAGAGGGTGACCACCACACGTGAGTATCACCTTTAATACTTATAGAATGATAAGGCTGATTGTACCTCATAGCACCTCCTGGTTGAGAAAGTGCCTTCTCATATAGCATCTACATCATTTAACTTTTGCTGCATTTTTAAAAATCCAGATACAGTGGTTTAAAATAACAATTCTTTGCATGTTGGTGATTTGGGTTTGGGCTCAGCTGAGCAGCTTATCTGTTCTTGACTGCACTCCTCATGTATCTGTGTGCTTAAGGGGTGGATTGGCCTAGGATGGCCTCAGCCAGGATGGTGTCTTTCTGTTTCGCAGAGCCTCTCATTCTCCAGGATGCTGGTCCTGTTCACACAGCTATTGAACAGGTTCAAAATTGGCATTAGATCACTTCTATCAAAGCACATCCCACGGCCAGTTTATATTTAAGGAATAGAGAAACAGATCCATCTCTTGATGAAAGGAGTTTCAAAATCTCCTTTCAAAGGGGTGTGACTACCTGAAGATAATTAAGCCCATTGCTAACAATCTAATTAGCATCATGTCACTAGTTTAATATTAGCACCCAGTTGTAGGACAGAGGAAGGGAAAATATTAATGTTAAGGCTTAAAGAAGCTAAATCACTTTAACATCCCATAGTTAACACCATCAGGGGCATAACTTTAAGCCAGGGTAAGTTTTATAACTTTAACCCCATTTCCACTAACATTGACTAGGCTCTGGTTTATGTAGAATGTTGATTCCATCTCTTCAATGGGAACCTAAATAAAATTTCATTCAATACTAATGATGTCAGAAGTTCTTGGGAGTAGAATAGGATTTAGCAGTACTAGATCATTTGGTGAGAAAAAGACCTGAATTTGGAGTTGCTCCACCAGGAAACATTTTTTTTTTTTTTTTCTGTCACCCAGGCTGGAGTGCAGTGGAACGATCTCAGTTCACTGCAATCTCTGCCTCCCAGGTTCAAGTGATTCTCCTGCCTTAGTCTCCCAAGTAGCTGGGATTACAGGCTCCCACCACCACATCTGGCTAATTTTTTTGTATTTTAGTAGAGATGGGGTTTCAGCATGTTGGCCAGGCTGGTTTCCAACTCCTGACCTCAAGTGATCCACCCGCCTCGGCCTCCTAAAGTGCTAGGATTACAGGCGTGAGCCACCGTGCACAGCTGCAATTTTTTAAAAAGAAAAAAATGCATAATTTTGCACTTCCATATAGGAAAACCTCTTTATTTTCTTCAAGATAACATATGCGCCAACTCTTTAAGTAATCGACTCTTCTTGGCAGGGGGTTGTTGGAAAAATTAAATCAGTTGCTAATGACAAGAAAGAACATCTTGCATTTAAATATTTGCACATTTTGCCTAGCTCAGAGCCAATTCAAAGGATTTTCTCTTTCATAAGCAAGTGTTTTCCATCATCCTGACACCACCTCTCTGTGGTAGGTAGAAAAGCAGGTACCAACAGGAAAAAAAAATCATTAGATCACCAGAAAGACAAAGAAAAGACAAAGCAAATGCTTAGTTGCTATGGAGGAGGTGCACTGAACTTTTTTTTTCACTGCTCTTTTGTTTATCTAAATTTGGGAATTGTCTGCTTTATTTCTTCTTATTTTAGAACAAACATTCCAACATTTGAAGTTGCATAATCATAAATTTCAACATAGGGGGACAAATATTTACCTGTTCATTTTGTATTTTTAGTAGAGACAGGATTTCACCATGTTGGCCAGGCTGGTTTTGAACTCCTGATCTCAAGTGATCCACCCGCCTCGGCCTCCTAAGGTGCTGGCATTACAGGCATGAGCCGCCACGGCCGGCCACAATTTACCACATATACCTGAAACCTTTAAACCTTTAACCTTTTTTCCAGATGTAAAGGGCCTTAAACTTCTAGTTCAGAACACATTTGGCTCCTTCTGTCTGGCATCTATATAAAGGTGGTATTATACTTACTTTTGAGGTCAATATGTTTGAGAGGTGTTGTCATGTAAAGGGGGAAAAGGATGGGCTTTGGATTCAATCAGTTCTGAGTTTGAATTCCATCTTTACCATTCACCATCACCTTGGAAAAATCTATTTCTTTAAGCTCCAGATCCAACAGCTGAAAAATGGGTTTATAGTATTCTCCTTGTGGGGTCGTCATAAGACTCAAGACATAAATAACAAAGCACCATCTTTGCACCTGATAAATACAGAGCATTGTTAGTTTCTGCTATTCAAGGGTCCCAAATCTAGGGGGATATCAGTGTCCTTGACGGAAACCCAACTTCTTTAATGCAAGGGGTACTAAGGAAGGTAGTAGGTACGGTTTGGGTGCTTGCTAGCACCTATAAGAACACAGAGCAGGCAGCTTCTGTCCATTTTTGCGACATCATTTTCATTGTGCATTTTACATCATCTGTGAGCTGGGACTGATGTGTCAACACCTAGACTTCAAAAACAGACTCTGCAGTTTTCTCACAATCTGCTGTAAATTATTGTTCCTTTTCATTCCCTGTATAAAGCCCACTTCCTGTCACTTGTTATTGTTTACTGAACCAATGCTGAAAACACATTTAAAAAAAAAAAAAGGAGAAGAAGAAGAAAGAAAGATTCAAAGATTCACTGAATACCCAGAATATGCCTGTCTCTGCTGGGAATTTAAAAGACTCACTCTCTCAATCAATGAATAACCCTACCTAAATTGACTCAAACTGTACAGAAATCTGTTATGAAACAATGAGACACGTATGATATTAGAATGCTCTTCAAGGACAGTGGCAGCCACAGGGAGGGAATATGTGTTTACCTGACTGAAGCCGGGTTAAAAAAAGGCTTCTCATTAGGAGACAACATTTAAGTGGGATTTTGAAGGATGCATAGGAGATTTTTAGAGGGAAGTATGATCTTAGAAAGAAGAAATGAGAGAACAGCATGTACAGAGACCAGGCGGTGCCCAACAGCATAATGTGCTTCCAGAGCTCTGAGCATCTATCAGAGTACAACACCAGAGTAGGTGGGGCAGAAAAAGTCAAGATGAGCCTGCAAAAACAGGCAAGGCTTGAAATAGCAATGACTTTCTTGCGTGAATTCTTTCTATCAAAAATAAGTTTCCATACACTGTCAAGACAGTCTATTGCCTCACTTTTCTGCTTGGTAATTCTGATGGAAAAGTTTTCAGGAAACATCCAGGAAGTTTTGCCTAATTAAAAATTTAAAGAGACTAAGTTCATCTTTTCAAATAAAGTATCCCCAAAGCATGTTTCCTCAACTTATGAGAACAGTAATAATAATAATAATAACAAAAGAACAACCTTTTTTTTTTTCATGTGACATCCATGGGCCAGTCTCTGTGCTAGATGCTTTGCAAGCTTTATCTCTCTTAAGATTTGAAAAAAACAAAAACAAAAAACACTAGAGGTAGCTGCTGTTATCCCTACTTATAGCTTATCAAACCAAAAACTAAGGTTCAGAAAGGCAAAGTAAAGTCAAGCAGTTAGTATAAGTATTCACCCACAGGTCTGGAGAGTTACAAAGTCCTCTCTCTGCTAAGCCTCAGGCAATGGCCCTAACCTCTGAAGCCTCTCTGTCCTCTGCCCATCATAGGCTTGGATGCCCCCAGCCAGATCGAGGTGAAAGATGTCACAGACACCACTGCCTTGATCACCTGGTTCAAGCCCCTGGCTGAGATCGATGGCATTGAGCTGACCTACGGCATCAAAGACGTGCCAGGAGACCGTACCACCATCGATCTCACAGAGGACGAGAACCAGTACTCCATCGGGAACCTGAAGCCTGACACTGAGTACGAGGTGTCCCTCATCTCCCGCAGAGGTGACATGTCAAGCAACCCAGCCAAAGAGACCTTCACAACAGGTAAAAGGCCTCCCCCTGTTAACAGATATAGTAAAGGAAAGATTGAAAGATTTCCATCCCACTCCATGTTGGGGTATCTTCCAGGCTCATTTTACAGTACGAAAAATGAAAGGGGTATTTCTACTCCTGTAAATTTTAAAATATTGTAGCAATTTATTAATTAATTTTTCAAAAAAAATTCCAAATAACCTTCCAAAGCACTTTTGGGGGTGGGGGACATATGTAGAAGATGCTGGTCTGATATTCTCAGACAAAAGTTCTGGTTAAAATAAAGTTCAAATAAATATTTTTAAAGTAAAATATGGTATATGGAAAACATATATGACAAATGAGCCTCCTAACACTTTAGCCTACGGCATTATTTTAAAAGTTCAAAAGTGTCAATTTTTCATTCAGTAAATATTTTTCAGAGCTCAGTAAGTACTTTGTGAGTTATTAGAAATATGATGAGGAGGCCGGGCGTGGTGGCTCACGCCTGTAATCCCAGCACTTGGCAGGCTGATGCAGGCAGATCATGAGGTCAAGAGATGGAGACCATCCTGGCCAACATGGCAAAACCCTGTCTCTACTAAAAGTACAAAAATTGGGGTCAGGCGCAGTGGCTCACGCCTGTAATCCCAGCACTTTGGGAGGCCAAGGCGGGCGAATCACGAGGTCAGGAGATTGAGACCATTCTGGCTAACACAGTGAAACCCCGTCTCTACTAAAAATACAAAAAAAATTAGCCAGGCGTGGTGGCGGGTGCCTGTAGTCCCAGCTACAGGCTGAGGCAGGAGAATGGCATGAACCCAGGAGGTGGAGCTTGCAGTGAGCCGAGATCGCACCACTGCATTCCAACCTGGGTGAAGAGCGAGACTCCGTCTCAAAAAAATAAATAAATAACTGGGCGTGGTGGTGTGCTCCTGCAATCCCAGGTACTCGGGAGGCTGAGGCAGGAGAATCACTTGAACCTGGGAAGCAGGGGTTGCAGTGAGCCGAGATCGCACCAACACACTCCAGCCTGGTGACAGAGCGAGACTCTTGTCTCAAAAAAATAAAATAAAGAATGAAATATGATGAGAAAATGCAAAAGACCAGTTTTTACACTCATGAGCTTATTTTTAAGTCTTTGCATTGTTTCTTTAACCACAAAGTCTGAGAAAAACACAAATGACTAAAGTGTCGCACTCATCCATAATAGGGAAAGGTGCCAAATCTGTAGCACTTGTTTAGATTTGCACATCCACTATGGGGACAGATGAGTGTGCTGAGAATTTTGTAATTTCTCTCCAGTTCCAGGCACGTTTCATATGTCAGCTTGAGCTGTCAAAGACTCCTGCTCTCTTGTGACTGATATGTTCAATACAAATGTTCCTTCTCTCAAACAGGCCTCGATGCTCCCAGGAATCTTCGACGTGTTTCCCAGACAGATAACAGCATCACCCTGGAATGGAGGAATGGCAAGGCAGCTATTGACAGTTACAGAATTAAGTATGCCCCCATCTCTGGAGGGGACCACGCTGAGGTTGATGTTCCAAAGAGCCAACAAGCCACAACCAAAACCACACTCACAGGTGAGCTCTGCATCTCTGCAAGCCTGAGCCAGCCAGCCCTAGAGGGCCCTTAAAGGATGGGCACCTGCTCCCACATGTCCCCATTTGCAACCCTCAGAAATAAGTCCAATTTCCTGAAATACTGCTTATTGGATTGCAGTGAGTTCTTTTGTAAAACATTCCGAAAATTTGTTGTAGCCTCCAGAGACCAACTCAAAGCCATTTTTATCATCCTCTGAAAGTCTCTCTGATTTCAGGATGAATCTCAACTTGCACATTCTCTCCTTAGGTCTGAGGCCGGGAACTGAATATGGGATTGGAGTTTCTGCTGTGAAGGAAGACAAGGAGAGCAATCCAGCGACCATCAACGCAGCCACAGGTGGGGCACACCTGGAATTCCCATCCCACTGAGCTGGTGCTGGGCAGATGAGACAGAGTCAATGTGGCCAAAACCTATTTAAAGAGAAAAAGTAGAAGCCTGGAGGAAAAAGGGCCCTGTAGTACCATCTAGCCCCAATGTTGAAATTCAAAAGGAACATAAGTACGGTCCATCTGTATGATGCCAACATCATCCCCTGTATGGAAAAGGGGACTGGGGATTTTGTGTTTGTTGTTGTTGTTGTTGTTGAGATGGAGTATCGCTCTGCCACCAGGCTGGAGTGTAGTGGCATGATCTCAGCTCACTGCAACCTCCGCCTCCAGGGTTCAAGAGATTCTCCTGCCTCAGCCTCCCGAGTAGCTGGGACTACAGGTGCATACCACCACGCCCAGCTAATTTTTGTATTTTTAGTAGAAATGGGGTTTCACCATGTTGGCCAGGATGGTCTCAATCTCTTGACCTCATGATCCGCCCACCTCGGCCTCCCAAAGTGCTGGGATTACAGGTGTGAGTCACTATGTCCAGCCGGGATTTTTTAAAGAAAAATTGGAACCAGGCTTTGTAAGAAATTCATGAACATGTGTAAGTTGGTAATCAGTTGCATCTTTTAAATAAACCATTATCTAGTCCAAACACAACTGTGGGGTTTTCTCTGAGAAAACACCTAACTTTTATACCCCTGTCAAGCAGATTATAAGTAACAGGATTGTAGTTTAAGTCCAGGCCCTGCACTTACCTGTTGTATCCTGTAGCCGCAGCTTGTAGGTGAGGATGCTGAGGGGCTACCTGATTTGAGGTCATTGATTCTTTCCTCAAGATTTTTTTTTCCATTTTTCTGGGAAGTTTGCACTGCAAAAAGAAAACTCCTCCTCTGCCTCTCCCCCAGCCCCCAGCTTACCTCCCCACAGGCACTATGAGGAAGAAGGAGGCTAGTGTGTAAAGAGGAGATGGATCATCATTGAGCTTCCACATTATGCGGGATGCAAGGCCGGACATTTACATGCCAATTCTTTTTTTTTAATCTTTTGATTTTGAGATAATTGTAGATTCACATGCAATTGTGAGAAAGCATACAGACAGATCCCCTGTGCCCATCACCCAGGTTCCCCCAAGGGTAGCGTCTTGCATAAATGTAGACTAATATAACAACTGAGAAATTGACATTGGCGTAATCTGTCCACTCTATTTATATTTCACCAGTTTTGCATACACTCATTCGTATGTGTGTGTATATACTTAGTTCTATGCAATTTTATCACACATGTAGATTTGTGAATGCACCACTAGAGTCAAGATACAGAACAGTCTTACTACAAGAATCCCACATGCTACCCTTTGCAGCCACAGCCACCTCCCTCCCTTTGCCCCTCTGCCTAACCCTGGGCATTCATTTATCTGTTCTTCATCTCTATGATTTTGCCATTTCAAGGAATGCTGCATAAATGGGATCCTACACATATTAGTCCATTTGAGTTACTGTAACAAGAATAAGAATACCTTAGACCAAGTAACTTATAAACAGAAGAAATTTATTTCTCACAGTTCTGAAGGCTGCGAAGTCCAAGATCAAGATGCCAGCAGATTTGGTGTCTGATGAAGGCCTGCTTTCTGGCTGACAGCAGGCCATCTTTTTACTGTGTCCTCACAGGACAGAAGGGGCAAGGTCTCTTTTATAAGGGCACCACTCCCATTCATGAGGCCTCCCAAAGGTCCCTAGATCCAAATGTCTTCACATTGGGGATTAGGTTTCAACATAAGAACTTTAGAGAGGCACAGACATTCAGTGCATAGCAATACAGCATGTAACATTTTGAAACTGGCTTTTTTTCCTTCAGCATAATTCTCTCGAGATTCATCTAAATTGCTTCTTTTATCAATAGTTGGTTCCTTTTAACTGCTTTAAATCTGAGCAGCATTTTATGGAATGGATATTCCATGACATTATTTTCAATCTTCTCAGACTCCGATGGGGTCATGTGGGTGATGTATAATTAGACCTATTTTACAAAAGTAAAAAGAGAGACCCAGAGATGTGACTCTCCTGTGGTCCCTCAGCTCCTCTGTGGCAGACCTAGGATTCCAGCCCAGATGCAGTTGACTTTCAGCCCCAGAAGCAGCCCTGTCTTGCAGCCTGAAGAGCATTCATCTCTCTGTTCTCCTCCCAGAGTTGGACACGCCCAAGGACCTTCAGGTTTCTGAAACTGCAGAGACCAGCCTGACCCTGCTCTGGAAGACACCGTTGGCCAAATTTGACCGCTACCGCCTCAATTACAGTCTCCCCACAGGCCAGTGGGTGGGAGTGCAGCTTCCAAGAAACACCACTTCCTATGTCCTGAGAGGCCTGGAACCAGGACAGGAGTACAATGTCCTCCTGACAGCCGAGAAAGGCAGACACAAGAGCAAGCCCGCACGTGTGAAGGCATCCACTGGTGAGTCTGCCCTGAGCTTCCTCCAAACTCTAGGTTGATTCTGAGGTTAGCAGATCTCCTCAGCCAGGGTGTCCTCACATGAGAAAGCCAAATGCAAAAGCAAGCCACTTTCTCCATCTCTGAAGCCCCTGAACACCACTTTGAAAGGGCTGCTTACTCGTCTTTTCTACCTCCTGTCAACTGATACAGCAAATTTCCCCCACTGGGAAATAGGGGTTTTAAAATATTTCTTCCTAGGAGAACTTTAAACATCAGGGTTTGTGTTTGCATTTACCTATGATTTTTGTTTTCTTTTCTTAACTGTGCATCACAGCATCTTTTCAATTGTTTCTTGTTTATTTCCTTCTTTTAGCCTAATAATTAATTTACTTTTCATTTTACTTCATTTAAAGATGACCAAGATGTTGGTAATAATATTTTTTTTGTTGTTGTTATTTTCTACAAACTGTTTTTATTCCAGGTCTTTTGCTTTCTGCCAAGGTTACCCCTGAAGAGTGGCACACGGCCCTTTGAGACTTCCATGGTGCCCTCTCATTTTCTCTTTTCTCTTAGTCATTAAGACATTAACCTAGTTTGTCTATGACGACAGCTTAATCCTGACATTGTGGCCCATGCAACTTGTGTCCATTCTGGCCCATGCAACCTGTTCACTGAACCTGAGGCCATGGTTACTCGGTGGCTAAACTGAAGAGACAACCAGGTTTTTAAAATATTTCTTCCTTTATGAAAAATAAGCCTATTCAATTTTGGCCACCAAATATTCGAAATGTATAGGTGGAAAATGTTACTTTTCCAGGGTTTGGCAAGTAATAGTCTTTACTTCCAATTTAATTAGTAAGCATGTATTGAGTACCTACTGCATACATTGTACCGTACTGATATTTGAGGAAAAGTAGTTCCCAAAGTCAGCATTGTTATGTGGACTCATTTGTGCCTGCTCATAGTGCTTGCGGAAGACTAGATACTCAGAATGCTAGACAGAACTCGAGAAAAAGAGTGATCCAAGGAAATCAGGAGAGCTGGCAAAGGTGTTATGGCAAGGGATGTTATTCCAGTTGAAGCTTGATATGCAAGAAAAGGGTTAGAAGTGTGGACATATTTGGAAATGGCTTGAAGAGTCTTTCTCACAATATCTTCAGTCTCAAATCACAGTCACTTACTTAAGATAGAAGTTGGTTTTCTTTCTTATAAAATGAATCTGGAGCTGGGAGGTACAGGGATAACTTAGTAGTTTCAAATTGTCAGGCACCCAGGCTGCTTCTTTCTTTTCCACCATTTTTAGTCCTTGGCTTCCATTCTCAAAGTCATCTCAGTGTCACAACATGGCTGCTGTAATACAGCCATTCCATCTGTGTTCTAGGCAGCATAAGGGAGGAAGAACCAAAACTCCCAAAGAGGAGCACCTTCTGGGTGAGTCTTTCTGGAAACCCCACCAATCACTTCTCCCCATAGTTCATTGGCCACTCCTAGCTGTAAGGGAGGCAGGGAAAGGTAGTCTTCTGTCTGAACATGTTACTTCCACATAAAATTGAGGTCATTTGTAAGAGAGAAATTTGGCAGACAATGAGCAGTCCCTGCCAGAGTCTGAAATGAGTTTACGTGGTCAATTCTGTTGACTCTGCATTGACTGCTTCCCACCCAACTATAAGATGTTTATAAAGGATGCTCTGAAAGAATAGTTTAATTAAAAAATAAGGTGGGGGGCGGGGATAGAACCAAGAAGAAATAAATCTATAGTAGAGATTTAAATTTCAGCTTTATAAACATGAGCTTGTTATAAAGTGTCAAGGGGCAACAAATGAATCAGAAATGCCCAAAAGATGAAATCCCTCTCTTTTCTTTCTCTTTCTCTCTCTTTCTTCCCTCTTCCCTCACTCCTGCTCTTCTTCCTCCTCCTCCTTCCTCTGCCCCTCTCCCTTAGCTTTCCCTTGAGTTTGATAAATGCTGTATCTAAGAGAGATTCCTATTGCCCCTCAATCATTCCACCTTCTGGTGATGGCCACATTGCCTCCTTCCTCCAGTGAGAAAACCTCACACCTGCGCAGTCACTGAAGAAGTTTTATCTCCCTAAGATCCTGAGGTGTGGGGCTTCTCCACTAGAGAAAGGAGGTAATGTGGCTATAACCAGGAGATTTACTAGCTAGAATTATTCTGTTTCTGAATGAGAGCCCCATATTGGCATTCCAAAGCCTCAGCAGTTGCATTTCCCCACCACGCCTCCTTAATGCCATTTCAAAGATATCATGTTTCGTATTTAAAGACATTCTTCAGTGTGGGAAAAATGTGCAAAGTTCTTTTTATTGGTTCTTCTCCACTGTCCACAGACTATTTCCCCCATCCCTTTCTCCACAGGAAAAAATATATATGTTTCATTTAAGGTGAAGCAGACGCTTCTTTCCCTCCTTGAATTCTAACTTTTAAAGCCTTCTGCATTCACTCAGTCAATAAAATACTATCACCATGCTCTGTGCTAAGTTCTGGGGTTACTAGAGCAAAGAAGACGGGTATTTAATTCCAAGGAACTCACTGTGTAGCGAACAAACAGACACTGAGATAACATTCTGCTCACTACGATCGAGGGTACAGAGGGTGCAGCCAGTGCTCAGGAGACACTGGATCTAACTTCAGAGAATCAGGAAAGGCTTACAATGGGAAGACGCTTTTGGACAGAGACATAAGAGGCAAACATAGATGTGTTAAATGGAATAGCTAAAGAAGTAGAAGCCCAGGCACCTGACCTTGGTAAGCATAGAGGAAGAAAGAAAACAGGAAAAGCGAGAGCTCTTGGGTGAAGGAGCCATGTGGCTATAAGTCCTGAAATGTTGCAGAGTTTTAGGTTCAACCATCAGAAGCAAGAACCTTCCAGCTCTGTATCACTGGATTCTTAATAGCAGAAGCCTGCCAGGCGCCACTCAATGTCTGTGGGGCTTACAGAGAAAAATGAAGAATCAGTGGCCCTGAAGAATTTTTCCTGGGGAATTCCAGGGTTTTACTGATGGATTGGGCCATAATGTAAGTCTTTTTCTTGATGTGGCACCATACTAAAAATATGCATAACCTGGCCACCTATCACACCTCTCGCCCAAAGACCCAGCCATGGGTTACAGGGCCCTACAGAATCTGGCACGGCCAGCCCATCCTCTGACCTCAGTCCTGCCACTCATTCCCTTGCTCACTTCACCATGGCCTCTTGGGCCTTCACACTGTTCCTTAAGCTTTCTGAGCCTGCTCCCACCCTCGGGCTTTGGAGTGTGCTGCTCCCACTCCCTGGATACCACTCTTTTCCCAGCACTTCACAGAGCGTGCTCCCTCATTTCACTCAGCAGCTCAGATATGACCCAGAACAGAGGGCTTCTCTGACTACCAGCCTAAAAAGGCACCCCCATCCTGATCTACCCCTTCAAGCTGCTCTAGGTTTCCTTGTGAAACTTATCTGCCTTGATATTATGCAAGTATTGGTTTACTATAATATCTATGGCCTGCCTCCCCATCAGTGAGCAGAATATAAGGACTGATTCCATCATCCACTGCTGAATCCCAGTGCCCTGAAGGCAGACAAGTATGTGGTATGAGCTTCATGAGTGTTTAGGGACCCTGGCTACTTCAGAGTCAGCATTTCCATAGAATCTTCTGATTCTTCCCTTCCACCTCTGCATTAACACCCCAATTCTTTCCTTAAGGCATAAGGGAAATCATTCCCTTGGAAAGTCTTCAATTCCGCTTAATCTGGATAGAAAAGGAAGGAAGGAAGGAAAGAAGGAAGGAAGGGAGGAAGGAAGGGAGGGAGGGAGGGAGGAAGGGAGGAAGGAAGGAAGGAAGGAAGGAAGGGAGGGAGGGAGGGAGGGAGGGAGGGAGGGAGGGAGGGAGGAAGGGAGGAAGGAAGGAAGGAAGGAAGGGAGGGAGGGAGGGAGGGAGGGAGGGAGGGAGGGAGGAAGGGAGGGAGGGAGGGAGGGAGGGAGGAAGGGAGGGAGGGAGGGAGGGAGAGAGGGAGGGAGGGAGGGAGGAAGGGAAGGAAAGAAGGGAGGAGGGAAGAACGAAAGGTACCGTGTCTGTTGGCATTTAAAAAAATTAGTGTGTACCAGGCATCATTCCCTCTCCTCCTCTCCCATTCCCTCCCTTCTCTTTCCCTCTCCTCCACTCTATTCTCCTCCCCTCTCCTTCCTCTCTTCTCCCCTCTTCTCTCTCCTCTCCTCTCTCTCCCTTTTCTCTCTGCTTTTGTACTCTTATAAACCCAACTAAACCCTGCTTAAGGTCAAAGCCATGAATTTGCTGCATGCCATAAGAGACAGGAGGCAGGGGTGATAGGCAGAAACATAAAGCCAGCAAAGCATATTTTCATAGCAACATAAGCCTTGACAGTGACAACCCAGTAGCTCTCAGGAATTTTGGAAGAAGAAAGGTGGAATTTTGTTTTTAGCCACAGCTACCAGTAATACAGAACATTCTGCTCTTATTTGCTATTTTGATTTTCTCACAGACCAAACTGAAATTTATTCAAATATTTATTCATCCAGCAAATATTTATTTCATACCTACTGTGGGTCAGGCGATGCCGGTGTATAGAAGAGAAAGAAACAGCTTCTCTTCTCAAGAAATGGTGCACGTTGCTATAAGAGAGAGAACCAAAACCCAAATTATAACACTGTAGCTTATCTGTTTTAGAGGGATTTGTGGGAGGCTGCAGGAGCATACAGACAGGTACCCATCACAGACCTAAGCAAAGGGAATGAAAAGCACTGGAGAAGGCTTTTTGGAAGAAGTGATGTTTGGTTGAGTTCTGAAAAAGAAAAGGGGCTGGGCAAGTGGAGAAAGAGTAATGACATTTCCAGCAAAGGGAATAGCATCTGAAAAGCTGAAAAGCATGAGAAACTTTACCTTAGTGAACTGCAAGCTATACAGTCCTGCTATATGATAGAGTGGGAAAACAGTAGGGTAGGAGGCTAGAGACATCATCAGGGGCATCTGCAAAGGGGCTTGGTTCTTGGCAGTTACAAAGAAATCACCGAATGTTTTAAGGCAGCCAAGGCTTCTCATTTCAATTGTCTTATCTCTGAGAGATGAGAGTAAAGCGACTGAAGATACCCTTTGGGGTTGTCAGGCTTGGATGTGACCATGCCCCTGCTGTGGGAGAATCACTCTTTCTCCCCTAAGTGGACGCTGAAGTGAGTTCCTCATCAAGCCAGCACTTGGTAATCACTATCTAGAAGATGGTAACAATCTACAGATTTTTAAGTTGGCACTGTCAGAAATTCCTCCAGACCAGCTGCTCAACCCACCAGGAGCACAGCAATGGGTTTCAAAATTCTGATTTCCCAGGCCCACTGACATTGTTCAAGGGTAGATTCCAGTGCACAGCTGTAAGAAGAAGACAACAGCCTTTTGATAAAGAAATGCCAAGAAATTCAGTGTGGAATCTATAATGGAAACACTTGGCTTCTAGGGCAGTAAGTCCACAGTATGTCATTTGCAGTTGAAATGTGGAGCCAGCATTTATGTGAAGCCTCTTGGTCCTCATCTCAACTATTGTCCACTGTATTTTTTATTCATAATATTCCCCCTTCTTTCATAATTCTGACCCCCTCTCTCTTTAATTTAGCTACTGATTTTATTTGTGGAAGTTGTACCTTTTACTCACTTGGCTAGCATTTATTTAATAAAGGGATCTGGATGGGGCACACGTAGCATCCACTACTGACATGGCCACAGTACTGCCTCTCTGAGTTATAAACCAATGCTCTTTCTTGATTTGCCTACCAAAAAAAAAAAATAGTAGAGAAATAGCCAAAAGTGTTAGCAGAAGTACCAACACCATCACTATTACTATTTACTGAACAACATGACATTATGTAAAAAAAAAATCACTCTATCAACTATATGAACAGATGAAACAGGATGTGGGGACAATTAGATGAAAGTATCAGTGGCATACTAAATATCCGATTCAAAGAGATAAGATGATTCTCATTAGGAAGAGACATTTTCCAACGTGCATCTTTTCTCTCCATCCATCTTTTGCCACAGCTTAATGGGCAATCCACAATCTCATTCCCCCACCCCCCGTAAGGTAACTTTCCCAATATCTCTTTCAAGGGGGCATTTAAAATTTATTTTATAGAAAAAAATGTTTTATGTAACAATTAGACATAAGGATTAAAAGATAGACACCCGTAGAAAAAAGACAGTAACTTAATTCACACGAAGGGGTACGTTGTCAATGACAGATTAGTTCCTGACAGGTGGACAGCAGAGAAACAAAAACAGGAAAGTGGGATAAGAAGGAGAGCTAAGAAGACATAGGGTTGATTTAATTTTCACTTAGCTCTGTTTTTGTCCTATATCTCTTTCTGTATCAGGACTGCTGAAATATTTGAGAAGGACATGCTCTTGAGTTTAGTTGTGCTTAAATCCCAATGTCAAGGGTATAATCACTATATCCAGGGAACTGTTTCTGGCCTCACAAGGCCCAGCAGGATTAAAGGTAGTTGACACCTCCTTTCTTTTCCTAAATCTAGATACATCACTTGCAGTTTGGGGTCCTCCCTTTCTCATAAAGACCATGTTTAGGTGGTTAAGAACTGCTTTGGAGCCTCTGGTGTAAGCTTTAGGATATGAGTCGGGGTTAAAGAGGAGTCTGTATTCAAGATCAAGTATTGCAAACATTTTCTGTAAAGGGCCAGATGGTAAATATTTTAGACTTTATAGGCCAGAGAGTTTCCATTACAATTATTCAACTGCACATTTTGTAACACAAAAGCAGCCATCAACAATATATAAGTGAACAAGCATGGCTATGCTCCAATAAAACTTTATCTGTGGCACCAGAATTGGAATTTTATATGACTTGCATGCACCATGAAATAATATTCTTCTTTGGATTTATTTCCCGACCATGTAAAAAAGTAAGAAAAACTGTTGTTAGCTTGCTGACTACCAAAATAAGCAGCTGGCCAGATGTGGGCCTCGGGTAACAGTTTGCGGACCTCTGTTCTCGATCAAACAAAATTTGAAGGAGTGTATGCTCTGACAATATGAAACAAGCAGGAAGAATGTTCCCCAGAACTTAGAAATGTCTGAGTTAAATCAATTCCAGAAAAGAAATGTTTTCTCCTCTGAAAGGATATCCTCAATCAAATTCCAAGCTAAGATTTTCAACTTAGTAGCCTGCTCTAATGGACACATAAGGCTCATTTGAAATTAGCAGCAATGTGAAGTATAAATAGAAAAAAACAGTTTGTTCTTTTAAATGATTTAAAGTCAGTTTCTACTCTCTAGTTTACAGGATCCATTTCCAGAGAAATACTTTCCTTCCTAAACTATGCAAAGTCCACTTAAGCTCAGCCCTGGGCAAATTATCTCCCTTAAGTCAGGTTGAGACCAGTGAGTTTTTACGGAATTTCGTGCATTCGCGAGATGAATGAACAGGGTGCATTCAGTTTTACTTGAGCTTCATAAGATCTGCTTCTCCCAGGACCTCTTTCTTTTTTCTATTAAGGAACAGTTTTTCAAAGCCTTATCACCTTCCTTAGCTCAGCCTTAATAATACTGTGTCAATGTGTCTCTGATCTTTACTAATATGATCTATGTAAATGATTTGAACGCTAGAAACTGATGAAATCCCAATATAAACTATACAACAGACCTCCCATAGGATATTGAGGCAGCACAAAAAAGAAGAGGCTTTTTTTTTTTTTTTTTTTTTTTGAGATGGAGTCTCGTTCTGTCACCCAGGCTAGAGTGCAATGACTCAATCTTGGCTCACTGCAACCTCAACCTCCAGGGCTCAAGCGATTCTCCTAACTCAGCCTCCCAAGTAGCTGGGATTACAGGCTCACGCCACCACACCCAGCTAATTTCTGTATTTTTTGTAGACACGGGGTTTCGCCATGTTGTCCAGGCTGGTCTTGAACTGCTGACCTCATATGATCTGCCCACCTTGGCCTCTCAAAAAAGAAGGGTATCTAAGAAGAGCCAATTGTCTCAAAATACAGAAGGTCGGACAGCTCAAACCAAGACCCCCAGAATAACTGAGGGCCACCCCATTATGATGCAAGACATGTTCCAAAATGAAAACTGAAGCTCAGAGCATCGCTAACATAGACATATAGTTTTCTAAATCTGCAGGACACTGATCAATAGGAAAATACCATTTCCAAGAGAAAAACCCAAATATGCATGAAGGCAAAAGAAATTTTTTGTTTGTTTGTTTTGAGACAGAGTCTCACTCTATCCCCCAGACTGGAGTGCAATGGCGCCATCTCAGCTCACTGCAACCTCCACCTTCTGTGTTCAAGCGATTCTCCTGCCTCAGCCTCCTGAGTAGCTGGGATTACAGGTGCCCACCAACACGCCTGGCTAATTTTTGTATTTTTAGTAGAGACAGGGTTTCACCATGTTGGCCAGGCTGGTCTCGAACCCCTGACCTCAAATGATCCACCCACCTTGGCCTCCCAAAGCGCTGGGATTACAGGCTCGAGCCACCATGCCCGGCCACAAAAGAAATATGACATTGTTGTCCTGCTGGTGTTTTAATAGGGACAGCACCAGTAGGGGATGCAGTGAACAAAGCCTGGCACTTGGACTGCAATGGCCTATAGATGTGGCATTGGGTTTGCCATTCCCAGGTTCTCAGAAGCAAAACTTTCTGAGGAATAGTTTAACTGACCCCATCTCTGTCATTATTCAGAACAAGCCCCTGAGCTGGAAAACCTCACCGTGACTGAGGTTGGCTGGGATGGCCTCAGACTCAACTGGACCGCAGCTGACCAGGCCTATGAGCACTTTATCATTCAGGTGCAGGAGGCCAACAAGGTGGAGGCAGCTCGGAACCTCACCGTGCCTGGCAGCCTTCGGGCTGTGGACATACCGGGCCTCAAGGCTGCTACGCCTTATACAGTCTCCATCTATGGGGTGATCCAGGGCTATAGAACACCAGTGCTCTCTGCTGAGGCCTCCACAGGTATCTCTTTCCTTTCTATTTATAGCTTCTGTTTTTCCCAGCAGGAAACTGCCCATGAATAATCAGACACGACTAGCTTTGGAATGGACTTGTTCTGCCACTACTTATGTCTATGGGGTCTAATTGTGACACGAGGCCATCACGCTACAGAACCCCAAGGCAACTTTTAATACTTCACTCCACATGAATGACACCCTTGGGAGTTGTACAGAGCTCAACCTGCAGGACTAAACACACAGCTCCCATGCAGAGGGCCTTTAGCTCCATAAACAGCCTCCCTCCTGTTAAAGGACGTTAAGGCACTATATATGAAAGGGAAAGAAAATCACAAAATTCTCTCATCTACTGAGGGTTAAGGCAATTCTTTAAGATTTAAAAAACAAACAAAAACAAATATTTTCCTGCACTTTCCTCTCTTTGCTCCATTTCTAAAATTTAAAGAGTTGCATGATGCATGTTTATCTAAAGAAAGTCACATTTTTTCAGTAATATTATTATTCAGCTTATTCTTGTGTTAAAGATTCCCTGGATCTTGTTGTGTGATTTGATCACTAAACTAGTTCTTTGTCCTTCTCCAGGGGAAACTCCCAATTTGGGAGAGGTCGTGGTGGCCGAGGTGGGCTGGGATGCCCTCAAACTCAACTGGACTGCTCCAGAAGGGGCCTATGAGTACTTTTTCATTCAGGTGCAGGAGGCTGACACAGTAGAGGCAGCCCAGAACCTCACCGTCCCAGGAGGACTGAGGTCCACAGACCTGCCTGGGCTCAAAGCAGCCACTCATTATACCATCACCATCCGCGGGGTCACTCAGGACTTCAGCACAACCCCTCTCTCTGTTGAAGTCTTGACAGGTATTCTAGACGAATTCACTAATTCACTTCCTCCCCTTTGTCTCTGCTCGGGAGGAATCAAAGCACTTTCTTGCTTTAAACTGGGATCAGCTCCTACCACATTGGGGAAATACCAGTGAATCATCTCTGCTTCTTCCTAAATGTCACATCCCTTATTTGGCTAAGTCCTAGTTGTAGCCCAGTTCCATGGAAAATTCCACCTACTCCTCCTTTAAAAAAGTGAGAGGTGGCTTTTCTTTCAAAGTAAGTTTCAGTCACAATATCTAAAAAGTTGGAAAGCCCAACCTGTAAATGAAGAAAAAATAGCTCTGAGCTCATGAGCTCATTTTAAGAACACCAAAGGACTCCCCATAGCCCTATTTGTATGTCAAGAATAGAAATTGTGAACAATTCCTAAAACTACTTTTCATTCCCAAAAGCTGAATAGAAAAACCCTGGCTTTAGTGCCAACAGTTTGAGTGTGCTCAACACCTGCTGTAAATCATGCATCTATAATCAACACTAACCAGACAACTCATCCCAACCTTAGCCAAAATGCCATCTCACCTGAATCCCAGCGTGCAATTGCCTTTTTAAGTAACTCAGCAACTCTGTGTCCTTATGCAGAGGAGGTTCCAGATATGGGAAACCTCACAGTGACCGAGGTTAGCTGGGATGCTCTCAGACTGAACTGGACCACGCCAGATGGAACCTATGACCAGTTTACTATTCAGGTCCAGGAGGCTGACCAGGTGGAAGAGGCTCACAATCTCACGGTTCCTGGCAGCCTGCGTTCCATGGAAATCCCAGGCCTCAGGGCTGGCACTCCTTACACAGTCACCCTGCACGGCGAGGTCAGGGGCCACAGCACTCGACCCCTTGCTGTAGAGGTCGTCACAGGTATATGACCCTCCTCCCAGACTGGAGACATGATAGGAGCCAGCATGTCATTGAAATAGAGAAAATTCACCCGTGTGGCAGAATCCTACCCCAATGTTGTTGACAGACAGCGTGAATCTCTAACTCAGGAAGGTCTGTGTTGGAATTCCACCTCACTAGCTAAATATTCTTGGGACTATATGTGTATGTATATATATAGATACACATATATACACACACACAAATATATACTTATATATATAGTGTGTGTGTGTATATATATATATGTGTGTGTGTATATATAGATATATACTTTTTTTTTTTTTTTTGAGTCAGGGTCTCATTCTTTTGCCCAGGCTAGAATGCAATGGTGTGACCATGGCTCACTGCAGCCTCGAACTCCTAGACTCAAGTGATTCTCCTGCCTCAGCCTCTACAGTAGCTGGAACCACAGGTGTGAGCCACCACACTCAGCTAAGTTTTTTGTATTTTTTGTAGAGATGGAGTTTCACCATTTTGCCCAGCCTGGTCTCAAACTCCCGGGCTCAAGCCATCTTCTCACCTTGGCCTCCCAAAGTGCTGGGATTACAGGCATGAGCCAGCGTGCCCTACCTCTATTCTTGGGTATATTTCTTTACATCCCTGAGCCTCCTTTTTGTATCTTTAAATCAGCAATGAACCCTACTTCAGGAAACTGTCGTGAGCAATAAATAAGTTAATGAATGTCAGTGCTTAGTAAAGCGCCCATCACGTAGTAAATACTGAATAGCAAATAGCTAAATTTATCATACAGCAACAGAGTCATGATTTTTAAAATAGCACAAACGTTAGGGCTGTGGCACAAAAATAAGATCAGAACTTTCTAGAAAAACCTTATTACTAGCCTCAGAGCCACCAACTAACACCCACCTGATAGGCAGATCTCTACATAATAACCTTTAGAAATGATGCAGTTAGCTTCTGCTGAAACTATCTAGGACTCTCTCCTCAACAGATACAAAAAGCAGGGACATTTCCAAGAAAGGACAGCCACCTTTGACTTCAATGCTTTTCATTCAATTTGGGAAGGAAAAACAATTCCTCTCAATTTTCCACCAAAAATGAGCTGCTCCATCTGTTATAAAAAACTGTGCTGTACATGAGATTTCTAGAAATAGCTTCAAAAAGGGCTATGGGAAAAAGGGCCAACTTTTTGGTGATAGGGTTTCTGTGCTGAGCCCTAAGCCCATGCCCCACTCTACATATGCTGCCTTTTGATAATGCAATCCAAATCACTCAATTCAAAACAATTGTTTTCCTTGCTCTTATATAACAGATAAACTTGGTGGTTGCTAGAAACTACATAAAATTCCAAAAATAAGGGGGCCAGGTTTTATTCCTGTGTTGCCTGGAATATCTTCAGATCAAACAAGAGCAAAAAGGGCCTTTGAGACAGGTGTGGTCTGTGTGCAAGATGCTCATATCTTCCTCTGTAGTCCGCAAACTTTTGTTTTTAGCAGTACAACTCCTTTTGCAAATGAAATCTTCCAAGGAACCCTACTATTTGACAGATAAGTGAACAGCTGTTCTTGGTGTGCCTGGAAGTAAGAGGGGGATACCTCCACCCATGTTCTCAACACAGTTCTTCTAGAAAAGCCCCAGATCTATGTGGAACACAGTTTGAAAATAACCCCTCTTAAAAGCAAGAGGTTGCTCAGAGGTTGCTCAGACTCTCACAGGGCATTGAATCCTTGGATACCCAAGAGCAAGTATCTATATCTTTCAACTATTTTTGGTTGAAATCCCTGCAGATATTCTCCTCCCTAACTTCTAACCCATGGCCACTTCAGCCTTCAAAACAGTGGCTGAGAGACTGCATTTAACCCTCAGAAGCATCCCACAAAACAATGGGTTTTTCCATATCCTAAATCCAAACTTTCTAAATCACCAATAACAACTACGTTAAATTTCCTTTCTACATTGTAGAAGCAGTAATAGTGGGTTCTGTTCTGCACCATTTACTGAGAAAAATCTCCTTTCTTTTAATTAAAAGTAGGCACACTCATTTCACACAAACAGCTTTGCTCTGTGATACAGCCATTCTTCCTTTAGACATAAAGTACGAGCAGAAAAAGGTGGAAGAAGAAACAAGCTGAGAACCCAGTACACAACTTTTGATCCCTGAAAGCTGATAGAAGACCAAAGAAAAAACATCATACTTGTTCACACCTGAGACAGCATACACTTTATCAACCCAGGCAGGTAGCCAGTGGCTAGTGATGAGATAATCTTTCTAATTATAAATAATGAAATAAAGCAGGGATTTCTCCCTGACATGAGTAAGAAATTCCAAGGGAAAACACTTGAACAATGATTTCTTTATTAAGCTGACACTTATTGGGCACTCGCCATGTATCAGGTATGATACTAAGAAGTTGATAAATATTACCATTTAATCATCACGCAATCCCATGAAACAGTACCATCAACTCCATTTAAAGGTAAAGAGAGGGTGGCTCAGAGAGAAGCTGAGTGACATGCCCAAGATTATGCAGCTAGCAAATGCTAGTATTGGGATTCTAATCAAGGACTACTTGCCTCCAAATTCTGCACTTGTAACCATTGCTGTATCTCTTACCCTAACCCACAATCCTACTTTTCCATGTGAATTTCACCTGCTAGCAATGCATGCTCCCGGTGGGTTGTGCATTGGTGCAGATGTCTTTGCCATCTCAAGGATAAACCATGTAGATATTTCCCTTTCTGGCCATTTTCAACTCCTGAAGACAACTGTGGCCAGGGAACCACAGTTCAAATTGCAAATGCTCAGAGACCAAGAATTAAAAAAAAAAATTATCTTTCCCCTTTCTCTCTTTCCTAGAGTTGGGCTGTGGGATGTTTGGTTTCCTCATTTTTGGTTTATAGAACTGACAAATACTTTTCTGTCCTTCTTCAGAGGATCTCCCACAGCTGGGAGATTTAGCCGTGTCTGAGGTTGGCTGGGATGGCCTCAGACTCAACTGGACCGCAGCTGACAATGCCTATGAGCACTTTGTCATTCAGGTGCAGGAGGTCAACAAAGTGGAGGCAGCCCAGAACCTCACGTTGCCTGGCAGCCTCAGGGCTGTGGACATCCCGGGCCTCGAGGCTGCCACGCCTTATAGAGTCTCCATCTATGGGGTGATCCGGGGCTATAGAACACCAGTACTCTCTGCTGAGGCCTCCACAGGTACTTCCTCTCCCTGTCAATGCTTTCTCCCCAAGGTTCTTTGCTTCCTTTTCAAGAGATCATGCGCGGAGTCAGCATCTCGCCATAACTGAATCCTTTTCATGTGCCTTTCAGTGGCCGGCTGTGCATGCTCAGAGACCTCCCTGTGGGCTATGACTTTGTCCTCATGCCTTTGCCATGTGGATGGTGAATGATGCAGGTGTTGCCCTTTCTGATCTCCAGCCCCCCAGCCTTTCATACTTTACCTGGCTGATTCTACATCTTTTTTGAATGATGAATTTTTGTTTCAGGAATCAGCCTGATGGTTTTAATTCACTTCTCCAGTGCTTGGAGATAACTAAAAGCTTCCCTCCCTATATATGAGTTCTGGTGGAACACAGATTATTTACTTCTGAGAGTCTTTTGCTAGTTGGAAATGGTGCTTTTCTATCTCTAAATCCCTCAAGGATATGGGTAGTGTGGTTCTTGCATGTAAGAAATGTTTCTTTAAAATGCACCCAGTATAATAAGAGAACTGAATTACCCTCCTCCGGGCAGTTCTCTCAGATACTGAGTCATTGTTAGAACATCAAATTAGCAAATAGCTAGACCAGAAGGAAAAAAAAAGAAATTACACAATTATGACTGGAGACTGTACCAAAGAGAAAGCCATTCATTAGCACAAGTACACACAGCAGCTTTTGGAACAAGGAATGTCCTGGGCTATGAATGTCAAAGAACTGATACCCTTTTTGCTCTTTTAATCAAGAGTTTCTCTCTGGAGTGTTGGCCTTTGGATGGCAAACTCCCAGCCCCAGACCCAGGAGGGTGCATTATAGTTTACTCGTCACTCTACCCCTGTTACAAGACTTCAGTGTTTCCCGGGGGCCTGCCAAAGTCAGCAGCCTTCCTCTGACACAGTTTTCCGTTGCTCATCTTTATTATGTGCCTCCATGGGTTTGAAGCTCGGTAGAGACTATCGCTTCATTTTGCATATGACTGCTCCCCTTTTTAAATAATTATTGCAACTAAACTTTAATGCATACCTGTACATCCCAGTTGAATCTAGCAAGAGCATAGCTCTGCATTTTAACCTCAGTCATTTCACTAATTTTCACTGAGATAAAGAAACATAAAGCACAGGCAACCACTGCCAGGACGGTGACCCTGAAATGCCTAGAATTTGCAGCCGAGGCTACTCTGAAGGCACCCGGACCTCCTTTTTCTGAGACCCATAAACCATCCCTTCCCAGAAGGCAAAGTAATCACCCACCACTTCTGATCTTTTCTGCAGATCTTGTGGCTTGGGTGTCCTCAGTATTTTTATGTGTGTGTGTTTTTCTTCTTAACAATAGCAACATTCTTGCCACTGATGAATTGGCCTATGGGCAGGAAGTTCCATAATCCCATCTGATCTGTATCTCAACAAATCTATTAGAAGGATCTCAGAGACCAGGAGCCTTCTTTCTTGCTAAAGAGACAGTACTAGCTTTTCAAACCCTGCTCCTACCTGCCCTCTGCATGTTTTATTCTTATGGTTGGGGAAAGCACTGGCAGGACCATCTTCAAGACAAAATGTTATTTCTTCGCTGAAAGGGATGGCCTAAACTGCCTTGCCTTGGCTTAGCCCTCTTGGTTGGCAATGCAATACTAGCCTTTTTGGCCCACATAGCAGCAGTTAAGAGAGGACAAGCTATTTTAACAGAATATGAGAATGGCTGGCTGGTCCTTCTCTAAAGTATGAAAAAAATACCAAGAATTACACTGAGAAATTGGTAATTACCATTAAGTCACAAAATCAGAAGCCTCAAGTTACCACCTTGGGAAGGTAATGGCATCAGAATTATTTAGCCCTCATTTGAATAGATGGGAGCTCCTTCAAAGTAAAGAATGTCTGTGGAAGGCATCCAAGTAATCTTGGTTTCCTTAATGCAATTCAAGAGACTGGAAGTTGCCAGGACTCATATCTTTTGACCAGTGGCCAGCAACCCTGAGGTAGGGCTCCCAGAGGCAAGTGTGGTTAAGATGCAACAGTTCCTGATAAGATCATTCAGCACATCTTCTTGGCCAGGGCCTGATTATATGTGGCAACTGCATGTAGAGAAATCTAATTGCCATACCTTCCTTTTTCTAATTTCTTTTAACAAAACTGCTTTTTCTCTCCCTTTGGCACTAATTGGTAACATTGCTTCCTTCCATCATAGCCCTGAATTATCAGATCTCTCTACCCAGCAATGGTTCTATTAACAACCTCAATCTTAAAACACAGCCAAATAATTAACTCAAATTTATTTTTTTCTTCTCCCCTACCCCTTCCTTTTACAGCCAAAGAACCTGAAATTGGAAACTTAAATGTTTCTGACATAACTCCCGAGAGCTTCAATCTCTCCTGGATGGCTACCGATGGGATCTTCGAGACCTTTACCATTGAAATTATTGATTCCAATAGGTTGCTGGAGACTGTGGAATATAATATCTCTGGTGCTGAACGAACTGCCCATATCTCAGGGCTACCCCCTAGTACTGATTTTATTGTCTACCTCTCTGGACTTGCTCCCAGCATCCGGACCAAAACCATCAGTGCCACAGCCACGACAGGTACATGTGCATTCTCCCATTTCTAACGCACTCTCTCCACAGTCTTCTTTGCAGGGTGAAGCCTCTCCTTCTCCTCTCCCATTGATGTACAAGCCACAGGGCACTAACTCTTCCATGGTGCTAGGCTGGGGTGCTGTTTAACATAACTCTTTTCCAACAGCAGCCCAAATAATGCATTGCCATAAAGACATGTGCCTGATTTATCACTGACCAGGATGTTTACAGCATAAAATGTAGTTCAGTCTAATTTGCCATATGGAATCTAGAGAAAAGAATTCTAACCTCTCATAACTAAAAAGCTATATAACTAGACCTGTTCTTGACTTTGAAAGATGTCTGCCTCAGTCAAAGAGGTCTTGTAAATTTTATTTTGTATTATCTTAGTGTCTTTGTCTTCCTAGTCTCTTGGACCTCGCAATACCCAAATATCCCAGTGATTTAATAATCATGTTGATGGTGTTGGGTATTTTTTTCCAACTGGGAAAGTAAAGGGAAACAGCAAAGATTACTTATCAGATGAGTGCAGGAGGCAGCCATGCCATTCAGACCACCCCAGTTCCAACACCACCTCTAGAAGATCAGAACATGCTGTCTTGCCCTCAGAATAGTGAATGATAAATGGCAAAAATAAAAGTAGAATAGTTGTGTTCAAACAAGGGACTTAGTTTAAAAAACAAAAGAATAAACTGCTCTCACTTTAAATTTGTGGTGTCTGTGAGATGTGCACTAAGTCAGATGCTCTTTGCCATGCAGTAAAAGACAACCCTATGTGAATTTAGAAAGGGGAGCCCCCCTTTCTAATGCTACATTCAAAGTAGCATTCTTAGCACAATTTAGACAGTGCCTTCTCTGGAGAGGTAAATGAAGAAATCACAAACTAGAAAAAAAGAAACAATATCTACAGAACAAACACAGGAGAAATGAAGAAATCACAAACTAGAAAAAAAAATATTGTCTACAGAACAAACACAGGATAATTTTTCCTTATAGTTTACAAAAAGGGGACTCATGGTCTGGGAAATCCAAGAAAAGGGTTGACATCGTAGCATCAAAATTGCCTGTCATTTAGGTCACCCATGGTTGAGAGAGGGTCTGTCCTCATTCTACATGAGGCTACAAATTGTCGTCAGGGTGATCCATGGATAAGGCAGAGAGAGCCAACATTATCCAGTTGCTATCTCAGCCAGGTTCAAGTATAAAAAAACTTAGAGGAGAAAATTAGGCAAACATATATGTTTGTTTCTCATGGCTCAAACCGATTTTCAACAAGGGACAAATTATTTTACCATTAACAAAGGGTAAAGTCTAAAACTTTATGGATTTAGTCTTATGTGTTTTGATTTTGACTCTACAATGGTGTTTTAAATTGACACACTTTCTTTTTTCTTTTTTTTCTTGCTTTAGTAGCCAAACCTCTTCTTAGCCACCTCACTGTCTCAAACATGACCTGGGGCAGTGTGTCCATCTCGTGGGAAGCTCAGGAGTCTGCCTTTGATAGCTTTCTTATAGAAGTTAGTAATTCCGATCACCCCCATGAGACCATGGTGCTGTCTGTGCCTGGGGTGTCTCGCAGCTCTGTCATCACCAACCTCAAAGCTTCTTCTAATTACACTGCCCACCTTCATGGGCTGATTGGCGGGCAGCGTGCTCAGACCCTGATGGTCCAAGCAACCACAGGTATTTCCTATTATGGCTTCTTCACTCTTCATTGAATTTCCTCTGAATAGCTTTCCAAAAATCACCCGCTACCCACTTTTCACCCTCCTAGTTGCTCCCAATCCTTCTCAAATTTGATAGAGCCATCCAAATCAAAGCTTTAAAGCTTTAAAATAACTCTCACCCCAAATTAAAGAATTTCAGTGTCAAACCTCTTTTTCCTAAATATCCATTCACATCTGGAGTTGTTCTGTTTGTTTGTATAAAGTTAACCTGACTTGCTTTGGTTGAATTTCTAAATCATCTTTTCATCTGATCTTGAATAATCTTTTTCAATCCCACCCATTATCATCTGCCTGTGGTCGTTCTAATCAAAGTTTGCCTATGTCATGTTCAAAGAGGTATGTGCATGCCATTTCTGGTGACTTGGTCAGAAAGATCTACACTCTTTTTCTCTCTAGCAGGATTTTAAAAAATAAAGGTGCCCTGAGCATGCTGAGAATAGACTCTGAATCACAACCCAAGAATTGCATGAGAGGACCCAGTAGTCTTATCTTGTTCTCGTGATTTTTGTCTGAAGACTACTCTTTTTTGACATGTACTTTGTCAAGCACATTTTGTCACCCACTGATAGCTGTCACAAAGTCTCAGGCTCTTCTTTCAAGCCATCATCTTGTCCAAATCTTGGTGCATGTGGTGAATATTCAGAGCATTAAATTTTGAAAATGTTTCTTTTTCCTGGAAGCAGCTAGCATGTCCATGAGTCATTTCAGAAGGTTTAAAGTGGTGGGAGAAAAATGCCCCTCATTTTGCATGGAACATTGACCATACCCTAACTACCACTATCTTTCTCTGTTTTTTCTTGCATCTCATTTCTCAGCTTGGTTGCACCCTTTGAGAGGCAGCTGGAGGTAAAGCTGACCTCAAGAACCTGAGTCTTATTCTGCATGGTGAATCTGTTGGCATTGATAGTCTGTCTGGTAGCATGAGAAGAATCCCAGCATGCATCCTTAATTTGGGAGATTGTTTCTACAGCAAAATATAGGGAAATAACAGAGTTCCACTTGGAACATTTTAATCTTTTGTGTGGTTGAGGGAATTTGTCAAAGCTATAGCTGCAAATGATTGCATTGTTACCTTCTGAAACTAATTGATAAGGAGGATATCCCATGTCAATGCTAATGGCTATATTCTGCTTCTGAACCAAATCCTTTTTGTTCTTAGAGATTTTATGACATCGAATTATGCTGTATAATTGTGCCATTAAAGTTTATCCAAATGAGCCCCTTCTTTCCTCCAAACTTTGGAGCTGAAGCAAAATAACTCCCAAGTCCTTGGAAGAAATATTGTGCCTCTTCCCAACCCTAAATCCTGATCTTAATATCTGAATCCTCCAGTACTGTTGCCTCTCTCTAAAATACAGTCTGGGCCGCACTTACTTTAAAATTAGTTTTATTTGATAAATGAGCATTTAGGAGGCCAGCCCCATAAACATCTAGCCATATAGACCCCTTAACATTAAATGAGTTGCTCTCAAAACTGAATGTCTAGACTTTAACAGAAAAGAGATACTTAACCTCAGGGAAACCATCTATCTGTCCAAATTATCCAATAATTGAGTTTCCTAAGCAGAAAATTCAATGCCTAACTTCAAGTTTTTCTTTCACCTTTGCATTCACTGGGAATTTTGAATGGAAGCCATCTTCACCTTTACGGTATTAAATGGTAAAATATAGATTTTCCTACAATGCATATTAAGTACTGTAAAAATTTCTCTTGTATGGGTATTAGCCTTTAATTTGTGCAAACAGTAGATACTAAAAAAGAATACTAAATGAGGAAACTCCAAAGAAGCATTTTCTAAAACATGTTCAATGGAACACCAGCTCCTTGAGATGTTCAAAGGATATTCCTCAGATAGGGTATACATTGATCAATAAGTTTATGAAATTTGGGCCAAACAAAATTAAACAGGTTTACTGACAGAACCAGCCTGTCAGAGCCTTTAAAATGCAAACCCACCTTGTGAATCTCTATGGTAAGACATAATATTCGGTGTTTACCATGCATACTTAATCATAAAGCTGTCTTTTCTTGGAACATCTTACAGGGCTTGTGTCCCCAGTACAAACTTTAGAAAATGTAGCCTTAATACCCTTCACGTTACTCCAATCTACCACTCTAATGGCTTGTCTACTCTTCTTCATACATGACTAGCAAATGGTGGTGTTTATGCTTTAAAAGAACACAGATCTAAAAAATAAAATAAAAATAAAGAACACAAATATACACCTGCAGAGAAAGCAATATATTTTCTATCATCATATTCAATGCAGGTGTAGACACAGCCTAACATACTGTCTCTTCTGTATGTATTTGGAGATATTGATGCTTTCATGTTCTATGGCTACATTCTGGAAAAATCCACTGCTTCCTCTAATAATGTCTCTCTCTTTCTCTCTGCCCATATTCCTTCTTTAGAACCAAAGCCACAGTTGGGCACGCTAATCTTTAGCAATATTACTCCAAAAAGCTTCAACATGTCATGGACCACTCAAGCTGGGCTTTTTGCAAAGATTGTTATCAATGTGAGTGACGCTCACTCACTGCATGAGTCCCAGCAATTCACAGTCTCAGGAGATGCAAAGCAAGCTCACATCACAGGCTTGGTGGAGAACACTGGCTATGACGTCAGTGTGGCAGGAACCACCTTGGCTGGGGATCCCACCAGACCCCTCACTGCCTTTGTCATTACAGGTACTCAATCAGAGGTTCTCACTTGTCTAACACAGAGAGAAAAGGAGATAAGTCATCTTAAAGGAAAATTCAACAAAAATACAATCTTCACTGCAAATGTGTACTCTCTTATTTTTAATTGACAAATAGTAATTGTATATATTTATGGAGAATAGTGTGTTGTTTTGATATACATATACATTGTGGATTGATTGAATCAACCTAATTAACATATCAATCACCTCACCTTATTTATTTATTTATTTATTTATTTATTTATTTATTGTGCTGTGAGAACATTTAAAATCTACTCTTTTAGGAATTTTGAAGTATTCAATATGTTATTATTAACTATGGCCAGTCACCATGCTGTGCAGTAGATCACTAAAACTTATTCCTTCTGTCTAACTGAACTTTGTACTCCTTGACCAACATCTCCCCTTTCTTCATCTCCCCAACCCCAGTCACCGGTAACCACCAGTCTTCTCTGTGCTTCTATGTGTTCAGCTTTCTTAGATTACACAAATGAGATCACGCAGTATTTGTCTTTCTGTGCCTCGATTATTTCACTCTGTACAATGTCTTCTGGGTTCATCCGTGTTGTTGAAAATGACAGAATTTTCCTCTTTTTTAAGGCTATAAAGTATTCCATTATATATATATGTGTATATATATATATATGTATATATACACACATATGGAATGTATATATTTATATATAAATATGATCTATCTATACACCACATTTTCTTTATCCATTCATCCATTGACAGACACAGGTTACAATACATTACTCATGATAGCCAAGATAATATATGTAAACTTCTAAGTAAAGAGAAAGCAGATACTATTATAAAGGAGAGGACTTTCACAGCTGCTCTTAGGAAGTGGAGAGAACGTTCTCAAGAGTTGTATAAAGCTTTTAGGGTTTTTTGTGCCCAGTTTTATTGGCTGTTTTATCCCTAGTTTAGAGATTCTGCCTAAAAAGTGACTCCTAAGTTAGTAAAGGCCTAAGATCGAAATCCTGTTCATAAATCATGCTAGGTAACGCAGTTCATATATGTGACAAAAGTATAACCATCTTTTTCTTTAAAAAATAATTATTCTTAAAACTGACAACACAGATGCAGCTAGATGCAGCTAATTTGAAATTCCTGTCTCCTTTTTTTCTTTTGATTAAAAAAAAAATGCATTTACCAGTACTGTCAGAAAAAAAAAAAAAAGAAAAAAAAGAAAAAAGAAAAATCACCTAGAAAAGAGACGCTGAACCTTCTCCACTAATCCTCCTTATCCCTCAGGATTGCCATCACTGATTGGGGTTGGCTTTGGGTATGGAAAGAACGTAGAACTTGGAGTCGGAAGACCTGGTTGTATATCTCAGCTTAGGCACCTAGCAGATGTATGACCTAGGATAAGTCATTAACTTCTCTGGTTTTTTTAGATGTGATCGGGGTTGGAAGATTGATGAAGGTTCAACCTCAGATGGCAGATAAATTTCAAGTTTAATTAAGCCCTACCCATTCACTCAACTTGACTTCTTGAACATTTGCCAATGTTCAATTTGGCAAATGCTGCCAAATGGTGGCAGCAAAAACTTCAATGGCAAAGGCTGCACATGGTGTCAGTTTACTAAATTCTAGCCCAAAAAGCCTCAGAAAATATTTAGAAGTCTCTTCCTTTTCATTAGTGATAATTTTCAGAAGACGGACTTTGCCATCTGATTTTCACATTAAACCAGGTCTCTCCCAGGGTCTAAATTGCCATCACTAAGACATGTCAATTAGTACAATTAAATATTTAATTATAGGCAGCATGGTGTCCTGGAAGAGTGAGGATTTTGAGATCAAGCTTTTGTGGTTTCTAAACCTCTCCCACAGCTTTTTAGCTACATAATTTTAGCAAGTTCTTAACTTGTTTGAACCCTAATTTCCTTATGCATGGAGAGAGGATACCACAGGCACTTCTGGGAGCCTTGTCTCATAGATTAAATAGAGTTGGTGAAATTTAACTGCCTAGCATCCAGTAGGAATTTTATACATGCTAGGTTCTTTCTGCTGTCTCCCAACATTATTAGGAAAGTGGCTTTCTTAAAAATAACCAATAAGGCTAGATAGAACAATAGACCTATGCAATCATGAACTCCCTCTCGTTTTTAAGAGAACTTTGGATGTGTTTTAATGTAAGATTAAAAAATGAGTATTTTTTCCTATCCAGTTACCTAATGTGAATTAAATCATTCAGATGAGTCTTCAAATGCAGAACATGGTAATTTCTTAAGGGACTGAGACAAGGAGGAACGAGATGAGATTCTCACTCCTCAGGAGGGGAGAAATGGCCACAGATCCCATCAGGCCATTGCTTGTAGCGGCTTGCAGGACCTCCCACATAACAGAAGAAAAGGAAGCTGAGAGACCCAGTCTTGGGAATCCTAGATCCAGTTACAGCATTGTCTCAGCTAATCCATGATGTGAAAAGATTGCGTTTTAAAAGAAGCATATTAAAAAAGAAAAAAACAAAACAGGAGGGACTCTTAAATAACAAGCCCTTGATTGCCTAATTAGCCTGAATGCCCTCACTTTCATTGGAATTCACTGCTTTGATGGTGTGGAGGTGCAAAGAGGCCAGCTATCAAAGAGAGATGCCACTTATCTAAACAAAATCCAGGAACAGAATTCGAGACCCTTGTCTCTCAGATGAAGATTGTTTGCCCAGTATAAGAGATTTCATCCTCGCTTTTGATAGAATTATGATTCTTGGGAAATCTTTACGTGGAAAAAACTGCCTCAGAATAAACACCAAGTGTTTCAAAATAACTACAGGAAGTCCAAGCCACAGCAAAATTTAAATCTCTATTTACAAAATGAAGGTATTCATTCCCTTATTCATTCAGTCACCAAACACTTCTTTTTAAAACATTTTTCTTTATGTCTCATGGATTAGACCCTAGGCATTAGTGAATTAATGCAAGAGCATTTATCTCTTTGTAAGTTTCCATTTAGCTGTAATGGAAAAGAAGTGTCTAAACTAGATGCAGCTAATTTGAAATTCCTGTCTCCTTTTTTTCTTCTGATTAAAAAAAAAAATGCATTTACCAGTACTGTCAGAAAAAAAAAAAGAAAAAAGAAAAAACACCTAGAAAAGAGACGCTGAACCTTCTCCACTAATCCTCCTTATCCCTCAGGATTGCCATCACTGATTGGGGTTGGCTTTGGGTATGGAAAGAACATAGAACTTGGAGTCGGAAGACCTGATTGTATCTCAGCTTAGGCACCTAGCAGATGTATGACCTAGGATAAGTCATTAACCTCTCTGGTTTTTTTAGATGTGATCGGGGTTGGAAGGCAGGTAGCAATATCTACCTTACTGTATCATTTTGAAGACTAACTAGGATAACAATGTGAAGCCTTGTCAGTTGGCAAGTATCAATGGAAACTTAGCCAACATAAGCTCACTCCTTTTGGATATCCCAATGTGTGAAAAGGCCCTTTAGCACCTGAGAAATCAGAATGCCTGGGACATACATGTTTGGTGAACGAATGAAGGAGAGATGGTGACAGAATTTACTAAGACCCAGATGTGTTCTTGTTTTCTAACTTTATCCAGGAAAATAAACAGCAAAAGATTTAGCAAATCTTATCATTTCTTAGTGGGTTATAACCATGAGCTATTAATTTTGACACAAAAAAAACTTACCTCCTCCCTTTATTTCAGCTTGTGAGGATATCTCACTAATTGACTTCATTAATTTGATTCAAACTGTGCACTAGAAGTGGGATAGAAACACATGAAGTATACCGGAAAGAAATTATACTCGAAAAAAAAAAAAAGAGCTGAAGGCAGTGGGAAGTAGACAACGGGATCCAAACTCAACAAAATGCAACCTATTTGTATAAAGAACTACATGGCCTTTGGAGTCAAACCTGACTAAAATCTTCGCTCTATCTCTTCTTACAAGCTTGTAACTTTAGCTAAGTCAATCAACTTCTTTGAAACTCAGTTTGCTCACGTGTGAAATTAGAATAATACCTACCTCATGGGCTATTAAGAGAATTGCACAAGATAACACTATCTGGCACCCAATAAGTTCTTACTGAATTTTCATTTTCTAAGCATATAACACAAATTGAATGATGGACTTGGGTATCTATTGGTGTTCTTGGAAACGTGTGCTATCCTGACAGAGTCAGTGCTGCTAACCTGAGTTATTTTCACTCCTCCCTTCTTTCAGAGGCCCTGCCCCTTCTGGAAAACCTAACCATTTCCGACATTAATCCCTACGGGTTCACAGTTTCCTGGATGGCATCGGAGAATGCCTTTGACAGCTTTCTAGTAACGGTGGTGGATTCTGGGAAGCTGCTGGACCCCCAGGAATTCACACTTTCAGGAACCCAGAGGAAGCTGGAGCTTAGAGGCCTCATAACTGGCATTGGCTATGAGGTTATGGTCTCTGGCTTCACCCAAGGGCATCAAACCAAGCCCTTGAGGGCTGAGATTGTTACAGGTATTTCAAATCAAGTGAGCCATTTGTTCCTCTTCCTGGTCCCCTTCTGTGTAATCTGTCTACCGGATCGCCATGACTTTAACATCTTTGTTCACATTCCCTACTTAATCCATAAATGTAGTCTACTGTTTCACCTTCTCCCCACACTCCCTCTTGTCATATGTACTTAATGAACACTCCCCACTCCCACCCCAGAAATGAGAAGGTCGAAATATTTCTGCTTTGTATTCAAAATCCTTTAGACCTTGTCTTGTCCATAGCTCTTGTGTGCTTACCTCATATCATCGTCCCTTGTGATCAACCTGGCTGGTCCCCAGCTACATTTCAGCCTTCTCAAAAGAAATATACCAATGAGTATATTTCCAAAACGTATTTAAAACTTTTGCCATCTCAAAATCTCAACCATGATCTTAACAAACTTACCCAGTGGGCTCGTCATTGGAAAACCAAATGTGAACTTATTTTATCGGTAATCACTAATATCAGAGAGACTCTGCAACACGGACTAAATCCATAATTTTCTCAAGACTAATGATTCCTACAGAAATTAACAACGGAATAGTCAAACATCTGTGTTTCCCAAAGTCTTTCTAGAGATTACTAGCTCCACAGAATGTTCAAAGGTCCTACTCGGTGAGGAAATTCCACGTTCAAATAAGTTTGGAAAGACTGAGTTAAACAAAGTTAAAGAGGATCTTTAACTGCACGGCTTTTCAGAACACCCTAACGTGCATCATCTCCAAGAAGTACTTATCCAGGCAGTATTTTCCAAACTTATTTGACAAAGGATACTTTTTAAGGAAGAGGATCAAACAGGAATAGTTCACTGTGAGCACACTTTGGGAAACTCAGCTCTAAATCTACATTGACATTGAGTTTTGTCTAGTTAAGGCAATGCAAGATGAAACCCTGGGTCCACAGTATGTAGCACAAAAGGTTCCAACCTCAGTTCTACCATCTGAACATTTATCTAATAGTTAATAAAATAACAAGAAAGAATGCAAAAAAAAAAAAAAAAAGTCAAGGGTAGGAGCCTTCTTTAGTGAAACAGCACTAAGAACAAAGCAAAAAGACCATAACATTTTAAAAGCCATTTTGGGCAGGCTCAAGGAGAATGTAATCAGCAGTATCATCATGAGCAGCTCTACAGATCATTAATGCTGGTTTATTTGTCTTTTCAAAAAGAAAAGAAAAAGGTCTTGCAGGGGATGGGCACTCAGCCACTGGAAGACAGAGAGCAAATGTAAACAATTTACTGGCTTTGAACTTATTTAATAATATGTGGGACGGGCCAATGCTGAGTCCAGATGTGGATTTACTGAATTGCTTTTAGACAAAACTCACATATGCAAACATATGCTTGACTTGTATTGAATGTGTCTACTCCATCTTTCCCCTCTCCTGACTCTACTGGACTTGTTAATGTTGAATGATTTTATTTTTGGTATCTCAGGACACTTCTATCTCTGAAAGCCGGGGCATCACTACATATTGATACCCCTACTGGAGAGAAGATTGCACGGACTGGTAAATGATGTTGTCTTTCCTCCTTCTCCCACCATTTTCTCTCCCTCTAGAAGCCGAACCGGAAGTTGACAACCTTCTGGTTTCAGATGCCACCCCAGACGGTTTCCGTCTGTCCTGGACAGCTGATGAAGGGGTCTTCGACAATTTTGTTCTCAAAATCAGAGATACCAAAAAGCAGTCTGAGCCACTGGAAATAACCCTACTTGCCCCCGAACGTACCAGGGACATAACAGGTCTCAGAGAGGCTACTGAATACGAAATTGAACTCTATGGAATAAGCAAAGGAAGGCGATCCCAGACAGTCAGTGCTATAGCAACAACAGGTACTGTAAATAAACAGGAGAGAACAGAGAAAAGTCATGACTCAGGGGTCTTCTTCTCACAGGGCTGAGTAATCACAGGAGCTTTGGATGCAGGCAGGCTGGCGCTCTGATCCTGACTCTTTCAATTACAGACTGTGTTACCTTGGACAATTTGGCTAAGTCCTTATGCAAAAAAAGTATGATGCCATTTACTTAATAGGGTTGTGAGGATTAAATGAGATAATTCATATAAAGCCCATAGCGGAAGGCCTGGCAGGTAGCAAGGGCCCAGCAAATGAGAGCTATTCACGTTGCCATTAATGCATCATCATCGTTACAATTATCATCTTTTTTTTTTTACGTTCCAAAGATTCTTCCTTCTATCTATTATCTCATCATATCTCATCTCATCATATCATATCTCATCATTTTATCCAGAGATACACTTCCTTGTTCTTTGGCCAAATGTTCGAGCTATACCAAGTAGGGAGATAATGGAGAAGCAGCACGTCTATCTATACACATTAATATTTATAAAATGCTACATGTGAATAATCAGTACGGTGATCAGCAAGGATAAAGGAGAGAGCTGGCAAGATTAACATGCTACTGTTTATGAAGCTCTCTAACTTTGATACTCATAACAACTCTGAAAGGCACCTAGAGTGTCCTTGGAGTTTAATTACCTTTTTCCATAGGAGCTGTTTCAAGGAGAAAAAAAAAAAAGATGGTTAATAATATGACTCTTAGGCCCAGAGTGATGGCTCACACCTGTAATCCCAGCATTTCAGGAGGCTGAGACAGGAGGATCACTTGAGTCCAGGAGTTTGAGACCAGCCTAGGCAACATAGTAAGACCCTACCTGTGCAAAAAAAAAAAAAAAAAAAAATCAAAAACTTAGCCAGGTGTGGTGCCTCATGCCCGTAGTACCAGCTACTCTGCAGGCTGAGGCAGGAAGATCTCTTGAGCCCAGGAGGTTAAGGCTGTGGTGAGCTGTGTTCGTGCCACTGCATTCCCACCTGGACGACAGAGCAAGACTCTGTCTCAAATAATGATAATAATAACAGTAGTAATAATATGACTCTTTGTAATAATAATAATACTAAGATGAACATGACTTTTTAAAGAGAAAAGGAAAAACCTCCAACAAGTCAAGTAAATTATTTCATGAAACTGAGGGAGATGCAGAGACATAGCATTCGCTGGAGATGGCTGCTTCAAAGGGAACCAGGGGACAGAACCACAAAATCACCAGGAGAGATAAAAGGGACCTGAGAGATGATGTAGCTCAACCTCTTCTGTTTGTGCATGAAGACTCTGAGGACCAGAATGGTGAAATGATTTTTCTATGATCATAGAGCTAGATTTGGAGTAAAGCCCAATGACCAGCTTATTCTAATACTATTTAAAATGAGCAGTCTGGATGAGAGAAAACCAATGCATATAGCTACTTGCCATCTCTGACAGGCATAGGCATGACATTTGCCAAAACCTCTCCTTTTTGTCTAAAGATAGATATTTTATATTGTTAAGTTTTCAGGACCTAATAAGTGGCAAGAAATCACCCATGTAAAAATAATAATCAGTATTTGTAGGCTTGGAGAAAATGCTAGAATCCAGGCAGCAACCTAGTAAGAGGGAAAAACCCTGTTTCTTATTAACAGGGACACCCTATCCTGGGATGCAGGTCTCAGTCTCCTCCTCCCTGTGGCTGCCCATAAAACGACTCCAGATCAGAGGCAGAGCCTTGATTTTGATCTTGGTTTATAAACAGTGTTCTTCGAAGTTTACTTCTTCTGATCATTGATTTGTTTTGCTGATCTTTTTTTTCTAGAAGCCCTGCAGTTCTAAAGCAAAAAAGAGAATGAATAATCATGAATTGAATTTTTTTTAAGAACAACAAAAAAAAAAGGCAAGGCAGACCCTGCTCTTTTGGAAAGCCCTCTCTTTGATTTTCTTCTCTAGAGCCTAGTAGCTTATAGCCAAAGAGAGGTGCCCATGCGCGTGCGTGCTTGTGTGTGTGTGTGTGTGTGTGTGTGTGTGTGTCTACATGCCTGTGCTCCAGGACCAGGAGAAGACAGGAAAGGGGGCTCTTGAGCACAGAAGATGCCTAATTTCTATCTTCACCTCATCAAGTTTATAAATTTCCCCTTTTGTTTTTTTTTTTTAATCCTTTCTCCTCTCCTCTCTTCCTCCCTCATACCATTGTAAACTCTTCTCTGTAATGTCCTATCCCTCTTCCTCCTGAGAAGGCCCTGCTGTAGCTCCTCCTCTCACTCACAAGGTACCTCTCCATAGCACAAGCTGCCAGCCCTGGGTGCCCAGGGCAGTAGAAAGGGCAGTGGGAGACAGTGTTGCCTGGTGGTTAAGCCAACAACCATGGGACAGTGTCCTTGGAGTTTCATCATGGCTCTACCTCAATTCCTTCATCTGGAAAATAGAATTTAACTCAAAGGTCAGCCACGAGGTTTACATAAGATCATGAATGTCAAGTATTTAGCAGAATTTCTTTACCCACAGTAACCATATTAGCTATTAATGTGTTTGGCCATAAGATACACCTACTAAAATGTACCTACACCAATGAGGTTTTCAGTCAAAGCAATAGTGCGAGTACACCAGGTTGGCAGAGGGAAGTCCTCAGTGCCTGAGTTTATACACCTCACTGTTTTTTGTTTGTTTGTTTGTTTGTTTTTTCCCAGTTAGACTCATCTCGATCTTTCCTAGGGGACACCTTAAAGTCTAGTATGGCCCATGGAGGAAAGAGGGACATTGGAAAGAAAATAAAGAGAGGGCAATCATATTTACTGAATTCTCACTGCATGCCAGATGCTGTGCTGGGAGTTTCACATTTGTTATCTCTGCTAATCCTCAAAACATCCCTGTGGGTGGGTACCACTTTTCCCTCTGGACAGATGGAGAAACTGAGGTTCACAGAAGTGAAGGGACCTGCCCAAGGTCACCCAGCCTCTCAGTGGTATTTGGACAATGAAGCTCTTTCAGGCTCCAGAGACCCATGTGGTTTCTGAAACTTTCCATGGGCAGGGCAAAAACCCAGGCAGCCACAGAGTCTGGGGGTGGCTACCAGGCCACAGAAGAAAGCTGTAGGAGGAGATGTCTTAGATGAGAGAAAAATGCAGAAAGAGGAAGAAAAAAAAACCCTTGCTGAATTTCTGTGGGTTTCAGCATGTAATAATCCCTGTGGGTTGGAGAGGGGAAAAGATGAGGAAGTGAGTTCCCTAGAGCCTGAAAATTGTTTCCTGAATTCTCTGGGTAGGCATGGTTAGCTGAAGAGGGCAAAAATCGCAGCCAAAAAATACACAGAGAAAAGCCAAAGGAAACTGGGTTTTGAGGGGAGGTATTTTGGGAGGCAGAAACTCCCCCTGGGCATGGCTTTTCTCACAGGTAGACCCAGCGTCCACTGGGTGTTTGCTTTGGTGATGAGCCTGAGGTTGTTCTCTTGGCTTTGGACCTCCTTCCAGTTCTAGGAATGGGTTTGCCCAGGTCAGTGTTTGTGTGAACGTTATTTCCAGGATTCCAGGCTGTGCTTGGCTCTGCTGCCTACTCCTGGGACCCAGAAAGATCACATCACAAGAATGTTCATGGAAGCCTTGGTTTGGTTCTCTGTAAAATGGCTATAATCACATCTTTTTGGGGGCTTCTACAGGAGGATTAAGCCTTATAAATTGCAAAGAACTGTACAGTTGTCAAGTCTTAGTATTATTTAATAAAAGGAACTAGAAAGCAAAGATTTAAGAAAATGTTAAAAATCAAAAATGAACGGGGGTCACATTCCAATCTGGGAAACCATTCTCCCACGATTCCTTGGAAGTCAGCTATGGTCCTATCACTCCCCTTGAATTAGACCAAATGACTTTTCTACAACCCTGGGCCCTGTACCTGAAATGAAACAATTGGTCCTAGCAAGTCACAACTTAACCACAGATCACCACATTCTCCATCCTAAAGGCTTGGCTCAGACACAAATTCTAGGCACTGAGTTTTCCTAAATAAGGAATTCAGGAAGAACCATTGATGAACAAGACAGTTAACTGTTTCTGGGCTTCTCTTGTGCTTTCTTCTTGACAGCCATGGGCTCCCCAAAGGAAGTCATTTTCTCAGACATCACTGAAAATTCGGCTACTGTCAGCTGGAGGGCACCCACAGCCCAAGTGGAGAGCTTCCGGATTACCTATGTGCCCATTACAGGAGGTAGGAGACTCGGAAAGGGGAGAGAGAGGAGGAGTGTTGTGGGTTTGGATGGATTCATGAAAAAGACCCTGATAATTTTCATCCTCTAACATCATGATCAAAGAAAATGAATTCTTTATTTGTGAGACCATCTGGAGAGAAGAGAACTCATTTGTAAAGTGCTATGAGGTTCTTAGAAGAAACTTTCTTGTGAAGGGTCACTTGAACAAGACCTTTTTTAACCTTGAAATTATAAAATTCTATGAGAAATAGATCTCTAGTATTGTTTGCACACAATGGCAAAAGATTCTAAATATATTGGCATTTCTCTCCCTGCGCACACTCATCTGAAAAGCTAGTCTTGGATATATGTGAAGTTTTACCTTTGGGTACCAAATCTGTCTGTCTCAGCAAATGATGGCAAGCTGTGCCTTAGAAAATTTGTGAGTTCTAACTCAAAGCGCATGGGCTATAATAGAGACCACAAGGAGGAAGCCCAGTCAAATCTGCCTAAAGACACTCTGGCAGGTAGTAAGCTACCTGTTGCTGAAAGTGTATAAAGAGAGGATGGTTAATAACCTCTTCACAGGAATGCTGTTTTGTCTCTATAGGAAGTCTGACCAGCTGATGTGCAAGTTCTTCACTAGCCCCCAAATTCTAAGAAATACAATTTCTGTGTTTATTAATAAACACTGCAGCACAAACTTGACTATAATCAACTTTCTTTTCTTAAGTAGAATTTCCTCTAGTAAGGGAGTCTATAATCCTAAGCCAAGACAATGGGTGCAATAGATCTGACATACATTACATAGTAAGCTTCCCATATTGTTTGTGGGGAAAAATAATAAGATAAAATTTGCACAACGTGCCAGCTCTCTACTGAACGGAAACTTGCCATTTTTAGTACGTTGTGACTTCATGTTTTCCCCCGCCCCTCCTGGCTTTGTTTTTGGCATCTGCACCAATAGAAAAAGCATACAAAAAGTAAGCCTTCTTCCCTTATGCCAGAGGGTAGGAGCAAATGAGAAGTCAAGAAAGTGGTGTTTGATGAAGATATAGTTTCATTTCTAAATCAGATACACTCTTTTTGGGGGCAACAGTGAATAAGTGTCAGTGAGGTTCATTATTCCTCATCTTGCTTTTACTGTGTTCCAGGTACACCCTCCATGGTAACTGTGGACGGAACCAAGACTCAGACCAGGCTGGTGAAACTCATACCTGGCGTGGAGTACCTTGTCAGCATCATCGCCATGAAGGGCTTTGAGGAAAGTGAACCTGTCTCAGGGTCATTCACCACAGGTGAGTTGGTGGGGTTGTGTGTGTGTGTGTGTGTTACTATTTTTCAGAGGTCACTTGTGCATCCTATGCCATTTCTCACCTTCAGCCTTGTAGCTCATGACTCAGCAGCTGGAAAAAAAGGGGGGTTTTATTTATGAGATCCTAGTGGAAAGTGAACTGGATTTAGAGTGCCAGAGGCCTCTCTTCTGGCCCATCCCAGCCTCTGGTGAGCTGGGTGACCTTAACCTTGTTGGGCCTCCATTTCCTGGACTATTGTGAAAGAAAAAGTCCAAGTTTGGGAGTCATACTTACCTGAATTTAAATCCAAATTCTACCAACTACATGAGCTATCAGTCCATTTTACTAGGGTCCACTTTCCTTCTCTGTAAAACAGACACAATTCTGCTTCCCTCACAGGGTATGGTAAGGATCACATGAAGCTGTGTTTGTAAAGCATCCTGAAATACAATTGTTCATGTTAGCCCACCATCACCTTCACCTCCCCGCCTATTGCCTGGAACCCTTGTGAGTGTCCCTCAAAGCAGGTGTTTCACATGAGCATGTGATGGTGACAGCTACAAAACAGCTCCTCTCTATTTGGTGGCTCTTGCATTCCAGGCACTGTTACTAAACCCTTCACATTTAATCCCCACAGCTATTATCATCCCCATTTTACAGAGGAGACAACTGAGACAAATGAAATACCTTGGCCAAGCCCACATAATTAGTAAATGCTGGAACCAAATTTGAACATAGGTCGGTCTGACTCCAAACTCTCTATCCTTCTAAAATAAAGAGTTCCTTTCCTAGTGTAACCTGATTTGTACAGTACACTGTAAAGAGGGGAAAATAATGAATTGCATTGAAGGAGAATGAAGTGGAAAATTTCTCTTCAGACAGCCATGTCTCAAAACAATTTATCCTTTGATATGTGAGCAATTATCCAGTCCAACTCATTAAGGGATACAAAGAATAGACCTCATAGGAAATTTTAAAAATATCCTCATAGCCTGAAAGAGTTGACAACACACAATTAAAATATCCCATCTGAACCCAGAGTCCCGTCCACCCTGCCTCACAGGCCCTTATTTCCCCAAAGAAATCTTTCATCAGTGGATTCTCCACGGCAACAGATGGCAAAAGCTGAACGTAGTTCCTCCCAATGCCCCATTGTCATCACCAGTTAAAGGAGATTCTGTCCATGCACAGTGAAGCAGGAAGGAACTCAGAGTGGACAATGTGGGCTCCCCAGTTGCCCTGCCACATCCTGGCTCTCAGACCAGTCATTTCATCCCTCAAGGCTCAGGTGCCTCTCTGTGAAATGAGCTGAGGATAGCTTCCCTCCACCCTCGCCAGGGCTGCTGGCATGGGCACAATTGAGTAGTAAGTGCAAAAGCAAGAGGAAATGGTCAGATTCATGCTGGCTTCTGAGAAAGTGATGTTGGGTAGTAGGAGAGGTCAGTTAAAAGAGGCCAGGGATAAATATCCTTTGAATATCCATCCTTTCTCAGAACAAGTCATTTGAAAACCATACTTAAGACTTCAAATACCTTTAATAGAGATCTTAATAACAACTGCAAGTATTGAGAGCTTTCCCTAGTACATCTTACACATCACACATTGCTTAGCTAGTCTTTATTAACTAAACAGTCACCCTTTGGCAGCTGAAGAAAGTGAAGTTTGGAGAAGGGAAATGAATTTTCCCAGGGCACAGAGGCACCAGGCAGAGAAGCCATGGTAGAACCCGGGACCACCGGCCTCCAGAGCCTGGCTTTATGTTCTCTGCAAGCCATCTAAGGAGAAATACCACTCAAAGCTCAGAAAAGGCTCGGGGCCAGGTGCGGTGACTCACGCCTGTAATCCCAGCACTTTGGGAGGCCAAGGAAGGTGGATCACCTGAGGTCAGGTGTTCAAGACCAGCCTAGCCAACATGGTGAAAAAACCCATCTCTACTGAAAATACAAAAGTTAGCTGGGCTTGGTGGTGCACACCTGCAATCCCAGCTACTTGGGAGGCTGAGGCAGGATCATTGCTTGAACCCGGGAGGCAGAGGTTGCAGTGAGCCGAGATCGTGCCACTGCACTCCAGCATGGGCGACAGAGTGACAGTCTGTCTCAAAAAAAAGAAAAGAAAAAAGCAAAGAAAAGAAAAGAGAAAAGAAAAGAAAAGGCTCGGGCAGTCTTAACTATGCAAGTCCCCTCTGTGTAAGTTCTTTCTCTGGGGAAAGTAATATAAACAATAATAATTCTTGTCATGTGTTCAGCCTTGTTCAGTTTACACAGCTCCTTTCCACCCATAATATAATGGAAAAATCAAAATAACACTGAAGATGAAACCAGCCAGAATTACTATCCCTATTTTACACATGAGGATATAGAGGCCCAAAGTAACTGAGCCAGCAAGGGAGGGAGTCATTACTCAAAGCCAGGTCAGGCTGGCTCCAGGCTTAGGTCTCTGAACCATTCCATGCAGCTGACACTGTCCTAACATCAGGACTCCATAAGCAGTGTGGACAGCAGAGCAGCTAGAGTCTGATGTCCCACCCAATGACTTCCCTCCTGTCCACCATCTTTCTTTGCAGCTCTGGATGGCCCATCTGGCCTGGTGACAGCCAACATCACTGACTCAGAAGCCTTGGCCAGGTGGCAGCCAGCCATTGCCACTGTGGACAGTTATGTCATCTCCTACACAGGCGAGAAAGGTAAGGTTTTGTCCAAGTCTCTCCTCACTCTAAGGAGTGTCTTTCCTGCTGTAAACTCTTCCCATTCGCTCTTCTCCCTGCCACATTTGGTACAGGATGATAAAAATGCATGGGTAGGTTGAAAAGGCCAGTAATGTTCATGTGGCTCCCAACTGAAACCTCAAGGGAGTCTGGTAGGTCATTTAAAATAAAAATAAAAATACATCTCCAGCCTCTACATGTTTTCCTGGCCCATTCCTCCTCTCCTGTTAGTATCTCTGCCTACCAGTGTGAGACACCCCGTTTAGGAAACAGTTGTCATCTTTTACAAAGAAGAAAACCAGAATCTAAAATCTTAACCAGACCGCTTCAGGCCATACTGAGCAGTCTCAACTTTTCAGAGACCACAAAAGAAGCTAGTTTTAGCAGATTTAATTAAAAAGTCTGAAATTTTAAGCCAGGTACAGTGGCTTACATCTGTAATCCAGCACTTTGGGAGGCCAGGGCAGGTGGATCACTTGAGACCAGGAGTTTGAGACCAGCCTGGCCAACATGGTGAAACCTCGTCTCTTCTAAAAATACAAAAATTAGCTGGGCATAGTGGTGCATGCCTGTAGTCCCAGCTACTCGGCAGGCTGAGGCAGGAGAGCTGCTTGAACCTGGGAGGCGGAGGCTGCAGTGAGCCGAGATCGCACCACTGCACTCCAGCCTGGGTGAGAGAGGGAGGCTCTGTCTCAAAAAAATAAAAATAAAAAATAAATAAATAAATAAAACAGAAATGTTTTCTTGTTTGGCAACCATCAGTGCTAATGTACCCAGTTGACAGATTAAACACTTGTTTAGAGCACCAGCAAACTACAGCTGCCAGAAAGTAAAATCAAATATAAGTAAGAGACTGGAGAAAGAGAGAGTGCTTTTCAATGAACCCCTCCATTTTGTAATGAGCTACTCTAGAAATAATTGTGTAATTTCAATTTCCAGGTATAGGTAAGTTTCATATTTTATGGTTTGGTATTGTTTTGCTCTCAGTGACAATATGAGCAGGCACCAGCGTCTGTGCCTGGAGCCTCTGAAAATTTTCATTCAGTTATGGTAACCAACTAAGAGAGGTCTTTTTGAGGACAGAGCACAGGTAGGGGTGGGGAACTGATGGGGAGGAGGGATGTTGGGTTTATTCTTTTTACTCTTTAATTCTTAAATAGTCCCTGTGAGCAAACTCTTCTGAGTCAGGAAAGATGGTGTTGCACCTAAAATGAATCAGGTATAGTTCATGGGAACCATGGAGATTGTAGATTCAGGGCAAACAAGGGGCTTGGTTCAGAAGAGGGGGTGGTGCTCACAAATGATGAGGTAAGTTGACCAACTTGTCCCCGCTTGCCTGGTACTGTCTCAGTTTTAGCACCAGAAGTTCCACACCTAGGAAATCCCGCAGTCCCTGGCAAACCAGGATGGTTGGTCACCTGTGAATAGGAAATAAACACATGCCCCCAAGCAATGTGATCAGTATTGCTTTCCACCACTGGACATGACCCAGCAGGCCTGAGAGATAGTGGCCAGGCTCTGGTGCAGCTACTGCTGTCCAGTTTTTGTGACCCCTCAGCCTAATGACTTGATGACACTTAGTAAATTATAAAAGGGCATGTGAAAAAGTGACAAAGAGAGGAGAGCATGCATCAGGACAAATTAAGCATGGGCAGCAGGCTTGGGGATGTCCCCTCCGACCGTCCTCTACCTCGGTCTCAGTGGCAAAGCGATTCCAGCCAGTACCATGTGGGAAAAAAATCTCCTGACCCCCAGTTCCCCTTCCTTCTGATTTGGGGCCTGGAAAAATTAAGTCTCCATATGAGAAATCCTTTACGTATGAGGTGAGTGCTCAAGAGAGAGAAAGAGAGCGTGAGTCATTTCAGAAATCAGACCTGCTTTTCCGCAGGGTCACTGAAAGTTTCGATGTTCGAAGGAGGTGTGTATGTGGTTTGCCAAGCCCACTCATGGCTCAGACAGTGAGAGGTGACTGCCTTGGTATGTGTATTTCATGTTTAGTGCCAGAAATTACACGCACGGTGTCCGGGAACACAGTGGAGTATGCTCTGACCGACCTCGAGCCTGCCACGGAATACACACTGAGAATCTTTGCAGAGAAAGGGCCCCAGAAGAGCTCAACCATCACTGCCAAGTTCACAACAGGTACAAAGACACTGAGAGCTGGAAGCTCTCCCTTCTGGGGTGCCCACCCACAGCCTGCATCTTAAACAGGAACCGCTAGCCAGTTCTTCTTTCTTAAGTCAGGGCCTTGCAATGTGATTACATCAGCATCACTTAAATTCACCAGTGCCCACTCAGTCAAGGCCTGAAGAAACACACTATTTCCTTTTGAACTGAAATGACCTTGGTCTCCCCACGGGGAAGGAAAAGATTTTAAGAGGAGGGCTTTGTAAGTGGAAAAACAGTTCCCACTGGCCCTAAACCTAGTATTTAATGATCCACGTTCCAGGCAGGAAAATATTTTTGAAGAGGCATATTTTTTAGGCAATTTTTCCTAGATGTTTGTTAGGTTTCTATACATTGAGAGCTTTTTACAAACTATAGCAAGCAGGGAAACAGAGGAACCATCCTCTCTGTCAGGGTGAGTATTGATATTAGCATTCATCCATCCTCTTACTTAGAAACAAGGGGCTTGATAATGATGTTCACAGCTGTATACTTCTCTCTAAATCCAACCAAGGCCAGTTAGAAACATCCAGCCCTTAGGATGAGATAAACCATAGAGAATTTGTCTTTGGAGATCATCTGGCTCAACCACCTTATTTATACAGAGGAAGTTCTTGCCAAAGGTCACGTAGTTCAGTGGTAGGGAAAGGACTTGAACCCAGTCTTCTTGATACCCAGCCCGAATTTCTGCCCTACATTTGCTGATCTTATCCGATATTAATCATCCTGTCTTCTCCAGACCTCGATTCTCCAAGAGACTTGACTGCTACTGAGGTTCAGTCGGAAACTGCCCTCCTTACCTGGCGACCCCCCCGGGCATCAGTCACCGGTTACCTGCTGGTCTATGAATCAGTGGATGGCACAGTCAAGGTATTTTAAGTATATAACAACTCCTCAATGCTAGTTGAAGCATTTGCATGATCTTCAAAGTATGGAAGAATTACCTGATGCTGTTTTTCTACCCCAGTGCATCTGGGGAGCTGAAAAAAAAAATTAGTAGAGACTGGATGGCATGCCAGACCTTCTGAATCATACTCTCCAGCCTCTTTCATTTTAACCAGACTCCAGTTCTGATAGGCAGCCAAGATCAAGAACCACTGCTTACAAGACTTGAGGACATTTTAGGAGCTGGAATCTTGATCCTTTAATATTTTGTTGAACAAAGGCCAAAAGGTTTCTCTGCATGTTTGCCATATGTATTATCTCACAGATGGTATCTTTATATTATATATTGTAATATGTTTCACCGTGTTCTTATGATATCAACTGTTAATACCATTTTTATCCAGTGTTTATATTATTTATATTCGCTACCCAAGAATTTTCTTTCTTTTACCTTTTAATTTGAAATAACTTTAGATCTTCAAACAAGCGAAGGAGATTTCCTAAACTTTACCTTCCAAACTTGTTATTGAATTTTTCATTTTGGTTATCTCACTTTATATTTCCAAGATCTTTTGCTTGTTCTCCACACATTGATCTTTTTCTGGCATTTTGTTTGTGCTTCCTATATCATCATCTCTTTATCTCTAAGAATATGTTGCTGGTATTTTATTCTATATCCTGCACAGTGTTTGTTACAAGTTTCTTTGTTTTGCTGCTGTTGTTGAGTTTGGTTTGGTTTGGGTTTCTGTCTTTCATGTTGGAGACATCCACCCAATGTCTGTTGATCATGGTCTGTCTTTTTGTATTTGAACTAGGAATGAAAGAGCTAATAGGGAGTTAGCTCAGGCAGGGCTTGTCAACTTTGTGGCTCCCTGCAGAATGATTGGGCAAGTACCCACAGTTTTCTTGGGGGACCCCCAAATAACAGTGCCATAAAACCTGGCCTCTCACTGTGTACAAACTTTCATCTTATTATGTTTCCAGTGTAGCACCTCGGCCTCCTTGAAGGCTGAGCCTGGTGGATTTGAATCCGGACTTCCTCTCTGGCTCAACCTTTCCAGAGAGTAAACCTCAGCCTACCATCTGAATGGGAAAGGGCAGTCATTTAGACTGTTGGAGGGAATGAGGAGATCTTAGAGTCTGTTTCTTACAAAAAAGCTTCTAAACAAACCAAACCTTTGTTCAACCACACTCCACATTGGCCTTTAAAGACATCTCTGCTTTTGTACACATTCCTTTACTGAACTTGCTGGACTCTGTGACTTGCACCAAGCAGCCTCTGACTAGCTCTGCCCATGCTCCTTAGTTAACCTCAGCCTTCTTCATTCATTCCCCTCCATGGTCTCTCTACCACTCACTTTCTATCTACCAAGTTTCTGGCACACCTGTTGCTGTCTCCTCTCCCATTCCCCTCATCTTCATGGATTTATACCTTACATTCTCTTGCTCTCTTTTTAGTGGGTTTTAGAAGCAAGTAGAGATGAGTGGCTGTATCCAATCTGTCATATTTAACCAGAACTGGACACATTGCTAATAACTATCATGCCCCTTCCTGGAATTGATATAACAATGAACTATCTCACTGTGTGAGCTGAAGCAAATCCTTTATCTTCTCTGGGTGTCAGTGTTCCCATCTGTAAAATGAATGCCTTGGACTTATCCATCTTTAAGGTCTTCTCCTTGTCAGGCATTCTAGGATTCTGTGTTTACCTGAATCATGAGTCTCATTTTGATCTAGAGTACCCTAATTGCCTAGAAAATGGCTTTGCACAGAAGCCTAGAGAACTGACAGGTAATTGTATTCCTAAGTAATTCAATGAACCCAGCTTTATCCCTGACAGTTGATCTTTCCCCCAGGGACTAGAACTGGGGGGCTGCAAAAAGGCCTCTGGGTATTAAATGAGCACTCATCCCAGTTTACTTTTCTGCATGTCCATTCACCAGCTTTACATGTCTTAGAAAAAAAATCAACCTGGTATAGGAGAAAAGAGTCCTGGACAGGGTGTTGGGAAACCCGCATGCAAGATCATCCTCTGCCTCCAACAATTTATGGAATGAGAGCAAGTCTTTTAGCTTCTCTGAAACTCAATTCTCCCATTGAAGAAAACAGGATAAGGTACCTTCCCAGTTCCCAGGATGCAGGAGAACCTTCCAGGGGCTTCTGCACTGATGCATGACTGCCCAAACTAAGCTGGCTGTTTGCAGGTTGTAGAGAAGATCGTTGTGCTTGGTTTACTAGGAGTGTAGGTTGAATTCCAATCCCAGACACTAAGGTCATTTGCTGAAAAGAATTGGAAGCTAGCAAGAGGGTGTGGAAAGAGGATTTCCTGCAAACTGAAACCAATGACCTCCTCTGTACAGCAGCACAGAGACCAGCCACAGACTACAAGTGTAGTTAGAGTTGGTCAACATCTGTCTGTCATGGATATCTCTGTTCTAGAAGAGAGACATGTGAGGTCAGCTTAAGTTTTAATCCTACCATGCCTATGGGGCTATTATAATCATCTCCTAACTCAAGAGATCCCCAAACTGACTGCACATTCAAATCACTTGGGAAGTTTCTTAAATATAGCCAGGCCCAACTTCTGGCTCTGATGATTCCATCAGTCTGAGATGAGGCCCAGGCATCATATTGTTTTAAAGCTTCTGAGAGTGATAAAGAGCTATATTTAGGGACCACTGACCTAACTGACCTCAAAGTCCCTTACCCTGTGTGATTCATCTTGCTACCAGATTAAGCTTCTTAAAGCACAGCTTGGTTTATGTCATTGGCATGTCCAAACATCTTTCAAGGCTCCCCATTTCTTGTGATGATAAACTTCAAGTTCCAAAGCTTAGCATTTATACCTTACAGGGCTCCTCACTCCGTTTAATGATAAACTTTAAGTTTCAAAGCTTGTCATTTAAAGGCCCTTCATAATCTAGTAACATTTTCCACTGTTCTAACACCTGAAGCTAAGTATGGTTGAGGTCGCTTATTGCCTCCTTATATTATTTCATTTTATGTTTTAAATCTGCTTTATTCAAAGTTTACTGATTTAAATATTAATCTCATCCAAAAAAAAACCCCCTTCACAGAAACATAGAATAATATTTGACCAAATATCTGGGCCCCATGGCTCAGCCAATTTAACACATAAAATTAACCATTACAATCCCATTCTCCCAATATAGTTTGGCAGGGCCTTGGGCAGGTGGTAGCCTTAGCCCTGGAGTCTACAGCAGTGCTCTCATCCTTACCAGATGCGGTCTCTCCCTCCTTATATTATTTTAACTTGCTCTGCACCTTCTGGCCCAAGGACCTTTGCTTGTGCTGTACTCTCCCCATCTCTGATATCTCAGCAGTGCACATGGAGCCTGGTAGAGAGTGGGTACTCAATGAATTCTTGTCCAGTAAGTAAGTGAATGGATGGGTAAATGAACTTATAAATAGAATGACTTCTTATCTATACCCTGAGAATTTCTGTGACCAAAAGCCATTATACTTTTTCTTCTGCTCTTAGGAAGTCATTGTGGGTCCAGATACCACCTCCTACAGCCTGGCAGACCTGAGCCCATCCACCCACTACACAGCCAAGATCCAGGCACTCAATGGGCCCCTGAGGAGCAATATGATCCAGACCATCTTCACCACAAGTAAGGAGGCCCAGGGTGCCATCCAGCCTTGAGATCTAACTTTGACTGAATCAACCCTTGACTTCCCCTTTGACTTCTACTTTAAAATTTTCAAACAAACCTCTGAAAAGAATCGATTCACTGCTACTACTTGGAAGCCTGAGGAAAGCAAATGTGGGAGATTATGAGCATCCCGGTGAAAGGAAAGGAGGAAGCCCATCTGGATTCAGTCCCCATTTCTATCACCTGCTAGGTGTGCCTTAAGAATGCTACTTCCATCCTATAATCTTTAGCTTCTTCGTCTATACAGGGAGATTAATAATAAATCCTCTGTCACCAGGACCTTGCAAGTGTTCATGAGGTATTGCATTTGAACTCCTAGCCCAGTATGTGGCCCATATAATTGTGTGGTCCTTTTATTGTCAGAGTTCAACATGAGCTGAAAGTCTCTTTCTTTCTCCTTCATCATGCCAGTGTTTACAAAACCTGTCCACATTCAAAATCACAAATGATCTTCCCACCAAGCTGGTATGGTGAGCCCTATGCCCAAAGTTCTAGTGGGGAAGCAGACACTTTCAGAGACTAAATGACCTGTTCAAGACTATCTTGTGAGTTACAGTCAGAGTTGGGCTCAGATATTCCATGCCCAGGGAGCCTCCCCCTGCACCTGTCACAAAGTATCTTCTGCAGATAGCAAACCTGCAAGTTGTTCCATTGATAAGTAAGAGTGGCATCCATTCCTGAGGACCAGAGGAGCTGGCCTTTGGAGAGCCCTGCCTTTGAAAATTCACGGGACAGTCATTCTGCACACATCTGCTGAAGAAAGTGCTTCCCCTTTGCCAGATCTTATGCCAGATGCTAACTATGAATGTATCCTAAAGATGCTCTTATACTAGGGCTGTGAAATAAATAAGAAAACAGCTCATGATACAACCTCAGATGAATGTCCTCAGATCAGAAAAAAGAACTGCTATGATCATCAGCTCTAAGACCCATCTACTAGGCATAGTTCCAAGATTGCCCATTTCTATGAGTTTTTAATTGTTTGCATCACATTATTGCACCTGGAAATTCCCCAGGCATTCTAGTCCATAGAGTTAAGCTAAGAATTAAGCTCCAGCTCAGTCCTCCTGCACTGAGAGCATCACCATTTCTCCTTATTCCACAGTTGGACTCCTGTACCCCTTCCCCAAGGACTGCTCCCAAGCAATGCTGAATGGAGACACGACCTCTGGCCTCTACACCATTTATCTGAATGGTGATAAGGCTGAGGCGCTGGAAGTCTTCTGTGACATGACCTCTGATGGGGGTGGATGGATTGTGAGTACCACCAGGGACTGCAGAGCCCTCAGGCCTAGGGGAAGAGGGAGAGGGCAAAGCAGGGGAGGAGAAGAGGGTGATCTCCTCCTGATGCACTCTGACACCCCCATGTGTGAGGCCTTGCAAGATAGTGCCTGTCACACAGAGGCACTCAGGAATTCTCTCTTAAACAAAAGAATGGGAAACACGCTGGCTACTTTTTGAAACGGGGAGATAAGTTTCTTGTAGTTTATCTCATCCAATCCTCATCAAACAACTCTGTGATGTATAAATGACAGTTGATCATTGAACCCATTGCTTACATTAATTAGCACTGACTAAGCATTTATTATCTACCAGGCACTGTGCTAAGAGTTTAAGATGAATTATTCCGACCCCATTACCATAGGAGCTGGGTAGTGTATTTTTGAATTAATAAACTCTATTTTTTTAGAACAGTTTTAGGTTCATGGCACAATTAAGTGAACAGAAGTTTTCATATACACCCCACACCCACCCACACAACCTCCCCATTATCAATATCCTGCACCAGAATGGTGCATTTGTTACAATCAATGAACCTACATTGACACATCATTATCACCCAAAACTGGGTGGTATTTTTAATCCCTGTTTTTCAGGTGAGAACACCAAGACTTAAGGAGGGGCAGGTGACCACCCAAAGTTACATAGCAAATTAGGGATGGACAGAATGGAGCCTGATGCTCTCTCCACAGTGCCACACTCCTTCCTCTCACAACGATGCCCTCTTTCCTGCAATAGCTTAAGTACACCCAGATTCATCGATATGTTTATAGGTGTTCCTGAGACGCAAAAACGGACGCGAGAACTTCTACCAAAACTGGAAGGCATATGCTGCTGGATTTGGGGACCGCAGAGAAGAATTCTGGCTTGGTAATGCAGCCCTGCATGTTTATATCTAAAATGCCTGATTCTGCCCTCCTTGTCACTTTTCCTAACCCACAGGGACCTATGGGAGAGAAAGAGATGAGGAAGAAGAACTACTTCTGGTGGCAGACACAGAATGTCAAATTCTTAATGAAAAAGACTATCATTTAAATGCTCTGAATCATCAAAATGTAAACCAAAAAGTATCTGAGACAGATCTCAATCAATTTAGAGGTTTACTTAGCCAACGTTAAGGACACGCCCAGAAAAAAAGAACACAAAGCCACAGGAACAGCCTGTGGTCCATGCCTTTTTTTTTTTTTTTTTTTTCCAGAGATAATATTAAGAGTTTTAGTGTTTAAAGGGGGAAAGCCACAGGAACAACCTGTGGTCCATGACTTTCTTTTTTTTTTTTTTTTTTTTTTTTTTTTTTTTTTTTTTCAGAGATAATGTTGAGAGCTTTAGTATTTAAAGGGGAAAAGTGGGCTGGAGGGATATGGTCACATTACTGAATCCACATGTTGCAAGATAAAAAAAAGAAAAAAGCAGAATGACAAAAAAGAGAATGGTCAATTTTGTATTCATCTCACACTCAGTAAATCGGCACTTTACATAAGATAAAGTGAAGATAGAATAACTATCTGTGGAGATATCTGGCCTTTTATCTGTAGCATCTGCTTAGGGACAAAAGGAGAGGCAGTTTCTCCCATGACTCGGCTTTCAGTTTATTTTTTTTCCTATTGGCAGAGTTAAATTGGGGTCCCAAGATTTTATTTTCCTTTCACAAAAAGTAAAATCTGATTAAGGAAGAACCAAAACTCAGCCCTTATGTGTTAACCTAGCCTTAAGTCATTCTCTGGACCAGTCATAGAATCCTCCTCACTGATATCATTGATATCTTCCCTCCTGTGCCCCAGGTTGTGCTCCAGGTGCTAAGATGGGTTTCTTAGAGCCATAATATTTAACCCCCATAGCACCCCTACAAAGTACTCAATTGCCACCGGGTGGGCAAGGTGTCAGGTGTCAGAAGTGGTTGACTAGTGGGTTGGTAAGACGAATTTACTAACAACAGTATAGGTTTGAAAAAGGAACGTTTATTAGAAAGAAAGAATGCTGCAAAAGGACTTACAGCCCCTGCAGTGGATTTTTCCTTAGGGGTATTTATGGACCTTAAGGCAGGAGCTTAAGGATAATTTGGACCCTATTAGCCATGTAGAACATGATACATGATTACATTTGTAGACATTTTGGTGCCTTAATGTCAGCAAGGGTTGCAAAATGAGTTTTGATATGCATGTATTCCAGAGATGTATAGAAGTTCCAGTTACCTATAAATTTTTGGGAAATAAACCTGGAACCAGATGCTTGCTTGAGATATACGGAAGCCTAATTACCTTTAAATCCCTCAGTTAAGGGGTTTTTGTCTCCGAGTCCTACTTGATGGTCACCAGGTGATTTTTGCTCTCCTCACCACCTCGCATGGATAAAATCACAGCCTCAAAAAGACTGAGTGGTTTGCCCATAGGAGTCTAACCAATGAACAGTTGAGCTGAAATTTGGAATCTCCTAAGTCAACACTACAATCCTATCACCCATCCATTCATCCATGCAATCCACACTTTCCAACCACCTAACTGCAGAGAACATTGTTCTATGCACCACTGCCTACCCCAGAAAATGTTTATCATATTATAATAAACATTTATCTATATTATTCATTGCCCTTCATTTGTAAGGCACTTTACAAAATTTTATTTGTTTGTTTGTTTGTTTGTTTAGACAGAGTTTCACTCTGTCGCCGAGGCTGGAATGCAGTGGTGTGATCTCAGCTCACTGCAACCTCTGCCTCCTGGGTTCAAGCAATTCGCCTGCCTCAGCCCCCCAGGTAGCTGAGATTACAGGCACCCTCCACCATGCCCTCCTAATTTTTGTATATTCAGTAGAGACAGGGTTTCACCATGTTGGCCAGGCTGGTCTCGAACTCCTGACCTCAGATGATCCGCCCACCTTGGCCTCCCAAAGTGTGGGGATTATGGGCGTGAGCCACCGTGCCTGGCCTGTAAGGCACTTTAGAGTTTAAAAAGTACTTTCACCACCTTATCTCCTTGGATCTTCACTAATGCACTGGGAGGTTGGAAGTGGGGCAAAAATGTCAACCCGATTTTACCTGAGCCTAGTATTACTCCAGCAAGCACAAGACTGAGCTTCAAGCACAGGCCTGTGTGATATGGCCCTTTTTTTTTTTTTTTTGCTTTCTGAGATGGAGTCTTGCTCTGTCACCCAGGCTGGAATGCAGTGGCACAATCTCAGCTCTCTGCAACTTCTGCCTCTCGGGTTCAAGCGATTCTCCTGCCTCAGCCTCCCAAGTAGCTGGGACTACAGGCACCCACCACCACACCCAGCTAATTTTTGTATTTTTAGTAGAGACAGGGTTTCGCCATGTTGGCCAGGCTGATAACGAACTCCTGACCTCAAGTGATTCCCACCACCCCCACCCCCACCCCCTCCCACCCCATCTCTGCCTCCCAAAGTGCTGAGATTACAGGCATGAGCCACTGGGCCCAGTTGGCCCTGTCTTAAGTGTACCCAGTTGCCGCTTTTACAGAGTGAAATAGAAATGAGGGCCTCAGTCACCTGTGCTTCTTAGCAACCCTTGCCTGTCATCCACAGGGCTGGACAACCTGAACAAAATCACAGCCCAGGGGCAGTACGAGCTCCGGGTGGACCTGCGGGACCATGGGGAGACAGCCTTTGCTGTCTATGACAAGTTCAGCGTGGGAGATGCCAAGACTCGCTACAAGCTGAAGGTGGAGGGGTACAGTGGGACAGCAGGTACAGTAGTGGCTGCACGTAGAGCCTACAAAGCCATGGAGACCTTCTTGACATTTACAGTTTATTTCTCTAACTTTCATTCCTTCCTCATTAATCCAGCAATTTATTAAATCAACAAATATTTAAGTACCTACTGAGTGCCAATCCAGAAAAACTACAATTCAAAAGTGTTGGGTAGATATTTGGGTCCTGAAACATTGAGTATGTTGGGAATCAGGGCAATCAGGATTGATTTCTAATGACCATCTTTCAAAAAAAGTGTGTCTTTCTTACCCAGTTTTAGATATCAGTTGTAGACTGATTAAAAAAAAAATTCCCCAAAGGCCTTAATATTCATCCAATCCAGCACTTCTCAATTTACTCTGGGTGTATGGACCCACTGGCGATCTTGTGAATCTCCAGATGCTGACACAGGTTGTCTGGGATGGGGCTGAGATTCTGCATCTTCTCCAAGTTCCCTGGTGATGCCAATATAGCTGGTGTTGCTGGTCTGTGGACCACAGCTTGAGTAGCAAACCATCCACTCCATCACCTAGCTGCTTGAATCTCTTCCAAGACATCCCTGCCATGTGGTCATCTAGTCTCAGCCTGCATCCTCATAAATAGAAGGTCTCACCTCTCAAGTGGCCCCTGCATTCCTTGTCTGGCTCATAACCTTCATTCCAGTCTTGAAGATTTCTTGGACTTGAAGTGGTTTTGTGTGGTTTCCTGGCTCCACATAAGAGGAGAAATAAATAAGGAAACAACATGTATTAAGGCCCTACTAGGTACCATCCTCTTTTGTAGATATTCCACCTGCATTCATCTTATTTATTCCTCATAAAACCATTTTATGAAGACGTTGTTTTTATACAGAGGAGGAAAGAAGTTCAGAAGAGCTCAGTGATTTGTCCAAGGTAAAACAGCTTGTAGAAGGTGGATGCAATCCTGGCTGCAGAAAACTGCATCCGACAATGTTCTCAGTGACAAAGAAGGGTCAGGACTGAGAGTGTGGACCACCCCCATGCAACCCATGCCCACTTTGGGTGGCTTTCTGTTATGTTTGTGAGAGCAGAAGAGATAGAAGCTTGGCACGTTTCCAGCCTCCCTGAGCCCTGAAAGAAAACATCCATAAGGTGAAAAGTCTCCAGATAAAAGGTTGCCAAAGCCAGGCTGAGCCTAAGGAGGCACAAAGCTCTTTTGAGATGGCAGTTTAGTGATAATAAAGAGAGACACCCAGGGGCAAACATTGCTTTAGTTCTTGAATCCCTCAAAGAATGTTGGCATTTTATTACCTGGAAATGAATACCTCTTTGGTTGAGATGGCTTCAGGCAAGAAGAAGAATGTTACAGGGCAAGCAAATTCATTAAGCAGCAGGAATGTGGCCTCTGTTCCTCTCTCTTTGTGCTTCCATTGAGGAATGAGCCATAATATTTCCCTTTACTGAGATAACGTTTGTAAGGCTGCATTTTCTTGTGTGATTTGGCTGCACCCAGGCCTTCTGCAGGAGAGCATCCTGTTTCATTAATATCTACGTGCCGTCCTCATGCTCTGGGTAGCATCATCAGTTAAAAAGGTATCTGGGTTCCTTTGACAACTTGCTCCAAATTATGACGGTAGAATGCCTCAGAGTCTTGAAATGTTTGTGCACAGCACTTGTCTGGATTGGGAGTGAGGAGACCCACAAAGCAATGGTACTGAAATGCTTCAAAAATTCAATATATTAAATTACAAATTAGATTTCCAAATAGTAGTACATGTTAATGGGCTTCTTGTCTAAGAATCACGGAACATGGTCTGATGAATACTTTAAAAAGTAACTATGTGATACAGAGACTATTTAGGGACATCTAATGTCTGAAGGGCTTAATTATGACTAATAAATATTTGTATGTGGGAGAAAAGCATGCCATTATTAAATGCATACTTCTCACCTTACTCTCTGAGGTCTTTATAGAAAGGGAATGCAGAAAAGTCATAAAAATAACAATCATAGTAAGTATTTGTATGCCATGCCACCTGTTTAGCATACACCTTTATTGTCACAATGGCACTACTCAGTATATAGAATCAAAGTGCTGGTTCCATTGTATAGATGAGAAAACTGAGGTTCAACAAGATGCTTGACTTGTGCAAGGTCACAGCTAAAAAGTGAAAAGATGGGATTCGAAGCTAGACTCTCCAAAGCCAGCCACAGCCCTCTTCCCACCACATTATGCTGCTTCTGTCGGAAATAAGTACTGGGGTGACACTCATGTCCCATTCAGTTCCGCATTCAATGCTGACTCTGGGATCAATGTTCAAGGCCAGTCCCACACCCAGAACCTTTCAATTGTCACCTCTGGTTCTGCCCTTTACTGTCCAGGAGGGAAATTTCAGCTGAGATTTCTCAGGTCCATATTTTCTGTCTCTCCCAGGTGACTCCATGGCCTACCACAATGGCAGATCCTTCTCCACCTTTGACAAGGACACAGATTCAGCCATCACCAACTGTGCTCTGTCCTACAAAGGGGCTTTCTGGTACAGGAACTGTCACCGTGTCAACCTGATGGGGAGATATGGGGACAATAACCACAGTCAGGTGAGTGGACCGTGAGGGCCCAGAGCAGGCCAAGCTTGGGAAGCTGGAGGGGGCTAATGGAAGTACAATTTAACTCCCTATCCTAGCAGAGACTAGGAGGCAGGAACCTTACTTGTATGACAACATGTTTTTCCCAAGGCAGTGAGCAATCTCAAGGACACTGCAGGCCAGGTAAAATAGAAACAGCACAGGTTAACCCTTGACAGTCCCAAGGACAAACACTGGTCAAATGGATTCCAAAAACAGAACGCTTTACTCAGACAAAATCTCTGTCTGAACCCCAAAAGTAAAGCAGATAAAAGTGGAGGCCATTTAGGTGAAGCAGGGTTGATGACACAGAACCCCTGGCCTGGGGCATCTTTGGAATCCCAAGAACACCTTAAAATGAAGTCCACAGACTTTAAATCTCCTCCTTTTGTGAAGAAACCAAGGCCCAGAAAAAGCTGACTTTCCTGAGGTCACAGAGTGAAGTTGGCAGCAGAGCCAGCTCTCCCCACTTCCAGCCCCTGGCATTTTCCCTGCACCACACACACCTCTAGCACTTCTACAATCACAGAAACAGATTTTTTTCGATCCCTTTTAGAAATAGGCGAACGGATCAAATTCAGTAATCTCCCTTACTCTGAGCCTTGCCTACACTGGCACATTCCTGAAAAGTGTAAAGCTGTGTGGGACTAGCCACTTAATCATAACCAAACCCCTGCCCAGGTCCCTCCACAGAAGTTAGTCACCATCCCTGGGAGGAGGGCTGGATCTTCCCTTGGGGCCACACCACGCTGATCCCTGGACCACAAGGATGCTTATGAGGTCTGCTCACTGGAATCCCAAGGACTTTATAAAAATGCAAAGGGCCAAATTCCACTTTATGATAACCCCAGGGATTCTGATTCAATGATCTCAGGCAAGACACAGCATCTCATTTTTTTTTTTTTTTTGCATATTTGCATTTTTGTTGTTGTGGGGTCAGGGGGGAGGCAGTTGATAGACTCCACAAGCGATTCCTGACATGCAGCAGGTGTTGGGACCTGTTGCTTTTCAATATTAGTCACTTTGATACACATGTTTATGCCCTAATTAACTGCTAGCAAATGACACCTGCGACCTTAAGTGTAGACCTTACCTTACATAATTTCTGGCACTTTTCAAAGCACTGTTACCTTCTGTATCTCAAGGGTTTATCATTTTTACCCTGTGCAGGAATTAGGATGTGGTTTTTCATGCCTGTTTTACAGAGGAGGCAAGAGTCACAGGACATTTCTTGACAGCAGTCCTGTGTTGTTTCCATCTTATTGTGTTATTTCATCAATATTTCCATTCTGAGCATTATTTTATCATCTTTATTGCCTTGTCTCAAAAATACTCGTATAATACAAAGTTCTTCTGGGAAAAGAAAAAAAAAACCAACAAGCTACATGTTAGAAAGCAAGCCTCTCTTTCATCCTTCCATTCAATTATGGAAGAAGAAAGAGATGACATGGAAAGGAGCCACAGGAGGGGAGCCCCAGCTCCAGCTCTGCTCCTCCTGCTGTGTGGCCTCTGCAAAGTCACTCTCCCTCTCTGGCTTTAGTGCCCACCACAGTACAAGAAGGCGTGGCTTCCAACCCTGAACTATCAGAGGAAAGAACCAGGGCAAAGGCAGGCAGCATGTGCACCAAGCTGTTGGACTACCATACTCACTGTAACTGAGTAATTACAAGCGGATTTGCCCATGAAATGAATGAGCCATTCTTAAACCTCACATCCCTGTAAGACTCAGAAACTGCCCATGTCAGTGAATGCCAAACAATTAGAAGCAAATAAAGTGTCTCTATTTTTTTCCCATCTCACTAGCCATTAACTTCCCCACAGTGGGGCAAGGGGCCATGTGGGGTTTCATGGATTGACTCTACCATCTGCAGACTTCGCTGAAGAGTCAAAGTTGAAACCTGGAAGCCAAGACACAGATACAGTTTTTTCTTGTAGAAAGCTTTGGCCAAAATTTCAAGGATATTTCCCCCTACTTGAGACTAGGGAAGTAATATTTACCAAGCACCTACGACGTGCCCAGCTCTGTGATAGCTCCTTTACAAACTCATTTAATCTTCATCTCATCTTTCAAGGCTAACATTATCAGATCTTAAGAAAGAAAAAAAAATAGTAAAACCGAGGCTCAGAAGATATTGAGAACTTAAGACTATTTATCTCTCAAGTAAGAACACTGATATTTAACCCTATATGTCAAATTGTAAAACTGTGTTTTGTTGAGCTGTTCGTTCTGCTATTCCATACCAAACCCCTATCAAAATACTCCATAGGAATCTCGTGAATTACAGACACACACACACACACCATGTATGTAGCTATTCAATTCTAGAACTTCTAATAATGACCTGAACTCCTTCAGAACCTATTCCTAAGGACGGCAGATTTCATCAGCCACCATTTTGCCTCAAGAGGAAAGACCAAAGCTCCATGCAAACTCAGGCGACTCTTGACTCAGGTGAAAAACTGGGTCAGATTCAGCCAGTTCCTTTGAAAGTTTCCACAACCCAGACCAACAGAGAGATAGGCAAGAGGCAGCTGTGATATACCAAATGGTCAAATTGAAACAGAACTCATTTAGTTTGAATGACTAAATAGCAATGATCAGTGAACACCTCGCCTAACAGTAACCAACCTGGAGGCCTTCTCTCTCTCTCTCTCTCTCTCTTTTTTTTTTTTAACAGGGCGTTAACTGGTTCCACTGGAAGGGCCACGAACACTCAATCCAGTTTGCTGAGATGAAGCTGAGACCAAGCAACTTCAGAAATCTTGAAGGCAGGCGCAAACGGGCATAAATTCCAGGGACCACTGGGTGAGAGAGGAATAAGGCCCAGAGCGAGGAAAGGATTTTACCAAAGCATCAATACAACCAGCCCAACCATCGGTCCACACCTGGGCATTTGGTGAGAGTCAAAGCTGACCATGGATCCCTGGGGCCAACGGCAACAGCATGGGCCTCACCTCCTCTGTGATTTCTTTCTTTGCACCAAAGACATCAGTCTCCAACATGTTTCTGTTTTGTTGTTTGATTCAGCAAAAATCTCCCAGTGACAACATCGCAATAGTTTTTTACTTCTCTTAGGTGGCTCTGGGAATGGGAGAGGGGTAGGATGTACAGGGGTAGTTTGTTTTAGAACCAGCCGTATTTTACATGAAGCTGTATAATTAATTGTCATTATTTTTGTTAGCAAAGATTAAATGTGTCATTGGAAGCCATCCCTTTTTTTACATTTCATACAACAGAAACCAGAAAAGCAATACTGTTTCCATTTTAAGGATATGATTAATATTATTAATATAATAATGATGATGATGATGATGAAAACTAAGGATTTTTCAAGAGATCTTTCTTTCCAAAACATTTCTGGACAGTACCTGATTGTATTTTTTTTTTAAATAAAAGCACAAGTACTTTTGAGTTTGTTATTTTGCTTTGAATTGTTGAGTCTGAATTTCACCAAAGCCAATCATTTGAACAAAGCGGGGAATGTTGGGATAGGAAAGGTAAGTAGGGATAGTGGTCAAGTGGGAGGGGTGGAAAGGAGACTAAAGACTGGGAGAGAGGGAAGCACTTTTTTTAAATAAAGTTGAACACACTTGGGAAAAGCTTACAGGCCAGGCCTGTAATCCCAACACTTTGGGAGGCCAAGGTGGGAGGATAGCTTAACCCCAGGAGTTTGAGACCAGCCTGAGCAACATAGTGAGAACTTGTCTCTACAGAAAAAAAAAAAAAAAAAAATTTAATTAGGCAAGCGTGGTAGTGCGCACCTGTCGTCCCAGCTACTCAGGAGGCTGAGGTAGGAAAATCACTGGAGCCCAGGAGTTAGAGGTTACAGTGAGCTATGATCACACTACTGCACTCCAGCCTGGGCAACAGAGGGAGACCCTGTCTCTAAATAAAAAAAGAAAAGAAAAAAAAAGCTTACAACTTGAGATTCAGCATCTTGCTCAGTATTTCCAAGACTAATAGATTATGGTTTAAAAGATGCTTTTATACTCATTTTCTAATGCAACTCCTAGAAACTCTATGATATAGTTGAGGTAAGTATTGTTACCACACATGGGCTAAGATCCCCAGAGGCAGACTGCCTGAGTTCAATTCTTGGCTCCACCATTCCCAAGTTCCCTAACCTCTCTATGCCTCAGTTTCCTCTTCTGTAAAGTAGGGACACTCATACTTCTCATTTCAGAACATTTTTGTGAAGAATAAATTATGTTATCCATTTGAGGCCCTTAGAATGGTACCCGGTGTATATTAAGTGCTAGTACATGTTAGCTATCATCATTATCACTTTATATGAGATGGACTGGGGTTCATAGAAACCCAATGACTTGATTGTGGCTACTACTCAATAAATAATAGAATTTGGATTTAAACCCAGGTCTTCTGGCTCCAATGTTCCTGCTCTTTCCCGGTCCCTTAATGAAAATCTCTCCTTCTTTGGGGAAATGTGTGCTGTGGCAAGAGAGTGAAGGTTGCAGAATGGGATATGGGGGCAGTTCAACTGGATGCTTCCTCAGGCTTCTACAATCCTGAACTCTGAAAACTAGGAAGAATGTCTATTAGGAATATCGCCTTCTCCTCTACACTGCAGTCCCCAAAAAGGGAGCAAGCCCATATTCCTCCAGCCTCAGACTGAACACATCTAGTGATGGGGAACCCATTGCCTGGATGGCAGGTCTGTTAGTCCTCAGCAAATATAGTGAGTCAGAACTGCTCAACGCATAACATTTCTCTTTTTAAACAAGGGTATATGGGGGGAGAGTAATTCCCAGTTCATTCTCTTAGGGATTTTCAGAAAATTGACTTATTTAATAAAATAAGTCAAGTTTGGGCTGATAGGCCTCATTCAAATGGAATGTGATGGCTCTGGAGCAAGGATCAGAGGAATTTATGGTTCCAGCCATATCCTTTGTTGCTGAGTTTATCTTGCTTTAATAAATGCTGTCATGTTAGATACACAATGTGCTGTTCCAGATCATAAGAACGGTTGCATGCAATTCAGCCATAGCAACGCTCTCCTGGCTATATAAATCCAAACAAACGGGCTCCCTGTAGCAACCAGGCCTCGAGTTGGAGGCTTACCTCTCCACTGGCTGCTGACTTGTGAGTCTCTAAACCCAAGTCCTATCTCCTCTCCAGAACTGTAGATGTACTTAATTAAGCTTGAAGGTATTCCCCACAAGCCACACAAGAATCAAATTTGGATTGGTGAAGAAGCCACATCAAACAGGAGTCAGTAATAACCCAAATGGGGACAGGGCAGGCAACCGGGTCTGAGGCCATGGCATTCAAAGACCACAGTCTCTAGTGTGAGCTAATCATTTCTCAAACGTGTCCTTCAGCCTCTGGCTCTGTGGCTTGTTTCAGGAAACCTCTTCCATCTTGAAAGTTCTCTTAAAATTCCACTTCACCCTCAAGACCTGGGCCCTACCCCTGCCCCCATGAAACAGTCAAAATATCTCTATTGGGAAGTAATTTCCAGGGTGTTCGACCTTCCCTTTGTTCCTTCTCTCATCTGCTCCCCTTCTCCCTGCTCTGTGTACTTCAAGGCCACCCTATTTTCATTGCATCAATGACTCCCAGCTTCCAGGTGGATGTCAAAATGGGAAAAGCCAGCAGGACATTGAAGGGAAGAGACTATGAGTGGGGGTGGGTCAGGGCACTTGTTGCCCAGCTCCATCTATACAGCATCACAGTGGGCTGTCAGCATCCACATAAGAGAGCCGTAGCCACTGTCAACTGACTGTCTCCATGCAACTCTCTCTTCAGGTTTAGAAAAGTGCTCTCTCACTTGCCCCTTCTAGCCTAGGAGCAGTCATGGCACCCTAGCTGCTGCTAGACTTGGGGACCTGTGCTAGGCTCTGTGGCTCTCCTCCACCCCCTCTCCTTTAACTCTCCTCAGGGACCCCGGCAGGCTCGCCCACCCCTGGGAGCACTGAGTGCCACTGTTACAGCTGCCTGCTGGCCTTATCCATTATGATTTCTACTTCCTGCCCCTCTTCCTATAGTGATTATTGGTCATTTAATGGCTTCCCAGCATCCAAAGTCCTTTCCAGTTTTAGGAAATTTGAGAACCTTGCCTCCTACCAAGGAAGCCACAGAGGAAAATACTCTTTCCTCCTCCCCTTGATAGCCAGGGCATGGGCACGTAACTTGGGCTTTGCCAATTAGATGCCCACAGAGGGACTTCTAACCTTTAGCAATGAATGCAAAACATAGAGTGTAGGAGACTGGCTCCCCCACAGAATCTAGCACTGAGGCCATCTATCCGTGGGATCTGTGGCCCAGCACCACGCAGGGTATAGCCATATCTCTCTCTAATGGTGACAGTTGTTTCCAGCAGTGACAAAGGCAGACTGGCTGATGATTCCTGCTACCTGGCCTCCTTTGGTTCCTGATAATTTTCTGTGCCTGCTTCTTCAAACTTTCTGTCAGTTTTATGAGCTTCCTGATATCCTTCCAGAAAATTCCTTTTCTGCTTAGGTAGTCCTAGATTATTTCAGGTCCTTGAAGCCAGATACCTTGGCTAATACTTTCCTCCCTAAACCATGAGCCTGTGACATTTATTGACCCTCTTGTAGTCCCAGCACTGTGTTTGACACTTTAAATATCCAAAGTATCCTAAGCATCATAGTCACCTGTGAGACAAATCGAACTATTCCATGTCATGTAGAAAACTAGGCCTCAGAGGGGTCAGGTGGCTTCTCGCAGCCATGCCACTGGGGTCAGACCAAGATTCACAGCCAGGCTGCCTGATTCCAAAATCCAAGTTCTTTTCAGTGAAGATATCTTATTCCTTTCAACAAGCCACACTAACTGGAAAACAGAACTTCATTCTTTTCACAAATGCTTGTGGAGCACCTCCCGTGTGGATTTGTCAGTGAAAAAAAGAGGAAAATATCCCTGTGGTCATAGCGTTTATATTCTAACAAAACACAATGAATGATGAATGTAATAAATGATCAAATTAAATGGTATATTCAAGGGTAATAAGGACAAAGGGGACTAGGGTAAGGGGATAGGGTCACAGTATTCAAAGTAGGGTGGTCACACAGGGTGGGCCTGTGAGAAACCCTCAGGAGGCACAGAAGATGAGCTCAATGAATATTTGTTGCATTGAATTCGTGCTCATCTCTTTCCTTCTGAAGATGGGGAAGCAGCAGTCCAGAGGAGGCTGGGGATCATCCCAGGCACCACAGCAACCAGGCAGGAGATTCTGATGAAAATCCAGGCTGCATACTCCTCTGCAGTGTGGCATGACTGTCTGTTCTCCAGAAGGAGAGACACACCTTGCAGGTTCTTCCTCACTGAGCCTCCTATGACCTGTATGCTCTCAAAACAGCTGGCTACACAGCCCAGTCCTTCCCCATTCTCAGCTTGCCCCACCCAAGCTGGTCTTCCCACCATGCCTTGCCTAAGCCCGGAAAATCCGAGAGCTCCTTGTGGGCTGTCCTCGTCGGTCTCCTTCTAAGATTCTCACTTCTCTTTTCATTTAAAAATCAGTGTTGAGCACCTCCCCGCTTATGCTCAGCACTATGTGAGTGAAACAACCACATTCCCTGCCTCCATGCAGCCTCTGTGCCCCAGAGAGGTCAGTGACAAACACATGATCAGACAAGCAAATGTGTGATTACAAACTGAGGGCTGTGCTTTGGAAGCAAATATAAAAAGCTATGAAGACGTCTAAAGGGGATCTGAGGGGGAAGGCTCTCTGAGGAACAGACATTTGAACCCAGATCCAAAGAGCAAGTAGGAGTTAACCAGGTGAAGGAAGCAGGAGAGGCAGAAGGCAAAAGGCAGGTATCTCTATAGTCCTATGGCTGTCACGCTGTGCACAGAGAAAGCCAGAGGCATAGGTGCAAAAGATGCATTGTGGAAGATGAGGTTTCAGGAGTCAGTAGGAACCCAGCCACGCAGATCTTCCTGGTCCAGAATAAAAATTTTGCTTTTTTTCTTCAGTTCAATGGAAAGCAACTGAGAAGTTTTCAGCAGGAGAGCATTGTGATCACATCTGTTTTTTTAAGCCATCTTTTTTGTTGCATTTGGATTTTGGCTGGGAGGTGCAAAGTGGGAAGAGACCTTTGAGGAGGCTACTGTAGGAATCCAGGTGAAAGGTGATAGAGCCTGGCTAAGTGTGGTGTCGTGGAGACAGAGCTATGGTTCTAAGAGATATTTAGAAAGTAAAATTCATGGGGCTTAGGGTCCCAGAGAGCTCTCTATGTCCCCACCCTTGTTCCTGAGCAGCCCTCAACTCCTATAGTGGATTTTTCCTGGATGTGGGCATCAGTTTTAATTAAGGCAGGCTAGTTAGGGATATGGGAGACTGGATTCAGGGGCCCATTAACTCCTGGAGCACTAGGTTAGGGTGGGGAAGGAATCAGGAAGCCTCCCTCAAGGTGACTGCAGCTAGAAATGAAGACCAGTGGTAAGGCCAAGGGGAGGCTTGTGGATGGACACAAGGGATGACAGTGTGGGGAGCAGAGGTGAGGATGGAGGTAGACCCTTGCCTTGAAGGCTTGGCGTCCTGGAGCCCAGCTGAGAGTTGCCAAGGGTTTTCAGCCCCAGATGGCATCATCAACATTGCTCTTTAGAAAGCCTGCTTCCTCACTAGAGATGCATGTGCCCCTGGCCACCTGTGCCCCCCAGCCTCAATGGGGTACCAGGGGTGCCCTGCATGTGCCTGCTGCCCAGGTTTGGGCTGGCAGGACATATAAGCAACCAGCAGAGGGCTCACTCCCCTCATCCTCCTCCCTCCCTAGGGAACTCCCAGAGGAATTACAATCTCTGTAAAGGAAGTAGAAAAAGGCTTTCTTGAGAATTGTTTCAATCCCACCAGGATGTAACATGGATTTCAACATTTTACAGGAAAATAAAACCACACACATGCAGTCAAAATAAGCAGCTCCGACTGGGCGCAGTACCTCACGCCTGTAATCCCAGCACTTTGGGAGGCTGGGGTGGGCGGATCATTTGAGGTCAGGAGTTCGAGACCAGTCTGGCCAACATGGTGAAACCCCATCTCTACTAAAAATACAAAAATTAGCTGGGCATGGTGGCGCATGCCTGTAATCCCAGCTACTCAGGAGGGTGAGGCAGGAGAATCGCTTGAACCCAAGAGGCAGAGGTTGCAGTGAGCCGAGATAGCACCACTGCACTCCAACCTGGGCAACAGAACGAGACTCTGTCAAGAAAAAAAAAAAAAAAAACAGCTCCCACATTTGCCTAGCACATTTGCCCAGCACATTTGCAATTACAGGTTAAGAAATTGTTTCTCAGAGTAGTGAAATGACTTCCCCCAAGTTCACTCAGCCTCCAAGTGTCAAAGCTGGGTTCTCTGACTCCTTGAGTCACAATGCCTTAAGGAACATCCTTCTGCACAATTATTCTTTCATTCACTCTTCCAATTAGGACACTTGGAGCACCTGCCATTTACTGGTTCCCTCATAACACTTTACAGTTTGCAAAGCCAACGTGTTTATAACAATTTCTTTACAGTCACCATCTTTTTAGTGAGAGCTGAGCTCAAATCCCATGTTTTCCAATTACTGGATCATCTTGGTCTAATTGCTTAATTCTTCTGAGCATCCATCAAAATGATCATGAAGTGTACCTACCCTGATGAGAATCTGTGATAGTTTAAAAGAGAAAACCGACAGCATCTTGCCTGGAGAAAATGCTGTCAACACAGGTTTGTCTCACTAAAAATTGAAAGGCAAACTAAACATTTGGGTAAAAATCCTCAAGTCAACCAGCAGATGGCAGCCTCCACCTGGCTTCGGGAGGGCACTAACCAGGCACTCCTGGTAGATGTGTTGAAGTGGATGGGGCTGATGTCTACCGGACTTCTTAGGCTCATAGACATCTTTAGGTAAACAACTTTGCCTTCATGCTAATCCTTCTCTCAATAAGAGGCTAGAACCCTTCCCAGAAGTGGGAAGGAACTTGGCAGGCCTCCTTTTATGTTCTTGACTCCCCATCTGCTACACAAAAACGAGCACCCTCACCCTACCACCTCACTGATCACCTCTTGCAGGTGTACACTGGGGTGGGGGGACAGGAACATGAGACACAGGGAGTTTCTGGCCTTTGTCCAGTCTCCATTCAGGTTTGGCAAGGACCACCAACCGTTGTCTAACATGTTTAATGCCTCCATTGTATCCATGTCCCATCACTCATTCACCTGATTTGACAGCACCGTATTGTTGGTTGTGAAGGCCCAACATGCACATTTTTTGTTGTTCTGTGCTTGTCCCTTTGGCTTGTTTCTGGCCCCTTAGCAAGAAGGCTTTGATCCTCCTGCCCTGACACTTAACTCACTAGCACAGGGTGAGGCACATCTAAAAATGTGGACTTGTTCCTGTTGCTGTTGCTGTTGCTGTTGTTTTCCTTTACATCTCTGAAGCCTGGTTTAGGTGATGATCCCTGTGGATTATTCTAAGCAGCTTGGGCAATGTTGAGAATAAAGTCAAGGGCCTTGTGTCCCCAGCACTTGCCTCCTAGAGCCAGTCTATGACCCCAAAGAGCTGTAGAGCGGTCCTGTAGGAACACTGAGCTGTGGTCTACTACTCCACTGCTGAACCCCTCCAATGCCGGCCTTACGGCTCAGAGGAAAGTAGCCTGAGACATCACAGTAGCCTTCAAGGCCTATATTCCCTGACCTCAACCCCCCTCTCATGATACTCTAGACACGCTGCCTCCCTGCTGTTTCAAACCCAGCAAGCGCACTCCCACAGCAAACCCTTCTCCTGGAATGCTCTTTCCTCTAACACATGCATGGCTCACTCATTTCTTTCAGCCATCTCCAATGTTATCTTCTCAGCGAGACCATCCTCATCATCCTACATAAACACACACACATCACACCTATATGTGCAAGATCACACATGCACACACAAACAACCCTCCCCATTCCCAGTACTCATAGTGCATTTTCCACCTGACACAGTACTGGCTTACCTATGTATGTGCATGCTTTCTAGGAGTCAAGCTCCATGACAGCAGGCACTTTGTATGTTTCCCCCTGCCGTGGCCCTAGCACCCAGAACAGAGCCTGTTCTATTATTTCTCAATCATTACGTGTTGACTGAATATATGACCTAAGAGGAGAATGCAGCCATCTGTAGCCTCACTTATTGTCTATTCAATTTGTTGAGTGCCAACTATATTCCCAGATCATCATTTTAAAGCTGACACAAACTCAGAAAGGAAGTGATTTTCCTGAAGCCACCAGGTAATCATTGTAGATTTGAATTCAGTTCTCACTCACCCCACACCATGACCTCAACAGATAGGAACCTAAGAATGTAATTTAAAGAAACAGCAAAGGAATTGTTCTACTAAGAACTAACAGAGGCAGCCTCTCCTAAGGAAGGACGAGTTAATGGGCAGAGATTGTTTGACAATTGAGAGATCCAGCAGGATATTTAGAGAAAAAAAAAAACCATAAATATCGGTCATTTCAAAAACAGAACCTGTTATATTTCCAACCAGAATAACTTCTCCAGAGACTTCATACGTGGTCTCTTGGAGAGCATTCTCTCAATTTAGGACAGAGGTCCTTACACTGAGAATCACCATTTCTCATGGATCAGTGGGAAAGGGGGCAAAATTAATTGACCTTTCAAGCCTTTGATTTACCATCTTTAACTAAAATAGATTACTCAGATGATGGGGGCAGAGAGCAAGGGGGAATTTCCCAGGTATGGTAGGAGCGTAGCTACACTGGATTCACTTGATTATGCTCTCAACAGCTTCTCCAATAAAGGCCTCTGTTTCCCAGTGTAAAATGAAGCTTTGCTTATCCCCAGAGGCATCGGCTTTTCATGTATTTTTCTGCCACCAGGGCTTTCTGAGTAGCCAGCAAAGAACAAGGCAGAGCAGATCTTCTGGGTGTGAAAGTGGTTTGGGAAAGAGACACAGTAGACCCAGCTCAGCAGGAGCTGAGGATCACTCTCCACCTGGACACCCTTCAGGTGAGCATCAGAGTCAGATTTGAAAATGTGTCTCCACCAAAAAGCCACATTCAAAGGTATCAAAGAGCCTTCAGCTCAGTGCTCATCTTTCTTTTGCAAGTCTCGGTTAGCTCCAGAGCAGGCTGCGGTGTTCAGCACTCCATCTCCAATGCTGCATCCCCAATGCATAGCACTTGAACATAGTAGTTGCACAATTAAGATCTCTATATTAAGAAATAAATTTATAATAGCTGCCTGGAGGTTATTGGAAAGGATTCAGAGGTCACGACCAGGCTACCAGGAAAGAAGTTTCCATTCAATTAATAGATGTGTCTTACTAATATATTTATCATCCTTAGAATGAAGCATATTTAGACCACCAGGATAGTGAGACAACCAGAAACTCCACCTCTTTAGAAAAAAAATGGAATAATAAGCAGGGACATAGTCTCTGTCTTAAAATCTCTGCACATCTGTCATGGAGAGGAGAGAACAGACATACTCTATTGTGTGACAGAGAAGAACTAGAATCTGATGATGAAATCTGTAAGGGAACAAACTGCACTCCAATAAGAAAAGAACTTTGAATAACCAAAGCCATCCAAAGAACAAACAAGCTGTTATAGAAGTGATACTGGAAGATATTGGAAGAACTCTAGGTCTTGGGGGTGGTTCAGACATTCAATAAAGTGGTATTGTAATATTCCCTCCAGCCCTAAAGTGTGCTTACCTCTTGTCGAGTTAGTTGTTGCATGAAAGCTGTCAAAAAACGTTTCTATTCCAGGTTTTCAGTCTCCAGCCTGAGTTTCAAATGCCACAAAAGGAAGGACAATCATGAAAGAGTCAAGACATCACAAAACACAGATGTTATTCTTAAGAAGATGACTCCTGGGGGAGACAGAAAGGAGAATAAACACAGAAGTGCTGACTGTTCCCCTGCACAGGCAGAGTCCTTCCCTCAGGGAACATGCTGGTAAGGATCCATAATTGCAAGTTGACAAAACCCTAAGCCTTCTAAAAATTCCAGGTTTAATTAGTTTCTCCAAAGCAAGCTCCTTACTGGAAAAGAAATCTGCAGCCTCGGCCATGTTACATTGCAGGAGAATATCACTGCCTCCTGGATCAGGATAATTTCTGCAAGAGATTGCTCCAGGCAAAACTTCACTTTTAGGTGAGACTGTCTAAACTTTACTTAGAAAGTTACAAGAGTCTTGCTCAAAGACTTCATCCCTGTAAAGGAGACCTTTAGTGTAAAAAGAGATATGATGTTTTAATAGCATTCAGCCTCCAGCCTCAGTCACCACTGAATCCTTTTCTTTTTTCCCACATAATTCCCAAGGGCATTCAATTGACATTTAAATAGCTGGATGTATATCATGTAACACATGTCTTCAAAACCAAGGCTTGAGATTGGGTTATACCTAAGACTTCTGGGCATGGAGTCAGGAAATTGCCTCTTTGACCAGATTGAGGGTGTGTTGGAGGCAGGAATCATTCCTTAGCATTTTTTGTATCAGCAGTACATGGCAAAGATGATAGCAATATGCAAAATCAATGAATGAATCAATTGATGGATGGTTTGAAGTCCTGGTTTTGCTATGAAAGTAGCCATGTGACTTTGCTCACATTACACAATGTCTCTGAGATACAAATTTTGTCATATGTAAATCAGAAATAATAATAACTATTTCATATGATTGCAACAAATGCAGTGGTGTATATAAAGTGTCCCAGTCTGTGTCTGGCATATAATTGGTGCCCAGTAAATTGTATCTCCCTTGACTCTCTACAGACATCCTTCACACAAAGTAAATGATCAATAACCATTTGACTGGCTGCTTAACAAGTGGAACTAATACAAATGCTCTCAGTTAATTTAGGAGGAAGAGCAGACAGATAGATCAAGTGCTTTATGGAGGAGTTTGAGGACAGAGGGAAGGAAGCAAATGTAAGACTTAAGTACATCCCTGCTAAGTATGAGATAGCACTCTGCAGCCAACACTTGTATTTGTCTTTCATTTATACCATGATTTCTACTTTGGTTATTTGCATTCCATAAGGCAAAGTCCTTGATCTTCCAGAGGTTCACATCTTTAACAGCTCTTCATAGTAAAGCTAAACAAGGAGATACAATAAAATGTATTCAAAGTCATTTATACTTAAGGGAACCACGTGGTAGATTCCTACGGCATCTGCCCCACCAAGCCCCCAAAGAATTTATTTCTGAAAATGAATGTATTTGATGCTGTAATCAGGAAATGAAATATGTGTCAACCAGCTTCTTTAGCTGCAGGGTAAGTAAGGACGAACTCATTGGCCACTTATTCCAATCATCACATTTATGTCTATGGCATAATTTGTTCTAGTTTCTTCCACTGGTCTCTGTTCTCTTTTTCTTCCCAATGATTGAACACTGCTTTCTCTTTAATCCATAAACCATTGCAAGTCCTTCTGCAAAAACGTACTATAGAAGAATATTAAAAACATGAAATTGCTTACAGATTACCACTTTTAAAAAGATATGTGACTTCTTTTCCTCAGATTCACCATCTTTAAATGCATGCTGATGCTAAAAATAATAACATCAAACACTTATCACAGTTTCTGGCATATGCCAGCACTTTTATAAGTGTTTCTCATGTAAAAACTCACTTAATCCTCACAAAAATCATATCAGGCAAGTAGTATTATAATCTCCATTATACAAAGAAGGAAACTGTGACACAGAGAGGTTAGTTAATTTTAAAACTACATCATTGAGGACGTGCACCACTTAATACAATTAGGATTAAAATGGAGCGCTTTCATTTAGAACCCCATTATCTTGGAGCTGTGAAGATGGCTATGAGCGTAATCAATACACTGTTAATGGTGCAAAAAGTCAGCCCACACAGTCTGGATGCCTACAGTAATGATAAGGAGTAAATCCCATTTTCCTTCTATCATGGAAATTCCACCATCAGAAACTGCAGAACCTGACCGCAGCAAGAAAAAAAGCTGAGAAGAGAGATCATTTCATGTTGCAATTCTGCTTGAAGGAGAAACAAACCTACAGGATGAAAGGACAAGCAACCTAATGTCTTCTCTGCCTACAAGCCAGGCACATCATTCTGCAGACTTCTCCTGAAGAATGGAGATTTTTTTTTTTCTGCAGCATGGGGGAATTGAGACAGGGATTATGAGGTCACTGTAAAGGGAAACCTGCAGCCTCAGCTCCTGACCACAGTCTGGAGAGTGACTCACACTGTATTCAGCCGAGTAGGTCTTGCTGAGCTGGCCTGATGGAGAAAAGGCTCTCTCACTAGCAGCTTGGAAACTAGTCCACAGAAGGCATACCCTGCTGTTCTCCAGTCTGGAGTCTCCCAAATCCCAGGGGCCACTGAAAGCTGCATACGAAGTGTCTACAGAAGCCATTTTTCTTTGCAGCAAGACTCAGAAGAGCCTATTTCCAGGTCCGAGAATCTCGCTGCCTTCAGAGTTTGGAAACAAACTGCAAGCAGATGGACATATATCTTCATTGAGGTGTGTAAGGAAGTGGTCACTTCTCCTATCCTTCCATGGCCACACTGAGGGAGCAAAACCCCATACAGAGAAGCGCTGTTACATAGGCCTAAACCGGGACCAGAAGATGCATCTTTTCCATTCCCAAGAGAGCTTCCTATCAGCCCAACATTGTCTGCAAATAACACTGAGCTGTCTGGTCGTCTCATGATTTGCTCCCCTCACCTCTTGACGTCTTCTACTCTAACATCTGATAATCAACCAAAGCTTTAGCACTCCTTTTACACCTGCTAACTGGACTGGCATTGGCATCTTATACCTCTTTTTTCTTTTCTTTTTTTTTTTTTTTTTTGAGATGGAGTTTCGCTCTGTCACCCAGGCTGGAGTGCAATGGTGCAATCTCGGCTCACTGCAACCTCTGCCTCCCAGGTTCAAGCAATTCTCCTGCCTCAGCCTCCGGCGTACCTGGGATTACAGGGGCCCGCCACCACATCTGGCTAATTTTTTTTGGATTTTTAGTAGAGACAGGGTTTCACCATGTTGGCCAGGCTAGTCTTGAACTCCTGACCTCAGGTGATCCACCCACCTTGGCCTCCCAAAGTGCTGGGATTACAAGAATGAGCCACCGCACCCGGTTCCTCTTTTTACATAATGACCCCAGCCCAAGTCTGGTGTGTGTCTTGTTTAAACCTATCCCAAGACCTAGATACATATGTGGGCTGGTAGATTTTAAGCATCACTAGCTAGGATGCTAGAAAAGGGTCACAGGAATGAAATTGCTTGGGATGGAGTAACCACAGGTAGGCACCTTCAAATAGGAGGTCAAGAAAGACCTCTCTGAAAAGGCAACATGATCCTAGACCTTCAATGTGGTCCGTGGCATAGTTCATGCACAAAGCCTGGCGAGGAAGCAGCTTGCTGAGTAAAACGGCTTCTGCTGACATTTTTGTGTTCATATCATCTCTGATTTCAGAGCTGATGCAGTGGTCAGGTTCTCCTGCAAGCATGTGCCTCTAAGGCTCTCCACTTCTCTGCCTTAGGGCTTTCTCAAGAGTATGGGAAGCCCACTCAGATCTGAGCCAGAAATATTTTCAAAGTGGAACGTCAGCTAGTGAGGGAGAAGACCAGTGGATAAATGTCCCAGGCTCCTACAGGACAATTCAGAAGGGGCCTCATGGGGATCCACGGTTGCCCAGAGCAGGAACTAATTAAGTATAGCACATATTGGCTTTTCCTCCCTCCCTGTCTTACCCTCACTCCTGGTCCCTCACCCCTATATCCTGGGGGCACCTCCCAAGCCCTTGTCTCAGGCTCTTCTTTAGGCCTAACGAGCTGAGGCAGAAGCTCACTGTGGTTACATAGTGAGAACCAGGAAATCCATAGGAGACCAAATCAGTTAGGTCTATGTGGGCCAAACAGTGAACAGCTTCAGGAAAAGCTTTACATTTCAGTCCTCTGTACCCAGGCAGTCAGGTGATGGAGCCTACCATGGGAAGCCAGCAGACAGGGTTGGGGAGTGCTGGAGGCGGCATAGGTTCTGGCCTCACCAGGGCTACATAGTCTTTAGACGTCAACTAAGATGACTAAGGCTCAGGGCAGGAATTGGGACTGGCAGGAAAGGGACACTGAGCCAGAAGGCTGCTCATAGAAACAGGGCCAACAGGGAAGCCACAAGATGCAGGTCTGACTCAACCATTATGCAAGCACCCAGAACTCATCTCTAGCACATTGGATATGGCATGAAAATAACCGCAACTTTCCTGAATGCTGTCTATTTACAGTCAGTCTGCTAAGCAGTTTTCATAATGAGCTCACTTAGACTTCAAAACTACCTTATAAGTTATTCTCCCCATTTATAGATGAGGAAAGTGAGGCCACTAAACACTAGAATGAAGGTTTAATCCAGAGTTACTGGATTCCAAATTCCATGCTCAAGACAACCAACTACCCTGCCAGGGTCTGATGGTGCTGCAGCCAAGGTTCAAGGTCAATGACTGACCCCCAAGATATAAGCTTGATGGCTGAAGGTGGGAGGGCCTGGGAAAGGTAGGAACTGACCCTCAGTGTCAAAGTGCACACACGACATGGGTCCACCGGCACCGCCTGAAAGGAGATATTTCCTGTGCCACAGACTAAGTCCTGACAGGACACATTACAGCTGTCTTCCCATTTATGAGGAATGTTTCTCAAATTTGTCTTCTACTTTCAAAGCTGTAAGGGAAAGGACCCCAGGTAGGGGCAAGCAGGATGCTTGGCTACATGTCATGTAAAAAAGAAACCACAGCCATCCTTATATTTGCACAGTATGCACCCATTTACAAAAACAATTCTAGCACCTGAACTCACAACCCTAGGGGTGGGCAGAGCAGGCTATATAATTCCCACTTCAGAGAGGAGCAACCTGAGGAGCAGAGATGTTGAAAGGCAGGACGGTGTGGTAGAAATACCAGTCACTGGACATGAAACCAGGAATGCCTGCTCTAGTCTAAGCTCTGCCCCAGACTCGCCTGGACTAACCATGGGCTTCCTATACCCGCTGGTGCTGACTTTATGTACTGGGTGTTGGAGAGGGAAGAGTCCAAAGATGGAAAGAGCACTCCTGAACAACTGCACAGAGCAGAGATCAAACACAACAGAAGCAATGAGCAAACAATACATTTTTATAGTGGTACGCCATTGAGCTTATGGAGCTGTTTGCTACAGCAGTAAGCCTGCCCTGACTAATATATTCCTTCTGCAGTCAAGCCTGCTTTCTCCTCTGACTTTAGTCCAGCAAATTCAGAATCTCCTTTGGAGATTATATCCAGTGCTTTCCAAGCTGGATTTCACTGATAGAATGTTCCTTGGTTCCCGGACCCTGATCCTTGTTCAGTCTCTTCTCTATTACTCTGAATATCAGTGAGAAGGCAAACCCATACATTACCTAGTTCTCCTCCCTGTCGGAGGAGAGCCACTTCCATCAGATAATCTAAAAGACTGATCACAGGGCACCAGACCCAGTCCCAGGAGACCCGGGGCTGACTCAGCTTCTAATGCAATTTGTCTCCTTATCCATGTGCCATCCACTCCATCTCTAAAATGAAGAGGTTGGCCTCACTTATACCAAAGCATCCTGCTAACATTTTAGGATTCTAACACGTAGATTCAAAGCACAAGAGAGAAGGATGTGAGTTAATTAGTCAAAGCTGTGGGATAATTAATGAAGGTAATTTCCCCAGACTCTGAGGGGAAAAAAATTATATCGAAGGGGAGAGAATTGTTCAAGCTGATGTCATGTTTATGAAGGCAAAAGATCAGAATGTTTCCACAGCACACGTCCGATGGTTTGAGAGGGAGCAAATGAGAATGGAGAGGCCATAGGTGCTGGATTTGGGCAGGTCTGGGTTCATTTCTCACCCTTACTCCTTACTGGCCGTGTCTTACTCTGTCACCTAGGCTGGAGTGCAGTGGCATGATCTTGGCTCACTGCAACCTCTGCCTCCTGGGTTCAAGTGATTCTCCTGGCTCAGCCTCCTGAGTAGCTGGAACTACAGGCGCACACCACCATGCCCGCTTAATTTTTTTTTTTTTTTTTTTTGGTATTTTTAGTAGAGACAAGGTTTCAACATGTTGGCCAGGCTTGTCTCGACCTCCTGACCTCGAGTGATCTGTCTGCCTCAGCTTCCCAAATGTTTCACCTTTCTAAGCCTCAGTTTCATCACTTGTAAAGTGGTACATCTCAGAAACTTGTGGTCATTAAATGCAATCCTGTGAGTAATGCACATGGTAAGTTGCAGAAGGGAATTCCCTTTACTCTCATCATGCCAGGGTGAGGATGAATCTATTTTGTGAAACAGAGGGAGGGATGCAGGCATCTCATTTTTGCTTGTGTTTATTCATTTACTTCAAAATCATATGTCAGACACTGGTAATACAGAGATGAATAAAACATGGCCCCTGATCTCAAGGAACTCAGTGTCTAGGTGGACAGACAGGGGCACACACAAATTATTGAGCTCCTAGTGTGATAACTACCTCATACGAGTATGAGAAAGCCAGGCTTTCCCATTCCAGAAGCATACCAAAGGTAGACACATACAGATGTTCATAGAAACATATACAGAGATGTCCACAAGAATTCCAGCTATAAATTATAAGCAATTGAAAAAAATCAAATGTCCATCAAAAGGAGAGCAAATAAAATGTAGCAGATGAATAACTAGAATCATTAACATGTAGTCTTTAAAGCTAAGATTAAGTGAAAATGCAGTGATCAAATTATATACAGTTGGATACCATTTAATTAAATTTGAAACACACAAAATGTTTTGTATTTTTCATAGATGCATGCATTAGTGTGATTTGTGTGCAAAAAGCTATATATTTTTAATGGACTAGAATCCACATCAAATTATGAACCTGGTTGTTTCTGGGAAAGGTAGAAGGAAAATGAGTCCAGGGATCATAGTCAAAGGAAACAGTATTTTCATCTGCAATGTTTTCCTGATGTTTTTAAACATCAGAAGAAAATACGATAAGGCTAGAAGGAAATATGATAAGATCCTAACATTTGTTAATTTGGATAGTGGCAATATGTGTGATTGATCGTATTATGAATGCTCTTCTGTATTTTTTATAAGTTTCTCAAAATAAAAGTTAGAAAGTATAGCAGTGGGTCATACAAAGAAGTGAAAGTGTCCTTCACCTGTTAGCCTAAGTTGACCTTAAGGAAACCTCAGAAGGCCCTGGCTAGAGAACAGGATCGAGGCAGGTTAGCCAGTGGTGATGAAGGCTCTTGGGGACTGTCAGTTCACCGCAATGACACTGTACAGGAGACAGCACAGTTTGAAGTTACACAGACCTGATTTTCAAACTTCTGTATTTACCACTTACCACTGCGACAAGTTCACAAGTGTACCCACACTTCAACTCTGATATATATTGCTTTGTCTAATGAATCTAAGTCTTCATTTCAGTTAGCAGATAAAGTGTAGACTTTAAATTCTATACGGTTTGGCCAGGTGCGATGGCTCACGCCTATAATCCCAGCACTTTGGGAGTCCAAGTCGGAAGGATTGCTCAAGCCCAGGAGTTTGAGAGCAGCCTGGGCAAGACCTCCTCTCTACTGAAAATAAAAAAATATAAAATAACTGGACTTGGTGGCATGCATCTGTAGTCCCAGCTACTTGGGAGGCTGAGGCAGGAGGATCACTTGAGCCCAACAGATCAAGGCTTGTAGTGAGCTGCGATAACGCATTGCACTCCAGCCTGGGTGAAAGAGTGAGATCCTGTCTCAAAAATAAAAATTTTGTGACAAAAATAAAAAAATGAATTCTGTGTAGTTTATTCTTAGTTTGAGCCAATAATTTTAAATAGTCCCTTTAGGAACTTTTTAGTCTCTCTAGAAAAAAAAAAAAAAAAGTCCAATCTTTATGGTTTTTCTTCCGGCCGTCACCAGCTCCTCTCCTTGGTGCCTTCTGTGTGTTGGAGCCCTGAGTCACAGAGCCTGTTGAATGCTGGTGTCAGAAGGAACACTGTTGACCTATTTGCATCTGCCCTGCTAGTGTTTGCGTGTTTGCAACCGAAGTCTTTGGCAGATGAAACTTGGAGTCTGCTGTCTCTTTTTGGGCAAAGTCCAGGTGCTCCCTGGCTAACTCAGCCACACTACTTCCAGACCTTTCTGGGGACTTTCCATGGATCCATTCAGCCTCAGGTCAGATGGTTTGTTGTCTGTGCAGCCTTCACTACAGAGCCACTTTGGCCCTGCTATGGTGAGACCCTCTAATGAGCATCATACTCCCTAGAAGCTCTCAGCTGCTTCTAGGTCTTGTCCATGGCACACAGGAACCAAGAACAGTTTGAGAAAGCTAAACTGCTGAGACTTTCTTGGATTGGCAGACACTACACCGCCATGTTCTCTGGGGGAGCTGCCTGATATTACTGCAGCGTCCTGTGAAGTGGCTTTTCCTGGCAGCTCCCCAAGCAGAGTAGAAGCAAGAACCACCCTCTGTTCTGGATACCTGCTTCATTTATCTTAAGCACTTCTCTTTTGTTGTTCAAGTGCCCAGGCAGTTACAAACTAGAATACGGGACGGTTCCATCCTCTCTCTTTCCTCCTGCTCTGCCTTCTCCTTTCCATAAAATCCTAGGCTGCTGTGATGGCTAATTTTATGTGTCAACGTAACTAGGCCACAGTACCCAGATATTTGGTCAAACATGTCTGGATGTTGCCGTGAAGCTATTTTATAGATAAGATTGACATTAAATCAGTAGATTTTTGAGTAAAGCAGATGACCCTACATAATGTGGGTGATCCAATCAGTTGAAGGCCTTAAGAAAAAGATTGCCTTCTCTTGAGGAAGTAGGAATTCTGCCAGCAAATGGCCTCCAGACTGGAGGTACACCATCAACTCTTCTCTGGGTCTCTAGTGGGCTGGCCCACCTTGCAGATTTGGGATTTGCCAGCCTTCATAATCATGCAAGCCAGTTATTAAACAGCTCCTCCACCCAAATCTCCCTCTCTTTCTCTCTCTCTCCCTCTCTCTCTGAATATTCTCTGAATATTCAATGCATTCTGTTTCATTCATATATATATCTCCCATTGGTTCTGTTTCTCTAGAGAACCCTGACTAATACCACTTGAGCCAACCTCATGCTGAGCCTTAATGGTATACAGAGGTAAATGTTGAGGAGTCTTCTGTGCTTAGTATTTGATATGACAAATGAGAGATACATGAATTCAGCAAATTATTTTCTTCTCTATAAGAACCAGTTTGCAAGGATATGGTTTTACTAAGGAGGTCAAGTACCTGTTCTCTGGAATAATGAATTTGAAGGAGGTAGGAGGTTGCCAGGAAACTATGACTAAAAGAGAGAAATTATAATTTATTATTACAATTTTTATCACCATTACATTATGTTATCTTGGACACATCTTTTCATCTCTGAGCTTCTATTTGTTTCACACAGTTGTGAGAATGTGCTTATAAAAGAGGTGGCTTCCCCAAAGATCTAGAACGAGAAATACCATTTGACCCAGCAATTCCATTACTGGGTATATATCCAAAAGAATATAAATCATTATATTACAAATTACATACATATGTATGTTCATTGCAGCACTATTCACAATAGCAAAGACATAGAATCTACCCAAATGCCCATCAATGATAGACTAAAGAATATGTGGCACATATACACCATGGAATACTACTGCAGCCATAAAAAGGAACAAGATCATGTCCTTTGCAGGGACATGGATGGAGCTGGAAGCCATTATCCTCAGCAAACTAACATAGGAACAGAAAACCAGACACCGCATGTTCTCATTCATAAGTGGGAGCTGAACAATGAGAACACATGGGCACAGGGAGTGGAACAACACACACTGGGGCCTGTCGGGGGGTGGGGTGGGGGGAGGAAGAGCATTAGGAAAAATATCTAATGCATGCTGGACTTAATACCTAGGTGATGGGTTGATAGGTGCAGCAAACCACCATGGCACATGTTTACCTACGCAACAAACCTGCACATCCTGCACATTTACCCCAGAACTAAAAATAAAATTTTTTTAAAAAGAGGTGGCATACTGCCTGATGCACAATTAGAGGTATAATTAGTGCTCAGTTAATCAGAGGTATAATTATAAACACTAGCATTAATACTTATTTTTGGATATTTTGCCATGTGCCAGTCATGATGCTAAGTTTAATTGAGATCATGGGTCTGGGGTCTAAGGTTTGGAAGGGGTGATGTGGTCAGAGTTCAGGGGCCACAGGTAAGGTCATATGGGGTGCATGTGCACAAAGATACGTTTTAGACAGCCAGATCTTGGCTGAATTATAAGATCCAGTTAGGGGGTGAAGTAGGGATTAGCATGTAGTCAACTATGATGGGACAGGTGATTTGGGGTCACTGGAATCAGAGCTGAGAGATGGAGAGTAATGACTACTACTCCTTCCCACATCTCTTGTCTCGAATTATGTGACTCTGCTAAGCTTGTCTTTGATCCCAAAAGACATCTGTGCTGGCACCGGCTTTGCCATCTGCACTGCTGAGTAAGGAGCGAATGTTCAAACAGCTTCACCCATGGAGTCCAAGGAGGACGGGAAATTCCCCTGGAAGTCCAAAGTGAACCGAGGCCAAACTCTGGGCTTTTTCTGAGCAAACATTTTGAGAGAAACCAAAGTGATGATGATATAGAAGAACAACCGGGGCTGTCCCCTTGCACCGAAGCAAGACTGATGAAAACACAGGGATTAGTACAGATGATTCATTGCCAGTCCTTTCCCTGAGAGTGTTTGCTAGTGGCGACCCAATAAATACCGGATCTCCAAAAGCGCTGACAATTTGCAGACCGGGCCTGGGAGTTATAGAAATCACTTCCGAAATTGGTGGGAGGAAAAAGCGAGGTATGGAGACACGGGGGCGTATCCCTCTTCCAGAATTCACGTTCCTTCCTTTGGTAAGATACTTTCCTCCTCCTAAGTGTGGGTGACTCTAGAATCTAGATGAATGGTGCCTGAGATCCCAAACTTGCATCCCTCCTGTGTGGGTGAGAATTCATGTTTCTCTGTGAGTTCTGCCTCTGACCCCGATGAGGAGGGGTGGGAAGCTGTGGAGGCAAGTGGGGGAGCTGCCTCACGTCTGATTATTAATAGTGAGGAAAAACTAAAGGTCTCTGGAGTGCTGCTTCAGACAGAACCTACAGTGAACAGAGCTTTAAAACAGGCAGTACTCTGTTCAGTATCTTGACTGTGAGGGTGGATCCACAAATCTACATTTGTGATAAAATGTATACAAGTAAACACAGAAAGAGAGAGACAGAGGAAAGAGAACGAGTTAAACAGGGGACATCTACATGAGACCAGTGGATTGCATCAATCTCAATATCCTTGTCTTAATTTCCTATTGTGCTATAGTTTGGCAAGATACTACCATTGGGGGAAACTGGGCAAGGAGTACACAGATTTTTTCCGTATTATTTCTATTTTTAAAAACAGTTTGTTTTTTTATTGATTCAAATACCATACAATTCACTCGTTCAAATTCTACAATTCAATGACTGTTAGTGTATTCACAGAGTTTTGTGTCTATCACCCCAATCAATTGTAGAGAATTTTCATTATCCCAAAAAGAAACCCCTCACTCCTTAACCATTACTTTCTGACCCCACCATTTCCCAAGCCATAGGCCACTGCTAATCTACTTTCTGTCTCTGCAGATTTGCCTATTGTGTAAATTTCATATAAGAAGAGTCATAAAATTATGTGGTCCTTTATAACTGACTTATTTTACTGAACATTTATTGTAGCATGTGTCAATATTTCATTTTTTTATTACTAAATTATTATCCATTGTATTTATTTATTCCTCATTTGACAGACATTATTTGGGTTTTTCCGATTTTTGGCTACTATGGATAATGTTACTATGAATATTCATGTACAGGTCTTTGAGTGGACATATGTTTTCAGTTGTCTTGAGTATATACTTAGGAATGAAATTGCTGAATCTATGGTAACTAACTCTACAATTAACCTTTTGACAAACTATCAGACTGTTTTCCAAAACATCTGCATCATTTTACATACCCATCATTGGAAGGAGGATTCCAATTTCTCCATATTCTCATCAACGGTTGTTATTATTAGTCTTTTTTTATTATGACCTCCTAATGGGTGTGAAGTGGTATCTTATTGTGGTTTTAATTTGCATTTCCCTGATGGCTAATGAGGTTGAGCGTCTTTTCATGTGCTTATTGGCCATTTGTGTATTTTCTTTGGAAAAATGTCTATTCCAACTCTTTGCCCACCTTTTAATTAGGTTATTCATCTTCTTATTATTGATCTCTATTATTTCTCATAATTGCATGTGAATTTATAATTATCTCAATAAAAATTTCCATTTTAAAAAAAGGATGTTGGGGAAAAATGGAAGGGAATTCAGAGGAAAAAAGTACAGTCATGCATCACACTCAATTCTGAAAAATCCATCATTAGGCAATTTTGTTGTTGTACAAACATCATAGAGTTCACTTACACTAACCTAGATGATACAGCCTACTACAAACCTAGGCTATATGGTATAGCCTATTGCTCCTAGGCTACAAACCTGTATAGCATGTTACTGAGCTGAATACTGTAGATCATTGTAACACGGCGGTAAGTACTTATGTATCTAAGCATAGAAAAAGTACAGTAAAAATAAACTATAAAAGATTTAAAAATGGTACACTTGAATAGGGTGCCTACCATGAATGGAGCTTGCAGGACTAGGAGTTGCTCTGTTGGTGAATGAGGGGTGAGCAAACATGAATGTCTAGCACATTACCGTACATTACTGCAGATTTTATAAACACTGTACACTTAGGCTATGCTAAATTTATTTTTTAAATTTTTTCTTTCTTCGGTAAGTTAACCTTAACTTACTATAACATTTTCACATTATAAACTTTGTAATTTTTTAAAACTTTTTGAGTCTTTTGTAAAATACTTAGTGTAAAACAAACACATTGTACAGTTGTACAAAAATAGTTGATTTCTCTATATCCTTATTCTGTAAGCTTTTTCTATTTTTTTTATTTTTTTACTTTTAAAACTTTTTGTTAAAAACTAGATACAAATACGCACATTAGGTTAGGCCTACACAGGGTCAGGATAATTAATATCACTGTCTTCCGCCTCCACACCTTGTCCCACTGGAAGGTCTTCAGGGGCGATAACATACCTGAAGCTGTCTCTCCTATGATAACAATGCCTCATTCTGGAATACCTTCTGAAGGACCTGCCTGAGGCTGTTTTACAGTTAACGTTTTTTAAGAGAAGAGGAGTATACTCTAAAATAATGATAACAACGTTAGTAAATGTATCAACCAGCAACACAGTTGTTTATTATAATTATCGCATATCAAGTGTTATATATATACCTAATATTTTTATACAGTTGGCAGTGAAGTGGGTTTGTTTATACCAGCATCACCACAAACACATAAGTAATGCATTCTGCTGCAAGGTTACAATGGCTAAGATATCACTAGGGAAAAGAAATTTTTCAGCTCCATTGTAATCTTGTGGGACCATCATGTATGTGGTCCGTCATTGATGGAAACATCGTTAGGCGGTGCATGACTATATTTCACCAGAGAAGATAAATAGATGACAACTCAGCACATGAAAAGATGCTCAACATCATTAGCCATCAGGGAAATGTAAATTCAAACCACAGTGAGGTCTAGCAACACACCTATCAAAATGGCTAACATAAAAAGTAGTGAAAGGAAACAAATGTTGGTGAGGTTGCAGAGGAACTGTGTCACTCATGACTGCTGGTGGAGGTGTAAAATAGTATGGCCATTCTGGAAACAGTCTGGAAGTTTCTTATAAAACAAAATATGGACTGCCATACAACCCAGTAATTGTACCCTTAGGCATTCATCCCAGAGAAATGAAAAGTTATATTCACACAAAAACCTGTCCATGATTGTTCACAGCAGCTTTATTCATGATAGCCAAAAACTAGAAACAAACCAGAAGTCCTTCAACAGGTAGCTGGATAAACAAACTGTGATTTATTCATACCAGGGAATAGTACTTAGCAAGAAAAAGGGGCGAACCTTGCATCAATCTCCAGAGAATTAAGCTGAGTGAGAAAAGGCCAATCTCAAAAGGTTACATACTGTATGATTCCATTTATGTAACACATTTGAAATGACAAAATGCTAGAAATGAAGAATAGATTCATCGTTGCCAGGAGTCAGGGTGGGAGGGGTTCAGGAGAGAGAGGCCAGGTGGCAATAAAAGGGCAACATCAGATAATAGATCTATTAAAATGTTCTGTATCTTGGTTGCATCAATACCAGTACCTGGTTATGCTATTGTACTGTATTTGTAAGATGTTACAACTTGGAGAAACTGGTAAAGCCAGTACTACACCAGCTCTCTCAGATCTCTCTGATATATTTCTTACAACGGCATGTGAATCTACAATTATCTCTGAATAAAATGTTTAATTTTTGAAAAAGCAAGAGGCAATGCCTTCATAGCTCCACTTACAACTCTACCAATTAGTAACTGTGTGATTTGGGGCAAGTTAGTATTGTCAATTTTTACATCTGTGAAATGTGGATAATGCCTACTCACATAAACGTGATAAAGATCAAATAAAAATATAAGTGAAAGAGTGTGTAACTGGCTGTGTACAGTGGCTCGCACCTGTAGTTCCAGTGCTTTGGGAGGCTGAGGCAGGTGGATCACTTGAGGCCAGGAGCAGGAGCTCAAGACCGGCCTGGCCAACATGGCAAAACCCTGTCTCTATTAGAAATACAAAAATTAGCCAGGTGTGGTGGCACATGCCTGCAATCCCAGCTACTCAGGAGGCTGTGGCACAAGACTCACTTGAGCCCGGAAGTCAGAGGTTGCAGTGAACTGAGATTGTGCCACTGTGCTCTAGCCTGGGTGACAGAAGGAACCTCTTGAAAAAAAAAAAAGAAGAAAAAAAAGGAAGAGATTGTAACTAACAAAGAAATCACTACAACTATTACTATTCTCTGTCGCAATCCCTTAGTGCAGTCCACAGTGGAGAAACGTCCATTCATCATCCTTTGACTTCCCCATTTGATAATAATATAGCCACTGTGAGAAAGGTACCCGAACACAAACACACTAAGTCACACTTGAGTGGGAGTGATAAGAGGTTGCCAACATGGGAGGGTTCAGGTGCTTTGAAGGGCTCGGGATTAAAGGGAAACGGGCCAGGTTTTGAGCACTTGTCAGCGCCTCTCAGAGAGAAGGTGCAGGAGACAGGCCACGCTGGAATCGGGTCACAAGGCTTACGGAATTTGGTACCTAGAAGTGGGCCTTCTGACCTCCCTGCCTGAGTTTAAATTTCCTGTTAACCTTGTGGCCTTGAGAAGGCCACTTCTCTCTGCCCCAGGTTTTTCTTGCCTGTTAAACAGAAATAACAATACCTCCCTTACGTGGCTGATGAGATGATCATCCCCAGGACATAATGTCCTTTCTCAGACTCCAGACATTCCTCTGCCAGTGTCATCATTCCTGCCAAATTCAATTAATGCCCAAAGTGTCATTTATTACTATTTTGTATTAAGCCAATCTTTTTCTTTTTACTTAAATAACCTTTTTTGTCAAAGAAAACAGAAACAGATGTACATTTATACACATTTTAACCTCTCTGAAAACAGCATGCTTCTTACAAGCAATGGTATATGATGGTTTAATTAATAGAATAATTCTTCTTTCCTAATGGAATATATAATAGTGATTTTTATAATCAGTGGCATTTTAGATTCTATTGAATATGAAGTGTCACTTCTTTAAATAAAAAATCAGCTTTGCTTATTAAAATAAAAGAAACCATTTAAATAAATACATTTGTTAAATTACATTTTAATTAGATTTCCAACATGATTAAATTTCAGCTAAAGTGTGCTGCCTGAAAATAATTTAGCCTGAGGCCTGTTTCTGATCTATTAAAAAAGGGAACTTTAGCAAGCAAAGAGAGGTAGTCATAACTTACTAATATAGAACTGATAGGATCTCCACAGTGCAAATAGAATATATTTCCATGTTACTAATAGCCACACTATGTAGCACCTGAAACTATCTCTGTTAGTAGCAAGTGGCTGTCTTTAAAGAAGAGTAGGAGGAAGGAAGAAGTTCATGTAGGACATACACAGAGCAGTTCTGCATCTCTGCTTCTGATCACTGGGAGCTGGAGGCAATGTACACACCATTCCCAGGAGAAGGAAAGCATGCAAGGTAGTGGCTGCACACTGAGAGATATTATGTACCAGTTAGAAATGTCAGATAAAAGTGTATCCATTGATGTGGACAGAGTCTTAAAATGTTAAGTGAAGGAATAAGAAACTGAATAAGATCTATATCACACCATCATATATGTACATTAAGACATGATACATCCACCATAAACACTGCACATTTTAAAAAATATGCATATCCTTAGGATGGGCTCGAAGAGGGTAGGAAAGGTGATCAAGGGTATGGGGAAGAAAATAATATTAATAAAATAAAAATAAATCAAGAGATGTTATTTGTACCAATGATGATGCTGTGCCCTGACATAAAGTATGTGAGTAAACCAACTATCCATGTGAAAAATATAAATACAAACGTAAAGCTCCTAACAACCATATGAGTATACAACAGATACTCAGTGAACGCTAATTACATGCCTTTAAGAAAATGTACAGAGGCTGCCCGCAATGTCTTCAAGAATTCCAAGTAGTAATGAATTCTCAGTGACTGTCTCAAGATAGCCATCACATATCCCCTTGTCAGAAACCTGCATCAGTCCAATTCTCCTCTACCACTACCCACACACACATTGCAGACTCGTATAGTTCAGGCTGACCTGCCACCAACAACCACCCCTCCTCCAACACCACAGGGCATCAGAAGCCAAGCTGACTCCCCTGAAACAAACTCATAGACCCTAATAAGTTGATCCAGGTGGAAGCTGCTTACGGATTGAGTCACAGCAACCCATTATATAGATGAGAAACTGAGGCTACAGAGGGGCAGAGACTTGATGGGATCTCACAGTGAGTTAAAGCCAATTCCGTAACTAGGACTAGGTTGTTTTTCTTCCACACATACATTCATCCCTCCCACTCCACGCAAGGTTTGTGGACCTACCAATAAAAAAACCAGTAGCAAAGCCATTGAAATAGAATTCCTATCCTCAATGGAGCAGATATTCATATCTAGGGTGCTGCCCACCAGCTACAGAGGGAATGGGACATAGGAAATTGCTGTCAGGGCAATAAGCACCCTAGCAGATGAGACAGAAGCGATACAGCCAAGGGTGTCATTTTCCAATGTTCTTATCACTGAAGATGATCTGTTCCCTGGCAGATACAGGATAGAAAGTCAGGCCTGTGGGCTGCCTAGCATCTTTGCCTCAGAAAAATGGTGGGTGGCAGATGTAAGAAAAACAGTGTCAGGGTCAGGGCAGAGGTATGAGCCATCCTATTAGAATCATCTCATATTCCCAAAGTATGTCCTTTTCACAGCTCGTAAGAGACTTAGAAAGGCTAAGTAACTTGCCAACATTCACAAAGCTAGCAAGGGGTTGAAGAGGGATTTTAGCAGAGTGCATGGGTCTGTAAAGCCTTAGTCCCTTCCCTGCATGGCTTCCTGAGACCACAAAAAGAAAATCAGAAGTGCCATGGAGCTTTAGAGAAGAGAGAGCTAAGGTTTGAAAATGGGGAGGTGGGCCTGAATCCGGGAGGATTTCATGTACCTCCGTCATTGACATAGGTCTTAAATGAAGGGTACAATTTCCCCAGGCGGGTTGGGGAAGAGAGTTTCAGGTGGACAGAATGCGTTGTAAAGGCATCCGGCCAGGCAAGCACAGAGCATGCTGGTGTGACCAGCAGGTTGATTCTGTTAGAACCTGGGGCATGTGAAGTTGAACAGAAAACAAACGGCATGAAAGGCAGCTCGCTGCATATGGAGGAAAGCAGGAGCCATCAGGCCAGCAGTTGTGCACACCACAGTGGGCACTGCAGACCATGGAAGGAGTTCAAGCAGAGGTGGACATGGCCAGAGAGGTTCTCCATCCTCCCCAGAGTTCCCTGTCAGTACCTGTGACTAAGGGGGTGGGGGGTCAAGAACACAGATTTTGAGCCAAACTTACTAAAGTTTGAGTCCAAACCCTGCCATAAATTAGCTGTAATCTTGGGCAAGGGGCTTACCCTCTTCAGTAATCCTTTGAACATTCCTGACACATAGTAAGCACGGTATTTGGTATGGGTTAACAGTGGTGATGATGAAGATTATAACAGCAAAGGAAGAGGAGGGGGTAGAAAGAGGATAATGAAAAGAAAAAGGCCAGGCGCAGTGGCTCACGCCTGTAATTCCAGCATTTTGGGAGGCCGAGGCGGGCCGATCACCTGAGGTCGGGAGTTTGAGACCAGGCTGACCAACATAGAGAAACCCCATCTCTACTAAAAATACAAAATTAGCTGGGCATAGTGGCACATCCCTGTAATCCCAGCTACTCAGGAGGCTGAGGCAGGAGAATCACTTGAACCTGGGAGGCGGATGGAAGTCGCAGTGAGCCGAGATCACATCATTGCACTCCAGCCTGGGCAACAAGAGTGAAACTCCATCTCAAAAAAAAAAAAAGAGAGAAAATAAAAAAGAAGAGGCAGAGGAAGAAGAGGAGAGGAGAAGAGGAGGAAGGGGGGGAGGAGGAGGAGGAGGAAGAAGAAGAAGAAGAACGCAGCAGCAGCATTTGTTGTAATATAGAGGGAAAGGTGGCTCCAGGAGTCAAAACTTCCTGAAAAATAAGAAGTCACTAACTCCATCAGCTAGTAGGATTCTAAGAGGTCTAGAGACATGGTCAGGAGCCCCTCCACGGCCAAGACCCGCTTCTGCTTTTCTGTCTTATAATAGTGCCAGCACCCTGCTGGGCCTGCCAAAACCAACAACAATAAACATGTATTTAGAAACCACATGTGCTAATCACCATACTAGTTGCTAGAGACTTTAAAATGAATTAGACCCAGCCTCTGCTTTCAAGGATCTTACAGTCTACTAGATGGGGGTGGGACGGGGGGACAGACTCATAGGCGACCACGGAAAAGGGAAAAGCCAACCGACCTGAGCACCAGGTTGAGCTTTGAGTGAAGAGCTGGGTGCTCAGGGGTAAAGAAGGTACTTCTGACTGGAGGCATCTAGGAAGAGGGAGCAGAGGCTTCAGCTCCTTGGATCTGAAAGAAAGCTCAAAAAAAAAAAAACCAAAAAAACAAAAACAAAAAAACAAACAAACAAACAAAAAACACAGAGTCTGCGTCTGAAAAGAACAGGAATCAAGCAGTTCCAGGGTTCTAAGAAGCAGAAAATGAAGGCATAATTCTGACCATTCCTTGAAATGAATGTACTCCCACTGTTTTGCTAGCTTTGTCTCTTCTGCTTAGGATTCAAAATCCTGAAGGTTCATTCTTTGGGTTTGAGAAGGTAAACCATCAGGAATTTCCATCTGGGAGCACGTTCATTTCCCAAAAGTAATTTCAGTCGGTGTTGCCAAGAGCAGGAAAAAGATAAAGGTGATGAAAAGGAAATGAAGGAAATAAATGTCAACTAGAGCCTTGGCAGACAGAGCTGGTTTCCACCCAGTCTCCTCTGATTTGGTTCAAAAAGGCAAAATACTCGATTTAAAATTCCTCCTACCAACCCTGCACACACACACACACACACACGCACACAAAACATGCACGTGCACACGCCAACATCCTTGAAAATAGAAGTAGTTGTAAGATCCAGTTCTGCCCGGTGAGTTGTAGGTAATATTCAATGAGTAGAGGTCATGGTTAACTTCTCTGAAACGAAATGTCCCCTCTGGCTTTTGGTCCTGCCCTTCTTTGCACCGGAAAATAATTGTGATGGCTGGAGGAGCAGCACCCATCTTATGACCTGAGGCTGAAGGATATACTCTAGGGTTGGGGTTGGATGACTTTGTAAAAGGAGGGAGACTAAGTCCTCAATGACTTTGTAAAATTATTTACTTTTTAGTAGAGACACTGAAACTCAAGCAGCCTAATTCCAGGACCCACATTACAATTAGTTTGATGAGTGTTGGTAGCAGGAGGTTTGGGGGTCTCCTTCCATTGATACTCAGCTCAAATGGCCCTATGCAGGAAACCTTGCCTAATTCCCAGGATAAATCAGGATTCCTTCATTTTATAGGTTCATGGCTCACCATCATTTTCCCTCTGGCAAGTTACCACAGTTATTTGTGTCACTATTTGTATGATGCCTGCATCTACTACCAGACTCTAAGCCTTGCAAGATATAGATATAGATCTAAAACTAGATCCATATCTCCGTCTCCACTGATCTATCTATCTATCCCTGTCTATCTACCAACCTACCTATATAAAGCCTTTGTATTCCTGATGCCCAGCACAGTGCCTTGCATAACATAGGTCCTCCAATGTTTGCCAAGAAAATGAATGAATGAATGAATGAAAGCCATGAGTTGAAACCACATCTTCAGAATCCTCCATCATTTCTACCAAGAAAAACAAGATGTGAACAAACAAATTTAGGATTTCTCAGTTTTTTATAAGAACACAGACACCCTTGAAGATTCAAGGGCTGATTGTTCAATATGATGGCCCTTCAGGGACTTCCTCTGGGCATCGCATGGCTTCTCAGGATGCACAAAGATTACAAGGGCAGGTCTGGTTTCCTCTTTAGGAGAGATTGAGTGAAAGAAGAAGCTGGTCCTACCTGAAGTCTGGGGATCATGTGTGTGTGATTATCAAGATTCATGCTCTGTGCCACTCCCCTGAGAGACCCCCAGGCTGTCCCCCCATCACCCTAACCTCTGATCAGTCTCCAGGGTCAGTGACAGAAAGCAACAAGCCTTTCCACGGTTCTGAATTTGAGCTGCTTGTGCATTGAGCACTGTCAGAGCCACATCAAAGGCTAAGGTTGGGTTGCCAGGTCTACACTGAAAGTCCTCAGGAGCCACAGCTCGGGAGGCAGGGGCTCTGGAGGCGCCCCCAGCTCCCTGGGGGACCAGGTACTTTCCTGAAGAGAACACATCACTCAGCTCTTCCTGTGCTTTTACTGTAAACTCTTGGTTTATGATGCACCTAAGAGGAAGGACAGAGGGGAAAGAGAGAGACAGAGACAGAAAGACAGGGGAGGTTGACTTGAAAGAAGCACAGTAAACAGCAACTGATTCTTACATGTTCAGAGCTGGGAGTGGCAGTCCCCACTGAGAGGCAGAGACTGAGGCCCAGAGAGGGAAAAGTGGCTTGCTCATGCCCAGGAAGCTGAGAGAGGAGAGAGGCAAACCCAGGCCTCTTTAGCTGGTTCTCTTTCCACCACATCTACATAGTCACTCTTCCTGAGAACCCTCTAGGATCCAGAAATGAATTGAGCTCTCTTTGATAAGAGAGGACCCCAAGAAGGAGCAGGGGAACGGCAATTATAGGTACCAAGAGCCAAGTATGCTCATGGCACAATGGCGGACTCAAGTGTCATCCCTTCCAGCATGTGATAGTCACTGCATCTCAGAAAATACGTAAATGAAAAAAGCCAAGGCCTCTGCCCTCACTGAACTCCCAGTCTACTGGGAGAGTCAGACATGCGCCCAGCAACATCCAATACCTGGCAACCTTGGAGAAGGGTTAGCAGTGCACAGAGGAAGGATTTGATGGTCAAGATGGGAGAGGTGCAATGGGAATCAGCAAAGGCGTTCTGGCCTTCGGGGTGAGTATGTGTTCATTGGTGGAAGAAAGGTCACCACAAGCAGAGGGACATAGGTAGCAAAGGCCTCAAAGTGGGGAAATACGTGGTGTAATCCTGGTGAGTCACCCTGTGACTGAGGCTTAGCTTTTTCATAAGGGACAGTTGCAGAGAGCTGACTAGGAAGGTAATTTAAACCATTGATGAAAACCCCAAAGCCGGAAGCCTGGCTTTGTGAATGTCTTAGTGCCCAGTGCAGGGCTAAGCACCAGAGACCCATGCTCTGGATGAATGATAGTGGGGCCTGATCATTGCCTACCTGGGGGCTTAATGAAGTGTAAAACCATGTTCACATCTCCTACCACCTGGGAGTTTGTGCCAAAAAAAACCCTAAAGACCACTTACAAAGCAGTACCTATCAAATACTGGATATTCTGAAGCACAGAAATCCTGTGGTAGACATGAGGATGAGTGGTCAACATAACCCCATCACCCATCTAAAAGCTTTATGAAATGGCTTACAATTAATTCTTCCAGAGAATAAAGAGACAAGAGACCTGAGACACAGTGACAAGCACATGGCAAAATGGATGACAACTAAGTCTACCATCGTGCCTATGTATGTTTGGCTTTATTTATTTATTTATTTGAGACGGAGTCTCCCTCTGTTGCCCAGTCTGGAGTGCAGTGGCGTGATCTCGGCTCACTGCAACCTCCACCTCCCGGGTTCAAGTGATTCCCTTGCCTCAGACTCGGAGGAGCTGGGACTACAGGTGCCTGCACCACCTGTACCGGCTAATTTTTGTATTTTTAGTAGAGACAGGGTTTTGCCATGTTGGCCAGGCTGGTCTTGAACTCCTGACCTCAAGTGACCCACCCGCCTCAGCTTCCCAAAGTGCCGGGATTACAGGCGTGAGCCAGCACATCCAGCCTGGCTTTCTCTTTTAAAAGAAAGAATTTTCTGGGGTGCTCTGCTTTTCCTCATCCTCATCCCATCATAGGAGGGGATGCCCTTTTTTCACCTCAATCCACATTAAGGGCCCTTTAAGAGAGTACACAGAGAGTTAGACCAGAGGACCCCGGAGTGAGATGGTTTTGAACTCTGGCAAGTAAAGGGAATACTATCTACTGGACCTTTTAAACCTGGAGTCTTATTTTACTCTTTTGTATGCCCAAAACTGAACATATATTGAATATTAGTAACCCACCTGCAACATGCTCTTCTCAGTCCTTGCAATGATTTGGAGATGTACCTTCACTACTGCATATAAAGACATACTTCATTCATCTTAACTGCTGTAAGGTGTACCCTCACATTTTACTTATCCATTCTCATGCTTAGCCTTTTTATAAATGTAAAAGAAATGCATGGTCAATACTGTGGAGTCCTAATTAGGGAAAGGAAGTCAGGCTGGTGGGACCAGGGGAAAGAAAAAAGAAGAAAGCAGATCAGCTATAAGTCCACCTCTCTCCATGGTCCAGCACATATAGCCCTCCTGCACCTAACTTATCACCAGACACCTGCAAGTTAGCTCACTGCAACCTTGGCGTTATCAGCACTGCACAAAGCCCTCCTCAGCATACAGCATGAACACCATTTTATAAAATCCCCAGCAAGCCTTTGTTTTCTTGCAGTCGGCTCCTCTCTTACCAGCTGCCTGTTGCAAACTCGCAACTTATTTTCATATTTTCTTTAATAAATCTGCCTTTCTTCATCTACAGCTGTCTTGGTAAATTCTTTTACCCCCATGCCACCAGCCCAGATAGTCACTGCTCACCGGTGACAAATCCAGAAAACTTGGAATATACAAAAGGGGAATACTTTAAAGCCTGTTACACAGAGGGATGATTTAGACAAATCACTCTGGCTGCAGTGTGGAGGTTAGGTAAGTGAAGGTGAAACAGGAGGCAAGGAGAGACACATCCTTGTCTGAGAGAACAATGGCCTGGTCACAAGTGATGACTACAACCCAGACTTCAAAGTCCAAGTTGCTCTGGCTTCAAACCCCAACCTTTTTTTTTTTCCCCATGATGACATATAATATATTCATAGTAGGGTGCCTGTCAAGACATCAAACAGGTTATCTGTTGAGATAAATTTAAAATTTAAGTTAGCCATTCTTCTATTTAGATATATACATATAAAAAAAAAGACATCACCTAGAAAAAAAACACTTCTGTGGGCTCCTCGAGTTACATAAATGTAGGTGATGCTTGCAGTGGGGCAAAAGGAGCCCAAGACAGAATCATGTATTATTGCATTAGAGCTGTCACTTCGGGAGACCAGGCAGGGGTACACAAAGCAAGGGGGTATACCCAGAGAGGGACCAACTTATATAAGGAGTACAGGTAATGTTTGCTTACTTTTGTGAAATGGTATGCATGCATTCTTAAGTTAACACTGTTTTATGACATTGTGGGGAAACAAAATGTGGATAGTTGCAGAGAAAACCAACAGAAAGCATTAATCCCTGGGAAGTAATTGATATTAATGTCACTCACTTCCATGATGTTTTGCATAGTTAAGCACTTTGCATAGTCAAGCATAAATTTACTCTGCTTGGGGGGAACGAATAAGACCACTAAATATTAACATTCCCATTTCTTTTTGCCTCCTTTGTCCTCTGCCCTCTGGCCACCTGTAGTTGATATAAAGAATAGAGTAGAAAATCTACTACTTAATGTTGTGCTACTCCACTGTGGCGAATATACAAATCCCAAATGTCAGATAGATAGGGTAAGGCAGTATGGAATTTACACAGTTGGGTGTGAATTCTTGCTCTGCTATTGATGAGCTCTGTGACCTAGGTCACATTCATGGAGCTTGTAAATGGCTACAATCACATAGACCTTCACTTGTGTTTCTCTGAGTATTAGTAAATGAGATAACATCTAGTAAACGAGATAATATTTACTAGAAAATGGTGTGCACCCAATAAATAAATAATGGATGGAAGCATGAGATGTGCTTATCTGTCTATCTGCTGCTCCTCATTCCTTTAATTCCTTGACTCCACCCTGGAAAATTCAATTTGAGTTTTACACGCTAGGCATGAAATGTTAATAAGAGATGGTGGGCAGCTGTGGCAGGCATTCCTAAACATTCCTCCTAGGTATTGCACTCAGCCCTGGGGGAACCAGGCTGTAAGCTAGGGGCCTGTAGCCAGGTCTCTGGTGCCATGCCAGGGCAGGGTGCCCCAAGATAAGGTGGAGATCCCCAAATACCTACACCTCTGCCTCAAGCACTCCATAGAGCTTAACAGCCCCAGCATTTAAATTGGATGTGGGCTGTTTATCATAATCTATGTTAATATCAGAGAGGTGCTTGAAAAATTGAGAGGTATTCCCATAAAGCCATGCATTTGAACTACTTCCTAAGCATGTATATATGGATCATCTCTTTTGGTCTTTGTAACAAACTCATGGGGTTCACTGAGCAGGTACAAGTCTCTTACCTTTGCAGGTGAAGAAACTGCAGTCAAAAGGTGATGCATTTTGCTCATGGTCACAAAATTAGCATGTGGTAGTGTCAAGGTGAAACCCAGAGGGTTCATCACTAAACTGACCTATTGTATCAAGGACTTACTCAGCTTAGACATCCATCGATGCCTGTGAGCATACAACTGCACGACTAATTTTGCTGCCTGGACATCGTTTCCTGTCATATACACCTTAGCTTATCCATCCCATCTCACTGCTGAGTGTATTTCTTAGTAACCATGAGATTATTAAAGAAAACATAAGTTTAAAAGGACAGGTAATTATAATCTTTTCCTTTCACACTTCAAATTAACACTTGGTACAAATGATACACTCCCAACTCTGTAGCGGAGTTTGCTACCAGTCTCCCGAGCCGTGTAGAAAAAAGGAAGATCCCAAGGACTCAGCCTTCCACCTCTTTGGCACTTCCTCAAAGCCAATATACTGGACCTCCCGATATATTCCAAGATAGGATTATATTAACATATTATTTCATCTAAGATTAGAAGAGTAATTATTAACAGGAAGACGTGTTCATTAAGAAAAAATTTTAAATATGGAAAAATATAAAAATGAAATCACCCATAATTCCACCTTATGTGTATGTGTGTATATATCTATGTTTATATATGTATGTATGTGTGTATTTGCGTGGGTGTGTTTCTGTGCTTTTCTTCTTCCTGTGCTTATGAAGCTTGTGGTCCTAACCCTCTTCCACACATGCTCACACTCCGTGGGCAGGAGGAACACAAATCCTCATGCGGCTTCCTTTCTACTTATGGAGTGCAGTGTGGGGACACCATGCCTAGGAATCTTATGTGGCCTTAGATGCAGAAAAGTGGCTGTTTCAAAATTTCTTCCTGGTTTTTGTGGGCATCATGGGTTGAGGGCTTTATAATTGTGTTCCCTTCTTTAAAAGTGGAAAGGCTGTTGGGCGCGGTAGCTCACGCCTGCAATCCCAGCACTTTGGGAAGTGGAGGCAGGCAGATCTCAAGGTCAGAAGTTCAAGACCAGCCTGGCTAGCATGGTGAAACCCTGTCTCTACTAAAAATACAAAATTTAGCTGGGCTTGGTGGCGGGCGCCTGTAATCCCAGTTACTTGGGAGGCTGAGGCAGGAGAATTGCTTGAACCCGGGAGGCGGAGGTTGCAGTGAGCCGAGATCATGCCATTGCACTCCAGCCTGAGTGACAAGAGCAAGACTCCATCTCAAAAAAAAAAATAAATAAATAAATAAATAAAGGGGAAAGGCTCTGGGGGACTGCCAATTCCCCAGATAGACCACTGTTTATCAGCAAAGACCAGTTTTTACTGACCAAATATGGGAGAGTACTGCCTTGAACAAGTTTTAGTTTGTCTTAGAAAGAGGAGGTCCAGGGTTTGGGGGTCTGGATTCCAGTGTTGCAGGCAGGTTTTGTCATCTGATATCTTAGGATTGGTGGACACTGAGAGGCTAGAGGCTTGGAGGTAGTCTTCCTAAGTAAATGGATGTTTGATAAAGCAAGAGGGTTTTTCCAGCTGGGCAACCTGTTGTCTTAAGAGAGATGATGTCTACCCAGATGAGCATCCAATTGGCCTGGGCAGAATAAATGGGTTTTCATGAAGTGCCTGAGGTTAACAATGAAGTTATTTACTGGTTTACAGCTTTATCTTCCTGGGCAAGAATTTTCTGGAACAAATGGTAAAGTCATATTGGACCTTGGTTCCTAGTCCCTGATCACCAAATTTAAACAACCACCAAACTCAGTAGCAGCGTGGAGGAGTGACTGAGCCCCAAGAAAACATTTGGCAATGTCTGGGGACATTTTTGGTTATCTTCACCGGGAAAAGGTGCTTCTGACATCTAATTCACATAGCTTAGGAGTGCTGTTCAACATCTTACATAGCACAGGACAGACCACCACCCCTGCAACATAGAATTATCCAGGCTAAAATATCAAAAAAATCAAGGTAAGAGACTCTGACCTGTAAGAAAATGAAGTTTCACTCCGAGGACATTTGAAGAGGGAAAGGAGAAACAGGGACCAGAGGGCAAGAAATAAAGTTAGGAACCATGAGGGGACCCCCTGGGAAGGGGCCAACTTAAAAAGAAGTCTGGGACCGACCATATGACTGAGTACATCATATTATTAGTGATGTTTTATGGTCAATACTGTAGTAAAGCATTTGCCTACATCATTAAATATTTTTTGAAAACATGGCTTTTAATGGTTTAATAATATCTTCATGTATGCCTGTACCATAACTTTTTAACTAAGTCCTTATTTTTTGCAGGCAGAGTGTTTCTGATTTTCTGATGTTGTCAGCCGTAGAGCAATGAACACTTATCAATACATCTTTGTGAACATCAGGTTGTTTCCTTAAATTCTTAGACATAAAATCGTTACATGAAAGGACATATATGTTTTCTATCTTTTGATATATGTTGCCAAATCCGTTTTCAGAAAGACTCCCCAATATACATTTCCAACAGAATTGATAGAGGGTCCTTGGGATTTTTTTTTCAATGTTTATGCTAAGGGACCAGTCACTACCATAAAAGATTTTTCTACCTGATCCTTCCCACTCTTTCTTCCAAAGAATGCATCAATTCAGAAATATTGTGCTACTATGGCTGCCTCAGCCTTCCAGATTCCAATTCTCCCTTTTATGGAATTATTAAGAGTAGTTGAAAGTTGAGAAAGCAATTACCTCCCTAATGATATCCTAGAAATCTGAACCTTTTAGTATAACGTCAAATGATTCCATTTGAAAAGAGGGAAGAGGAATTGATAAGCACCTAACATACCACCCCACCTTTCAAAATGGAAAAAGTAAGATCTAAAGAGAAGATGCTGCTAGTTTCACAGAACCAGGGGAAAGTTGAACCTAAAATCCAAATTCTTTATTCTTTATCCAGTGCTATTTCTGCTGAGTCCAGCTTCCAAAAAATACAGATAAAAAATACTTTAACATGTGACATTTTCATAGATAAAGAAAATTGGGCTCAGAAGAGTTAGGCAGCTTACTTCTGATGACAGAGCTGGTAAGTGGCAGAGCTGGACTCCAACAGCTTCTATCCAATTTGACTAGTTGGATAGATGATCTGACTTGACTAGCTGGATCTGATGATCCAGAAAGCGAATAGTCCATAGTTAACTTATTCATAGAAAAGCCTCAGGTGAAAAGATGATGCTCTCTTTCATATTAATGAATATTATAATATGGAGTTAAATCTAAATTAATTAACTAGTGGATTCCCTTTATAATAGAAAAATTTATGGTGTACACTGTGTTGCTATCATTCTAGCCAACACAGTCTACAAATTTACTGTCTTACAGGGTGGTCACTAGACATGTGGAGTTACTGAACACTGAAAATGCAGCTAGTTCAAGTTGAGATGTGCTGTAATGTACACTACAAAATAAACTTCAAGGACTCAGTATGAAAAAATAAATGTAAAATAACTTGTTAATAGTGTTTACATGATTAGATGAAATAAAATTAATTGTTAAAATTCATTTTAGCTGCTCCTTTTTCCTTTATTTACTGTGGCTACTAGAATTTTTTTTTTTAATTTCTGTGTGGCTTATATTATGTTTCTATTGGACAGCACTGGTCTAAACTACTTGCTAATTCTGTGATCAAGTCATCTCAACCATCATCCAGCAGAAAGGGCCCTAAAGATGGAGAGTAATTTGATATCTGATCATCAAAACTGTTGACAACACCTAGAATCTTAAACTGTTAGTTCTGGAAGGAACCTGTGGCAGAAACTTCTAATTGTTCTACAATACCCATTATCCTCTTCTCTCGGAATCACGGAACCCCAGTTTTTAGCTGGCAACGTATATCAGCTAAGAATATAGACTCTATTTCTGTATTTCCTAATCTACCTTGCAGATTGGGTGAGCCCATGTGACAAACTTAAGGCCAAGGGAATGTGAGCTGAAGTACTATGTGCAGCTTCCAGGTTACATATTTAATCATTAGATATTTTGCTTGGCTTTGTATGTTTTCCTGCTTTAGGAAAAATATAAAGGATCCTGGACCCTGGAGGATTTCTTGGAGTAGAGACACCTATAGCCTATCTTGAGACCTCTACATGAGGAAGAAGGACGTTTCCATCTTCCTTTAATACAACTAATTTAGTCTTAATTAATACAGATCCTGGAGGTCGTTTTTGTTCAACACTCCAACATTACAGGATAATTATATATCAGAGAGGACTACAATTACCTAAATTCACACAGCAACTTAGCATGAGCTGGGTCTTGAACCTAAAGCTTCTTATTATTTATCCTTCCCTACCATGCATTGCACTCAGCTATCTTATCCAATTTACAGTCTATAAAAATACATTCCAGAAGATGTGATGCATAAATGAACTATTATCCTTTGGATCTTAGAGATAAGAATTTCAGTTTGCTCATATATTTTTGTTTTGAACTGCATCCTTAAAACAATGATTTGTGTAAACTACCCATGATGCAATATTAGCTTACTTAAGCGAGAGACACACAGTCATAAAATAAACTTATTCATGACATCTCGCTGGAGGCACTAAAACAATAAAATGTAATCCTGATGTCACTTGCTACCTCCCTGCCCTTTAAAATCCAGATAAGGCTGGCTCAAACGATCAACTCCATGCTTCATGGAAGACCAAAGCCTGCAGATTTCTGGGAAAGAAAAAGGGGAGACGGGAGCATGGGGGATTTGTATTCTGATGTCTCCAAATCTAGGTTTCTGATTCTGCAAATGCTGTTTTGTCCACATGGCTACAATCCAGACGAGAAACCCCGCCTTTCTTCAATTTCTACACACCCATACACTCATCTTGCACAAAGAGCTAATAAGTATAGTGCACTTACTTGAAGATTTATTTAGTAGCTAGAAAAAGGATTATTATATCACAACAACTTCAAATTGGACATTAGGCATCCCCCTTGTGAAGCCCTCCTTTGGCCACTGTCTTAGTTTGGGCTGCCATAGCAAATTACTATAGACTGGATGGCATAAACAGCAAACACTCATTTTCTTACAGTTATGGAAGCTAGGAAGTCCAAAATCAAGGTACCAGCAAAGCTGGTATCTGATGAGGACACTCTTCCTGGTTTGCAGACAGCTACTTTCTCATTGTATCTTCACATGCAGAGACAGACAGAGATCTTGTGTTCCCTCCTTATTTTATAAGGGCACTCATCCCATCATAAGGGCCCCATCTTCATGACCTCATCTAACCTTCTCTACCCCTCAAAGGTCCCGCCACCAAATACCATCACATTGGGAATTAGTATTTCAATATGTGAATTTGAGGTGGACACAAATATTCAATCCATAACAACCACCTTATCATAAGGCAATTCCATAAGATGCTCTTCCCAGGGTCACTACTAGGCCATAGGGACACCTCCTTCAAGTGCAGACCCAGAAAATACGACTTAGGGATCAGGACACTGGTTTAATTGCAAACCCAGCCAGCTGCCTCAGCCAACCAGTTGAGCAAAGGCAACTTGCACAACAATGCATATTGTTGTAAAGCTCTACCTCTGTTTACCCTGTGGAGTCCTCAGCCATAGACCATCTTTCTAGTCCCTCCTTCTCTCATCCCCTTGTAAACCACTGACCTCTCCTATTCCCCATATATCTCTTAACTCCTCTTATATTCTCAGGTTGGACAGCTTAGCTATAGCTTTCCTTTTGCTTGAACTCCTGACAACCCCTTTGGGGTCTTACCTGCTACTCAGAGAGGCTTCACATATGATCTTTCAAATAAGAAGGACTCCTTCTACTACATCCTAATGTCAGTAGATGTTAGTGCCCCCTCCCCAAATTCATATGTTGAACCCAAATCTGCAGTGTGATAGTATTTGCATGTAGGGCCTTTAGAAGGTGATTATTAGATCGTTAGGGTAGAACCCTCATGCATGAGAGTAGTGTCCTTATAAAAGAGACCCCAGTGAACTCCCTTGCTACATCCACCATGTGAGGATGCAGTGAGAAGACAGCAGTCCATGAATGAGGAAGCAGGCCCTCACCAGACACCAAATCTTCCAGCAACTTGATCCTGGGCTTCTTAGCCTCCAAAACTGTGAGAAATCACTGTTCGTTGTTTATGAGCTACCAGTCTGTGATATTCTGTGACAACAGCCCAAGCAGACTTAGATACACTTCACAGATGAATTCTGGTATAAGCTGTCAAGATATTAAAAAGTTCTCTAACTTAGAAAGCAAAAATATATAGTACCTCCAGGCTCTGTCTTTCGCAGAGGGAAATACACAAATATACCTCCTGAAAAGCTAAGTCTGGGACATTTCCCAGAGGGTGGGTGAGATCACAAAGTCCAGACAAATGCCCTGTTATGTGGTTGTTTCTCTTCAGTCTATACCCATCAAAGGGCTTACTGGCCTCTGTTTGATGGACAGTCATTATCTCCCAAGGCAATTGCTGTATCTTCTATCATTGGACCTAGTTCCATCACAAGATGGATACTTTCTATAGAATATGTCCATAGCATAGGTCCAAATGTTTTAACATGGAATTCAAGACTCTTTACACTTTGGAGACCACCAAATCTCCAGCCTTGTTTGCATCTTCTGCCCTTTGTAACCTCCTTTTCATGCCTCTCACTTTTGTATACGTTGCTGTTTCTGCCCTGCCTAGAATTCTTTGTCACCTTTCTAAAACTAGAAAAATTCTGTTATACCATAAAATGTACTGCAACTTCCCCAGGCAGAGTAGTTCACTTGCCCCTTTGTTTTCCTAGAGCTCCTCCTCCAAATCTTCATTATAGCCCACACTAGACCACATTGGAATGCTTCCTTAAATCCTCTGTTGCAGAAGAACTGCATCACCTATTTCTCCAGCTCTCAGAACACAGCCTAAAATACAGTGCCTAAGATACACTGGTTTGGATTGTTACACAACGACTGTATCCCCTCTTCTCCAAGACAGTCCTCAAACACACAAAAACAATGACCTTGCCCATCTGTAGTCATCTCTTCTCTGGCCAGCCCTTAGTACCTTCCACTGGTCTTTATGTAGCATGGACTCCATCCTTGTCTTCTTTACCTGGATATGTTTCTATTTCCTAACTCACTCGGATAAGTGGGATTCAATGTCATGTTCCAGAGAGAGCTCTGCAGAGCCCCAAGGACCATACCTCAAAGAGATAAATTATTGTGCTTAACTAATTGTTCAAGATTTCATTCCCCTACTGGAGCAGAGACAGGGTAGCTCAGATCAGGACGAGCTAGACCTCTAGACCTACCTCCACAGGTGTACCCTATAGGGCCCTTGGGTACACCTGCCCTGCACCTGGCTTCCTCCAGAGTCCTCACAGCTCTGAGCTGTCCTGTACACCCTACTTTCACAACTGCCAACTTTTTTCAACTGTTTCTCAGATTTTTAAAATTGACTATTTAAAATTATTGTACAAATTAATGCACAATTATTATAGAACCTATAAAATACAAATAGAGCTTAAGAAGAAAATAAATATCATCCAAAAATCTCACCCTTAAAGATAACACTACTGGCATTTTGACATTCTTCCAGATTCATTTTCTGCATAGATAGAAAGATATTTACATTTTTAATCAAATTCTATCATCCCATACATGCCATTTTGTAAACTGTATTTTTGTGGAAAAATTATGTTGTCACAAACACCTGTCCAAGTCATTAAAAATATATCTTACATGGGTATTCTTAGCGTAGTGTCTCATGGATTGGCTTCAGGTAAATTGAAGGACCTTCTGAAATTGTAAGCTGACATTTATGTGTATGTGCATAACTTTTTCTGGGGACAAGTTCTATGGCTCTTGAAGCCTTAAAAGGTTCTATGTGGCCGGGTGCAGTGGCTCATGCCTGTAATCCCAAAACTTTGTAAGCACGAGGCAGTAGGATCACTTGAGACCTGAAGTTTGAGACCAGCCTAGAAAGTATAGCCAGACCTCATCTCTATGACAAAAAAAGTTTAATTAGCTGGGCATGGTGGTGTGCACCTGTAGTCCTAGCTACTGGTGAGGCTGAGGTGGGAAGATCTCTTAAGCCCAGGAATTCGAGGTTTCAGTGAGCTATGATTGCACTACTATATTCCAGCATGAGTGACAGAGCAAGACCCTGTCTCTAAAAGAGGGGGGGTGTCTATGAACCAAAAATTATTAAGAACAAATGACCCATCATCGTTTTTATTGACTGTATAATATTCTATTTTGTAGCTGCGTCATACTTTATTTTTTAATTTCCTATTAGACATTTAAGGCGTTTCCACTGCATCAAACTCACAAGCAATTCTGCTATGGCTATTCCCAGAAATACATGTGCTCAGACCCATTAAGATCTCTTTCAGATTAAGCCCCAGACTAGGATTTACTTGCCTAATAGACATTAATCTTTTTAAGGTACTTCTCTGGTTCTTATTTGGTTTTATTTGGAGATTCTATTCTTTAGTTTTCTAAGTGTAACTCTGTAACCAATTATCCCAAGTAGTCCCAAAAGCCAATTTTTTCCTATCTTGCTTTCAGCCTTGAAACATATTTTGAAGCTCTTTGTTTCTCCCTTTTCCACCAGGTACATTCGTGAACAGTACTCACTTACCTAATTCTGTTCTTGCTTAGAAATTCCACAGGCCAATTTTGAAACAAACCAGGCAGAAAGACCCAGCTACAGAATCCTCCTGCTTAAGGGGAGTTACAAACATTTAGCCCATCACTACCGGGCTGAAGTCAGGGTGACTCAAACCAGACCTCCAGATGGGCAATTACTGAAGACAGCCATTGGAACAAGATGTGCAAACCTGCACCCGCACCCTAGTGCACCACTCCCGCATGTTCCACACACATTTTCCTTCTTTTTTTTTTATTATTATACTTTAAGTTCCAGGGTACATGTGCACAATGTGCAGGTTTGTTACATATGCATACATGTGCCATGTTGGTGTGCTGCACCCATTAACTTGTCATTTAACATTAGGTATATCTCCTAATGCTATCCCTCCCCCCTACCCCCACCCCACGACAGGCCCCGGAGTGTGACGTTCCCCTTCCTGTGTCCAACTGTTCTCATTGTTCAATTCCCACCTATGAGTGAGAACATGTGGTGTTTGGTTTTTTGTCCTTGCAATAGTGTGCTGAGAATGATGGTTTACAGCTTCATCCATGGCCCTACAAAGGACATGAACTCATCATTTTTTATGGCTGCAAAGTCTTCCATGGCGTATATGTGCCACATTTTCTTAATCCAGTCTATCATTGATGGACATTTGGGTTGGCTCCAAGTCTTTGCTATTGTGAATAGTGCCACAATAAATATACGTGTGAATGTCTTTATAGCAGCATGATTTATAATCCTTTGGGTATATACCCAGTAATGGGATGGCTGAGTCAAATTGTATTTCTGGTTCTAGATCCTTGAGAAATCACCACACTGTCTTCCACAATGGTTGAACGAGTTTACAGTCCTACCAACAGTGTAGTGTTCCTATTTCTCCACATCCTCTCCAGCACCTGTTGTTTCCTGACTTTTTAATGATTGCCATTCTAACTGGTGTGAGATGGCATCTCACTGTGGTTTTGATTTGCATTTCTCTGATGGCCAGTGATGATGAGCATTTTTTCATGTGTCTTTTGGCTGCATAAATGTCTTCTTTTGAAAAGTGTCTGTTCATATCCTTTGCCCAATTTTTGATGGGGTTGTTTGTTTTTTTCTTGTAAGTTTGTTTGAGTTCTTTGAAGATTCTGGATATTAGCCCTTTGTCAGATGAGTAGATTGCAAAAATTTTCTCCCGTTCTGTAGGTTGCCTGTTCACTCTGATGGTAGTTTCTTTTGCTGTGCAGAAGCTTGTTAGTTTAATTAGATCCCATTTGTCAATTTTGGCTTTTGTTGCCATTGCTTTTGGTGTTTTAGACATGAAGTCCTTGCCCATGCCTATGTCCTGAATGGTATTGCCTAGGTTTTCTTCTAGGGTTTTCATGGTTTTAGGTCTAACATTTAAGTCTTTAATCCATCTTGAATTAATTTTTGTATAAGGTGTAAGGAAGGGATCCAGTTTCAGCTTTCCACATATGGCTAGCCAGTTTTCCCAGAACCATTTATTAAATAGGGAATCCTTTCCCCATTTCTTGTTTTTGTCAGGTTTGTCAAAGATCATATGGTTGTAGATGTGTGGTATTATTTCTGAGGGCTGTGTTCTGTTCCATTGGTCTATATCTCTGTTTTGGTACCAGTACCATGCTGTTTTGGTTACTGTAGGCTTGTAGTATAGTTTGAAGTCAGGTAGCGTGATGCCTCCAGCTTTGTTCTTTTGGCTTAGGATTGACTTGGCGATGCGGGCTCTTTTTTGCTTCCATATGAACTTTAAAGTAGTTTTTTCCAATTCTGAGAAGAAAGTCATCGGTAGCTTGATGGGGATGGCATTGAATCTATAAATTACCTTGGGCAATATGGCTGTTTTCATGATATTGATTCTTCCTATCCATGAGCATGGAATGTTCTTCCATTTGTTTGTGTCCTCGTTTATTTCATTGAGCAGTGGTTTGTAGTTCTCCTCGAAGAGTCCTTCAAGACTAAACCAGGAAGAAGTTGAATCTCTGAATAGACCAATAACAGGCTCTGAAATTGAGGCAATAATTTATAGCCTACCAACCAAAAAAAGTCCAGGACCAGACAGATTCACAGCTGAATTCTACCAGAGATACAAGGAGGAGCTGGTACCTCTGAAAATATTCCAATCAATAGAAAAAGAGGGAATCCTCCCTAACTCATTTTATGAGGCCAGCATCATCCTGATACCAAAGCCTGGCAGAGACACAACCAAAAAAGAGAATTTTAGACCAATATCCTTGATGAACATCGATGCGAAAATCCTCAATAAAATACTGGCAAACCGAATCCAGCAGCACATCAAAAAGCTTATCCACCATGATCAAGTGGGCTTCATCCCTGGGATGCAAGACTAGTTCAACATACGCAAATCAATAAACATAATCCAGCATATAAACAGAACCAAAGACAAAAACCACATGATTATCTCAATAGATGCAGAAAAGGCCTTTGACAAAATTTAACAGCCCTTCATGCTAAAAACTCTCAATAAATTAGGTATTGATGGGACATATCTCAAAATAATAAGAGATATTTATGACAAACCCACAGCCTACATCATACTGAATGGGCAAAAACTGGAAGCGTTTCCTTTGAAAACTGGCACAAGACAGGGATGCCCTCTCTCACCACTCCTATTCAACACAGTGTTGGAAATTCTGGCCAGGGCAATCAGGCAGAAGAAAGAAATAAAGGGTATTCAATTAGGAAAAGAGGAAGTCAAATTGTCCCTGTTTGCAGATGACATGATTGTATATTTAGAAAACCCCATTGTCTCAGCCCAAAATCTCCTTAAGCTGATAAGCAACTTCAGCAAAGTCTCAGGATACAAAATCAATGTGCAAAATCACAAGCATTCTTATACACCAATAACAAACAAACAGAGAGCCAAATCATGAGTGAACTCCCATTCACAATTGCTTCAAAGAAAATAAAATACCTAGAAACACCTTTTCCTTCTTAAACCCCTTCACTCAGCTGAAAATGTTGGAATGGTCTTTCAAAGGCATGAGCCTGGCCATCCCTCAACTGCTAGCATTTGGTTAATAAAACTCCTTTCCTTTCACCACACCTCACTTCATGTCTTTGGTCTCTGAGCAGCAAGCAGCCAGACTTGAGCCACAGCTCCGGACCATTTGGGGCTCTGCTCAGAAGCCCCTCCTAAACTCAGAAGCGTGTCATCCCATCAAGTCTGCTTTCACCCAATCACCTTCCACTGAACACTCAAATTAACAGATTTCATAGCATGCTCCTTCTGGTTTCTTTCAGCTGTAGGCAGCTTCATTGAATAGAACTGAGACAGAGCATTGGACTTCGTCTCAAAACATTGAGACATTGTCTCAAAACAGTGAGAGGGCTTTCTCTCACTGCTGTTTCTGCTGGGTGAGGGTATAATGCAGTTGTTGTCCATCTTAGCTTGCTTCTGTGTACCAAGCCACCCATCATTAAAGCAAGCTGAGGTTTTTACTTCTTTCCTGAGCTTATCATAAGAGACTTCCTCATCACCATCCACCTGCACTTATGCATCCATAGGTGTAAACTAAGGGAGAGATGCTAATGCAATGAAGGTACATGGCATGGGGATCTGAGTCACATGTTTGTGTAGCTTATGTGTAGGTAGACTCAGGCCTTAGTACTTATTATCCCATACTACTACTTCTGCCTTACAATGGATTGCTACTGGGTCCACACAACCTTATAACTTGATGAGTCTGACAGAAATCAGGACCTCATTTCATGATGGCAGTGCTGGCCACAAGGTCACTTGACCCACGGTAATGTGTACTATCTCTACATGGGCTTCCAAGTAGAAAAACAGGAACTGTCTTTCTAGGAGTGTAATTCTCCATTGCAAATGGCATAGTTGTGGGAGTTTATGGTCCAAGCATCAGGGACTTTTGCACCAAAATCTAGACCTGCTGTACAGCACTTTCTAGCTGCAAGCTCCCCTCAAACCCGGAAGCCTTTTGTATCAGTCAATAGTAATATTCCCAGTGTGGAATATACTGCCTCCAAAACCCAAAGAGGGCAGATATGCTTCCTTCTTTGTGGTGGGAAGTATGAGATGCAATCATTCTAACTACATTTTGGAGGGAATGTCTGAGCATACTCAATAAATTAGACCTCTAAGAATTTTTTTGATGTAGTAGGCCTATGAGTCCTCATAGGATTTATCTCCTATTCCCTGGAGTGCATGTCTAATCAGCCCCTCTAGTGTACTTAACAGTTATTGCTTATATTGCCCAATTATCACGACATCATAAATACACCAGTGTGATATTTTTTCTAATGTTCAGATGGTTCAGATTTCCTCAGACTTACATTATGACAGAGGTCAAGAGATTTAACATAGCCCTGGGGCAAGACTAAACATATACTGCTGTATGTTCCAAGTGAATACAAACTGCATTTCATTCCCTTTTCTAACAGGAATGGAAAAGAACACGTTTGTCATACCAGTGGCTACATGCCATATATCAGACCTTGTTAATTTATTCTATAAAACATGCAACATCTTGTAAAACAGCTGAAATAAAGTTTCCTGCTATGCTGAGTTTGTAGTACTGTGTGTCATTCTCCGGAAACCACCTGGATTTTATAGGGAACCACCTGATGAATTGATGCAGATATGATGGAGACCACCTAACCTGTGTCCTTTAGGTCTTTAAGGGTGATATTGATCTCTGTCACTCCCCAAAACATGCAATATCAACTGAAACTAGAAAGCATTTTGAATGAAATGATAATGAAACACAACATATCAAAATTTGAGGGAAGCAGCTATCACAGTGCTTAAAGGTAGAAGCTTAATTTTTAATTCTTTTCTAATGTTAACATTTATAGATAAAATTCTAAGTTACAGTTCAAAATATTTTCTAGTTTCCTTTCTGTCATCTTTTTGGACCCATGGATTGTTTAGAAGTGTGTCGTTTTTTGGACAAAAAAATGATAATTTGGGTATTATCATTTTGTTTTTCATTTCTAATTTAATTCTACTGTTGATACATAATATGCTCTTACACTGCCTGATTTTAGTTCTTTTAAATTTATTGAGAATTATTTCATGATCCAATGGACAGTCTACCTTAGTAAATGTTTCATGAGCTCTTCGAAGAATGTGAATTCTACAGTTGTTGGGTGGAGAGTTCTATTATTAATGTCAATTAGATTAATTTGGTTGATATTGTTCAATTCTTCTATATTTGGTGATTTTCTGTCTTTTTTTGTCGACTACTTGAAAAGGAATGTTGGAGACTACAAATATAATTGTGAATTTGTCTAATTCTTCTTCGAGTTGTGTTCATTTTTGTTTCATGTATTTTAAAGCTCTGTTAATTGGGTACAAATTAGGATGGTTATGTTTTCTTGATGTTCACATCATTATAAAGTATCCCTCTTTAGTCCTGATAATATTCCTTCCTTTGAATTCTACTTTATCTGATATTAATATATCCAGTCCACCTTTCTTATGATTGGTATATGCATATTGTATCTTTTTCAGTACTTTTCATTTTAACTTATCTGTATATTTATAAATAGTTTCCTTATAAGCAGCATATAGTTGGTCTTGCATTTTATCCAATCTGAAATCTCTGCCTTTTAATGGGAGCATTTAGACTATTTATACTCAATATAATTATTGACATAATTGGGTTTAAATTTATCTTTTTGTTATGTGTTTTGAATTTATCCCATATGCTCTTTCTTCCCCTTTTTCTTCTTTCCTACCTCCTTTTGGATTAATTGCATATTTTCTATCATTCTATTTTAAATCCACTATTGACTTATAAGCTATACTTTTTTGTTTATTTCTTTGTTCACTAAGGTTCATAACATGCATCTTAATTTTATCACAGTCTACTTTCAATTAACATTATATCACTTCACATATAAATTTAAAATCTTGCAACAGTATTCACTTCCTAATATACTGTGAGTTATTTTATTATAAAATTTATTCTTACATAGCTTAAAATTCTCAATACATTGGTATGATTTTTGCTTTAAACAATCAATTATTTTTAAGAACTATATAAATTTAACAAATAAAAAAGTATTTTATATTTACCATGTCTGGAGCTTTTTATTTTTGTGTGTAGATCCAAGTTTTCATCACTTATTTTTCTTCCATTTAAGGACTTAAATTTTTAAAAAACATTTCTTGTTATGCAGGTCTCCTAGCCACAAATTTTCTGGTTTTTTTTTTTTCCAGAAAAAAAAAATTATTTTGCCTTTAATTTTGAATAATGTTTTGGTCAGATATACAATTTTAAGTTTATAATTTCTTTCAGCATTTTAAAGATGTTTTTCCATTCTTCTGAAATACATAGTTTCTGAGGGGAAATTAATTTGTATATTTGTTTCTTTATGCATATTTTTTCTATTTTTAAGGTTTTTCTCTTCACTTGTTTTCAGGAATTTAATTAATATGGGTTTTTTGTGTGGCTTTCTTTGTGTTATTTCAGCTTGAGGTTTATTGAGTATCTTGGATCTGTGAATTTATATTTTTTATGAAATTCATAAAATTCCTAGTCATTGTCCTTCAAATATAAATGTTGATATAAGTAGCTAACATTTGATAAATGTACATTTTAAATCAGCAGCAAAAATATGTATATAAATGCTATAAATTAAGTGGTTTGGAATAATGAGCTATCTCTTTTTTCAAAAAAAAAATGGATCTTTTCCTCACTTCATTCACAAAAACAAATTGGTTTTATATTAACAACCTCATGTAAAAAATGGAAATATAACAGTTTTCAGTGAAAATAAAAGGATTAGTTTAGATACTTAGTATAAAATATTCAAGTTGTTGATCAAGCAAACCCTGTATTTATACAAAAATTAACTAGTGGCCAACTAGGTAGGCACTCCCTGATCATCACCCAAAATCAAATCTACCATACATGATTGTGAAGTTTATGGTAAGCAAGCTCAAAATATTTTTATTAGCTGTTCTTGAAAGAAAAATTATGAAATTATGAAAGTTGTGTACTCTTTTCTTTTTTTTTTTTTTTTTTTTTTTTTTGAGACTTTTTCACTCTGTCACCCTGGCTGGCATGCAGTGGTGAAATAATAGCTCACTGCAGCCTCAACCTCTTGGGCTCAAGTGATCCTTCTTCTTCAGCCTCCCAAGTAGCTGGGTCTACAGGCATATGCAACCATGCCCAGCTAATTTTTAAGTCTTTTACAGAGACTGGATTTCACTATGTTGCCCAAGTTGGCCTCAAACTCCTGGCCTCAAACAATCCTCCCAACTCTGCCTCCCAATGCTGGAATTACAGGAGTGAGCCACTGTGCCCAGCCCTCTTTTGAAAATGTTCCCGTGTATTAAGTTCAGCTACAACAATTTGTAAACCAAAAATAAGAGTGTTTTAAACAAAATAGAAATATATCTGTCTCTCATGCTTATGTAAACATACACAGTTAAAAGCCTGCATAGAGGCTTGACTATTGGCAGATAACCTGGACACCATGCTTCTCAATGCACTGCAATTCTCAACATGTAACTCCATTTTATGATCCAAGTTCCAAATATCTTACCCATTTATCCATTTTATCTTAGTCAGCCAGAAGGAGATATTGGAAGGAGAAAATTATGTCCTCTCACTCTAAGATTTCCTGGAAAAAAAAAAAGTCAACATTAATTCTATTTCCATCCCATTGGTCAGAATTGAGCACATCTAGCTGCAAGGAAGTCTGGGAAATGTAGTTTGTTCTGGGCTTCTGTATCCAGGTGATTCTAGGTGGTGCATTATTGAGGAAGAAGTGGAGAACAAATACTCGGGGACAAGCAGCCTTTCTGCATTATTTGTTCTTTCTTTCAACAAAATTGTTTGGCTCCCTATCTACAAGACACTAGTGATGGCCCCTAAGATGTAGGATGAACAAGCATACAGCCCACCCCCACCTGAATCTTACAGTCTAGTGAATGCATAAAACTTGAGTAACTAAGAACACATATCTTCTGTACCATTTTTGCAGCCTATTTTCAACCAGTTCTTTGTGGACATTCTGTTTAATCCCTATAAATGAGTAACGCTATCATTAAGCCTCTACATAGAACTTCACATTACATTAGGCACTCAGTATTATCCTTGAGTCTTAAAACAAAAGAAAGCTTCAGAGATCATTTAATTGTTTGTGGTTAAGAAAACTGAGGTCCAGGGACAAAGGGATTTACCCAAGGTCCCTCCCTTAATCTCTTTGTTGTCAACGACTCAGATCTCTGTCTGCAATCACCTCAGAGTGTCAGGACCTTAAATTTCAAGAAGTAAAAGCTGAGCTTTCCTCAGGATTCCCCAACTGTATATGAGTCATAGGGAAAAACCCCTGGGGACAGCCATCAACCAATCTGCTGTTTCAACAATGCAGCTTGCTAAATATTCTATTATAATTTCTCATTATGCAATGGGAACAGAGCCCACCCAGACTGCTGAAATACCTCTTGAGCCAACCTCTGTGCCTAGAAAGAAACCAGTTAGTTGGACATGCTAGATTTAATTCCCTACTATAACACTTATTAGCTGTGTGTCCTTGAGCACATTGCTTAACCCAGCCAAGTTTTAAATTTCTTATCTCTAACTGGGGGATTGTGGATGAAAAGAGTCAAACTCTGTAAAACACTTGAAGAGATTTATTCTGAGCCAAATATGAGTGACCACGGCCTATGACACAGCCCTCAGGAGGTCCTGAGAATATGTGCCCAAGGTGGGTAGGGTGCAGTTTGGTTTTATACATTTTAGGGAGGCATGAGACAGCAATCAAATACGTTTCAGAAATACATTGGTTTGGTTCAGAAAGGTGGGACAGACAAATCAAAGGGCAGGGGAGGCGGGGCTTCCAGGCTACAGGTAAATTTAAACATTTTCTGATTGACAATTGGTTGAGCTTGTCTAAAGACCTGGGATCAAAAGAAAGGAAATGTTCAGGTTAAGATAAAAGATTGTGGAGACCAAGGTTCTTTTGAAGTCATATAGTAGCTGCCCTTAGAGACAATAGATGACAAATGTTTTTTATTCAGACCTTTAAAAGGTGCTAGAGTCTTACTTAATCTCTTCAGGATTGGGAGGGCCTGGAAGAAAAATATCTGGCTATGTTAATAGAGATTCTTTACAGATGCACATTTTCCCCTACAAAGGACAGCTTTGCAGGACCATTTCAAAAAATGGCAAACAAACAAAGTAAAATATGTTTACTTCCTTCTTTGTCACATAATGTTATGCCAGAGTCATATTGGAAAGTCAGTCACGATATATAGGGTTAAATAAAACCCATCTGATGAGAATTTATGGTTTGTCGGGCATGACTCCACAGACTCCTTAGATAGGAATTTGGGCAAGATAAAAAAAAAACCAGAGCCTAGTCCTTAGGATGATTACCCCTATGCTATAGAACCAAAAGGATCAAGTAAAATATCATAAATAATAAGTTTAGTACAATAGCATACCTGTAAATGTTATTCTCATTCACTTACACTCATGCATCATTCTTCCAGGGAAACTTCCTTCTCAAAAACTATTTTGATTTATTCAACTACTTGTAATCCTTCAATGGCTCCCAATCACTTACAGGAGAAACTCCAAACCCACTGTCATAATTTTCAATTTCTTCTCTCTTTTTCTACAAAAAAAAAAAAAAAGCTGGGCCGGGCGCAGTGGCTCACGCCTGTAATCCCAGCACTTTGAAAGGCTGAGGCAGGCAGATCACGAGGTCAAGAGATCGAAACTATCCTGGCCAACATGGTAAAACACCGTCTCTACTAAAAATACAAAAATTAACTGGGCATGGTGGTGTGCACCTGTAGTACCAGCTACTTGGGAGGCTGAGGTAGCAGAATCGCTTGAACCTGGGAGGCAGAGGTTGCAGTGAGCCGAGATCGTGCCGCTGCACTCCAGCCTGGTGACAGAGGGAGACTCCATCTCAAACAAAAAAAAAAAAGGAGATTTGGCAAATCAAAGATGGAACTAAAACATAAGTCAATTGACTCCTGTTCTACTAATCCCTGAAAAATAACTATAGTAAAATGTAGAAAGTTCTACAAGAGAGATTAATACAGAACACTGGGGTAAAAATGGGAGTGTTGTTTGTCATAAGGTTGCTTACATTTTCCTAGCCTTTCCGTTTCAGAGACTGAAATACATCCTGAAAGATTTACTGTAGTTATTTCTAGGTGCAGAGTTGTAAGTGATTTTTAATAATTTTGTTGTCATTTTGAGTATTTTCCAATTTTTCTCTTTCTTTTTTTTTATTTTTTTATTTTTATAGAGACAGGGTCTTGCTATGTTGCCCAGGCTTGTCTCAAACTCCTGGCTTCAAGCAATCCTCCCGCCTTGGCCTCCCGAAGTGCTGTGGTTACAGGCATGAGCCATCACATTCAGCCCCAATTTTTCAACAGTAAAACACTTCTTACTCATCTAATAAAATAAAATATAATAATAGTAATAACATGTGCTTATAACTGAAGATTATCCCCAGCAGAGGAAATAATTAAGGGTGGGGTTTGTGAATGAAGTCAGGGAGATTTAATGGCAAGATAACCCCAGTGGTCCGTGGGGCCATAAGTGAGCATATATGACACAGAGACTCAACACCAGGTTATGCCGTCTCAAGTCTCAAGGTCATTTTTCTTTTTCTGAGACTCGGTGGCTACATCTTGAGGCAGGACCTGCAATTGAAAGGCAGTCTTCAGCTCTGATATAATCACTCATGCTCCAGCCAAATATGTCTCATTTAAACTGCAGTAGACCAATAATTGTTTGTTTTGTTTTGTTTTTGTCTGCTTGTTTTCTTAAGAGCTTTATGGAAATATAATTCACATACCATACAATTCACCCATTTATCCTTACATTTCATATAAATGGATTCATACAATATGTGGTACTTTGTGACTGGCTCCTTTCACTTAGCATAATATAATGTTTTTAACATTTGTTAAACATTAACATTATGTTTGGCCATTATAGAAAATGCTGCTAGGAACATTTATGTACAATTGCTTTTGTTGGATATATGTTTTCATTTCATTAAGAATACACCTAGTTATGTATCTCCCCTCTTTTTCCTTTCCAATGGGAAGAGTTATTTTGGTTTTGTGGTCTCTGTATATTAGGTATGTGAGAAGGGGAGCATAGAAAACCCCTCCTTTTAGTTTACAAATTACCAGAGTGAGAGAAGGCACATCCAGATCTAGTAAAGAGGCCACCTAGCATCACTTAGTCTACTTTGGACTTTTAGCTGATTCCAGAGACTGTATGAACTGTTGTGTTTTCTCTCTGTCTTGGGGTGGCATGATTGTCTTTTGCATGTAAGAAGGTCAGTGAACTAAATATTTGCTGACCAGAATAGCAGACTTTGGTCACTATTAATGTTTTCCACCAATGATTTCCAATTCTCCTACCAGAAACATTGCACTTCCTCATCCTCTTGAAATTGAGTGTGACTATGTGCCTTACTATGACTAGAAATGTGAGTGAAAGTGACCCTTCTCACTTCCGAGACAGTATACTATTTATACTTCTTTTTTCTTCTGCTGCCACATACCTAAGACTTCCATGAGGAAAACTTTAAAATAATAATAGATACAGAAGAGCTGAAAAATGGAAATATTCTAAAAACTTACATAGAGGAATAAAGGTCCATGAATATTTAAGTCGACTTAAAAAAAGAGGAGTAAAGAAAGGGGATTTCCCCTACTAGATACGACATGCTATAAAGCCATAGTAATTAAAAGAAAATAGAATTGGCATGAGAACAGATAAATAGACAAATCAAACAGAATAGAGAGTTTAGAAATAGACTCTAATTTAGAGTCTACATATTAAGTCTTTAAATGTACATGAAGTCTATTTAGAATCTAGTCTATATTTACAGATAGATTCTAAATAGACTTCATGTACATTTGAAGGCTTAATATATAACAAAGGTGACACCATACATCAATGGGAAAGAGTAGTTTCTAGCAGATGATGTTGGGAAATATCAGCCCACTGTGCTGACCCTGGACCTGTTTGACCCCAAATACAGTTCTTGCCCTCCTCTGCTTTATATCACAGGCTGCAGGCTGCAGGCTGCAGGCTACATTCCTAGTCTCTCTTGTCACCTGCCCTTCATCCAGTGAGGCCAACGGGAGGCAATGGAGAAGACTGCAGAGAAAGAGGAAGAAATAATCCAGGGTACTCTCTCCTACTTTTCATGCATTTGATGACATTTATGGCAGCAGTGGCATCCCTTTGTTCATTCCCATTCCCTCCAAAAACTCCTTCATGAATTCCAATTCTACCAAGTAGTCCCAAGTTCCAGTAACATTGGCTCCTCCTGTTCTTTACTATTAAGCCTAAGAGTGATAGTGGCTTCTTGCTGTTGCTAAGGTCTGGGTTGCCTCAGCATCTCCTGGTTAACTCACCAGATCTACCATCATTCACGTAACGAAGTCCCTGCATTAAATTTCTTTTGTTGTAAACACTAAAAATGACATGCATTTTTCTGAATAGGTCTGACTGATACACTTACCATGTGGAGAAAAATATATCTGAATCCCCACCTAACATCACATGCAAAAGGTGGACTCTAAAAGAATTGAAAATCTAAATATGAAGGCTAAAACTATAGTTAGTAGGAGAAAATATGGAAAAATGTCTTTGTAACCTAGGTATGCAAAAGCTAAAATTCCAAAAGCGCAAACCATAAAAAATTGACAAATTTGATTATATTGTAACTAAGGATTTTTGTTTAATGAAGAAGATAATTAAAGTTGAAGAAGACAATGTTAACAAATAGATGAGTGATTGAAAAAGTACATGTTTAAGGTCTAAAGTCAACAAGTGCTTAATATCTAAAATACATAAGAAAATTTTGTAAATCAGGAAGAAATAGATAGCTGCCCCAATATTAATAGAAATATGGTAACAGGATATAAACAGTCAATTTACAGATGAGAAAGCCTCAAAAGCTAACAAGTTTATGAAGAGGTGTTCAAAATCGTTAGCAATTAGAGAAGTGCAAATGATATTTTGGACCCAGAGAAAATGACATTTGCACTAGCCAAAAATCTAAAACTGTGTGAAAAAAACTAGATTAGCAGCAATGGGGAATATCATGGCCACCATTTCCATGGTGGACCACCCAGAAGGCAGCCATCCTAGAGGACAAACTGTCAATATTTAGCCTCAATCCATATGCACACAGCAGCAGTCTTTCTCCAGGGTATATAACACAAGGAATTCTCATATAGTTTTATCAGAGGACATTCCTGGGGATGTTCATTGCTATATTTCTTTTTATGGAGCGAGTGCTGGGGAGTCAGGGGAGAGATGGAAAATAACTTTGACAACCATGCCTGGAAGAATGAGTAGGTAAAAATCAGTAAAGCCACATCATAAAATACCATAAAATATCAGGCATGAGTTCAAAGAAATGGCTTAGATTACTTTCATAGCAACACAAATGGATCTTTAAAAAAAAAGATTTCCCTTGGCCAGGCATGGGGGCTCACACCTGTAATCCCAGCACTTTGGGAGGCCAAGGCAAGCAGATCAATTGAGGTCAGGAGTTCAAGACCAGCCTGGCTGACATGACAAAAGCCCATCTCTTTGTATTTAACCAAAAATTTAAAAAAAATTAGCCAAGCTTGGTGGCAGACACCTGTTGCAGGAAGTCAGGGACCCTGAACGGAGGGACCGGCTAGAGCCGCAGCAGAGGAACATAAATTGTGAAGATTTCGTGGACATTTAGCAGTTCCTGAATAATACTTTTATAATTTCTTATGCCTGTCTTACTTTAATCTCTTAATCCTGTTACCTTCATAAGCTGAGGATGTACGTCACCTCAGGACCACTATGATAATTGTGTTAACTGTACAAATTGATTGTAAAACATGTGTGTTTGAACAATATGAAATCAGTGCACCTTGAAAAAGAACAGAATAACAATGATTTTTAGGGAACAAGGGAAGACAACCATAAGGTCTGACTGACTGTGGGGTTGGGCAAAAAGAGCCATATTTTTCTTCTTGCAGAGAGCCTGTAAACATATGTGCAAGTAGGGAAGATATCGCTAAATTCTTTTCCTAGCAAGGGATATTAATATTAATACTCTGGGAAAGGAATTCATTCCTCGGGGGAGGTCTATAAACAGCCGCTCTGGGAATGTCTGTCCTATGCAGTCTAGATAAGGACTGAGATACGCCCTGGTCTCCTGCAGTACCCTCAGGCTTACTAGGATTAGGAAACTCCATCCTGGTAAACTTTTGGTCAGACCGATTCTCTGCTCTCGAATCCTGTTTTCTATTAAGATGTTTATCAAGACAATATGCGCACCACTGAACCTAGACCCTTGTCAGAAGTTCTGCCTTTTACCCTTTGTCCTGTTTCCTCAGAAGCATGTGATCTTTGTTCTGCTTTTTGCCCTTTGAAGCATGTGATCTACTCCCTGTTCTTACACCCCCTCCCCTTTTAAAACCCTTAATAAAAAACTTGCTTGTTTAAGGCTCAGGTGGGCATCACAGTCCTACTGATGTGTGATGTCACCCGCAGCGGCCCAGCTATAAAATTCCTCTCTTTGTACTCTTACTCTTTATTTCTCAGCCAGCCGACACTTATGGAAAATAGAAAGAACCTACGTTGAAATATTGGGGGTGGGTTCCCCCGATAGGCGCCTGTAATCCCAGCTACTGGGGAGGCTGAGGTGGGAGAATCGCTTGAACCCGGGAGGCAGATGTTGCAGTGAACCAAGAACGTGTCACTGCACTCCAGCCTGGGTGACAAGAGTGAAACTCCATCTAAAAAAAAAAAAAATGCCGTTGATGAAAAAAGTTAAAAATGAGAATGGATTACATTTATGAAGATTCAAAATAGATGCATATAAAATAATATGCATTGTGACAGAACACATACAAAGAAAGAGAGGGACATAAGCAAAGCAGCATCTTTCAGGCCTCCCTCCCTCCCTCCCATACTCCCTACACATCTATACTTTCCATGCCAACAATACTGAACTGTTTGTTGTTCCACAAACTCAGCATGTCTTTTCTCCACCATCTCCCTCTGTATGCACTGTTCCTTCCTCCAACCTTCCCATCTAATTCAATGAGGGATGGGCACACTGAATCTTTCTTATTGGGGAATCATCTGAGCTCACAGCTTGTTATTTGGAACAGAATAGTTGCTCAGTAAATATGGCTGACTTTAAACTCAGCTTGGACATCCTCTGCAGGCCTCTCTTGCACCACAAACCCCTTCCATTCTCCCTCAATCTTTTTGTGAAAATAGCTACAGATTGTTAGAAGATTGTACCTTCTAAAATCGCAGCATTATGCTACTAATCTGGAAGGCATACACTTGGAGGCCAACATTCTGGGAGCTCAAGTTGGGAAGAAGACTAAAGTGTAAAGTTTCCATAAGTTGACTTTCATTTAATCCCCCAACCATTTTCTATAAAGTACCCCTTCTTCCAACTGTGCCTGGTGTCCACCAGTCCAGAGCTCTTCTGATTCACTGCCTTCTGAGAGTAAACCTCCAGCTACATGCCAGGGCAAAGGAGAAGACATCACCTGATGTAGTGGGTAGGGTGGACCTAGAAGTTCTCTTGCTCTTTATACAGATTCTCAGTCACTCCTCCTTTTAGGCCCAATTTTACCTCATTCAGAAGTTCCAGAATCCAGAACTTTTCTGGGGCTCTGGTGTGCAAATCCCCTCGCTCTCCAGCTTCTGCTGCTTACAGCTCAGAATTCCCAGGTCTACAGAAGCCAGTTGGAACAGTTGCCTATCTGCTTTCTTATTTTCAATATTCTTATCATCCCTTCTACCCTTCTTTTTGTCCTTGAGGGTTTATGCTGCACACTATGCCAAAAGTTTAGCTGCTAGCATTGTGTTGTTATTTAAGAAGGTGCAAGGATAAATGAATTTGTTTAATATATCATCTTTAACCAAAAGCTGCCTATTTTCAGACATTTAAAAATTGTTAAAAATGTCTTCCTTTGAGGGAGGGAAAATTGGCAGGTTGAAAAGATCTACCTCCTATTCTTGTTTTGACACACAGATTTCTGATGTTAGAGAACACCTTGATGTTCCCCTCACACTTTGATTCCCTTTCTTCTCCAGGCTGTAGACAAGCTCCCCTCCAGTACTTATTAAAATTATTGTATTTGTAACCAATGGAAAATATACCTGGAAAACATGTGAAAAGTGGGGTTGGAATGAGGATGGAAGGTGGTGGGTGCACTGGAAGAACACAGAGAGCTCAGTTACCTTCTCCTAGGTCAGTGGTTCTCAAGGCTCACTCCCTAGATAAGCAGCATCAGCATTACCTGGGAACTTATTGAAATGAAACTTCTCAAGCTCCACCCTAGACCTGCTGCGTCAGACACACTGGTGATGGGATCCAGAACTCTATTGTAACAAGGAGATTCTGATGCACACTCCTGTTTGAGAACAACTGCCTTAGAATCAACTGTGGCCATGGGCACAAGGACAACGAGGAAATCTGGCCACTGCGTTACAGGGGCCATTACATGAGAAGAAACAACTATAAACTGGAGAGCCAATGAGTTGATATGAATTACACTTCTATCCCCTAGTGATTAATGTTATTCCTGTGGAAGAAACAGCTAACTTCAGAGTGGTCTTTGTTAAAAAATGATTACTTTCCATTTCTATTTTAATCTTAGGGTTTTACTTGCTTTCTCTACATCCTGTATATGAGTGTCTGTGCTAAGAGAGTGAAACCAGATCTAGAATATCGTCACCATTTGGTACCCTTGGTGCTACTCATAATTACAGGCTTGACAACAGCTTTGCACTGCAGGTGTTGCTGATGGCCTTCCAAAGAGCTTTGGAAGTTAATGCTTTAGAGTTAATCTCAGGAGTTAATGCTTTAGGGTCTTTTAACCAAGAGGTAATCTACGATAAAGATAGTCAATCGCCCACCCTTGGTTTGATTTCTTCCAACCTTAGGAAATACAGAGGGGAATGCACCCCAAAGCAAAGTTTCAACATTGATACTTAAGCTACTGTGATTCAGAAAAGTTTTCAAAAAGTTTCAACAGAAATGTTGAAAAGTCAGTAATAGTACATAACCCATTTTTTTCCACAGAGACACGTTCTCTCAACCCCATCCAACTTTCCCAGAGTGCCTCTAAGACTCTAATAAACTAAAGATCCCGTACCTTGAAATGAAAATCATGGTTTCAATTTTAGGGTCTATCATGTGCCTAGCAACATACAAAGCTTTTATGTGTATTATTCACAATTTGCCTAAACTTTATGTTTCTGTGTTTTATCCTCCTTTTAAATACGAAGTGAGGACTCAGGTTAAACAGCTTGACCAAGGCCACACAACTAGTAAATCAGGATTAAACCCATATCTATCTGCCTGTAACATCCGTGCTCTTAACTACCCACCACACTGTCTTAGCATAGAATTGCCTCCTCTATGAAGACTTTCCACCACCCCAAATCCAAGTCAGTCACTTATTATTCTCTGCTGCTATTTGTTTACTTGTCTGTCTCTCCTGCAAGACTATGAGCTCTGGGAAAGCAAGGTTGGCTTGATTTCTTGCCTTGCTAGCACCTAGGAAAGGGCCAAACACAAAGGATATATTGAGTAGTTGTTTATTAAATCAAACAGTAATGAAAGGGGGGCAGATAAATGAATGGATGAATAGATGGGTTTCAAAGAGAAGTTACAGCAGCAAATACATAACTCTAGCACCCATAGATCAAGTATTAATTAGGGGAAAACCAAAAATATTTATCTGCAAACAATGGCACCTACATCCACTGTCTCTTACCTTTGCCATGTCTTTCATATCTCTGCCAATTTTGTATGTTTGCTACCTCCCCTTTTTTCCTTCCCTTCCTTTTCCCTCTCTCCCTTCCCTTTAAATACCTGTAATATAGAACTGAAATCATACGTGTAATATTTTCGTTTGTTGTAATTTATGATTCAGATATAAATAATGTTTCCTCATTCTTAATTTCAAAATCCAGTGCATGGAACATTTTTGTAATGTCTAAAAATAAGATCCAAAACACAAACACCCACAATTGTCTCTCCTGATTTAACAACATACAGTAAATTGATATTTTTTCTTTTTTCTTTGGTGAGTCAGTGACCGCCAAAAGAAAAAAAAAATTATCCAATCTTGTTCAATGATAGGAAGTAAGAAGATTTCAGCACCTACTAAGTGCCAGTTGTGTGTGTGTGTCTGTGTGTGTGTGTGTGTGTGTGTGTGTGTGTGTGTCGTCCATCTTCTTATTTGCATTTATAGGGAGACAACTAAGGCTCAGAGGTTATGTAACTGTCCCACTGTTACCCAGGAAGGAAGAGGAGAAAGTAGGATTCAAACTCAGGATCCATGATTAGTTCTCTCGCATGAAATTAAAGACATCATATGGTAGAACAAACAAAGAGAAAATTTGCCTAGTTGAAAACAAAAACCTAGGATTAAGGAACGCTTTTTCAAGGAGAGCACCAAGGTTACTAGAACACCGTTTTGTAATCATGGGTGTAGAGCTTGCATGCTGACATTTCCTATGATTCAGCTCTGCCGTCCTACTCGGCTCTTTACGAAATTAAACCACATTTTAGAAAAGGAAACAATATCAGACTGATAATAATTTCTGTTTAAAATCAGATAATTTAAAACAAAGGTGAAAACCAGTGGAATGACATAGATTTTTATCTCACCTGCTAGTCACAGAAATGTTGAGTGTGAAAAACTTTGAATTCCAAATTCCAAAAATAAAACTTTCTTTGCTGGCTCTGGAGGTTTCTCATATTGTTTCACAACCTACATGCCCACGCCCCCACTCTCATGGCATCTGCTTCCTCTTCCTCCCCCAGCCCATGCCATGAACCCGAAGGCATGCGACAGGGAGGGGGTCTAGGGCAGAGAAGAGCCCAGGAGCCCTTCCCTGCAAGGGCACTTCTGAAAATCCCCAAACACCACTTCACCAAAATTCTCTCAGGCTGCTCTGGGCTGAGCAAGAGTGGAAGAAACCAGGCAGGATGTCAGCCGTGCTTATGTTCTCAGAATTGCTACTTGGCCACAGTTTTCTCTGGCTTGAACCATAGCAGTGGGCAGAATGGAAAGTGTATGAAAAGAAAGTGCAACTGATGGTCTTGGAGAAGTCCTCAGAGTGAAAGCAGGAGGCGCCTGTGGGAGACTTCAGCCCTCGCTAAAGCCAAATGGGCCTAGCCAAGCTGCCTGGCCCAAGGTACCAGTTCCTACCCTCCTGTCCAGATTTTAGGGCATTCTTGGAGCATCAGTATTCTCCCCTCATACCTCATTAGCTTTCGATTGCATTTTGCACCTTCATTCTTAAGAAGTCATTTGCCTTGTTAAATGTGAGTATTCCCCAAGGCCAGTGCTAAGTCTCTGTTCTTCTGGCTGCATCTCAACAAAGTTGTAGAGTCAGAACACTATTGTGGTTGAACATGAGGCATGAGTTTAGCCAGATCTGACTTCCAGTGTGGGCCCTGCCAATTATCAGTTTTATGACCTTAAGCAAGTAATCATCTTTCTTCATGTCATTCTCTTCTTGAATTACTCTGCGAGAACAACTCTCTAACCTGTTTTCATTTCCCACCTCTAATATAGCCAACTGCCTGCTAAACATTTCCACTTGGACGTTCCTTTATTGCCTCAAGTATGACAAATGAAAACCATTATCTATTCTTCCCCATCCCCCCAAAATCTTTCATATTCTTTCTTTCTGCTAAGACAACCATCATGTTTTGTTCTATTTTGCTTTTGAGATGGGGTTTCACTCTGCTGTCCAGGCTGGAGTGCAGTGGTGTGATCACTGCTCACTGCAGCCTCCACCTCCCCAGGCTCAAGTGACTTTGCCACCTCAGCCTCCCAAGTAGCTGGGACTGCAGGCACCTGCCACCATGTCCTTAACCAGTATTTTTTGTAGAGATAGGATTTCACCATGTTGCCCAGGCTGGTCTCTAACTCCTGGGCTCAGGCAATCTGCCCACCTTGGCCTCCCAAAGAGCTGGGAGTACAGGTGTCAGCCACCATGCCTGGATGGAAGCGTTTTTGAGAATCACCTTTAACCTCCTATATTAAATCAGAACCAAAGTCCTATTGATTTTTCTTCTCTAAACTTTCTGCAGTCCCACTCTTCCTTTCTCAAAAGCTCTCGTCGGTTCATAGCATCTTATTTCCTACATGTGTACCCTTTTCAAACTAGCCTTCATACCACAACCAGAAAAGTTATTTCTGAAATTGCTTTGATCAAAATACCCTACCATCACCACCTCTCCCACCACTGAAAAAATACTAACAAGCTCCCAACCAGGAAAAAATTCACTCTCCTTGCCCTGAGTACTCAAGGCTCTTCATAAAACAGGATCAGTGTCTCCCAGCATCGTCTCCTTGGGCTCCCACCTGAGGCCTCTTCCTCAAACCATTTCACTCAATATGTAGTCCCTCATTTGTCAAATATGTGTAGAATACCCACTTGGAGCCAGGTGTGATGGATACAGTGGGTGAATAAACAGACACAGCCTCTTCCTAGCAGGAAAGCAGACAGGCTTTAGACCACTAAACACATACATAGGCTGGGTGTGGTTGCTCATGCCTGTAATCCCAGCATTCTGGGAGGCCAAGGCAGGCCAGATTACTTGAGGTTAGGAGTTCGAGACAGCCTGGCCAACATGGCAAAGTCCCGTTTCTACTAAAAATACAAAAATTATTCAGGTGTGGTGGTGGGTGCCTGTAGTCTCAGCTACTTGGGAGGTTAAGGCATGAGAACTGCTTGAACCTGGGAACTGGATGTTGCAGTGAGCCAAGATTGCACTACCGCACTCCAGCCAGGGTGACAGAGTGAGACTTCATTTCAAAAAAAAGAAAAAACACATACATAGAGACAAATTGTGAACTTTGGTTAAACACAACAGATAGGTCATAAGCAGTTATATCTTTTTCTTCTCCCAATAAAATGAACCAAAAATTATTTTAAGGTATAAATGAACAACAAATTTTAATCAAATTTTGAAAGACAGGGAATAGATACATGAGTAATAATCAACTTTGTTGAAAAGTTGAGAAAACTTCAACTTAACAAGCCTGGAGAGGAGAATGTTGAACATAATCATTCTCATGAACCCTACACATACCTGCAAAGTGTGGCTCTTAGAGACCTGATGCCCACAGAGGCAAGGAGCAAGATATGAGGCCGCACATTTGAATGCAGGAAGAGTTAAATTGGTAGATTCCCTCCCTTGGCCCCACAGAGCCTGATGGCAACCCCACAGACAGAAGATAGGAAAGCTAGCATCTGGAGAAATCTTTTGAAGAAATTCCAGACTCACGTACATCAGACACAGACTGGGACACAAGTGAGACATGAGATTGAAAATGATCACGCCAGGGTACATGATCATGCATTTCAGAACTCCAGGGATAAAGACATGTTCCTAAAACCTCTCAGACAAAGGGTTGAGGGCAAGGAGAGAAGAAGATCAAGATCATATACAAACAGGAATCAGAATGGCAATCAGTCATCTGCCAGAAATGCTAGAAGTCAGAAAATAACTGAAGAAAGCCTTCAAAATTCTGACAAAATATTTTATCTGGAATACATTACTTAGCTAAGCTATCAAAAGACATAAGAGGAACATATAGACATTTCCAGACATAGAAAGACTCGGAAAATTTACCTCCCTTTTACACCCTCTTTTTTAGGAGGTTACTTGAGAATATCCTCCAGCTAAACCAAGGAATGAAACAAGAAAGAGGAAGTGCGGAGGTCCAAAAAACAAGGGGTCTAAAACAGGAAAACAGTGGGGGGAAGTTCCAGGATGCCAGCAGGGTAGGACACAAAGAGAACCAGCAGTACAGATAGCAACGCAGGCAAGGGGGCTCTAGGACAGGGCTTTGGGAAAGTAAAGCATTACAAAAAAATAATATCTGGTCTATTTTATCATTTTGATTAGGAGTTGACAAACTGCAGTCCGTGGACCAAATCCTGCCTACCACCTGCTTTTGTAAATAAAGGTTTTTTGGAACATGGCCAGCTGCCCCCCTTCATTTACATATTGTCTGCAGCTCAGTTGCATATTGCCCATGACTTTAACAGCTGAGTTGAGTAGTTGCAACAGAGGCTGTCTGGACCAAAAAGTCTAAAAATATTTACTATATGATCTTTTATAGAAAGAGTTTGCCAACGCCTGATTTAAAAGGAAAAACTAATTAGTGATCTGATGGAATGGGTGAAAAAAAGATAAAAATAAATGTAGAACAAACAACACCAACTGGAGGTAAACAGGCAATTTTAGGAAGAATAAAGTTGGACAAGAAAATATATGATCCTAGTATACTACTTGGACTCTGCAAATAATTTTTGTATAATCATAAAAACATAAACAATGATTTGGATTTATCCAAAAATTGTGAAATGAATATTAAAGCAAGAGGAGAAATGAAGAGATGTATAGAAGATCTAAATTTTCCTTTTATAGCAGAAAATCAGTAGAAGTCTAATATTAATAAATCAATATATAACAATATAAGCATATTTGCTAGAAATACTGAGGCATGTATTAGAAGAGACAGCTAGCACAGTTCCAAGTGATTTCTCTGGAGAGCAGGACCAAGTGAGGTAGAGATTCATAGGCAGAGCACTGCTGTTTTCATTATAAACCTTCAGCATGTTTTTTAACTTGATAAAGTGGCAGTTAATTTCCAAAAATACTCAATCTCAAAAATTATAAAATATGATAGGTATTATGAAGCCCTAAAACGAGGTACCATGAGAGAGAATAATGGAGGTAGATAAACTATAAGCTTACTTTAGTCTGCAGGGAAGGTGGTTCTAAGAAGATGACATTTAAACTGAGAACTTGAAAGCTAGCCAGTCAGCCAGTTTAGGGGAATGGGCCTCCAGGTAGAAGGACCAGCATGTGCAAAGGCTTGGGTGTGAGAGCGAGCTCCGTTGGGACTTAAAGGATCTGAAGTCGTTACGATCAGCTGAAGGGGAGAGTGTGCCTGCAGAAGCCCTCAGGAGCAAACTTGCAAAGACAGCAGGAAAGAGACCATGAAGCATTTGTACCCTATCCAAAAAGCAACGCTGAGTCACTGGATGATGCCATAAACACAAGAATGTGTCGCAAGACTGAGACCAACATTTGGCATATGTTTCTTCCTTTTAAGATTTTTGCCTATAAACAGATTCCAGTCCATAACCTAACAAAAGAAGTTACCGTACTGTCAGAAAGTGGAGCCAGACTGTATGTGTTTCCTGTAGGATGACATGTCAAGCTTAGACATAAGCCAGCAAGGGGACCTCCCCAATGTCCTTGCTGGATTTGGAAGTGGCCATGTGCTACTCAGGGATTGCCTGCTCTCATCAACTATGTGACAGCTTCTTCTTCTCAAGTAAACTCCTACTTTGCTCCTTATACATACCCACTACTTTCCCTTAATCCCTCCTGGAATTTTGGATGCAAGATTTCCTACAATCTCTCCTTGGGCTCCTATGGGCCTCTCTTTGACTAAATCCAAAGTCTTGGTCTTGGCCATCACTGCATTGGCTTCCTAAATGCCCTCTTTATCCGCTCCTCATTCTGTTTCAGATGTCTCAATACAGATGAGTCTCTCAAGGAAGGACCCAAGAGATACTCTCTCCCTACCTCCATGAGGAAAATGGAACCCAGGGAGAGCAGCAAGCTGATAGCAGAATCAGGATCACAATGCAGATTGCATTGCTTTGCTTGTGAGGAGACCCCTTCAAGACTGCTGAAAAGAAGCCATCACATGCCCTTGGCCAGAAGCCTGGCATAGTGAAATTCCGAGAGGTGGAGTTCCTTTTTTATTTTTTTCTATTATGATTTTCCTCTATTAAAGAAATAGCAATTAATATTTGAGAAAATGTGCTCTAATTACATTTTGCAATCCATGCCCTTGGGTTAAAGTGAACCCAGATGTAATTATTTTTGTGAAATAGCTCTTAACTCTCTGCATATTAAGTCTTGCTTCCTTTAAAAGCAGCAGGATGCCTTCACATCATTGCTGTTGGCATTTTCTTGTCAGAATTACTAAGGATTAATTACAAATTACTTTTATTGCACTGGGAGTAGGCAGCACAGAATCAACAATGTCTCCTAAACGTTAATGTAGTCAGTAGTTTTCAGTCATTTTGGTCTCAAAACTCCGTAGCCTTTTAAAAATTGAGGACTCCAAAAAACTTGTGTGCATACGGCTTTATCTATGAATATTATTAGAAATAAAAACTGAGAAACTTAAAAAATCTGTACTTATTAATTTATTTTAAAACAACAGCAATAATCCTGTTGCAGTGGGATTCATGGGTTATTATTATTTTAAAATAAATTAATAGGTAAAGAGTTACAGAAATAGTTTAACATATTTTTATGAAAAAATAACATTTAAAAAAATGCTAAGAGCAACATTGGTTTTAGAGTTTTGTAAATCTCTTCTATCTCTGGCTTAATATGAGACAGCTGGATTCTCATACCTGCTTCTTCCTTGAGTCCGTTGCAGATATCATACATCATGCAACCTCAGAAAAGCTCCACTTACAGGAGAGAATGAGTCTGAAAAAGAACCATAACATGCTGGTATTGCGGTGAAAATAGTTTTGACCTCGTGAGCTCACTAAAAGTGTTTCAAGGATACTTGAGGGTCTCTGGACCACATTTTGAGAACCACTGGCTAAGTTAAAATAATAAAGCAAAATTCATTTATGTATCCAAACATTATATTTCCATATGAGTGCTTTCATTTAGTCCTCCCAACGAACCAAGGAGGTGATATGTTATATCCAATTACATATGACAAAGTGTTCATCAGTAAATTAGTGAAGCAGCTCTTAAACATCTGAATGCATAAGCCAGGATTTGGGTGTGGAATTTTTGCGTGACATCCAGTGGCCAAAGTGATGTCACTCAAAGATGACAGATTTACCTTAGTATTTCACTCTGTCCTTGAATATTCATTTGTAGGTAATTCATTTGGATCCATCATCCAATAGCTTATCTCAATTCTATTTCATCTTCCTATAGTGTAGATGCCTATTTCATGATGCAGGATGTCTTATTTTGTTGTTTCCTATTCCTTATTTGTACCACTTTTAGGGGAGGTGATGTCCTAAACCTGCCATCTGCTGACCAAAATAATAATCATAGCAATAATCCGCTGAGCAAATACCAATTTGCACTTTGCTGAGTGTTGGAGTTGAGGAGGAAGAGGGGGACTGGAAGAAGCAATGAGTGTGGTATAAAGAGACTGGGGTTGTACAATAAAATGGAATTAGCTTCCAACTCATTTCTTCTACTTACTAACTGTATGACTTGGGCAAGTCAAGGAACTCCATGAACTTCAGTATCCTTATCAGTAAAACAAAGATAACAATGCCATTCTCCCAGGGCTGTTGGGAAGTTCCTATAAAATAATGCATGGAAGGTGCCTACCACTGTGCCTGATACATAGTGAGAGCTCTATGGACAAGTGCTGTGATTACGCAGATTATAGTAGTGATGATGAAACAATACCCCTGACATTGGCACAGTCAGGTTGATTCAAGGACCCACAGAGGGTCCAGAATCACAGCCAGAAACTACAGCCTCTCCTTTCCTTCTCTATCTGTATTCCAGCCACAAGAGCCACCTTTCAGACCCTCAATCATGCCAGGCTCCTTCCAGCCTCAGGGTTTTTCTAAATGCTATTCCCTCTGACTGAAAGCACCTAAAACCCTCCATACTCACAGTCACCCAGCTGTTTGCCCTTCAGAGCTAGTAAAAATCACCTCCTCTGAGATGCCTTCCTGGACTACCCAGATCAGTCACACTCCTATCTCCCTCCATAGGTTTACAGAAAACCCGGTGTTTCTTCATAATATTGTCAGTTAATGAAGCAATTGTATAATTGCTTGTTAAATGTCTGCTTTCTCCTTTCTCTCTAACTTCTATATAGTTGCAAAGGAAAAGAACGTGATAACAGCCTCTGAGGCTGTCACCTCTACTTCAGGCCACACATATTTAGATTTGCTGAAAGCACAGATCCCAGGCATAAACTTTCCAAATAACTAACAGCCCAAAGCCTTTTAAGGATAATAATAGCTGCTACTTTTTGAGTTGTTCCTTTGTGCTAATCATTGTATACACGTGATCTGTTTAATTTTCTCAGGACCAAAATTTGCAGATGAAATAACAGATTCAGAGAGGTGAAGAAATTTGCCTAAGGTCAAAGTCGGCAAAGAGTAAAGTTTAAATCTAGGTCAGTTGACTGACCATTCTGGCTTGCCCAAGACTCTGAAAGTTCACAATTGCTGAAACCCCTCAGTTCTGGGCAAATCAGAATGGTTGGTCACCTTACTAACCCACTTAGCTGTCTGCCTCTAGAAAGCCACATAATCTTCCCAAGTGCAGGCTTCTTCATCTGTAACATGGCAATAACAGCCCTATCTGTAGAATGGCTTCAAGTCATGAATGGAATAATATATTTAATAATAAAGGGCCAGGCGTGGTGGCTCACGCCTGTAATCCAAGCAATTTAGGGGGCCAAGGCAGGCGGATCACCTGAGGTCAGGAGTTCAAGACCAGCCTGGTCAACATGGCAAAACCCCATCTCTACTAAAAATACAAAAATTAGCCAGGCATGGTGGTGGGTGCTGGTAATCCCAGCTACTCGGAAGGCTGATGCAGGAGAATTGCTTGAACCCAGGGGCACGGAGTAAGCAATGAGCCGAGACTGTGCCACTGCTCTCCAGCCTGGGCGAGAAAGCGAGACTCTGTCTCAAAAAAATGATAATAATAAAGGCACTTAGTAAACATTCATTAAATAACAGAGTAGGCTTTCAAGAAATGTTTACTGAATGAATTGACAAAAGTAATAAATATATAGGAGATGTGTTGGTAAATTTATTAAGAAGCATTTAGAGAAGGGAGACTGTTGTGAACGGAGGGAATAGGAAATGGCTTCAAGAAGTGACTTCAGAATGATTTGGAGTCTGGCCTTATAGAAAATATAGTAAGGCCAGGCGTAGTGGCTCACACCTGTAATCCCAGCACTTTGGGACGCCAAGGCGGGCAGATCACCTGCGATCAGGAGTTCGAGACCAGCCTGGCCAACACGGTGAAACCCCATCTCTACTAAAAATACAAAAATTAGCCAGGCATGGTGAAGGGTGGCTGTAATCCCAGCTACTCAGGAGGCTGAGGCAGGAGAATCACTTGAACCCGGGAGGTGGAGGTTGCAGTAAGCTGAGATCACGCCACTGCACTCCAGCCTGGGCAATAGAGCAAGACTCTGTCTCAAAAAAAAAAAAGAAGAAAGAAAGAGAGAAAGAAAGAAAGAAAGAAAGAAAGAAAGAAAGAAAGAAAGAAAGAAAGAAAGAAAGAAAGGAAGGAAGAGAGAGAGAGAAGGAGGGAGGGAGGGAGGGAGAGAGGAAGGAAGGAAGGAAGGAAGGAAGGGAAAGAAAGAAAGAAAGAAAGAAAGAAAGAAAGAAAGAAAGAAAGAAAGAAAGAAAGAGAAAGAAAGAAAGAAAGAAAGAAAGAAAGAAAGAAAGAAAGAAAAGAAAGAGAAAGAAAGAAATTATAGTAATTATGTATGCAGGCTTAAGATAGGAGAGTATTCTATGAAAAAGGTCCAAAATGTTCACATCACAGAACACGTAAAGTACAGATCCCATCGACAGGTTATTAACGGCAGATGTGAGTGAAGCATGGATGTATATTCTAGAGGAATCACACACAAAGCTGGGAGGGAAAGAGCCTGGAGCATCAGGTCTGATGATAACTCTATTCCCTTAGCTAAAGCCAGTCACCAAACAGAACCATCTACAGCAGAGGTGTCCAATCTTTTGGCTTCCCTGGAAGAAGAAGAATTGTCTTGGGCCACACATAAAATACACTAATTTATGATAGCTGATGAGCTTAAAAAGGAAATCACAACAAAATCTCATAATATTTTAAGAAAGTTTACAAATTGGTGTTGGGCCACATTCAAAGCCGTCCTGGGCCATATGCAGCCTGCGGGCTGTAGGTTGGACATGCTTGCTCTACAGGCTTCTTTGACGTGTGACTAGGCATTTGTCACCACTCCAATTTGTGTGTGCCCATAAGTGCATGTGTTTTAAAGAGCATTATTGAGCACCTACAGTATGCTCAGCACTATGTTACTCCCATCACTTTGATAACATCAGTTTGATAGCTGAGAAGTTCTGATGAAGAAAGTGGTGAAGGTGCCGCGGCAAGGACGCAGGAGGACAGAGAAGAAGCCCATCACATGTGTGCCTCAACCAGACTCTCCAGGCTTTCCAGAGAATCCATAAACAATGGGAATGGTTCCCCTTGACATCTCTAGCCTGTCTTCTCAAAGAAATACTGTCCACCCTGAAATATTTACTTGATACCAGCTAATTAGTTTACCCAGAATATGTGCACACGAGATTCACTTTTTCCCTAGACTGCCTGCAGTTGTTTTCTTCTTCTCCACCTCACCCCTTTCTCTTCTATAAATCTTATTTGCAGCCTTTATAGTAAAAGTAATTGCTGTGGTGTTTCTTTTTTTTGTTTTTTTTTTGTTTTTTGTTTTTTGTTTTTTTGAGATGGAGTCTCACTCTGTAGCCCAGGAGGCTGGAGTGCAGTGGTGCAATCTCAGCTCACTGTAGCCTCCGCCTCCCAGGTTCAAGCAATTCTCCTGCCTCAGCCTCCCGAGTAGCTGGGACTACAGGCATGTGGCACCATGCCCGGCAGATTTTTTTTGGATTTTTTAGAGAGACGGGGTTTCACCATGTTGGCCGGGATGATCTTAATCTCCTGACCTCGTGATCCGCCTGCCTCGGCCTCCCAAAGTGCTGGGATTGCAGGCATGAGCCATTGTGCCCAGCCTGCTGTCTTTTATCTACAACTAACCTGCTGATAATTCACCAAATTTCTCTACGTGATCCTTTTGACATTACTCTGAAAGTGATAGGTCTGTGTAAAATTTCATATTTTGCCCAAGTCAACATTTACAGAATAGACACTCTCCTTACTTCCAAAAATAAATAAATAAATATGCTAAAAATTAGCAGACCACAATTGACTTTTGTTCTCAAGACTTCTGTTTTATTTTATTGAAGACTCCTGGCTTTGTTCATCAAAAGTCAGCATCATCACCAAAAATTAGCATGGGAAGATGACAATAAATAATAGCACATTTTAGGCCACAGCCATCATTTCAAAGATAAAACAAATCTTGTTAAATTAATGAAACCACAAAAGAGAGAACTGAACTTCCACAGTGTTTCTGATCACTGCCCCACACTTTCTTCCCTTGGATCTACCCAGCCATGACATCATGCTAGATTATCTTTCTAACTATAGCTCTAATCTTGCCATTCTTCTAAAAAGAAAATTTAATGTCCCACAATTGCCCACAGCATAAAGTCCCAACTCCTTATCCTACTATTTGTACCCTTCTGTGATCTGGTTTGACTGCACCTGCTTTACCAAATTTCTCTTTCTCTCTCTTCTTCTCTACCTCCTACCTATGAATGCCAGGTGGCCCAATGCAAGGCTGCCTTGATGAAGAAAGTAATGTATTGATTTACATTCAAGCACAAGTTTTTTTTAATCTCAGAACAGCTATTTTGAATACCACAGCCTAATACAGTTCTATCTGTCCATTAAAGTCCAACTCAAAGTCCACCACCTCCAGAAAGTCTTCCCTATTCTTTTCAGCTCAGCTAAACACAGTGTCATTGATTATCCTGCTTATACTCCCTAACAGCATCTACGAAGCTGGGTGTGGCTGTGCTTATTCACTTGTCCAGCCTCATCCAGCACCACCTGCCCTTTGTCCCTATATGTAGGTCCCTCCTCTGTATGTTCCTTGAACATACAAAGTTCTTTCCATCCTGGGGGGCCTTCATACATATTCTTTCTTTCTTCTAAAACCCACTTCCTCCCATTAATCATCTGGTCCACAATTTCCGACATTTCAGGCTTCAACTTAAAAGCCACATCCTCAAAAAGACCCTTTTGGATATACATCAGTCAGGGCCTCGGCAGGAAACAGGTGTCATATTCCAAACGGGGTAAAATGTTCACAAAGAAGCCATATACAAAGTTATGGACAGGGTTTAGGGACACCAACAAGAGATAGTGTGGTACCCTATGGCTACCATCAGCTGGGGAGGCCGGAAGCAGGAGGGAAGGGAATGTACCAGAACCTGGAGAGTGTAAGTGTAAGGGCCACCTTAAAGAATTGAGAATTGATGGCCTTCAGTGGAGAGTTTCAATCAAATAGAGATATGACGTGGAGAGAGCCAGGAAAGTAAATAACCCAGCCTCATTCTTCACCCACCATCTCAATGGCCAATCCCCACTGGACGCAGAGGAACCCTTTAAAGCAGTCGATGCAGAAAGGCTCCCAGGAAGGGCGAGGAAGGGTGGGAAAAGGGGCTGCTGGGACAAACAGAAGCTACCAAACACACCACTCATTCTTAGGTAGACACTCTGATTATTCTGCCTCATACATACCAACCTATTGTTTTTCTTCTTAGTAGTCAATAACATTTTTAATTCTACATTTATCTTTTTGCTTATGTCTATAAGCACCTTCAGATTGTGAACTCCATGGCCATGAAACAGGAACCTTATTTAGTGAGCTCACTGAAGCATTCACAGAATGTAGCATATAACAGATGTTGAATAAATACTTGCTAATAAATGAGTGAACACATGGATCCATCAGATATGTAGACATGTGTCAATATGTGTGTGACACATATAATTATGCACACATACATCTCAGCTTCAAAGAAACAAACCTCCTCTGCAGAATTAAGAAATGCCAGAACATTTCACATCTAAATCAATGAAATGAAAACAAAATGCTGCCTAGCATAGAGACTCAAATTCTAACTTCAAAGAGAGCTGATCATTTTCTGAGATGAGAAAGTCTTTCCCATTAACCTCCTGTGAAACACGCTGAGCCAGACTAGATAAGCTATCACTGTATTATACAAAATTGTTATCTTCCCCAATACACATTGCAGATTTAAATGAGGTTGAGTGGGAGTATTCTCCTTAAACTCTGTTCTTTAAAAAACCTCAGTAGCTCCCATACCCAACTTTTTAGCTTCAAAAGATGGAAAATACTAGCAAAATCTGAGTCCCCTTCTCTTGGAATTGGGGTTTTACACATCTTCCAAAAGTCTACATTTCTCTGAGATCTTGCAGTACCATTGCAAGGAATCCAGACACAACCTCTTTAAATCAAAATTTCCATAAGTTCATATTACATGGAAGTATAATTTATAGACCATTACATTTAACACCGAAACACAAACTTCCACATTTCCTTCTCTCCTCCCTCCCCAACACATTGTCACTTTGATGGGAAAGGAGGAAGTCTTTTTCCTTTAGCATCATACACAGCATAATTCCAAATACTTTCCTTCAGTTCCTCAAATGTGTCATATGCCATGTTCTCTCCAACCACAGGGTCTTTGTACTTGTTCCTTTTTGGTAGGAAATGCAACTCTCTTTTCTCCAGCTAGTTTTGTCTTTAAACAACAACAACAAAAAAACAGAAAGGGGGTAATATTAATAACTAGATTGTAGAATGACTGTAAGGCAAACTTGTCCAACTCATGGCCCGCAGACCAGAATGGCTTTGAATGCAGCCCAACACAAATTTGTAAACTTTCTTAAAACATTACGAGGTATTTTGCAATTTTTTTAGCTCATCAGCAAACGCTAGTGTTAGCATATTTTACGTGTGGCCCAAGACAATTCTTCTTCCAGTGTGGCCCAGGGAAGCCAAAAGATTGGACACCCCTGCTGTATGAAATAATCAAGATAATACATGCAAGGCACATAAAACAGAGCCTGACACATAGTAAGGTCTCAATAAATGCCATCATCATTATCATCATTGACCACATCATCAATTACTACTCTACTTCCAAATTATCTTTCAGATCTCTAATCTAATATTACTAGCTCCAGGAAGTTTTTACATACCCCAAATTGGATTGGATGCCCCGATCGTGCCCATTCATATGACTAGTACCTTTTCTTCATAGCACTAATTATAACCCATAATTAGATATTATTCAAATAAACACAAAAATAATGTATATGTTGCCAAATAAGAGAAAAAACTCCTTGAGGATGTTTTTCTCAAACATGCAGCAAGCATGTTTGTTATTGTCCACCCTTGTGTCTCTAGTTCTAGAATAATGTCTTGCATTTAGTGCTCAAAAAATGTGTTAAATGAATGAACAGACAACCTCTCTCCCTTCGTGCCATAGTAATCACTTTTCATAAATTTCACACCCCTCTTCATAAATTTCCTTCATCCTCCTTATTTCAAGAGCTCTAAAGGTAGGCATTTCAAGAAGCTGATGCATCAAAAAGACACATGACCAGAGATCTCAGCTCCCAGATTCACAGGTGGGCCACAACCCAAATGTGCATAGTTCCAATTGCAGAGTATCCGGGGCATAGGAAGGAAATGAAAGAAGCTATCTGTTGTGGACTGAATGCTTGTGTCCCCCCAGAATTTATATGTTGAAGCCCTAACCTCCAATGTGATGATATTTGGAGGTAGGGCCTTTAGGGGTAATTAGATTTACATGAGGTTATAAGGGGAAGGATCTTGTGATGGCATTAGTTCCCTTATAAGAAGAGACCAGAGGCCGGGCGCGGTGGCTCACGCCTGTAATCCCAGCACTTTGGGAGGCCGAGGCGGGTGGATCATGAGGTCAGGAGATCGAGACCATCCTGGCTAACAAGGTGAAACCCCGTCTCTACTAAAAATACAAAAAATTAGCCGGGCGCGGTGGCGGGCGCCTGTAGTCCCAGCTACTGGGGAGGCTGAGGCAGGAGAATGGCGTTGAACCCGGGAAGCGGAGCTTGCAGTGAGCCGAGATTGCGCCACTGCAGTCCGCAGTCCAGCCTGGGCGACAGAGCGAGACTCCGTCTCAAAAAAAAAAAAAAAAAAAAAAAAAAAGAAGAGACCAGAGAGCTTGCTCCCTCTCTTTCCACCATGTAGGATGCAGCAAGAAGGCAGCCATCTGCAAGCCATGAAGGGGGCCCTCATCAGAACCTGACCCTGCTGGCACTCTGATCTCTGACTTCCCAGCCCCCAAAACTGTGAGAAATAAATGTCTGTTGTTTAAGCCACCCAGTCTAAGGTATTTTATTATAGCAGCCCAAGAAGACTAATGCAGTCTCCTGCAATGGATGGGAGTGGGGGTGGGGGACAATTTGCTGCACTCATGGATACTTCAACCTTACTTATATAGTTTCTTACACAATTGTTAAAGCATAGTTCTGAAAAAGTGTGCAAAGAAAACGCTTTATGTCCACCACATTATTTCCTCTTCCTGGACACACAGAAGGAGCACATTTCCCTTACTTGTACTTGGATGCAGGTCACATGACTGAGTCCTGGTTAATCGAATGCAGACAGCAGTGCTAGAGAGAGAAAGATTTTATATATACAGATATATATATCTATATATATATATATAGATATATATATATATATATATACACATATATATGTCATTCCCATGCCTGACCCAAAAAATATCCCGTGTGCAATATTCCACAGTCTTCCCCTCCATTACCACCTTGTAGGTTAACAGGGCTACTTGTCACCTATTATACTTCAAACAAGTGAGAAATACATTTTTCTTTTATTAAGCCCCTGATATTTCAGGGCTTATTTGTCACTGCTGCATATCCTGGTATTTTCCTGACTAATGCAAAGAGGCAGAGTGGAACAGTGGAAAAAGAAAGAAAGAGATCAAGGGTTTGAGGCCTGGTTCAACCATCAGCTTGTGATGTGACATTGGAACATCATCTCCTCTGTAGCCCTGAATTTTCTCATTCATGCTACTCAAATGTGAATAGATCACCATGAACGGTCTCTGATTTTGCCCCATATCTACCTGGAAGCCAGATTCAATGCTTCATTATATCCCTCCCTCCCACACATACACACAGTCCTAAACGCAGTGATAAATCACATTGTTTTTCACTGACGAATTTCTTGGATGATAACAACAGGGATTATAGCTAGAATGACCTTATATGTCATGGTTTGGCTAGGAAAATCTCCATTTATGCCTGTTGTCTCAGTGTAATTCATTATGGTTATTAATAAAAGAGCCCCCCATTTGCCTCTTAGGCATTCTGGTTTAAACAATAAATTATGGGGTTAAGGTAGTTATATCATACACAATTCTTACCAGACACCTCTCTGCCCATTCTATTGTTCTCCCTCCACCTTGAGGCTTCATCATCCCCAAAAGTCTTCCCTGGAATCCTTTACTAAGTAAAGTTTACTGGATCATCTGCCTGCAGCCATCTAGCTGGCTGAGAAATTGCTCAGAGAAATACCTAACTCACAATCATATTCCATGGCCTCAAACTGGCCACATGGCCTCACTCTAATTGCAAGGCAGACAGGTTATTGTAGACTTCCTGGTGGCCTTGTATGCTCATGAACTTAAAACAAATTGGTATATGTAAAGTTTTTGTTTTGTTTTGTTATTATTATTATATTTTATTTTCTTGCTATAAAGACAGAGGTATATGTCAAGTTTTAATAAAATGCCTTTGCTTTCTCTGTAGGAAAATGACTATGGGGTAACTTTATAGCACTATTCCCTGGAAGCTATTCCCTGATAAAGGTGGAATGGCATTGTTAATGAGGAAAATGACATCTGATTGATAAACTGATTCTACACTGGGCAAATTGTGAATGAATATGAATACCTGGAGGGAAGGCATAGATTTGAGCTTCCCATAGTGCAAGACCTGGATGCTGTTATAACAGATATTGGTTCCTATGGAGCTTTGAGTTTTTAAGCTAGGATGGTTCCCATACTTAATCTTGTAGTCTCTACAACAACAACAACACCTGTGTTTTTGGTGGGAGGAGGAGCCTGGCCCTTGGACTGCCATGAAGACTCACACCAAAAAGATGATATGCTTGATGCTGCCCTCTTGGCCTGCTGTGTTTCCTCTGGAACACTCTTCTAAGTGAAATTGACCACTGTGGTCATGTGACTTTGATTACTTTTCCTTGCTATTCAAAGTATGCATCTTGGAGAAGGAGTATCAGCATTTTCCCAGGACTTGTGAGAAATGCAGTCAACCTCCTCCCCTACAGACCTACTAAATTAGAATCTACAGTTTAACAAGGTCTCACCATGACTCTTACGCACAGTTAAAGTTTGAGAGGCAGCGGTATGAATGAACCAGGACTATGGCTAATCAAATAGCCTCCAGTCCCAACACAGCCTAGACAACAATTTCCCTCAATGTTTTAAGTGTATTAACAGTTAGGCTTTATTACCTTCCCTCAGAAATGTTTACCAAGCTCCATCACATGAAAGCAAGAGAAAAAGACAATAAGAGAAAATCCATGTAGACTAGAACACAAGGCTCCCCTGGTCCCATGAAGTCCAGGAGAGCTGGGCCAGTTTCGCTCAGCCTGGACCCTCCAATAAACATCTACAGGGAAATTAAAGGCAGGACTTCATGGGAGAAGCTCAAGGCCAAGAGAGTCCTTCCTGCTTTTCCAGCCATGCATGGGTTCCAGCTCTCTGACAGCAGAGGAATTGTCTTCTATAGTGTTGCCAAATTGGCACAGTGAGGCCCTTAGACTGATACTTTATTCTCTCCCAGTTCCCATTCTGTCCAGCTGTTCATCAGCTATACTAACATCTTTTGAAGTGAAGAACAGAATGGGCTACCCCGGAAAGCAACTTTTTGGAGAACAAAGAAAAGGGCACACAGGGCTGGGTCAACTACTCTGTGGGCTGGCTTCAGAGGGAGAAATTTAATTTTATTTTTATATATTCCACATTCCCTGGAAAGAGGTAGTGAGAAGTCATGCCTGGTGTTTAGATAAGGAAATACTAGATTTTCCTATGAGAAATAGGAAACCACATGTATTAAAAATGAAAACAACCATATAACATATATTCCATATGGTCCCAAGATATTACTTATAGTCTTCTCTATGGGTAAGGATTATGAGTTGTTTCCAGTACCTTCTTTATAAAAAATAACACATAATATAATGCATTGTATTATAAAAATAATACAATCACACATTTTTTATTTGAAATGAAAATACATAAAATGTGAAAACAAAAGAGATAAATACAAGAGGTCTTCAAAAAACTTTATGAAAAATGCATATTGTGAACAAACTCCATGAAGTTCAAAAATGTTTTGCACCAAAATAAACTCATACTAACTTGTTATAACATGTCTGAAACAGATTTAGTTTGAGGCACTAAAAAGGAAATATAGTTTGAAAAGCTCCCATATCAGAATGAAGTGAATTCTGCTAGAATGGAAGCAAGAACAAACATCAAATTTTTGGTGAAGCTTGAGTGGAAGAATGGTGAAATCAATGATGCTTTACAAAAAGTTTATGGGGACAATGCCCCCAAAGAAATCAACAGCTTACAAATGGATAACTGGGAGTGTGGAAGATGGGAGAAAAGTGAAAAGATTGTCTTGGGTGATTTGAAAAGAAAGAAGGGAGAGTTGTTCTTGTCTGGAGATGTAGCCCAATGATTTATTTGGCTAGCTTGGAGTCTCACACTTCAAGTCAACATAAGAAAGGCTCACCCCTGGCCAGGTGTGGTGGCTTACATTTGTAATACTAGCACTTTGGGAGGCCAAGGCAGGAGGATTGCTTTAGCCTAGGTGTTCAAGACCAGACTGGGCAATATAGCGAGACTTCCACTCTACAAAAATTTATTTTTAATTAGCCAGGCATAGTGGCACATGCCTGCAATCCTAGCTACTTAGGGCACTGAGCTGGTATATGTAAAGTTTTTGTTTTGTTTTGTTACTATTATTATATTTTATTTTCTTGCTATAAAGACATAGGTATACGTCAAGTTTTAATAAAATGCCTTTGCTTTCTCTTTAGGAAAATGACTATGGAGTAACCTTATAGCACTATTCCCTGGAAGCTATTCCCCGATAAAGGTGGAATGGCATTGTTAATGAGGAAAATGACATCTGATTGATAAACTGAGGTGGGAGGATGGCTTGAGCCCCAGAGGTCAAGGCTGCAGTAAGCAGCATGCAGTGATCATGCCACTGTACTCCAGTCTGGGCAACAGAGCAAGACCCTACCTCAGAAAAAAAAAAAAGAAAAGAAAAATGAAAGCAAAGGCTCAGATCCTTTCAACAAATGTAAATTAAGTGCCCGCTATGTATTATACAAGGAGATTCAGGTGTTTTAAACACACAATATCCATCCTTTAACCACTCTAAAAGTGAAAATGATTATTATCACGCTACCAGTGGAAACAACTGAGACTTGGGGTGACTGAGTGGCCCCCCTAAAGGCTGCAAGCACCTACCTTATTGCAGGGCTTCATAGATGTTTGTTTTGGAGTAGAAGAAAGTGGAAGGGGAGTTGAAGCCAGATCTGCATTTCCTAGACACCTCTTTGAACTATTCTTCAAATATTCAGTCTTCTATAGCTTCACTGAGGACAAATTTCCCAGAGAAATTTGCTCCACTCAGTCTTTCCATTTTCAACACCTTTTGCATCCCCCACATTGACTATCCCCTCTCTGGCCCCTCTGCCCATAGGCATCAAGCAAACACCCACACTTGGGCAATTACTGTCTTCCAATCCTCCCTTTCTTTGCACAGCTGAAAGTTCAATGTTAAGAAGGCGAAGTAATTAAAAGTATAAAAAGAAAAAAATCACTGTAAAATGAATTGGTGCTCTATGCTGTGGTTCACCTGTTTCTCTTTTGCTTGTCTTTTCACAGCTGAATATATGCACCACTGTACAGCTAATGTACCTGTCCAATCTGATATAGCTTACTCAATTGCCCTATCCATGCAGAGATACATTGATTTTTACTTCAAAACCAACACCACCAAGCTTCCTATTTCATAGAAATTGAAAAAAAAAAGAAAAAGCCCACTTTAAAGAGAAAAGGTCACTTCCTGATTTTGCTAACATCAGGAAACAAAGCTTTAGATCTTTCAGTACCTGCCTCCGTCCCCAACAAAGCCTATAAATCTAGCATAACCAGAGGACAGATGCCTTGACTGATGGTACATGTGAAAAGTTTGAGTAACTCAGAAATTAGCCATTCTTCTTTTCAAAAAATTTCAGATCTTGAACTTCTAAAATGTACTCAGATTCAGATCTCTCTCTTTCTCTCTCTTTCTTTCTTTCTTGAAATAGCGTTTGTTCATCCAAACTTTTTGCACACCAATTATGTTCCAGGAACCATTCCAAGAAGGCACCAGTCCCCTGAGACATCTATGTGCAACATTTTCTATCTACTTCTGTTTCGAAAACATGTGTGAGTACATGCACTTAGAGGCAAAAGGCAGAGTGGGGAGAGACAGATATTTGGAGGATGGAAGTCAGCAAGAGGGAACCAGAGAAAAAGCCAGGCCTGAGCTGAGATCTCTTTTCTGGGATGGTCCTGTGTTTTTGGATCTCTGTAAAATGAAAAAAAAAAAAAAAAAAAAAGCCTTAAAACAAATCGTGTTTTTCCTGATATTTTGTATTTAAAATTACTAGGTAAATGTACAGTTTAAACATTTATTAGGAGCCTGCTAGGCATGAACATGTACAAACCACATGCTGTATTCTCAAGGTGCTTACACTGCATTTGGGGAGAGGCCTACATAGCTACCTAGAATACAGGTAATATAATTACATACTGGTTACAGCAACTTTCTCTGGAATCAGGCAGACCTGTGCAACAATGCTTTGAGAAGAAAGAAGGGAGAGTTGTTCCTCTCTGGAGATGTAGCCCAGTGATTTATTTGGCTAGCTTGGAGTCTCACACTTCAAGTCAACATAAGAAAGGCTCACCCCTGGCCAGGTGTGGTGGCTTACATTTGAAATACTAGCACTTTGGGAGGCCAAGGCAGGAGGATTGCTTTAGCCTAGGTGTTCAAGACCAGACTGGGCAATATAGCGAGACTTCCACTCTACAAAAATTTATTTTTAATTAGCCAGGCATAGTGGCACATGCCTGCAATCCTAGCTACTTAGGGGACTGAGTTGGTATATGTAAAGTTTTTGTTTTGTTTTGTTACTTTCTCCGTCAATTAGTAGCAGTAAAAACTTGGAAAAGCCATTTTGCCACTCCAAGTCTCAGTTTCTTTATCTGCCAAATGTGAATAATAGCATTAGTGGGATTATTGTCAAACTAAGTGAAATTATGAGCATCATGTGCTTAGCACATAAAATCGTAATATGAGCTCACTAAAGGTAGGCCGTTGTTGTGACGGTAAAATAGTAATTAGTACTCTCATCATTATTGATTGCAGGTAGAAGCATAATATGAAACCCTACAGAGGAAAGAAGGATTTCTTTCTTACTGGAAGTTGAGGGAGGAAGCACAGAAATGAGGCAATATATGAGCAGTAACTTTTTTTTTTTTAATGAAAGATGTATGAAAGGGTTTTCGATGTCACAATGAGGATGCCGCCTGCACAAAAATGGAGTCAGGCACTGGGGTTGGAATAAAGAAGTGTGCCTGGAGTCAAGGGAGTGGAATCAGAGGCTGAAAACAAAGCTAAGGGGAAGGCCAGGGAGGCCTTCCAAGGAAACATGACCAGGATTTTGCAGGCACGGGGAGATGTTGAAAGATTTTAAACTGGAAGAGGAAGGGAGTGAAATGAACTAGAAAGAGTTTGGGTTGGAGCCTTACTCGTCAAGCTAGTGTAGAGGTAGAAGAGTTAACCTCAATGAAGTCCCCTAGAGAATGACAGATCAGCTTAAGATTTCCCTACTGTGTACACATAACACCATGAATTGTCTGTTATTAATATAAATTAGGTTATATAATAATTACTTATTTAACTTCTTGTCTTACCCACCTTACTGTAAGTTTCATGAAAGCAGAGATAATGTTTGACTTGCTCATTGTTACATGGGCAGCACCTAGCACATATTAAGCTCTCAAATACCCAATGGATGTCTCTTCCTTTATCCATTATTAATCGATATAGAAGGACTTTCCCCAGCTTTGCAAAGAATGCAGACTCATCTCTCTTCTTTGAATGACAATGGAGTTATTAAGGACCATGTAACTAATAGAGTTTTCTAGCCATTCAGCTATACTGGAAGCCCCCAGAAGCCAGAAAAGTGATGTTCTTTTTTATTTTTTATTTCCTTGAATCTCCTACTTCCCTAGTATTAGTTTATCATTAGTCCTGCATCACTAAAAATCATAAAACTACATTAAAAAAAAGTTTCAGTATTTCCACTTGGTAAAATCTGCCATTATCCTAATTCATTGCAATGGCATGCTTTAAATTCATAGATTACATTCATCTGGTATTTTGGAATATGTTGCATATCTCAAAGCGCTAATATAACCAGCAATATATCCATTTCTCCTTTTAAGCTCATCTGCTTTTTATGACCAAAGAGAGTTATGCAATCCAATGTATCTGCTTCTTTTCCCTGGTTACCAGGAAGCTCATAAATATACATGTTATGCTTAACTATTAAAACTGTTATCAGACAGGATTTCTTAATACATTCACTTTACTCTCTACTTTTATATCTTGACTCCTACCTTTTACTTTGTGTTAATGGCTTCAGTATATACCTGTGCATTTATTTTACATTGTCTCAAAACCTTTTTAAGGTTGACAGGAAGATGATAGATAGGGAGATAGATAGATAGATAGATAGATAGATAGATAGATAGATAGATAGATGATAGATCAATAGATAAATATATGATTTAAATACACACATATATATATCACCAATACTGGAAGTATATCTATCTAACTCCCAGATGGCTTCTGTCCCACCTTTCTATCAGCTCTGTCTTCTTCAGTAATCTATTTTTGTCATCCACCAACCAGAACACATAGCTTCTCTACAATTAGTGAATTCCAAAAAGAATCTTCTCACATGAAGCATGAGTTAACAATTTAGACATTAGGGAAGATTTTATAGAGTTGCCTTTTTTTTTGTACCAATTTATGGGCCACATGTGAAATTTTGTTACATGTGTATAATGCACAGTGATCAAATCATGGTATTTAGGGTGTCCAGCTCCTGAGTAAAGTATATTTTTGTTTAAATATAGTCATACTACTCTACTATCAATCAGTGAATTTATTTTTTCTATCCTCTGTATATTCATACGCTTTAACCCACTTCTCTTTGTCTTCCCACTCCCCCTGCACTCACCCTTCCCAGTTTATATTCTTCATCTTTCTACTCTCTACCTCCACGTGACCCAATTTTTTAGCTGCCACTTGTAAATGAGAACATGTGATATTTGTCTTTTTGTGCCTGCTTATTTCACTTAAGATAATGATCTCTAGTTTAATCCATGTTGTTGCAAATGACATGATTTTAGTCTTTGTTATGGCCAAATAGTATTTCATTGTGCATATATACCATATTTTCTGTATCCATTCATCTGTTTATGAACACTTAAGTTGATTCCACATCTTTGCTATTGTGAATAGTGCTGCAGTAAACATATGAGTGCAGGTATCTCTTTGATATACTGATTGTTTTCCTCTGGGTAGAGACCCAGTAGTGGGATTGCTGGATCAAATGGTAGTTCTATTTTCAGCTTTATGAGGACTCTTCGTATGATTTTTCATGGTGGCTGTACTGGTTTACATTCCTACCAATAGGGAATTGAGTTCCTTTTTCTCTGCATGGAAGTGTATTAGGAAATGCATTTCTGTTCTTTTTCCCAGATCTCTTTCGGTTACCCTGCCTTGAGTCTATTTTAATACTCTAAACCAAGGGTCAGCAAGCTTTCTCTGTAAAGGTCTAAATAGCAAATATTTTAGACTTCGGCAGCTGTGAGGTCTCTGTTGAAACCACTCAGATTTGCTGTTGTAGTGGAATTGAAGCCATAGATGTATACACAAAGGGATATAATTACATTTCAATACAACTTCAATTACAAAAATAGGTGCCTGCCAGATTTGGCCTATGGTTCAGTTTGCTAGCCCTGTTCCAAATCTTCCTCCCACTGCCCCTGTCCTCACTGGGCCCTCTCAATGAAGTGTCACTGTGGCTCGACTCCAACATCCAATCTCTTCAAGTTAGCCCCAGCAAGACAAAGAGCTCTAAAGTTAAAGGGACAGGACCCTCCCTCCTCAAAAGGCCATTTAGTTACATGTGTTATTGCTTGAATATACCCTGGGTGAGTCTGTCCTTGTCTCACATATACCCATAGTTTAAAAATATATATTCCTACCATGTACAGTGATCATCAAAAGATAATCTTAAATGGATAAAATTATTAAGTTACTTTTAATGGCAAAAACCGCAATCACTTTTGCACCAATCTAATGATTTTTAAATGGAGTAAAATGTCTCCATTCTATTCCAAATATATCTGCATTCCAGAAAGGTTCTGAAGGTATTTCTAGAGCCTGCAGCCGTAGTCAAGGTTAGAAAGAGGGCTCAATAAAGGGAGCAGAAAAACTAGTCTGTAAACCAACATGACCCAGCTACATGGCCCCAGACAATAACTTTTATTATGCCTCAGTTTCCCTACCTACACAATGGAGGTGGTAGTTTACCTGTCCAAAGGCTAAATTTTGGACCAGATGATCTCTTGGAGATTGTTTCCCTAAATCAGTGTTTTTCAAATGGTCTCAGGCATCTGCATTCCCTGGGGTGCTTTGTTAAAACAGACTACCAGACCCCAGCCTGAGTTTCTGAATTAGAGTAGGTCTAGAGGGTCTTAAAGTGGCACCAAGTTCCCAGGTGCTACTGCTGCCACTGCTGGTGTGGGCTTACACCTGAAGGCCTCTAGTCTCTACAACAGAGATCTCCCAGTCCCTTATACAGGAAAGCAATGTTGGAGGAATGGCTACTGCTGGCTTCCCTTTACTTTTCAAAATGGCTTTCCTTCTTGAAGGGATGAGACGTTAGTTCTATTTGCCCACTGAGTCTCAGGCACTGCAGCCACATCTCAGCAGCCAATTCCAGGCTGAAAGGAGGCTGGGTGGTCACTCTCATGAGGCCATTCTCTGGAGAAAGATAGAGACACGGAGTACAGTTGAGAAGAGAGAGGCAAGAATGCCACCACACAATTCCTTTACATAAGCCACTCTTCTAGAACTTTCTCTTTCCATAAACATGAAGCATAGATTGAAGGTCAACCCTGCATATATGACCAGCAGCAAGAAACGCAAGGTGGGATGCAAGGACTTAGAAGACTAGGAAAGTGCAGACCGCCCTCAGGGACTCTCATCTTATGAGCAAGGCAACATTTACATGTGTTTACACACTTGGGTTCCACATCAAGAGAAGTAGATAATTAGACAATTAGGTTATGTGGCATGAAAATAGAGGCATTCCAGAGAGGGTGTTGGTGGACTTGAGAGATCTGGGCAAGCATTCCTGGAGATGGTGAGGCGGGTTGGCAAAGGCTGGAAGGGAGAGGAAGAACAGGAGCAGTGGAAAGCCAAGTAAAACACGAGAGGAAGCCTGGATGCACCTGGAATATTAGCAGAGCCGACATGAGAATGAGCAGAGAGGGCCGGGCAAGCAGAGGGGGTTGGGTGCGGTAGCTCATGCCTGTAATCCCAGCACTTTGGGAGGCCGAGACAGGCAGATTACGAGGTCAGGAGTTCAAGACCAGCCTGGCCAACATGGTGAAACCCTATCTCTACAAAAGATTAAAAAAAAAAAAAAATAGCCAGGCCTAGGGGTGTGTGCCTGTAATCCCAGCAACTCAGGAGGCTGAGGCAGGAGAATCACTTGAACCTAGGAGGCAGAGGTTGCAGTGAGCCGAGATTGCGCCATTACACTCCAACCTGGGTGACAGGGCGAGACTCAGTCAAAAAAAAAAAAAAAAAAAAAAAAGGAGAGAGAATGAGCAGAAGGGACTCTTACACCTGTCTCTCTCCCTGATGGTATGTACTTCCTTTAGTTGTTCCCATTTCTGTGTCCCAGTTTCCTCCTTTTGTGGAATGAAGGATTCAAGCCAAATTTTCTGAAGTTTCTAAATTTTATTCACCTTGGAGAGACCCCATGCCAGAAAAGGGCAAATGAGCAGGTGAAGCTTAGCCCTTCTCTTTGTCCCACCTGTGCTTCAGCCAAAGCAGCCCTGTTTTCTTATGTTTTTATATTCCTTATACAGCTTTGCTTCCAGAAAGGATTTAAAACTTACTCAACAAGAAATTCTATAAAGGCTCCTTCCATCTGCACATCGTACAGCTTGAGTAGAAGACAGAAAGAAGCCAGTTAGCACAGGTCATGGATTTCTATGTTGGCCAGGCTAGATTCTAGAACAGCTGGAAAGCAGAGAGGGGCTTAGAGCAATGGGGGTGGGAAATAGGGAGCCACTGAAGGTTTGTGAGTAGAGGAGTGTCACAGCAAAAGAATGAATTGAGCCCACAAACTACTGTACTAGGAACTGATCCGAAAATCTCAACTGCTCAGAAAGTTGAGTAAAAACAAAGGGTGATTTTTCCCCCTTGTCAGCCTTCCCTCCCAGGACATTGTATTGTATGCAAAACGGGTAACTGTAAGACAAACATTTTTTTCCACTGCCCTTCTCAGCCCCACAGGCCTTCAGGAAGACCCGAACTTCAAGCAAAGCCTTTTTATTTTTCAACACCCACAGCTTCCATTCAACAATCAGAAGTTTTCCACTTTGATCAAAGAGGCTGAACAAGAGGGCCAAGGGAGCAGCTGGTTCTCAGCAACTCTGGGCAGACCACAGAGCCCTTGCTACCCACTCACTGTCCGTGCCCACCAGAGGACACAGCCTTCTCCCCAAATCAGCCAGGTACATGCCCCAGAAAACACTGGCTTGCCTCGTTCCCACCTTAATTACCGGACCAAACGAACGTGAACACACTGTTTTCAAAACCAAACTCAATTGGGATCACGGGGGCCTCGGTTTCCTTGATTGTAAAATGGGTATATCGCCCCCCACTCTATTTAGCCCAAGAAAACAATTTATCTCTTGATGTCTCTTTCGTCTCCAGGATCTATGCTTTTACAGACTCACTGGGAGGAAATATCCAGACCAAATCCTAAAGCCTGATCTAATTTGGGAGATGCTCAGAAGTTTTGGTTCTATGCAAGAACAGCAGTGGTAATAATCCAAGCTTGGCTTTAGACACAGGACGTTTCCTTAGGGGCATCTGGGATCTCTGCTGGCTCAAAGTGATGCGCTGCAGACAAAAAGTGAGCAGAAAGGAAAGGAGGTGCTATGCAGAATGAGCTTCTTCCACGGTGATACCAAATGGAGCTTTCAAAGGCCCACATCTGGAGGCAGCAGCTATGCAGTGATTAACATTTTAAACGGTATTTTGAAATGGAGATCATTAGTAACCACAGATGTGATCTGACTCTGTCCCCCAGGTAATCTGTCTATTGTATCTAAATTCCAGACTTAGCCCAGTAGACAGCTTGGGATGTTTAACAGGAATTGTCCAACACCATCCCCAAATCTATTTTTATTCATGGAGTACTCTGACATCATCTCGCTTGGTCTTCCTGATGACTGTAATGCAGATTGGGAACAGAGAAAGCCATAAAGACTTGTATGATGGCCCAAGGCTAAGAAGGGAAAGGGCTGAGACCACACTTCAGGTTTTAGCTTTCAGGTGCAGTGAAGATTGAATGACTTAGCACGAGCTTTCAGCCAGGCAGGCTGCAAAGTGCACCCAAGTTCTTTCAGTGATCGACACTTGCGACTTAGGTTGAGATAGTTTTCATCCTCCCTGAGCCTCAGTTTTCCCATCTGTAAAAAATAAACATTGCCTGCCTCGGAGGGTGGAGGTGGAAGTGGAATGAAGCCACATGTAACTCCTAGCGCTGTGCCTGAGACAGTAGAGGTTCAATTATAGTAGTCACATACACACACAACACATACATACACAAGACACAACACACCACACACAACACATACATACACACCACACACAACACTTACATACGCACCACACTCGGCATGCATTGCAGATCACAAATGCACACCACACACACACTGCATACATATACCATAGAGAACACACAACACCTACACATACCCCCATACCACAAATACACACACACTACATAGTACACCACGCAGAACACACACAGCCCCCATATTCCACACCACACCATCTCACTGCCAATTCCTTCCCCTCTTCATGAGTTTTACGGCAGGTCCAGGTTCATCTGCCAGTTTAACAGATCCCAAAACTTCTGCAGGAGTGTTTGTTCAAAAGATTGATATTTCCAGATTCCTGCTTTCTGACAGTATCTTTGAACCCCAAATTTCATACTGCCATGAGCCAGTCCCCCTTTGGAGAAATATCTCCATTTGTGTGCCCTTTTTCCCCCAGGGAACCTGCAGCATGTCCCTTTTTCAGCAGTAGCCTATCAAACCGAACCCTTTGGAGTTATTACACTGCAGTCCGAGGGATCCGGCCTCCCTGAGACCCAGCAAGGACTCATTATCTGGGGAGGTCTTCTGAGCCACAGGCCTCGCTGAAAGAAGGTGCAGCTTCTTGAACAGGAAGGCGTTTTGTGGCAGAGTCTAAACGAAACAGAAGTTGCTTTGTGTGTGCGCACGCATGCACACACACACACACACACACACACATACACACACACAGTCGGGGAACCGTCATTTTCCTACGCGCCCTCTGACATCAGCCACCTTCTCTGTAGCTAGTTTCTCTGCACACAACTTAATCCCTGGCAATGAAAAATGAACCTCTCCCCCACCCTTGCTGCCGCCTCTCGCCTCACGCCCCCAGAGAAGAGTTTCTCCACCAGGCAGCAGGTGAAGGTTTTTTTCCAAGTCACATGATTCAGGATTCAGGGGGAGAATCCTTCTTGGAACAGAGATGGGCCCAGAACTGAATCAGATGAAGAGAGATAAGGTGTGATGTGGGGAAGACTATATAAAGAATGGACCCAGGGCTGCAGCAAGCACTCAACGGAATGGCCCCTCCTGGAGACACAGCCATGCATGTGCCGGCGGGCTCCGTGGCCAGCCACCTGGGGACCACGAGCCGCAGCTATTTCTATTTGACCACAGCCACTCTGGCTCTGTGCCTTGTCTTCACGGTGGCCACTATTATGGTGTTGGTCGTTCAGAGGACGGTAAGTGGACTCCTCTTCCTCCCTTTCCTTTTCTTGTTGTTTTCCCGAGAGAAAGAGCCCTGGGAACAAATGATATTCGTTTGTTGGTTAAGAGCACAAAATAAAATTAAATAAATAAACTCTCTCTCTCTATATATATATATATACTATAGTATATACTGTATAACGTAATACACTTATGTTACATAATATATATTATATTATACAGTATATATTATATATATATATATATATGAGAAAGGGAGAAAAGAAAGAGGAACTTAACTCTCTAAAATAATTTGGCTTGTTGAGAAAAATATTGTTAGACCATCATCTTAAAACTTTGCAGATCTGTCTGAGCAAAACAGTGGAGGGGAGCTATTGGCCTTTTAAAGTTAAGATTTAAATCTTAATGAGCCAGAGACCCATATCAAGGAAGGAAGCAATAGAGAAACCTGATAACACATTTGCACAAGTTGTTATCATGTCTTCAAGGACTTCAGACTGGATTCTGAGGTTCTATATCCTAAGTCTGAGTGTCCTGGAGGTTTCTGAGGCCTCACCCATTGCCAAGAGTTTTGTTTTTGCTTTTGTTTTATACAAGGAGCTAAGTTTCAGAGGCCAAGGTCTAGAAGGAAAGGAGGCGAAAGAGAAGACCATGGCTTCTTAGAGCTTTGGACATTTTGGTGTTAAAGCCAGCAAGACAAATCGAAAGCTTCCTCTTAAGCCACAACTTTGAAGAAGTTAGGGCGTCACAAAAAAAAAAAAAAAAGAAACAGCACATAGAAGCAGAAAGTTGAAAGGTTTTTAGCACCTGTTCTCTCTGATGTTCCTCACAATACTAAGCAATCGTTGGGTACACACTGTACAGGGTCAGACTGTCTTCGGAGATTTACTTTGAAGTAAATGGTAAGATTTGTTTCTGAAAACAGAAGAGGAGGAGAAAGAGGAAGCTTCTTCATATTTTAGAAAATTGGTGTTTACAGAGAATCTACCAGTATATATTATATAGAAAATGCTGTAGTAATAGCATATATTGCTCATGAATTTTTTGATGAAGTTGTTAATGGGTAATTTAAGAGCTGCACCCACCCACATGACCTGCCAAAGTGAGAATATTTCTGTTTCTTACTTCATAGTGCCTACTTTTCGTGGTATTATAATCCTGCTGAATTTATTCTGGTTTTTCTTCAGTTTTCTTAGGCCAAGTACTCTATAGCTTATCAATTGCTGGAAAGAACTAGGCTTTAAAAGGCTTTGATATCTATTTCTCAAGTGTCATCAAGCTTTGAAATTAAATGGAAGCTTTGAAGCTCATATCTCTACAAAAGTGAAAAGAAGGAGTTGCAAATATTTGATTTAGATAGTGGAATTCTTAAAACTCATAATTTAATGGCTTATCTACATCTATTAAGTATAATAATCTTGAAAACACTTTAGGACATCTTTTCTTCTGCAGGGGCTCTGCAATTTCTGTAATTCTAATTTGGAGTGAACCAAGGGTATGTCATTTTATAGCAATGGCCAAAGAAAAGAAATTGAAGTGTCCTTTAAGAAGTTCTTTAGTTAAAGGATCCAACTAGAACTGCTGAGAGAGAGAGAGAGATGGTGGAAAAATGGGTGGCGATGGTGATATATAAAGCTAGAGAGAACTTCAGAGCTCATTCATATCCAACTTTTAGTTGAATTGATTTCTTCTATAAAAGAACCAGAGCAGATCTTTCTGCCTCATTTTTGTAAATGTGGAAAATGAGGAGCAGAGAGGGAACAGGGCTTGAACTACGTCACCCTGAGAAAGTGGTAGAGCCAATACTGCTTGATTGCTTGATGCAAGCAGCATCCCCTTTGCCAATACAGACAGCCACAGAAGCACTAAGAAACATTGCACCCACTCTTCTCTTGGGAGCTTTATCTTCTTGTGCATCCACTTCCTTGACTTACCCCTCATGTTTGGATATGAAAAGATTCACTGTGCAATCTGATTGTACAGTGCGGTGTGCTGTGATTTCTTAGACCAGGAAATATCAGTTGCTTCCTTAAAATTAAGGCTTGCCATGTTAATAGTAGCCGTGGTATATAAAGTGTCAAATGCATTGCACATATCATTTTCAATAAATTCCTCAGACCTTAACTGTTGTAAGACCTAACAAGAAAAAAAAAAGCATCATTTTCCCATTAACTTGAGTTATCAGGAAGGGTTTCCTATAGGAAGATGGAATGTAGACTGACTTGAAAACAGGAAGAACTCAGACAAGTGAAGAGACTCTAAAAGAAACTCTAGGAAAGAAATCAATGGGAGAAAGCCAAGGAGCTTAGACTCACATCACCATTATTAAAAATGGAATGAGTTAATGGTCAATTAGCACTCTGTATGTGATGGGAACAGGGGTGGAGAACCATAAGAATGGTTTTACTGGCACAAGAAGTCACACAATTCTTATCCCAAGGCACGTGTATAGACAAAATTTAAAACAGCTAAGTCATAACATATAATGAGTGATTAAAGGGATACCATGACACCACAAGTTAAGGAGAGAATATATTTTTCCAGACAGGTTTAAGAAAAACTCCTGGGGATTAGTTTCAGGTTGGCTTGAGAAATGTGAACAATTTCAAACAGGCAGGGAAGGGAAAGCAGAGGAGAGGCACTCCTAGCCAATGGAACAGCATGAGCAAAGAGACAGAGGAGAGAAGACAGAGAAAGTGTAGGGAAATCAACAAAGCTTGCCTTGAGGTTTGACTTGAAGATCAGATAACTCCAAGCTTAAACTCCTTGGGAGAGACAAAGGAGGAACTTAGGTTTCTATCTCAAATATTTATTAAATATCTACTGTGTGCAGGACATTGTTCTAAAGCCTTGAAAAAAAACAACAAAATCCCTGTCTTTGAGTTACTATGGAACTTACTTCTTTCCTGTGATATTTTTGAAGCCTCAGTGGTGGTTGTATTTTGTTTTATTTACATTTAAGCCAGCATATTTATAAAATAAATACTATTTTATATAATAATATTACTTTATATTATAAAATAAACATTTTATATTATAAATATATTATAAAATAAACATTTTATATTATAAATATATTATAAAATAAACATTTTATGTTATAAATATATTATAAAATAAACATTTTATATTATAAATATTATATTATAAAATAATATTTTATGTTATTTAATATTTTATAATATATTGATATATTTTATAATATTTATATTAGGAAATACTATACTTACATGGTTTAAGAAAAGTAACTAGCAAATAAGAGAAAAGAAAGTAAAAATCTTCACACCTTCCCCACCCAACCACTAATCCCTCTTCACGGAGATAACCACCATTGACAGATTCTTGTGTGTCCTTCCAAAAATCTGTGCATCTACAAATACACAGTACACATTATAATATATAATAAACCCATGGGTCATTATAATAAACCCATAATTTTGCATCTTGCTTTATTCACTTGACAACACACTGTATATCTTAGAGATCCTTCCATGTCAGTACATAGAAGTTCATTTCATTCTTTTGAAGAGTCGCATAGTACGAAGTGTAAATGCTTCATAATTTATCTGTGCCTGGTGAGAGACATCAATGTTTTCTCTAGAATTTGTGCCCTCTGTGCGTGTCTGCAAGTATATCTGGGGAATAAATTTTTAGTGATAGGAATGGAATGTGCATTTTCTTTTTTTCTTTTTTTGGAGACAGTCTCGCTCTGTCGCCCAGGCTGGAGTGCAGTGGCGCGATCTCTGCTCACTGCAAGCTCCGCCTCCCGGATTCCCCCCATTCTCCTGCCTCAGTCTCCCGAGTAGCTGGAACTACAGGTGCCCGCCACCACGCCTGGCTAATTTTTTTGTATTTTTAGTAGAGACGGGGTTTCACCGTGTTAGCCAGGAGGAATGTGCATTTTCGCTTCAATAAATGTCAGTCTGTCTCCAAAGAGATTGTACTAGTGTACCCCTGAGGAATTAAAAGTCCTACCAACAGACACTTCTTTACATCAATATGGAAAGAAAAAAATGATTTACTGTTGAGCAAGCACAATTGTACATGCAAATAGGCAGCCTGCAACAGACTACAAAGTCAGGATGAAATTTCACACAATTAATCTAGCAAAGCAAAAGAAGAAAAAATAAAACTTCTCTTATCTCCTCAAGAGACAGGGGAATACATAATGAGATAGACAATGAGATAGACTCCTAGGTTAACACCACAGGTAGGTGTTTACATTTCAAAAAGCCTCTGAAGCCCTCAACCTTAGAGACGTCTTTGTTTTGTAAACCAGGAGACTGGGCTTCTCTAGCCCCAGGGGAGAATGTAAAGGGTTACATTCCAAAAGGTTGGAGTATAGGGTTCACAATCGGTAGGCTTTCAAGAAAGAAGCTGCCTCTTTTCCCTTTATAAGCAAAAAAAATTCTTTTTTTAAAAATAATAATAATAATACTCTTTTTAAATTATCTCCACACCAACAGTGGAGCTGAGCACCTGTTTAAGGGGAGTAATTATTGGTGGTGGTGATGGTGGTGTGGTATTTTGGGTTTATTTTTAAGCTCAGATACAAAATAGAAGTGTAGGGTAAACACACCTGATATAGCAATAACTGAAGCATACCCTTAGAATAACCACATATGGCAGACACGTCTGAATGGGTGTTCCAAGCTAGAGAGTCCAGGAGTGGTCAACCTGGAGACTCATTCCTTGTCTGTGAGGAACATCTGAGCCCCCAGCCCATCCCGTGGAACATGGGCCATACAGGAGATTGAGGCCTGAGTTTTTGGTTACATGAAGGCTGCCAGGTGGAGGCCATTAAGGGGAGGCTGTTAAGTGAGCATGCTATAGAAACTGCATGCTATTTGCAAGTGGTTGTGGTTTTCCTGCCCAACCCACCACCACTGGACGGTATATAAGGTGAATATGTTGTCCAGCCTGCTGCCATGAGATCATTTCTGTCCGTAAAGCAGTTTTCCTGTTCAGCTCACTGCCACTGGACTCTCTCCCCTGTATGTAAGCCCCCAATAAAACCCCACATCTTGTTTGCTGACTCTACACCTCTTCTTTAGCCTCTTGAACATGGTGCCTTCCCTGTTGAGCTAATAGGAGTTCGGCACAAGAAGAAGTTATTTGGAATGCCCCATGACACTTCCCACTACCCAAGGTACTCCCTCCACCTGACATTCATTCCATTTAGCAATCCAGAAAAATCCACTGTAAATCTTCCCAGGAGCGAGCCCTGTGTGAGGTTATGTGGGGAGGTCCCCAGTGGAAGGGGCAAGACCCTGTCTTCTGGGAACTCTGTTAAATTGAGCAGATGAAGCCCAAACACCAAGTTCTTGGGTTCCGGGCAGAATGGCACAGAATGCCACAGAGCAAAGGAGAAGTCATTTCTGCTTGGGATGAAGGAGGAGTTTGTAGAAGAGCTAGAACAAAAGCCAGGCTTCCAAGAATTACAACAGTCATGGCTTATTCCCAAAGTCTTATTTTGAAAATGTTCAAACCTACAGAAAAGTGGAATGGCAAATGCTAATATAACCTTGGCACCTAGATTGCTGTGTCAATATCTTGCTGTATTTTTGCTCTCTCTATATAAGGATATGAAAGTAAGCTGGAGGCAGCATGACCTTTCACTCACATGTACTTCAGTACCCATCTCTTAACTAACTGCAATGCCATTATCATTGCCAAGAGAGTTAATATTAATTCAATAATATCATCTAATAATAATATATGGTCCATATTTTAATTTCTTTACTTGTTCAAAAATGTCTTATAGGTATGGCTGTTGTGTTTTTGTTTGTTTGAACCAATCTAGGGTCACATACTGTGTTATGATAATATCTGTTTTAATCTAGAACTTTGCTTTTTAAAGTGTGGTCCTGGGCCTTGTTAGAAATTCAAAATCTCAGGGCTCACCCCAGATCTCCTGAATCCGAATCTGCATTTTAACAAGCTCCTCAGGTGATCTGTATGCACATTAAAGTTTGAGAAGCACCGAGCTAAAATCTCCTTTGCCCTTTGGTGTTTGTTTTAAATAACATTGACCTTTTTTTAAAGGGTCCAGGCCAATTCTGTTGTAGAAATCCATTCATAGCCTGGATTTGTCTTAGTATTAACTCATGGTTATACTCAGATGAAACATTTTTAGTAAGAATAGTATATAGGTAATTCTATATACGTCTTATTGTAGCACAGCTAGAGACATATGTCAGGTTGTCCCATTTTTTTTGACTATAGGTTTAGTCACTTGATTAAAGCGGTGACCACCAACTATCGCCTTTGTAAAACATTTTTTCTTTCTCATTAACAAGTAATCTGGCCAGGAGCAGTGGCTCATGCCTGTAATCCCAACACTTTGGGAGGCAAAGGTGTGTGGATCACTTGAGGCCAGGATTTCAAGACCAGGCTGGCCAACATGGCGAAATCCTGTCTCTACAAAAAATACTAAAATTAGCCGGATGTGGTGGCACACACCTGTAGTCCCAGCTACTAGGGAGGCTGAGGCAGGAGAATCTCTTGAACCCAGGAGGCCAAGGTTGCAGTGAACAGAGATGGCACCACTGCACTCCAGCCTGAGTGACAGAGTGAGATTTCATCTCAAAAAAAAAAAAAGAAAGAAAGAAAGAAAGAAAGAAAGAAAGAAAGAAAGAAAGAAAAAGAAAGAAAAGTAATCTATGTATGGGATAATACTCTGAAGACATAAATACTCTTCACTTGGTGGTTTTGCCATTTCTTAATGATCCTTGTCTGAATCAGCTAATGCACTGAGGGTTGAAAAAGAGGGAATGCCTAAGTCTGTCACTCCTTCCAAATTTATTAGCTGTCATTCTTCTGTAGAGAAGAGCTCCCCATTGGAAAGATGGTGGCAGGAGGAGGAGGAGCAGGATATTCCAGGTGAGGCAAAAGAGAAAGCAGTGGCACAGCCCATAAGAAGGCAAGCCCAGGTGTGAGGAGAGGAATGGTAGGGCCAGAAGTCAGTCCAGATTGTACAGAGGAGAAGAAACGGAACTAGATGATAAAAAGATTTGATAGAAGAGACGGAGAGGACAGGATATCACTGCCATCTTCAAACTAGAAAGATTTCCTAAGCCCATATCTGAGCCCAAATCTATACTCAGCCTCCTACAGCCATCTCTCAAGACCTCAGGTGTTCTGATTGCCTACTGAGTAGTGTATTTAAGACTTTGCTACTCAAGGTGTGGTCCATGGCCTGGCAACATTGGCATCACCTGGATGCTCATCAAAAATGCAAAACCTAAGGGCCCCTCCCTACTGAGTCAGAATCTGCTTTTACCAAAATCCCCCGATGCTGGTCAGTCTTTTAAAGTGGGAGAAGCACTGCTTTAAGCCACTGTGGTCCACTTCTCACTTTGGCAGACCATGTGCTCCCAGTAAAAATAGTCTTCCCCTGAGGATTTTCTATGACTTCTATTCACTTTTCCATGAAATTTCAGGAGATTTTTCTGCTCAGCTTTATCCTGCCCTCATCTAGAGAGGCAATGTAGCAGGACATTGAAGAGCAGTGCCTTCAAAGTCAAACACCTAAGTTTGAATCCCTTCTGTGCTATTCGCCACCTGTGGGACCTTCTATAAACATTATCACATTATGAAATCACTTCTCTAAGTCTTGATGAATCCGTAACTCTTGGGGTCAAGTTAAAGGCCAAATGAAATAGTGCATGTAGAGTAACCCTCATTAAGTGCCCAATGAATTAGCTTGAAAATAAGAGGTATCCTTGGCAAAAGTCCCTTTGGGCCATGAGCCAGAGCCCACCTTACAAGACTATGTGAGGGCAACAAGGAAAGGAATGTGGACTTCCCCTGGCATATTCCAAACAGAGCTGCCTTTGATCATTTTTGGTCCACGGGGGCATTTTGTGTCCAAAGCAAATTCAGGAGCTCATTGCATCTGCTGATCATTCCTCTGTGAAAAGAAACAAGCCTTTCAAGGTATTGAGGCAAATTAAGCACATCATTAACACCAAGGCAGTGCTCAAAATAGCTATGCTTTTCAAATACTTGCTAACACTTTATAATATCTTATGATGTCCACAATAACCCAGTGGAAAGATGGATGATTAGCCATCTAACCACTGATTAAAGGAGAAGAAAACACTCCAAGGCAAGGAAGATGGTTGGGATGGGGGTCATTTTACCTGGAGACAAACAGGTTAAACATGACCATTCCTCCCTCCATACATGAAAATAACTTTATTACTGTTGGGAATACTCATCAGACATCTACAGAGGCCAAAAACAGAGGAAGTACACTTAAGGAAGTATACCTCGTTGATAACCACGGAGACAAAGTTTCCTGAGCTACTCAGTGGAGCTGAGAATGAAAACCTGGGAGAGTCCATTTGTTTGTGCCTGCATTCAGCCTAGGCACTACCTTACACAAAGCCAAGTCATTGAGCAAGATAGTTCACATTTCCTGAGCTAGGACCCAGATCCCCAGACAAGATTAGGGAGAGAATTCTAGGACTGGGGGACATCTTGCCAAAGAGGAGTTGGTGAACAACACTTAGTGTAATACCTGTTTATGAACAGTCTTCACTGAATTTCAACAGCCATCATCTCCTTAGACATTGCTTCTCCACCTCCAAATGCAGGGACTGCTTATGGGAGAGGGGAGGAGGGAGGAATGAGCTCTTCTATCCTTTGTTTCTGGAAACAGCATCTCTCCTAGGGCAGTGGAAAGTACACCAGAGAATTTCAGTCCAAGATCTGCCTCTGACTCATGAGTGCCTTGGTTTCCTCCTCCATAAAATTAGCTTGATGGACTGAAAGATGTCTCAATCTCCCTCTGGCTTTGATTGTCTAATCTTGACTACCATGGGTAGCTAGGAGAAGCTGTAAAGACCTCATCCCAAGAGCTCTTCAAAATAGGAATAGTCACGCTTCTGTCATGGACTTCCTGGGCCCTGGGTGAAGGTTTAAATGACAGGTTTCTTTCCTGTTTGAGATGCTCTGCTTTTGACATCCCATGTCTGAAATTAGGAAACCAGAATGCATTCAAGTGACAGAGAGAAAAGAGGCTTTCCTTGACCCCCATATAAATTAGGTCCTCCTCTCTGATATTACTTCTCACAGCTGTGCTATTCAAAGTGTTCTGTGGGCCAGGAGTGTCAGTATTACTCGAAAGCTGCCAGAAATACAGAATGTTGGCCAGGTGCGGTGGCTCACGCTTGTAATCCCAGCACTTTGGGAGGCCCAGGCGGGCAGATCACAAGAGGTCAGGAGTTCAAGACCAGCCTGGTCAACATGGCGAAATCCCGTCTCTACTAAAAATACAAAAATTAGCCGGGGGTGGTGGTGGGCCCCTGTAGTCCCAGCTACTGGGGAGGCTGAGGTAGAGGAATTGCTCGAATCCAGGAGATGGAGGCTACAGTGAGCCGAGATTGCGCCACTGCACTCCAGCCTGGGTGACAGAGTGAGGCTCCATCTCAAAAAGAAAAAAATGCAGAATGTTAAACTCCCCCCAAATCTGCAGAATCAGAATTTGCATTTTAACGAGACTCCCAGGTGATTCATATGCACATTGAAGTTCTAACAGCACTACCTTAAAGCACTATGATTCTTTTCCTCCATAGCTCTTGCCACAACCTGCAATTCTAATTACACATTTATTTATATTTTTTAAATGGCTGCCTTAATGACTAAAGCATAAAATCCATAGGATGTCTTTTAGTGACTAACGTAGTTCCTACCACAGACCAGGTGCTCATTCAAGGTGTGCTGCATGAATGATTCTCTAGGACTTCCCGAACTGCTAGCAGCCTCTGCAATGATGGCTGTACCAGGTTTGCTATTCTAGCCTCTCTCACTGTCCCTGTATATGTCCCTGGGCAGCTTGATGAATTTGATGATTGTGGTAAGACATTTCAATGCAGATATTTTTCTTAGTGCATTTGCACATCATGCTAATCAATGGTCACGCTTGGCAGTAAGTTGTAAGTTGTTTATTAAATTTTAAAATGTTGTGTGTTGTCTCACAAGGGCAACATAAAGGGGAATTTTGTGATATCAAGTTTTCCTGCAAACTGCATGCATAACTGAAAGACTACAAAAACTTAGCTTTGTTAGGTTAAAAGCTTTCAACTAAGGCAACAAAGTCGTAGACTGTTACAGTAGGAAGGGCCTTCCAGGACAAGTTTGCCTCCCTTCCCCTGAGAAGGTAGGGCCCAAATGTTTAAGCTGACTTCCCCCATCTCCAGATTGGTGCTGTGCCAGGGCTTTGCCTTCAGGAGACCTCCTTGACTCACTACCAACCTCTTGCACTAGAGAAGAGATCCATTCATAAGAAAACAAGCTTTCAGCGGAAGGCAAATGACAGACCTCCCAGGGAAATGTTACAATAATAGGGGAACTCCAGATGGTCCTAGTGTTCATACAGAACACTAAGAAAATAAGCTGTGGGCGGCTGCTAATTTCTTGCTTTGGTAGAGGTTAGGAAGTTGGTTTTTTCGCATACACACGCTCACACCTCTCTAGGTCTTTACTAATATTTTAATTCAATGCAATACAGGAGATTCCAACCTGGGCAGGTCAAAAGATGAATAAAATACTTCATTCCTTATTGGCAGAATATTGTATGGGTGTCTCCATGGCTGGAGAGAAAGGGGAGGGACAATCAGGGTGTGAAACTTAGTGTCTGAAGAATTTATTAGGGGAAAAGAACTGTGCCTCTCTGCTTCTGTTAACTCCTTGTTGAGAGTCCTTGAACTAGAACCTCCCTTTAGTCACCTTCAATCCCCAGCCCAGGATTCCCTCCTTCAAAAGACAATCTGTTTCTATCAACCTCTTATTTGTGTAAATATTTATGTATATATTTATTACAGAATAAATAATATACTATGTAAATGTTTAAATATATAATATGCATTTGTATGTATACTACATGTGTATACATATTTGTATATTTAAATATAAACTTGTAATAAATCCATAAGGATGGGGACCCAATTTAATTATGTATGGTGTCCTCACAATGCTTGGCATATAAACACACAATTAATTCAGAATTTCCAACCACAGGAGACATAGAGATGTACCTTCCCAGGTATGTTTACAACATACGTTCACAGATGAATCAAACATGGAAAAAAAAAAAACACATCTACTTTTATGATATACTTGATTATTCTCATGTTGACCAGAAGGAAAAAAAAAGAAAAAAACACCCAAACATATGGAGGGGGGAAAAGCACCAGATTGGGAGTTGAGTCCTGGCTCTAGCCGAGTGTGATAGCTCACACCTGTAATCCCAGCACTTTGGGAGGCTGAGGCGGGTGGACCACAAGGTCAGGAGTTCGAGACCAACCTGGCCAATATGGTGAAACCCTGTGTCTACTAAAAATACAAAACTTAGCTGGGTGTGGTGGTGGGTGCCTGTAGTCCCAGCTACTCTGGAGACTGAGGCAGGAGAATCACCTGAACTGGGAGGCGGAGGTTGCAGTGAGCCAAGATAGTGCCACTGCACTCCAGCCTGGCAACAGAGCAAGACTCCTTTTTTTAATTAGCTGAGTGTAGTGGTGTGCACCTGTACTCCCAGCTACTCAGGAAGCTGAGGCAAGAGGATCGCTTGAACTCAGGAGGATGAAGCTGCAGTGACCCATGATCATACCACTGCACTCCAGCATGGGTGACAGAGTAAAACTTTGTCTAAAAAAAAAAAAAAAGTCCCAGCTCTGGTCCCTGATCTTCTATAAATTAACTATGTGGCCCTAGGCAAGTCATTTTATCTCACTCAACCCCGTGTCTCTTGCCTGTGGAACGGGGACAGTAATCCTCATCTTGCATTTCTAATAGATTGTCAAACAAATGGATAGAAAGCCCATTGGAAACTACATCAGTGAATTAATTTTTAAAATTCAGGTGGAGGATGAATTGTAAATTGCACAGTACTTTAAGGACAACAAAATGAAAAAGAAAAAAAAAAGTTGTTTCAACTGAATGTCACACCTCATGCTGCTTTTTTCTTTCTTTTCTTCCAGGACTCCATTCCCAACTCACCTGACAACGTCCCCCTCAAAGGAGGTAAGATCTTGGAATTAGGTGTAAATGTGTAGTAAGTCATCTAGATAAATGCCATAAAGTGTGAAACCTGATTATCAACCAGAAACAACTCTATGACATGACCCAACAGTAAAGTGGGTAGGGGTGGAGGCAAGGGCTGTTCAGGACTGAGCTGATGCACCTGAATTCATCTTAGCAGCTCCTGAACTCATCCCCACAAGTCTCCCACCAGCTCTTGACACTCCCACTAATGAAAATTCTACCTCTGGCATAGGCAGGACTGCAAGGCAGTGTTGTGTTAAATGCTTGAAACCTGAAATCAGATAAATGGGGGAATGAATCTTGGCTTGACTTCCCACTGGGGAGCCTCAACTCCTCATCTGTTAAATGGGAATAATAATAATACTCACCTCATCAAGGTATTGGAGAAGCCATTCAGATCTCATCTGTAAATTGCTTGGCATGGCAACCAGCACATAGTAATCATTAAATAACTAGTAATAGCTAAAATGCATAATGAAGTCAAGGACTTGTGAAAACAGACTTCCTCCTCACTCCTATATTTCCAATCATTGAAGTCACTAATTAACACGTCGTCTCTACTAGCCTCAGAGAGATGATATGCCGAGTTCAGTTAACATCGATGATGAGAAATTTTCAGATGACCTGATTAATGTTTTTATTGCTCAGAGAAGGAAAAGGAAGACCCAGAGAGGGAAAGTGAAGTATCTCGTCCAAGGTCATACAAAGCCAAGCCTAGAACCCAGAAAGATGTCCTCATCTCTGATACAGTGTCTTTTCTGCCCAAGAACACCAACTCCCATCTCAGTCCTGTAACCTTTAGAACCTAGATGGCAAACACAGCTGGATAGCCAGAAAGCTCAGAGCAAAAAGTAAGGAAGTGAGTTAATGTAGGCACCAGGGTAGTGGCACAAGAGTGTCCTTGAGACCAGAGGACACAGATGACTGGACACAGCTCCTCACACTCACAGCATCACACTTGGAGTGTCCTTCAAGTTTCCCTTGCCCATGCCTTTCCTGTGGTTTATCACCCAGAGACTTCAAAAATAGGGGCAAAAGTCCCCAAAAGACAGGGATTCTGGATCTTTCAAGGCAGACTAATAATCATAGCCTTGTCAACAATATCTCATTTTGGCTGGAATTACTTAGCATGTGACCTCAGTTCCTACCATGTCTATGTAAACAGTCACATTAATATTAAAAGGAGCATAGTAGAATGCAGGGGTAAGCAAACTTTTTCTACGAAGGGCCAGATAGTAAACGTTTAGGCTTTGGGGGTCACTATGTCTCTGTTGCAATTAGTCAGCTCTGCTGTTGTAGTGCTGAGCCAGGCTGACTACACGCAAATAAGTAACCACGGTTGCATTTCCATAAAACGTTATTTATCAAATGAGGTGGTGGGCTGGATTTGGCTTATGAATTGGAGGAGTCACTGCAGGCTTTGGAGACAGATGTTTCAGTTAAACATGTAATGCACGTTCACACGGAGCTTTGGAAAAACCAAAAGGCTCTGAGTGAATATAACTTGCCCCTCCCCACTCCCACTGTTCCACCACCACCTCCACCCAGACTTTCCAAGGAAGATGGAAACTTTTCATTTTTTGACAGGGAGAAGGGATTTTTAACATGAACACGGTCTCAGTGACGAGGATAGTTTTGATTAGGTAATAAGACCTTAGCCATTCTGGATCTCAGTTTCCTCGCCTAAAGAGCACTTCAATGCAAAGTCGCCAAGCATAGGGGCTCTAACTAGTATTCTGGTACCATAATAAAGTTGATAAAGTTTTCATCAGTCCAAAGTGAAGTACAAAAAATAAGGACACGGTAGCCCCCTTTTCACAGGGCCAACTATATCTAATGTAAGAGGCACTCTTCCTCTGAGACGGTCCTTCATTTTTGTGTGTCAAAATGTCCTTTTTTTACAACATGAAGTTGATATAGACAGGAGTTAAGTTGGCTTGTTTTTTGCCAGAGTTATTTTGTTTTGTTTTAATCATCACAATAGGCAAAATAAAAAGCTGTCCACTTCATATTGGTCTCTGAATTTTCATTCTGGGGAGAAATTTCCTGGGTCTATAAAGTCCAAACTTTTCACAACCATGGACGAAATCACTTATCACATTTCTTCTTATCTGGACCATGAATGGGAATATCAGAACACAAAGTAATCAAAACCAACCTCAGTTTACAATTCAATGTTTCCACAACCAGATTTTTTTAAATGCTAATAATATTCGGTTGGTGTAAAAGACATTGCAGCTTTTGCCGTTATGTTCAATGGCAAAAACCATGATTACTTTTGCACCAACTCAATAATCCCCATGGGACTGTGAAACTTTTGTTAAAGACCTTCCCATACCTCCTTTGGGTTCATTCTCACCTCAACCCTGTGAGCAAGCCACAGCAACATGGGGAATAGTCTTCCCATTTTGCAGATGATGCGCTGAGGCCTAAAGAAGCCAGGTGATTTGCCCAAGGTCATACAAGGAGTTAATGGCCAAGTGAGAATCCGGGGCTCCTCCCTCTTCTCCCTGCATGACCGGCTTCCACCATGAGATGCCAGTGACCTGCTGGAGGCAGTACCTGACTTTCTCTTGCTTTTAATGCAAGTCAACATCCCCTTAATTCAGCAATCTGCAGAGACACTGTAGTAGGGTGAGGTAGAAAAAATATTCCTGGGCTCCAGAACTGACCACATCAACAAGTCTTTTCTCCTCTCTGAGCCTCATCTGTAATATAACAGCAATGTACTAAATGCCCTGGAGGAGTCTCTCCAGCTTTGACCCTTTATGAGACTATAATTCTTTTGTACAATATGTAAAAATAGAAGAAAAAAAACCTAACAAAAATCTCAAGGAAATCTGAAGTCACAGCTTCCTTCCCCAACGAACCCAGCTTAAACAGGCACAGAAGCAGTAAATTGTCCCTTTTGAAAAAAGCCATTGCAAGACATTCCAGGCAGAGGGGAACCATCTTTCAGGTACTCTTGGGAGGAAGCTTCAGGGGCAGCATGTGGTTTGTCACTAGAAAGGAAAAGGGCAGAAGCTAGACACCTTCTAGGGAGCCCTTTTTCACTGGCTGTTGAAAATCTTCCACCATCAGCAGAAAATCAGCAGTGGCTCAGAGCCTGGGATGTAGAGCTATGTGCACATGCTAAAGAAAAAACACAGGATACACTTCGCTACAGAGGAAACACCAAAAATCAAACCCTTTTGGGTAATGAAAGGATTTCTGAGTCCTATCACAAGCTTCCCATTCCTGGCCAGGATAGCCCCCAGCCAACTGACACCTCACAGGCAGTAAGCCAGGAAGAGCGCCTGGGAGGAGAACCTTTCCCCCACACCCTTCTCCTTTCTGGGTTTTAGTTTTCTCACCCAGAAGACAGAGTTAATAATGATTTTTGCATGAAGCCACCATGAGGATGAAATGGGACAGCAATTGGACCCTCATCTGATACCTGGTTGAACCTATGTCCTTTGGGCATAGGATCCACTCTGTTCTTTCATATCCAGATAAAATGTTCCCATCTCATTTCACAAATGTCACGGAACCAAGGAGAATGTTGTAAAGAGAGTGAAGCTCATCCTTCTCCTCATCACTCCTTGTTTCACTTTTCTGCTTCCACCAAATTTTGAATCTCATGTCTGCACATGGTTTCTGGCTTATTTGCCCAAATCAGAGAAGACAGCCACTTTTGCCTTGATTTCCAAGTTTGAATAGTAACCCACATTTATGAATAGCGACATCTACAGAAGGATTTGGGGTATGCAGAGAAGCTGGTAGGGCAGTGTAGCACATCCCAGTGCAGCCCAGCAGATGACACAGAATTGAATATTAGGTCCCTCTGTTCTTGCAAGACCTCAGCTATTCCAGCCACTGGGAATTTCTCAAGGGACAGCTATCCTCCCTGGGGTTCAGCCCTCTGACACCTGAACTGACTCACTCTCCTTCCTGTCTTAATGTCCTTCTCCCATTTCCCCTCCACTTTCCACTTCCCTCATAAACTCTGCAGAAATTCAAATTGTTCTGACTTTGATTTGCAGAATGATTCTGGTCCTTTGATCTCACCTCTGGGCCTTCTCAATATACCCTGGCCCTTTTTATAACAAATCACCCCACCAAATGATAGCTCTTACCTGCACTAGAAGAATTCTGTAGTCAGTGTTCTTTCTTGTACTCCCTCATTGCATCCGTATGAGGCCACGGCAGAGTGAGAATAATGAACGTTGACAGGCATCACTATGTGCCAAGAATTGGCTGAGTACTTAGTAATTCACTCATGCAGTTCTCACAGTAAGCCCCCAGGAATCATAATTAGCCCCATTTTATAGGTAAGGAAACTGGAGCACAGACAGGCTTGTTGCCTTGCCTAAAATTTCAGAGCTGGTTAGGAGGGGTGAGACCTCAAATCCAGCGTATCCACCTTGCAGCCCTTGTGCTTAGCTGGGATTGTATTGTAGACCATCTGGGAAAACTCAGTACCGCAAATCCTTCCAGTGCCCCTACCTGCTGGCCAAGTCTACATATCCCCTTCCAGGGCTCTATCAGCTCTATCACTTCTTCGGCACCTGCGGCCCCCAGCTCTTGGCTTTCATGTCTCAGAAGTGCACTCTCTGTTACCAAGCTCAGGGTCACAGAGGGCCACACGCATGGGTTTGAATGAGGTGAAGTGCTGAGGGGAAACATGGTCCATGGCGAGGGTTCTAGAGGCTGAATTTCAGCTCTGGCTTTGCAGCTGAAGGGTCATGTGCCTTGGGACAATTCCTTCCCCACTGCCTACCAGTTAAGACAGATTTGTCTTTCCTACAAATGTAATGTAGCCTCCAACACCCAAAGGTTCCTGGAGGCCCTAAGGAAGTTGGAACAGTGGATAGACCTCGTGTGGGTCCTGACAACTCCACCCTCGCCTGAATTCAGTCTGTAGCCAAAGTTGGGGTATGAAATGCAGAGGACTGGCCCAGGAATTTGGAATGCTGACATTCAAGTCTTGGGACTTGAAGCAATTCACTTTCCCTCTCAGGGTCTTGGGTTTCCTGTTTTCTAAAATATCAGAAGTGAGGGGAACAAGCCAGATGTCCTAACCCTGAGATGGATTTTGCTTTGATTATAGCGTTCTATGAATCAAACAAATATCTTAGGATTCTTTGACCACTTTAACATTCTAACATTTGCAATTTTATAAGGCGTGGCAGCTACCCTCCTTGCCCCTCCACTTGCTAAAAAGAAAATGGCATTAAAGAAGACGAAGTGAGGTTGGCTCTCTAATTTTACCAAATGAACCCACCCCAAAGAAACAATAAAAGCTGCACCTTGAAGGCAGTGACATTAATCCAAGACTAGGTTCTCACTAAGACCCAACTATCCCTCATGTCCCATGGTCACAATCAGATGACAGCCGCCCTAGCGGAACACCACACTGGAAGCAGTCAAGAGGCAACGTGCACTTTGGGAGGCTGAGGCGGGTGGATCACAAGGTCAAGAGATCGAGACCATTCTGGCCAACATGGTGAAACCCTGTCTTCAAAAAAAAATACAAAAATTAGCTGGGCATGGTGGCACACGCCTGTAGTCCCAGCTACTCAAGAGGCTGAGGCAGGAGAATCGCTTGAACCCCAGAGGCGGAGATTGCAGTGAGCCAAGATCGCACTACTGCACTCCAGCCTGGCAACAGAGTGAGGGAGGGTAAGGGAGAGAAAGCAGGCCCATTCCTTGAAATTGTTTTGTTATGTATTTCATTCAAACTATCTAGACACAACATGTGTTGGCTTAAGTTTCTACATTTCAAGCAGCACAAACCATGGACTAGGGCACAGGACTCAACCACTGTTTGGTATAGTTTGGGTGGTAGACACCAGGCTCATTTTTATGCATTATCTCATTTAATCCTCTCTACAACTCTCCATGACAGTTATTTTATTATTCTCACTTTTAAGAAGAAAACAGGACAATTCAAAGAGGCTGCATGATTTTTGCAAAGCCACACAGCTAGTAATGGCAGACGTGGAATTTGAACATAAGTCTGTCTAACTTTCTAAAATTGATTTGAACCCAAAACGAACTTTCTAAAATTGCTGCCATACTTTTGCATTTTGAACAGGTAGGGAGTGTTTTTTTATTAAGGTTATTAGAATGTTAGCAAAATTTACCCTATGTCTCCAGACTCACCTTTCCTTTTAAATTATAGACTTTAAAGATGCTTCTTACTTACCCACAGTAATGTCAATTCAACCTGTGTTTAGTATAAATGAATTCCAAGGAAATGCCCATAGTGTCAGACAGGTTTACTAACTGTTGCAGATACACTGCAACAAGTCAGGACTGAAAAGACCTTAACATCCCAAGGAAAGTAGGTGGGGCAGGGGGCGGGGGGAGGCAGGATTTAAATTATTTAAAGGAATTCCAACTTGACCTTAATTTATATTTACTGATCACTTCCTATGTGCTCAGTCAGCACTAAGTGTGTTCATATGGGCATTCTCCAAATCCTTTTGGAAATCAGGGTCACCTAGTGGTCCTTTGTTTAACAAATGGTCCATCCTGCAGTTTATCTCTCTATTACTAGTTGGCTTAGTGATATCAAGGAATTGGTCAAAAGCCTCAATTACTTTTGCACCAACCTAATAGTTGAAATGACCCTTGCTCAGGTTAAGGACTCACTTTGAATCCAAATTTTATCCAGAGGGGAGAGACTGTCCTCTAGATGTCACTGTTGGGACTCTCCTGGATATTGTCCCTGAAGCCTGGAATGAAGAAGCCAGGGCATGGCAGATGCAGAGTCATTAGGATAATCCCTTTCCTTCTTGGAAGGATTAAAACATTTTTCAACAAATGTAAAGAGGATTCAGCACACATTCCTGGAAGCATCAGATAGCCTTAAACACTTAGGTACTTAATTGAGAAGCTCCCGTCCATCAAATAATGTCATGAGCTTCATTTTAATGAGCATTTCATCTGCCAATTCACTCTGCTAAGTGGCATTGCTAAACTGTGCCACTATAACAACAAAGAAAAGAGGAGTAAGGCAGAAAGAATCTACTTTACTGAGTGTCTCCTCTAGCCACAGGCCACACTGATCACTTGACATCCACGGTCTCATTGCATCTTCATGACATCCATACATTTAGGTTGATTGTTTTAATTCTCACTTAATGGATGTGGCAGCTGAGGCTCAGTAAGGGGAAATGACAGATCCAGAGCTAAAAGCTATGACCAGAATTCAGGTGCTCTTTTTGCGATGCATCGTGTCTTCCTTGTTCTTATATCAAAGGTGCTGTACATCTGGAAGGTACCTGGCACTCAAACCACATACCATCTGGCCGGGATGGTTGGCTTGGTCTGTTTTGCCATGGTAGAGCCGCCTTGAGCATATTTGCATCTTTATGTGCCCATGACTTGTAACTTGGCAGTGTTCAGCACATGGGCCTGAAGTCATCTGCTGGCATTCTCCCACAAGATGGAACCCAGGAGCTCATTAGTGCTTGTTTTCCCAGCACCTCCAGCTGTCTTGTCAGTTTTCAGTTCCAGTGTCTGTAGTGGCTGCAAACCCACTTCTTCCTGCATTTAACCCTTCCTATTCCACAGGAATACTGAAAGTCAGAGAAGAGCCCTGGATTAGAAGTCAGAAGCCCTGTGTTCTGAACCCAGCTCCACCATTTACCTACTGTGGAGTCTTGGGCCAGACCCTAGTCTCTCTGGGTAGTCTCGCCACTCCTAAAACTAGGATCTCTGTTAGCATGGCATTTAGTGACCCTTTCTGTCTAATATTGTGAAATCTCAAGGTGAGAGCTAGTCTTAAGGTTTCCATAATCTTGACCTTCTAGAATATGCTCCTTTCACCACCTCGAGCAACCTCTCTTTCTATCTCTCTCCTCTGTGTGAAACTGGCCAGGAGGGTTTTGTTGGCACATCTTTCTCTTCAGCCTCTCAAACAAAACCACAGAAAGTCCCATGATCCTTCTAGAAGAGGCTAAAGCTTGGAAAGATGATTTACAAAGCTGATGCATCTGAAAGCTTTGGTCCTCAGGGAAGTTCAGGCAGTGCTAGGGTTGTCTGAAAGATAGACTGCCCTACAGAAAGAGTAAGGAGCCCTGGTCTCTGGTCCTGTCTCTCTCACTAACTCTCTGGATGACCTAGGATCAGCCTGCCATAGGGGCAACATTGAGGAGCACATGGGTTATGTGTTCACCAAGCCTGAACCAGGCCATCTCAGGGAACTTTCATTTCTCCAAACTATGCAAATCCTTACAGAACCAGACTATTCATAACTTAGATTGTCCTCAGAGCTAAAATATTCTGTTCTACTACTGCAGGTGTCTGAAAACCTGAATGTGTGAAGACACAGTCTCCTACCTTGGGTAATGCAACATGCCCATAAAGATAGACAGGTGCAGCTGGGACCGACTCCCCATCCCAAACCTTCCCACCCCCACCACCAGCAGGTCTGATAGGGGATGGCTGAGTCTATACAGCCTGCTGAAATAAGCTAGGTAGGCCCTTTAAGACAGATCATCAAATCCACACTGCTCTTCATCTATTATGTTGGTGCAGAAGTAATTGCAGTTTTTGTTATTGCTTTTAATGCCAAAACCACAATTACTTTTGCACAAACCTAATAGGGACACTAGAGCCCAGAGAGGAGAAATCCCAGGATTCTAACTCCCAGGTCATCAACTCAGCCGTGACTTGCAGACAGTTCTCACTTCCCCCACTCTGATGCTCTGTTCTTCAAACTAAACCTCTCCAGGCATCACTTTTTGCTCCCTCTGCTCCCAGCCTTCAGAATTCCAGGGACATTGCAGAATTTCAGCTGCATGTAATGCCACTATTTATAAGTCACGTTTTTCTGTCTTCCTAACCAAAAAAGAAAGTTATATCATAGACTCACAGGGTGATGAGAAGACTCAGGCCACACGGCTGATGACCCATGAAATGTTCATCTAGCTCTTGATAAGAGCCTCATGACCTCCAAAGCAGCCCACCTCTTTTTTGAGCAGCACTGACTGGTCAACTCTGTGAGCTGCCAGCACTGTGACTCACAGTGTGACATAGGTGTTTTTAGTGTACGTCTTTCCATTGCTGCATCTGAGAAATGGGGATTAGAGCAGTGTTAGCTCTTAGCTGAGGGCTTCATCTCCTTCCTCTTCCACTTGGAGGTTTAGTGCTTGGGCCCCACGGTGTGCCGACAGCCTCATCAAGCATTAAAGGACAGAGGCTGTGCCCTTCTCTGGGGTCTTCTCCAAGTTTAACAGCCCATTCCCTCAATAGCTCCTCTAGTGTCCTGCTTTTAGCCCCTTTCTGAACCAGCTCTGGCAACATCATTCCTAAAAGGGCTGCCTGTGTTTTTCCCTTTAGCTAGAAACCATCTAAATGATTTTTAAAGAAAAACTAAAATATACCATGCCATTTGACTTCAGGAAATGCAAATGTTTCAAAATAAGGTGTTTTTTTTTTCCATCCTCGGGTTTCTCAGAATTACAACTGAGGTCAACCCAAAGGGGAAAAAACAACAAAAGAACCAGAACGTGTGAGAGGCAAGCCTGGGCTTGCACTTCTCCAGCCACCTGTTTACAGAGGCTCACCTGCCATAAGGGGTAAGGAGAACAGTGTAAGAGGGCTTTCGGCCAATGAGCAGAGCCTGTTCTTGATGTTTTGTGCTGGCCTCAGCCCAAGGCATGAATCTTATCTTCCCATCTAATCTAGCCTGACCTGCAATGCCAGTGGGAGAATGAGGCCCTGTGTTATTCTAGCCCTCAGGCAAAAGGCAAGCCAAGCGTCCTGATTCACCTCACTGTTGTCCTAAGTACTTACTCTGTATCCACAGAGGGAAACAAGAAAGATGAACTAGGTGATTCAATTCAACAAATATTTACAGAGCATCTGCTAGACTGGGCAGTGGGGGTTTATAAACAGGAGTCTCTGCCCTGAGGGTTCACTGTCTGATAGAATGGGCAAATAGGCAAAGGAAGTATCCTGGAGGAGCTGACTGCTAGGCTGTGTTTCAAACAAGGAAAAACTTGCCTGGTGAAGGAGGCAGTCCAGGTAGAGAGCCCAGCAAGTGCCAAGGTGTAATGATAAATCAACATTCCTAAATGGTATGTTTAGGGGGACTGCAAAGCCCCAAACTCCCGGACAGCAGTCAGGAATCCATTCGGGCAGCGGTCAGGCAGCCTGAGTTTGGATCTCTACTCCACCCCTGACTACCTGTGTGAATGTGAACAAGTCAGTTAACCTTTAAAAGGGTCCATTTCCTTATGTACAAGATAGACTTAATTATGGTACCTCTCTTATCGTGTTATTGTGAGAATTAAATGAAATAATGCATGTAGCATACTTAGCAGAGTACCTGGAAAATGGCTATCACTCAACATGTATTAGTTATGACCATTCATATTATTATCACTGTTCCTCCTCGTTATTATTACTATTGGAACATAAAGGGAAAGGGGAGGAGGGAAGGTGAGGGGTGAGACCAGAGAGTTCAGTAGGAGTCAGAACAATGGGGACCATGAAAGCCATGCTGAGGAGCTTGGGCCTGATCCTGCAGGCGAAAGGAGTCAGAAAGGGCTTCCATGCAAACAGACAGCCAGGTCTGTCTCCCTGGCTTGATGTTCTGCAGCTTAGAGTAGGAGGCTACGCCAGGAGGACTCTCTAACCATAGTCACAGTCCATTAGGAGCATAAGCAGCCATTAGTGTTGGGGTTCTGACTACAAACCCCAAGAGTGTGGGCTGTGGGCTGCAACAGGCAGGACCAGAGCACTGATCAGAGGATGCATGAGGATGAAACCAAGGGGATGACAGCTGACCCACTGGCTCTCACCACCAAGAGAGCTTTGGACCAGAAGCTCTATGTGGATGCAGCAGATAAGGAGGAAAACTGCCCCTGCTTCTGCCCGGAGTGCCTCTCGCAGTGAGCTTGTTCAGACAGCAGAGGGAACTCTTCATTTAACTTTCAACCACTCCAAAGCCCCCATGAAGCTATGAGGATGGCCAGGAGGGACTTTCTCAGGGCTGGGCAGAGACTGCAATGGGAAAGGTTGTGAGCCCAGCAGGTACTACTCGGCAATGCAGTGAGCAAATATCCCAGGGTGTGGCTGCTCCATTGAATGGGCCGTTGGCTGCCTACCGTCTGATGGATGGACTACATGGTCATCTCTGGTGACATCTTTGAGAAGATGTCCATGTCAGGTCAAAGATTGTCCAGTTTTACACATGGGGAAACCAAGGATCAAAGAAGAGATTAGCTCTGAATAAGTTGAATTCAAGTGTCATTGCAGGAAATGTATAACTTGAATCTTTGCATACAAAATATTAAGTAGTTACTGTAATAAAAAAAAGCTAAGCCACCATCACTAGTGAATATATGAAAAATATTTTTATTTCTTAAATACCATAATAACATAATATTATGTTTGCCTCTGCCAAGGAAGCTCCAAATAGCAGGACTTCTGTTAAGATTTCTTTAACCCTGTGTCCTCTTAAAATTGAACACCAAGATGTTTTTATCTTCGTTGTCTAGCAAAATAGCCTAGAACAGGAAACCTGGCCTCTGGAATTAGCCATGGGCAATTCCAGCATTTACACAAACTTGTCTGAACTTAGGCGATGGTATTGACCACCTCTAGGCATCAAAGTTAACCCTGCAGGATTAGTCTGAGAACTAGATTAGCTGATATATTACCCAGCTGTAAAAGTACCCAGACTAGTTTCTGGTGTGTGGTAGATAAGTTGACAGTATTTACTATCAGTATTATCATTCTCACTACCACTGCCTGGCAAGGCACCACGAAACAATGTATTTCACCTGCGTGGCCCCCAGATTTTTTTCCCATCTGTAAAAGGGGCTTAATAATACCCCTCTCACAGAGTTGCTGCAAAGATTAAGGAGATGAAATACGTATAGTGCCAAAAAATGGCCCCTGACACATTATAGGAATGGATGTCATATTTGTTTCCTTCCCTGATTTCCACAGTCTTCCATAAAAGTCCAAGTGGAAGCAATCAATAAAAATAAATTTAAAAAATTAAAATCCTAAAATACCTGATGGCAAAATGAGAAATAAAGAGCTTTTCTCCTTATTCTGAAAATGGAAAACAGAACGGTAATTGTCTCCATCAAAGTGTTGTAGAAAAAGATCAGGTATTTCCAGATCCCAAAACGGCAAAAGACATTTTAATGCATCGTCTCCTTATTTTTAGGAAATTGCTCAGAAGACCTCTTATGTATCCTGAAAAGGGCTCCATTCAAGAAGTCATGGGCCTACCTCCAAGGTCAGTAACCAAGCCCAGGAAACCTAAACATATGAAAACCGCTTCTGTGGCTTTTCAGCAACTTTTAAGCCAGAAGTCATAATTAGAGTCCCATGGCCAAATGTGACCTGCAGATGTGTACTGTTTAGTCTGCAGGAAATTTTTTTGTAATTTGAATTTGAATGTCTTAGCGGGGAGAGCGTCATTCTCCAAAGCTACAAGGCTTCTCTTTCCTCAGTCCCATTCACTCCTTTATGTTGCCTACCTGGCCTCTGTGGGCATTCATGGTCCCCACCACCACTGCCACCACCAGCCCCACCCCTCACCCCTCACCCCTCCTTATTCAGCTACCTACCAATTTCAGCAAAGTACACAGTCCTTTTCCTAATGCAAGGGAGGCAGGCACTTAATCTCTGCCTCTATGAAGTTATTCACAAGGGAACCATAAAATTGCCTTGTCCCCAGATTGACAGCTTAATGAACATGTCAGCACAGGGCCGATTTGCATATTGCAGTGTGCTTCAGGTAAGAGGCCCCTTACAAATGAAGCAATAAGAGGCACTTTAGACTGCAGAGTGAGAAAGAGATGGCCAAGATTCTCTGAATAGCCATCCTGCTCATTTTAAAAATTCAATTTTGCAGTTAGATTAGTTCTCACTCTTCAGTTGAATTGCAACGAGGTTTAAAGGGAAAGCATGGAAGCAATTAAAACTAGCATGCCAGCTTCCTGGCCCTGAAAGTCACCCTTACCAGTCAGTGCTAATTTTCACGTGTTAGGACTTAGAGACTCACCTTCCAACACAAACTTGTCAGCTTAGAGGGTCTGCTAATTCTCTGCTTTTCAATAAATCCCAGATGGCAAGAGCCCCTTAATAAGCACATGGGGGACCTGCACAATTATTTTTGGCTGCCCTTTGAAGGGAAAAAGGCATTCAAAAATTCAGACAATGAACCGTTAGAGGATACATCTTAATGTGAAAATTAATGGCGATTCTCCTGGACATCTTCAAACCTAAATTGGATATTAACTGAATAATATTATTGAATGTCCTACCTTGTACTTTCTGCAATGCCTATCAAACTCAATATTATTGAATTTCCTATCTCTGATACCTTTTGCAATGACCATTCATGATAAATGAACATAATAGTTCCAATCTTGTGGAGAACAGAGTCCAGGAGCTTATAGTCTGAAAAGGGAAAGTTCATCATATTCATCATAGAATAATATAATATGATAATGATTCAGTGGAAAACCATTCTATAGGAGGTAGAAGTAAAGTACCATGTGTGTTCTGAACCTCCAGCTTTCAGCATTGAAGAAAAGGAAGAGGGGTGGTTTTATACCTGTGCCTTGAGTAATAAGTAGACTCTAGAGGGAGTAACATGGAAGATATTCAGATGATTGGAACATTACAGAAAACATGGGTCTTGAATGGGAAACTTTGAACAAAGACTTAGAATTTTGCAATGCGTACCTACAATCTTCTCAATAATTCTGTTTTCTATACTTCTCTTTCTAGTGGCAAAGCATCTAAACAAAACCAAGTTGTCTTGGAACAAAGATGGCATTCTCCATGGAGTCAGATATCAGGATGGGAATCTGGTGATCCAATTCCCTGGTTTGTACTTCATCATTTGCCAACTGCAGTTTCTTGTACAATGCCCAAATAATTCTGTCGATCTGAAGTTGGAGCTTCTCATCAACAAGCATATCAAAAAACAGGCCCTGGTGACAGTGTGTGAGTCTGGAATGCAAACGAAACACGTATACCAGAATCTCTCTCAATTCTTGCTGGATTACCTGCAGGTCAACACCACCATATCAGTCAATGTGGATACATTCCAGTACATAGATACAAGCACCTTTCCTCTTGAGAATGTGTTGTCCATCTTCTTATACAGTAATTCAGACTGAACAGTTTCTCTTGGCCTTCAGGAAGAAAGCGCCTCTCTACCATACAGTATTTCATCCCTCCAAACACTTGGGCAAAAAGAAAACTTTAGACCAAGACAAACTACACAGGGTATTAAATAGTATACTTCTCCTTCTGTCTCTTGGAAAGATACAGCTCCAGGGTTAAAAAGAGAGTTTTTAGTGAAGTATCTTTCAGATAGCAGGCAGGGAAGCAATGTAGTGTGGTGGGCAGAGCCCCACACAGAATCAGAAGGGATGAATGGATGTCCCAGCCCAACCTCTAATTCACTGTATGGTCTTGATCTATTTCTTCTGTTTTGAGAGCCTCCAGTTAAAATGGGGCTCCAGTACCAGAGCAGCTAGCAACTCTGCCCTAATGGGAAATGAAGGGGAGCTGGGTGTGAGTGTTTACACTGTGCCCTTCACGGGATACTTCTTTTATCTGCAGATGGCCTAATACTTAGTTGTCCAAGTCGCGATCAAGGACTCTCTCACACAGGAAACTTCCCTATACTGGCAGATACACTTGTGACTGAACCATGCCCAGTTTATGCCTGTCTGACTGTCACTCTGGCACTAGGAGGCTGATCTTGTACTCCATATGACCCCACCCCTAGGAACCCCCAGGGAAAACCAGGCTGGGACAGCCCCCTGTTCCTGAGATGGAAAGCACAAATTTAATACACCACCACAATGGAAAACAAGTTCAAAGACTTTTACTTACAGATCCTGGACAGAAAGGGCATAATGAGTCTGAAGGGCAGTCCTCCTTCTCTAGGTTACATGAGGCAGGAATAAGAAGTCAGACAGAGACAGCAAGACAGTTAACAATGTAGGTAAAGAAATAGGGTGTGGTCACTCTCAATTCACTGGCAAATGCCTGAATGGTCTGTCTGAAGGAAGCAACAGAGAAGTGGGGAATCCAGTCTGCTAGGCAGGAAAGATGCCTCTAAGTTCTTGTCTCTGGCCAGAGGTGTGGTATAGAACCAGAAACCCATATCAAGGGTGACTAAGCCCGGCTTCTGGTATGAGAAATTAAACTTGTATACAAAATGGTTGCCAAGGCAACATAAAATTATAAGAATTCACTATACCTTCCCCTCCCTGGAACTCAGGATCCAAGTCTAGAAAATGAAAGGACTGGGTTTGAATTGCTTCAAAACCTCTTCCATCTCAGAAGACCAGACCCTGGGAACTGAGATTCCAGACACAATTTTGGAAGCTCTCCAACCAAAATAAGGCCCCCCTACCCCAGTATATAATTGAAGACACTAGTAACACCTGACTGCATCTCATCTCAGCAGAGCCAGAATATGGGGACAAGGTTCAGGGTGCCCTGCTGAATGGTGTGAACAGCAGGATCTCAAGGATGTAATGGAAAGAACTACCACACTGACCATCCAGAATCTAAGAGACCATCTGGGTGTTTGGGAAACCATCTGACGAGGCCTGACTCTATTCCAGTTAGATTGACAATAATTGAGCAGCAGGCATTTTTCATTTCTGGTCAGGAAAGCATTGTGCCTTTAGCAAACAATCAGTGTGCAACAGTGATGTGGTCATCTAGCCAGGGAATGGCTGCTCCATCCCCTGCATAATATATTCCTGCTTCAAACACCTCTCAGAAAACCAGTTCCGCGAGGGTTTTTATATCCCCACAAAGTTGTTGAGAGACAATGATGACCCTGGAAGTGGGGAGGAGGACTTCTGAGAAACAGCAACCTCTCTCCTGATTGGGGTAGCCATGAGATTTCTCTAGCTATATCCAACTTGGCATCTGTACATCATCTTTGGAGGAACATCTTATTTGTGGAAGGACCTTGACAAGCCGTTTGAGATGGAATGTAGGCCCTGATGTTATGCTTCAGTAAAAAAAGATGGAAGCTTCCCTGCTATACCAAAACATGGAGCAAAATTTGCATTTTTCTCAAGAAGGAGAGAAAAGGAGTAGGACTCCAGCAAAGTTTGTCAGAAGGAAAGCTAGAAAAGATTTAAAAGAAAAAAAGAAAGAACAAATCAGCAGTGGTGGTATGGATGAAAGGGACTTGAGAGAACAAAAATGGCTAAGGGAAAATTTTAAGTCATCTGCTGAGCAGTGTGCTGTGTCAACCTCCTCCTAGGTCTCCTCTATGAAATATTTAGTAAAGTCTACATTTCTCTTTAACTCTTTCTGTGAGTAGATTCTTTGGGAGAAGCAGGCATTGGAAGAGGTGTTGAATTCAGCAAGCCAAATGGTCTGTGGTAAAAAACAAAACAGACTTTGAGACTCAAGGCTAAAAAAACAGGGAAATGGCTGGCATTTGAGTCACACACTAACTGCATAGGACAAATGAATCTTGCTTAAACCAACTCATGCATTCTTGAAAAGGTATATGCAACCCAACTGTGTGTTAACTAAGCAATTTTTTTGCCATCTCACATTCTAACTCGAGAAAGATTCCATTTTCATTTTTCACCAACTGTTCTCTGAGCAGAGGTACCTGACTTTTGCACTGTGAGTGGTTTCTAATCTCAGTCTCTGTCAAGCAATGCTAAGAAAGCCAACACCTAAAGACACAAGGGGTACATCATTTAAATGAATAATGTAACCAAACAAACAAAAAAAGAGAATAATCATTAATAACTCAACTGATAGATATGTAGGGAGTAGGCAACCCAGGAAGTTTAAAACTAAATTCTGTTACTCTTGAGGGTTAACCAGCCCCTGGGAATGTTATGAGCAAATGATACTCCATGAGTAAAATGATATCTATGCAAGTAAAATAAATAATTTATCTAACTGGGAACTCAGGCTACCTAAAACATATGCCTCTTTGGTAAAAACTCAACTTGAGCTCCTTCCCTTGCTCCTACCCTCTGAACCCCACCTCCCCACCACACACACACACACACACACTCAGTGTACTTGCAGAACTTGTAGAGGAAGATGGTAAGTGAGCTCACAAAAACATAACAAGTCAATGTAGAGTCATCCAAACTGGAGTGGAGTGGTGCTATCTTGGCTCACTGCAGCCTCCCCTTCCTGGGTTCAAGTGATCCTCCTACCTCAGCCTCCTGAGTAGCTGGGACTACAGGCACGCACCACCACACCCAGCTGATTTTTGCGTTTTTAGTAGAGACGGGATTTCACCATGTTGGCCAGGCTGATCTCGAACTCCTGACCTCAAGCAATCTGCCCACCATGGCCTCTCAAAGAGCTAGGATTACAGGCGTGAGCAACCACACCTGGCCTCTAACCCTTTTCTGAATCATATATTGACCATGTACTGAGTCTATAGAGGATAGAGACCACCTGTGTCTCACATTCAAATCACCATCCCAGAGTGACCGGGGCGAGAGCAGGGAAGAGCAGAGGAAACCTCCAAATGTGGGGACTGTCCAAAGTAAGGTTGGAAAGACGTGACCTGAGGAATTGCAGAAAGGCTATAGGAGGCCCTATCAAGGCTGGTGGGAAATAATGGAGATTGGAATATGAGACTGGGCTCAAATGCCAGCTCTCTCACTAACCACACTCGAGGACTTCGCAAGTGTCTGCTCCCTGCTGGGCTTCCAACCAATGGGACTTCCATCAAGCCTGGCAGATCTCTCAGGAGTGTTCTAGAGATGATACAGGCTGACTTCTCCATCCTCTTAATTTAAGGGTTTGTCCCTTCCATCCCAGAATAAGTGGTATTCCTGGAATTGTGGGAGGCTCCCTTGTCTGACAGATTCTGCCAGCTTCCCTCAGCACTTCCTCCTTTTAGTTCTTGTCCACATCAAAACCTCTTAGGGCACTAGGCTATTCTCTGAGCCATCCTTTATGTGACTGGAGATTCTGAGAAGGAATTAGATAGTAGAGTTATTGTAGAGTAACTACTATATATTTAATTGTTTGAATATACCATAGTTTGTCCATTCTTCTATGCAAGAACATTTAATTTGCTTTTAGGTTTTTGCTGTTACACACAAAGCTACAATAAGCACATCTTCTTCTTGCACACCTCCCACCCCTAGTTGCCATTTTTCTATACAGCAAAAATACTCTTGGAAAATTATAAATGGTGTCACAAAGACACTGAGTTAACCATGGCTAGCGAGGGTTTAGACACCTCTGTGATCAGAGCTCATGACCTGGAGCTTAGTCTCTGGAATCTGAATGGCTCCTTCCATACTTTCTAAGTACTTCTCTGCTCTGTACATTCATTCAACACACATATCCCAAGTGCCAGTGAGTGCCAGGTCAGTTTACAATCCAACATGGTATGTGCTACAGCTCTGCCAAGCCACTGCGAAATCAGCCCTCATTAGCATAGGTTTGAAACATGCCTTTCAATGCACTCTGGGGCTTCCCTGGATCTAGCTCTCTTCCTGGAGAGTAAACAAACACCAGAAAGCATGAAGGACAAGCACAGCTCCAGAAGATTTCTCCCCCAAGATCAAATGTCTGTATTCCTCATGGGCTCTTCTCACAATTCTCCCCTGAAACTCTGCGATGGAAGATTGTCACTCAATGTATAGTATAATGACTTTCCAGGTTTTTTTTCTACCATGACCCAGAAGAAGAAAGGTCATGTTGCCAACGAGGACTAAGAAAAAAAAAAAAAAATAATAACTTACTGTGAAGACCTGAATTGATTTTATGATGCTCTCTTAAGTCACAACCCACATTTCCAAAATACTATTCTAGTGTGCCTTCTCCTGCTCCACATGTTGGAATGCTAAAAATATACTTTCCTTATTCTTTTGCAGCTCAGGCTCTAGTATTATTTAGTCTGAAATGGACAGAATTTTGGAATGTTTGTCCATCCAGCTAGCAAGGACAGCTGTGGAGGTGTTTGGTTTTTCTGCAGCTTCGTTTGCAGAGGTTTTCATGTTCAAATACGAGCTTAGTAGTTGGGGTGAGCCTAGGTGGTGGGGGAGAAGCATCCGTTCTGCTGATGTAGTCTGTTGCAGATGTGCACTGGTTCTGGAGCCCGGCAGCAGTAGCGGCTTCCTGATTGTAGTGGTTTCCTGTTCGCGGCAGCAGTTTTGTGGTTCTAGAGGGGCAGGCTTCCTGATTGCAAGATTATTGAAGAGACAGCAGCTACTATAGCAGCCCAGTTCCTAGGAGTCGCATTATAGGTTTCTCCTGAAAGCTCAATCTCGATTCTGTTTCCTCAGACCTCCTGACAATTCTACAAGCCATTTAACACCCTGTGATAAACCCCTTCCTGCCAAACAAGCTAACGCGAAGTCTGTTCTCTGCAACTGATTCCTCATGAATATAATAACAACATGTACAAACTGACCTCACCATTATGTACAAACCAACCCCACCATACTCATCCTGAACTTAACACTATTCCTACATTCCAAATCTCAAGGACTATCTCAGTCTCTGAATATCCTTCTTCTCACTTCCTACTCAATTAACACCCAACTAATTCCTCCAGTTTCCTAGTTCCAGCCACCACTCTCAATACCTCCTAACTCACAGCACTGCCTCCAGTCTTACTCCTTATAAATCCCATCTCCAGACAGCAATAGCATCTCCCGATTGTTCTTGGAATTGATAGTGATAATAACCATTTATCAAGCTCTTACATGTTATGACTTTTCCTGCACTCACTTATTTAATCTTCAAAGCAATCCAACGAAATAGGCATCATTGAGCCAGGCACGGTGGCTCAGGCCTGTAATCCCAGCACTTTGGGAGGTCGAGGCGGGCGGATCATGAGATCAGGAGTTCGAGACCAGTCTGGCCAACATAGTGAAACCTTGTCTCTACTAAAAATACAAAAAATTAGCTGGGCATGGTGGTGTGCGCCTGTAATCACAGCTACTTGGGAGGCTGAGGCAGGAGAATTGTGTGAACCCAGGAGGCAGAGGTTGCAGTGAGCTGAGATCATGTCACTGCACTCCAGCCTGGGCAACAGAACAAGACTCTTCCTCAAAAAAAAAAAAAATAGGCATCATTATCCCCATTCTTTATATAAGGACATTGAGAGTCTGCGATGTTGAGGAGCATGGCCAATGTCACAGTCAATGGACGGTAGAGTTGGGATTTAAGACCAAGTTTGCCTAACTCCACATTCCACGCTCCAGTCACTATGAACATAGCCTTCCTAAACTCTAAGCTCTTTCCACCAGGTCTCTCCCTATCTATCTCCTGAATGTCTCTCTAGTTTTGTGCTCAGCCCCACCTCCTTGTGCTCTATGATCAAATCACATTGCACTCCTTCCAGTTCCTCCAATCTTCCATGCTCTGCCTAGCCACCAGAAGCTTGCAGATAATTTTCCTTCTGCCTAGGATACTCCTGTCACACTCTTTTGCCTGATTAACTCCTATCATTGTTCTGATTTCCATTTCAATGTCACCTCCTCAGAGAAGTCTTCCTGACTCTGCTGGCTTCACTTAATGCCTTGCTGTCACCTTCCATGCTTCCCCATCGTTAATTGCATGACACTTTACCCTTCACCCCTGGTTCTCTCTATCATTCCTCTCCAACATTCAAATTCCCAGAAGGCAGGAACCCTACCAATCTTATTTAGCACTGGGTAATCACAGCCCAGCCCAATTCCTAGGACATAGTAGATGGCCATTCAATACATATTTCTTAAATGAATAATCAAAGAAAACCACTTTAAACATAAGTCCGTTTTAAGGAAAAGATATCAAGCCATACCAAAACAAAAGAAAAAAAAAAACAGTTCTTTTCAAAATATGGAAATGTTCATTGAAAGCCTCTATTTTTCTTAGAAATAATTTTCAGGCCGGGGACAGTGGCTTATGCCTGTAATGCCAGCACTTTGGGAGGGCAAGGTGGGTGGATCACTTGAGGTCAGGGGTTCGAGACCAGCCTGACCAACATGGAGAAACCCCGTCTCTACTAAAAATCAAAATTAGCCAGGCGTGGTGGCACATGCCTGTAATCCCAGCTACTCGGGAGGCTGAGGCAGGAGAATCGCTTGAACCCAGGAGAAGGAGGTTGCAGTGAGCCGAGATTGCACCACTGCAACTCCAGCCTGGGCAACAAGAGTGAAACTCAATCTCAAAAAAAAAGAAAGAAAAAAAGAATTTTCAGGGCTCAGGAGATAAGAATGCCTATTAGAGAAAGGTGAAATTTTTAGAAAGCAGAATCTACCTGTGCCATCTGAGAACATGGAAGGAAAAAAAAATAAATCTTTGCTTACTTTATTGAACCCCTTTTCTGAGCAAGGTGTGGTATATTTGCTGTAGAATCCATCACCCTTCCTATCTCTGAGATATCTATATGCTATTCTAGTCATTTTGTGATTAGAAATAGTGAGATTAACCTTAGAAAGTTTTTTAAGTTTTATTTTATTTTTGATTGACACAAAAATAGTGTACATATTTAGGTAGCACAGTGTGATATTTCAATACATGTATACATTGTGCAATAGTGAACATATCCCTTACTTTAAACAGTTATTTCTTTGAGGTGAGAACATTCAAAATCCTCTCTTCTAGATATTTTGAAATACACTAGAAAGTTTAAATCAAACCTTGGTATACCTTAGAATCCTGAAATCCCAGGCCACTTCCTAGAGCAATTAAATTAGAATCTCTGGATTTAGAACCCAGGCATCAGGATTATTTTAAGCTCCCAAATTTAAGCCAAATATTAAGAGTCAGTGGTTTAAATCTTTGCTGTTATGTCCTGGTGCCTGGTATCACCAGAGAGCTTGTTAAAAATGCAGGCATCTCATACATACCTAAAAACTGGAACAGAATCTGCATTTTAATATGATCCAAGAGATTCAGGTGCACCTTACAATCTGAAGAACACTAGTTGGTTGACTTTTTCTGGTAAGTGGAGAAGATTGCTGGTAATCCGTTATGTTTCTCTGTTTCCCCCAAGTGGACTTTCATGAATTGGCTTGGTCTTCCTTGTCTGCTGCTTATGCAAATGTGAGGGTCTAAACACTACAAAACCATCAAGTCAACGTGATGGTATTCATTTGTAATGATCACCACTGAATTTTTAACAACTGCTTTTGATCCAACTGTCTCCCTTGGGAATATTGGGCAACACTAGGAATAATCTGGACAACATGTTGAAAGCTTTGGATGCAGTTTAGAAACTTCTATGGGGGCTGTACTTTCCCTATAGCCAAGGAAAGAGAAAAAAACAAGTCTGAGGGTGGCAGATGGGAAAGAATAGTGGCCTTGGCAACTGGAAGCCAGTTTCAATCTGAGCTGAAGCAATTACTAACTCTATGACCTTGGCAAGTCACATGGACTTTGTAAACTTAAATTTTCTCAGCTGTACAATGGGAAGCTGTTGGGAGAACAAACACATAGAATAAGCTTGGAAAGTGTACAACTCTTGGGGTATTTTATCATATTCAGTGTCTGTGAAGGAGTTAGACCTTGGGGAGAGGAGTAGGAAAAAATGAATCAATGCAAGTTTGAGAAAAGTGAAAGTTCCTCAAATCCACTGAAGCCTATTCCCATCTGCATTCAGAAAAGCCAGCCATTGGATCAACAAAGGTCTCTGTCAGGCCAACTCTCAAAGGATGGTTTCATCCTGCAGGGAAAACTGGACTAGATAACCAACTGACTGTTTGCGAGATGCAGTATCAAGGTCCTCTCCCTGTGCCTCTCTAGAAGCAGCACTGATTGCACTGCAAATGAACACTTTTCTCACTTAGAAATGAGCACTTAGAAGACAAGAAGAATCCATCTCCAAATCCCAGCACCCAAATCAGTGTCCTACACAAAGTCAGCACTCAGGAAATGTTTAGATTTCACTTGCAACAGGAAGAGGGAATTACCAGGCAGGGATATCAGCTAAACTAGTCAGGAACAAGCTGATTTGAAGGCTGATCCTCCTTCACAACCAGGAGGCTCCAAACAAAAACCAGCTGAAGTATTTCATCATTTCCTTTCCATTGCTAGGGACGCAGATGACCTAACCTCCTTGACATTCTGACTATGCCTTCCGTTCTCACAATGAGTCTCATTTTACCAGCTGGCCTGATGCAGTCAGCGCATGGCACAGTACTCAAGGGAAGAAAGGTCACAATCCATCACAGGATCAATACAATGGGATGAGTAAACAGCAAGAAAACACTGAAGGAGGCTTCATTTCTACCACCAACATTACATTCATACACTCACACAGTCCTCAATTGCATCTGGTCTTTTCATCCTCCTCATTCATTACTTTGATGTGTTTACTTAAACCGCTTTATGTTACGTAAATAGATATAATTACTATCACTTACTGAACGCTTGCTTGCCAGGTTTCAGGCACCACATGGAAGCCTTCAAATACTGTAGTCTACTGCATCTCACCCTTATGAGATAGAGATGACCATTCCCATGTTGCAGATGAGGAAACAGAGGCTCGAAGAAATGCTTAAGTATGTCTAAGTTTCAGCAGCTCATGAGCTGAAGAGCTAAGATGTAACCACTGCAGTTTGGCTCCAGAGCTATATTTCTAACCACACTACACTGCACTACCCTGAGGCTACTTGACCTGGTGCCTGCTGATTCCTTTGTCCACAAGGTCCTTGCCCTTCATTCACATCTTGTTAATTTGACCTCATTCATAAAATTTCAACTCAGACATTATTGCTCAAGAACCATTCCGCTAAATTAGACATGCAACCTGGACCTTGATATTCTCACTTCTGTCTAAAAATTTACTACACTCACTATGACAGCATGATTGTACATTTGCCTCCCTGCTAAACTGTGGGCTTCTGAGTAACAACAACGTCAAAATGTATCACATCTCTCCTGCCGATATCTACAAAGTAAAGTTATTCTTTCTTCCAGATTACTGTGGCATGATCCTCCACCATTCACACTCTACCCTGGACTCTGGGAAGGGACACTGCTGCCTTGAAACTCTACAACCCTGAACCTTGATGCTGGTTGCTGCAGACAAGAACTGCTTCTACCCTGGGTCACTGTCACTGCTAAGTGGAAAGTCATGAACTTGATGGTACCAGTCACTCTGGGCCTAAACCGACATAGCCAGGAAACGGTTCACCCCCCACAAACAGAATCATCTAGACCTGTCCATGATTTGGAATCGTGGCCCAATACTTCCTGGCCCCAGAGAGAGAAAAAAGTCTGACCACCCCCTACTCAAAGTGCCAACTCATTTCCTTCCCAGAATTAATCACTTCCCAAAATGTATGACTGTGTGAACATCAATTCCCTTCAGGGGAAAACCCCACTCCCACCTCTCAGGCTGTCATCTTACCCTATGACCCCAACCTGACAATCATGCAACAGCCCATTATTGGTACCTTTTCCAATGTTTAGGTGACTCATTCTTATCTACAATCACTTTGTTGTTCTAGGAAAGTTTTTGACACAGCAGGCATTTGATATATATTTCTTGATTAAATGAAAGATTAAATGAATACCATCTTAGATGTCTGCATAGTGCTTTAAAGTTTACACCACTATTCTTTCAAATAGTACAAGAGAGAACTAAGCTGTGTACTCAACTGGGAAGAAGCAGAACTGAGAGTGGGAGCACCTGGTATTCTGATTTCTTGTCTAGAACTATACTATATTCTGAGATCACTAAACTACAACCTCAGGCGACTCTGCCTACTTTTGTAAATAAAGTTTTATTGGAACACAGCCACATTCATTCATTTATGTACAGTCTATGGCTGGTTTTATGCTGTGATGGCAGAGTTGAGTAGCTGCCCCAGAGTCCAGGAGCTGTTTACAGAAAATGTCTGATGGACCTGCTATATATTGCTGGTGACTCCAGGTATGTTTAGATATACACACTTACAACACACACACACACATACATCATAAATTTTCCCACAAAGAGAACCATATGATCACTGTCTATCTGACCTTTTCAATATTGTCAGCTGTGAGAGGGGAGTACCAACTTTGTTGGAATCATGTATAGAACATGCCTCTGAGTGCTAAGGGATTCCATGGGCTAATGCATGATTTTTGACCATGGACTTGATAATATCTATCCAACAATATGAAGAAGTAGTAAACTTAAAAAAGAAAAGGCCTCAGAGGCAAATCCACCAAAAGCAGTGAGAAAGGAATAGCTTCCAAAAAGATCATGTTTTAAAATAAGGAGGTTAGAGATGTGAGGATTTTTTTCTTTACAACCAGTAAACCAGAGACATGTGAGGATTTGAATGTCTTCATAATAATGAAAATAATTTTAATCAAAATGTCTCTAAAATATAGACTTAGAATGTACTGTTCCAAGAAAATTATTTGTTCTTAGATGTTTTCCTTCAATCAACCACTCAAGGGAGTTTAGAAGAGACCAGATGGTGCCTTAAAAGGATATGAGGCCGGGCACAGTGGCTCACATCTGTAATCCCAGCACTTTAGGAGGCCGAGGCAGGTGGATCACTTGAGGTCAGGAGTTTGAGACTAGCCTGACCAACATGGTGAAACCTCATCTCTACTAAAAAAAAAAAAATACAAAATTAGCAAAGCATGGTGGCACACGCCTGTAATCCCAGCTACTTGGGAGGCTGAGGCAGGAGAATCACTTGAACCCAGGAGGCAGAGGATGCAGTGAAGTGAGGCGAGATTGCGCCATTGCACTCCAGCCCAGACAACAACAGCGAAACTCCATCTAAAATAAAAAATAAAAATAAAAAAAGAAGGATATGAAAAAAGGGAACTTAAGTGGATTCTAATAAATCACAAAACCTCATATATAGCTATTCTCTAGACTGAATTACCCAGACTTCTGAAAATATACTATCAGACATAATTTTAATATTCACAGGTATCCTATGAGTTTGCTCTCTGCTCAAACACAGGGCCAAACCACAACACTGTGGGTGGATAAGTATGGGATATGCCTGATAAAGGCAAGGTATCATTATTATTCATCTAACATGGTAGATACTTATGAAATATTTACTTTTTAACAGTAGATTTCATTTATATATTTATTTTCTCTTTTTAAAATTTTTAGTTGTTGTGGGTACATAGTAGGTGTATGTATTTATGAAGTACATGAGAAGTTTTGATACAGGCATGCAATGTGAAATAAGCTTATCATAGGAAATGGGGTATCCATCCCCTCAAGCATATATCCTTTGAGTTACAAACAATTCAATTATACTGTTTATTTTTAAATGTACAGGTAAGTTATTACTGACTAAAGTCACCTTGTTGTACTATCAAATAGTAGTTCTTATTCATTCTTTCTATTTTTTCTTTTTTTTACTCATTAACTATTCCCCACCTACCTTTCAGCCCCTCACTACTCTTCCCAGCAGCTGGTAACCATCCTTCTACTCTCTATGTCTGTGAATTCAATTGTCTTGACTTTTAGACCCCACAAATAAGTGATAACATGTGATGTGTGTCTTTCTGTGCCTGTCTTATTTCATTTAACATAATGATCTTCAGTTCCATCCATGTTGTTACAAATGACAGAATCTCGTTCTTTTTTATTGCTGAATAGTACTCCATTGTGTATATATACCACATTTTCTTTATCTATTCATCTGTTGATGGACACTTAGGTTGCTTTCAAATCTTAGCTATTGTAAACAGTGCTGTGTCTATGATTTCTTTCTGCAGTGTTTTGTAGTTTTCCGTGTAGAGGTCTTTCACTTCCTTGGTGACGTATATTCCTAAGTTGTTGTTTTTTTGTTTGTTTGTTTGTTTGTTTGCAGCTATTATAAAAGGGATTGATTTCTTGATTTGATTCTCAGTTTTGTCATTGTTGGTGTATAGCAGGACTACTGATTTGTGTACATTAATTAATTTTGTATCCTGAAACTTTGCTGAATTCATTTACCAATTCTAGGAGCTTTTTGGATGAGTCTTTATGGTTTTCTAGGTACACAACCATGTCATCAGCAAATAGCAATAGTTTGACTTCCTCTGTTAATATCTCTTTTAATAAACTTTCTACCCGTATCTCTTTCTCTAACTCCTCTTTAAGGCCAATAACTCTTAGATTTGCTCTTTTGAGGCTACTTTCTAGATCTTGTAGGCATGTGTCATTGTTTTTTATTCTTTTTTCTTTTGTCTCATCTGTGTATTATATTTTCCAATAGCCTATCTTCAAGCTTGCTAATTCTTTCTTCTTCTTGATAAGATCTGCTATTAAGGGACTCTGATGCATTCTTCAGTATGCCAATTGCATTTTTTCAGCTCCAGAATTTCTACTTGATTCTTTTTAATTATTTTAATCTTTTTGTTAAATTTATCTGATAGAATTCTGAATTCCTTCTTTGCATTATTTTGAATCTCTTTGAGTTTCCTCTACACAGCTATTTTGAATTCTCTGTCTGAAAGGTTACATATCTCTGTTTCTCCAGGATTGGTCCCTGGTGACTTATTAGTTCATTTGGTGAGGTCATATTTTCCTGGATGGTGTTGATACTAGCAGATATTCTGTAGTGTCTGGGCACTAAAGAATTAGGTATTTATTGTAGTCTTCACTGTCTGTGCTTATTTGTACATATCTTCTTGGGAAGGTTTTTCAGATATTTGAAAGGACTTGGGTGTTATAATCTAAGCCGTATCTGCTTTAGGGGGCACCCCAAGCCCAGTAACACTGTGGTTCTTCCATACTCCTAAAGGTACTGCCTTGATGGTCTTGGACAAGATCCAGGAGAATTCTGTAGATTACCAGGCAGAGACTCTTGTTCTCTTCCTTTACTTTTTCCCAAATAAACATGGTCTCTCTGTTCTGAGCCACCTAAAGCTGGGGCTGGAGTGACACAAGCACCCCTGAGGCCACCACCACTATGACTGCGCTGGGTCAGACCTGAAGCCAGCACAGCACTGGGTCTTGCCCAAGGCCTGCTGAAACCACTCCCTGGTTACTGCTTATGTTTGTTCAAGAACTTGAAGCTCTACAAGCAGCTGGTGGCAAAGCCAGCCAGGCCTGCATCCTTCCCTTCAGGGTGGTGAGGTCCCCCAAGCCCCAGATGAGTGCAGAGGTGCCGTCCAGGAATCAGAGTCAAAAACCACAGATGTCTGTCTGGTGTTCTATTGTACTGTAGCTGAGCTGACACTCAAACCACAAGACACAGTACTTTCCATGCTTCCCTCTCCTTTCCAAAGATAGGGGAGCCCCACCCAGTAGCCACCACCACCCCAGGCCACGAGGAGTACTGCCAGACTACTGCCAAAGTTTTCTTAAGTCAGCTTGTGGTGCATGCTGCCTGGCCTGGGACTCACTCATCAGGGCAGTGGGCTCTCCTCTGACCCAGGGCAGGTCCATAAACACCATCCAAGAATCAAGTCCTGGAATCGGGGACCCCAGGATCCCACTTGGTGCTCTACCCAACTGCTAGTATCTAAGGTGCAAGACAAGTCCCCTTTACTTTTCCCTCTGCTTTTCTCAAGCAGAAGGAGTTTTGCCCCATATCCACCTCAGCTGGTAATGTGCTGAGTCTCACCTGAACCCAGCAAGTCCCAGAGGCTTACCCTAGGCCCTCAAAGTAGTACCTGGACATCACCGATGTTTATTCAGGACTCAAGAGCTCTTCAGTTAGCAGATGATGAATTCTGCCAGGACTGTGTCCTTTCCTTCAAGGCACTGGGTTCCCTTCTGGCCCAGGGTATGCCTATAAATGTCATCTGAGAGCTAGGGCCCGGGACAAGGACCTCACAACTCTGTCTGGTGCCCTCTCCTGCTGTGGCTAAGCTGCTATCCAATATGCAAGACAAAGTCCTTCTTATTCTTTCCTCTCCTCTCCTCAAGCAGAAGGAAGGGGTCTCTTCTGGAGCCAGGAGGTGTGCAGCCTGGGTCTAGGGGAAGGGTGATGCCAGCACTCCCTTGGCTGATGCAGCTGGTGTCTCTATGTCACATGCCACCCAGTCCGCTGTCTCTGGCCCCAGTTTGGCACTAGGACTCACCTAAGAGTTGCAGGCCTTATGGCCTAGACTGCCTTTCAAGTTTACTTGGAGACACAGAGCACTGTAGCCCTCAGTGGTGAGGTTTGCAGGAACTCCAGTTTGGACTGCTAAGATTCGTGATTCCACTCTGGCTAGGGCTGGTTTAAATGCTTCCTCGGTGGGTGGGCATCAGCTGATTTTTGTCCAGTTTTCCTTTCTGCTCTAACAAGACAGCACTGAGTTCAATTGCCTCACAATTGCTGTGCTCTCCCTCCCCCAGCACCCAGAGAAACTCTCCACACCACGGCTGCTGCAGGGTGGGGGAGGGGTGACATCAGCAATTCAGAGCTGTTTTTTCTATCTCCTGAGTGCCTCTTTCAGCAATTTGAAGTTAGAACCAGGTACTGTGAGTGCTCACCTGATTTTTGGTTCTAACAAAGGTATTTTTTGGTGTGTAGATAGTTGTTAAATTGGCGTCCCTGTGGGGAGGACAATCATTGGAGCCTCCTATTCTGCCATCTTGCTCCACATCCCTTGATTTGAATAGAAGCTGCAATTACCTTTAAAAAAATTTCTATCCGAAATTTTGTCCTCTTGGTTCAAGCTCTTTTCCAAGCAAAAATATTGTACCCAAATACTCCTTAAATGAGCTACATAGGCATATATTTTTAAATAATTAACTCAAGCCCTCTTTTAAATAAAGGATTAATAAGAATAGTGTTCTATTTGAGTAAACATGTAGTATAGGGAAAAATTGTGAGACTTTGAAATTTAGTGAGAGTACTGACTAGCTCATTAATTTTGGTTATTTTATGCTTTCATTGGCTCTGGGATTTGTTTTACAGCCCTGAAAGTTGCAGAAAATAGATAGTAATGCAAATAATTCTTGTCCGTAAATATGCAAGTTGTGTCCCATGTGATGCAACTGATTACCACTCTGTAAATATTGACCAGTTTTGCAAGTTTCTGTCTATTTGTAACCCCTATTCCATCCAGCAGCACCTATTACTATCTATAGAGAACCTTCTTTTGGTCCACACTCTGTTGTGCAGTTACTAACTCAACAATGTCATATACGCACACATATACAAGCACATACACACCAGTGATTACAAAGTCAATTTATAGTATAATAGTGGTTTGACTATTTTTAAATAGTATTTTTATTAAGTAAATACAATTGTTTTGGTATTTTTAATCTGAATATTGAAATGCAGGAGAAAACTAAATGCTGCATTTAAAATGAGGCATCATTGTTTCCATTTCATTGACGTAGGGAAACAGAATCAGAAATGAAAATCACCCACCTGATAAATAAATGCAGTAGCCAGGACACTAACCCAGATTTTCAGAGACCAAATTAGTTACATTCTATTTTTTTGAGGGAAGCTTTCTTTATCTCTTTCTCCAAATACTCAAAGAAGTAAAATCTCTGTATGATAAAGATAGATCTATTATATCTAGAATATCAACACTTCAAAAAGCATCAGACTAATAGTATTTCAGAAACACAGGTAAAAAAAACACTGAAATTTCAATATTATTGTTTTGCTGTGGTATTTCAGATAGCAAATTCAACTAGCACAAAGGAAATGCAAGAAAAGCACAAGACCCAGATGTGTTTTTAATGAAGCTTAAAAAATAAGTTGCAAAATAAGTCACATTTTTATCACAAAACATCCTGATAAAAGTATAAAATAACATATTTAAAAGCCCAATAAATGCAATAATATAAGCTAATAAGAATAGTGAACATGTGATAGGAGTTTACTGAGAGCCAGGCACTCACTGGTCTAAGTGCTTTTACATTCAAATAACTCTTTCAATATTCACAGGTATTCTATGAGATTGATCCTATGATTATTCCCAATGCAAAGATAAGATAAAGAGGACCTGAGGGACTAATTTAATTCAAGGAATGTTATGGGAATGTAGAAGTGGTAGAACTCCTGTGGTAAGTCCAGGGAGCAATCCTGTGGGGTTTGGCTTTGGAGGGCTTCACCCTTGGCCAGCCAGGGAAGAAAGATCTACAGGAGAAATTAGCTGTGCCGATCTGATGGTGCTGAGAAAAAAGTCTAGGACTTCAAAGAGGGAAGGGTACTGTGTAGCTTTCTGTCAGGGATGAAGCTTGGCTAAGGTACAGCAGGAAGAACATGGAGAAGGAAAGGGTAATGGAAAGAGAGCTGGATAAGCAGAAGAGGAAGGAGGCTTAAATGGCCCATGAAGATCATACTTTAAAAATATATTTCTTTGACAGATGTTAAAACTTCTTTGTGACTAGTTTATTTAAAATTTGTTTTATTTTAAAATACTGAATATAATGAAACTAATAAAGGTAAAAGTATCTCTTAATACCGCTATTAAAGTTTCAGAAGTGGTGAGAGCTACCTCTTTCTGCATTCAGGCTCTTGAACAAACTGAAGAGTAAAACAAATATTAAGGCAGATAGGAAATTAAAATATCAACTTCATGACTATGAAAGGTTAAGTTGGAGGATGCAGCTTAGCTTCAGAGCCAGAAAGACCAGCTCTGCTAGCTGAATCTCAGATCTAGGTAGGCTTGCCTGTCATAGCATCACTGAATCCTGGGCAAGTACAGGGGATTCCTAAGAGAAAGATAAAGAGAGCAGTTGAAAGGAACATGCCTGCTCTTTTCCTCCCAGATTTATGAAGCAGATAAGTTATTCCACCATCCCTGTGACAAAGTGAACAAAAGCAAAGAAAGACATGGAGTTAAACTAACTGAGCTTCCTTCATGTGAAAGAAACTGCTAGAAAACAGAAGAAGTGTTTCTCGTCAACAGTCATCCCTCTTTAAATAGTTTATACTAAGAAACAAAAGAACCATATATGTTAAAAACCTACACTAAAATCATACTCAGTGGTGAAATATAGAAGGTTTTCCCTCTGGTTAGGAACAAGATAAAAATGTCCGTTAGCATCAATCCTATTCAACATTGAACTGGAGGTCCTAGCCAGAGAAATAAAGAAAAAGAAATAAATTATATAAAGATAAATGAAGTGACACTTGTATATTAACAGATGGTACAAATATTATAGTTAAAAAATTATAATACAAAAGATTTATAAACAAATGAATTTAGCAAAGTTGCTAGATATGAAGTAAATATACAAAAATCAATTCCGTTTCTTTTTTCACTTTTATTTTAGTTTCAGAGGTACATGTGCAGGTTTTTTATGCAGGTAAATTGCATGTCATGAGGGTTTGGTGCAAAGATCGTTTTATCACCCAGGTACTAGGCAAAGGTAGTTTTTAGATCCTCACTCTCCTCCCACCCTCCACCTTCAAGTAGGCCCCAGTGCCCATTGTTCCCTTTTTTTGTGTCAATGTGGACTCAATGTTTAGCTCCTACTTATAAGTAAAAATTTGTGGTATTTCGTTTTCTGTTCCTGTGTTATTTGCTTAATTCTATTTCTTATACTATCAACAAACAACTAGAAAATAAAATTTAGAAAAATAAACCATTTACAATAGCACTCAAAAATATCACATACCTAGGAATATATCTGATGAAAAATGTAAAACCCTCTACACTGAAAATTATACAATATTGCTGAGAGAAAGTAGAGACCTAGTGGAGAGAGATGGCACACACATGAGTTGGAAGATTAAATATAAAATAATGTAAATCCTCCCCAAATTGATCCATGGAATCAATGTTATCACAGTTAAAATCACTACAGGTTTTTTTGTATGGAAAATGACAAAATGTTTGTAAAATCTATTTGGAAATACAAAGAACCTAGGATAGCCAAAATAGGTTTGAAGAAAATGAGCAAATTGCAAGTCTTACTGTTATAGTAGGTAGCTCATCAGGCATAAGCAGGGTAGAAGAGGGCTCTCTCCGACTTCACACTCCCCCCCCACCTCCTGTCACACACATCAGGAATGTCAGGTGACAATCAGGTAATGGTCAGTAATGGTCAGGCCGTTGTTAACTGTCTCTCTAAAATAATAATTGGTCACAGCCAGTGCCAGGGAAAGGCCATCTCCTGCTACATAGAAAACACCTGAAACTAGTGATCAGCAGCTTCCTGGAGTTGGGAAAGTGGACTCAAGCATGTGCATGCAGACAGCCCAACCCAAGGGAAGAATCAAAGGAGAAGTGACGCAAGACCCCGGAAGTATGCCAACATATAAAGCCAAAGTTAAACATAAAACCAAAGTATGCCAAAGTAAAACAACGTCAAAAAGTCAAACCGCACACTTGTCTTTCAAGTCGCCCGCTTGGTCCTCTTCCAAGTGTACTGTCTTTCCTTCCTTTCATTCCTGCTCTAAAGTTTCTTAATAAACTTTTACTCTTGCTCTAAAACTTTCCTCAGTCTCTCCTGCCTTGTGCTCCTCTGTTGAATTCTTTCTTCTGAGGAGGCAAGAATTGAGGATTCTATAGACCTACATGGGTTCACTGCCAGTAACATTACTATCAGATGTCAACTTAACTATATAGCAAAGGTAATCAAAATACTGTGGGTGTTAGCATAAGAATAGAAAATATAGTCAATGGAATAAATCAACACAGGTATTATCATCTGAATTGTGACAAAAGTCTCAGTGTAGAAACAATGCCCTTTTTAATAAATGCTGTTGGAATAATTATATCTGTAAAACAAATCAACTTTGACTCCCCCACCTTACACCATACATAAAAATTAATTTGAGATAGATTACAGATATAAATGTAAACAGCATGACAATAAAGCTTCTGAGATAAAGTATAGGAGAGTACTTTCATAATATTGAAATAGATAAAATATTTTATACAGAATATGAAAGACACAAACCATAAAAGTAATGAAATGCTATTCACTACAATTAAGACCTTCTGCTCATCAAAGGACACCATTATGAAAGTGAGTAGAAAAGCCACAGATTGGAAAAAACTTTGCTCTGTGACAAAGGAGTCATATTCACAATATTATGTATAAAAATTCCTATAAATCAATTAAAAAGACAAATCAACCTAATTTTAAAATGAGCAAAACAATTGAATAGGACTTCAAAAAACACACTATCCATATGTCCAGTAGCTAATGATTCCCTGATGGTATCATTAGTCATCAGGGAAATGCAAATTAAAGCCATATAACCACCAAATTAAAACTACTACACACCCACCAAGTTACTAAAATTGAGATGACTGACAATATCAAGTGTTGGTGAGGAAGTGAAGCAACTGGAAACCTCATATATTGCTGGAGGAAGTGAAAGTGTTACAATCATTTTGGAAACCTGTTTGGCAATACCTACTAAAGCTAAACATATGCTTGCCTTATGATCCAACCATGCTACTCCGAGGCATATTTGTAGAAGTGAGGTCATATGTCAACAAAAAAGATGGGTAGAATAATATTTGTAGCTTCTGAGCAAAACAACTGTCTCTGAATATTACCTTACTTTGGAAGGTATTGGCATACATTTGAATTAAAGTCAGAATTTTTCAAAATAAGCCCTAATTTAAAAGACTATTCTATATTCAAAGTAAAACAATATTAATAGAACTTTCCTTTGCAAAAACAATAAAGGAAACAAGGCATTTTGTAAAATGTGGTCCTGAACAAGTCACAGTAAAAAATAAATGTATACTTAACTTCCACCTCTTCAAAACAGAGGCTACTTTCTGTTCCTCAGCCTTGGAAACAAGGTGAAGAACAGCCTGTATGCAACTTCAGACAGGGGGTTACCAAAACAAAGCTGAAGCAGTTGACCATGGACACCTCAAAAGAATTTCGGAGAACCTGACCGAAGGATCCAAATTCTATGTTTTTTGTTTTTGTTTCTGTTTTTGTTTTTTTGAGACGGAGTCTCATCCTGCTGCCCAGGCTGGGGTGCAGTGGCGTGATCTGGGCTCATTGCAACCTCTGCCTCCCGGGGTTCAAGCTATTCTCCTGCCTCAGCCTCGCAAGTAGCTGGGATTACAGGCACGTGCCACCAGGCCCGGCTAATTTTGTTGTATTTTTAGTAGAGATGGGGTTTCACCATATTGGCCAGGGTGGTCTCAAACTCCTGACCTCAAGTGATCCGCCCGCGTCAGACTCCCAAAGTGCTGGGATTACACGTTTGAGCCACCGTGCCAGGCCTAAATTCTATTTTTAATAACTAATACGAAAGTGAAGTGGCTCCTCCCAAGTAGCAGTGCTGCCGGGGCCTGGCCCAGGCCTAGCCCTGAGCTCGACTCTCATGCTCCCAAGCAAACCCTGATGCTCCTGCTCCAAGGTAGACCTTTTCCCTTTAGAGGTTCAGTGTCCAGGGAGCTCTATGATTGTGTGAATGAGGTGAGCGCCAACTCCATGTGAGTATTTTAAGGCTTGGAGTCAAAGTATTTTCCTAACACTCCTAGGCAGAGTCCATGGCCCATCTCCAGTTTGTTCTAATTTCTTACCATGCATCTGTAGCTCTAGGACCGCAGACCTTCATCACAATCGTATCCAATGTCCATCGTAAATTTTTTTTTTTTTTTTTTTTTTGAGACAGAGTCTTGCTCTGTCGCCCAGGCTGGAGTGCAGTGGCACCATCTCGGCTTACTGCAAGCTCCATCTCCCAGGTTCATGCCATTCTCCTGCCTCAGCCTCCTGGGTAGCTGGGACTACAGGTGCCCGCCACCATGCCTGGCTAATTTTTTCATATTTTTAATAGAGATGAGGTTTCACCATGTTAGCCAGGATGGTCTCGATCTCCTGACCTCGTGATACGCCCGCCTTGGCCTCCCAAAGTGCTGGGATTACAGGAGTGAGCCACCGTGCCCGGCCCACCCAAACTTATGATTCATATTCTGTACCTGGAAACAGTCCCTGTATTTAACAATAGCACCTACACATGAAAACAATCCACTGTTACAGCTTATATAGTCACAAAACATTAATGATCTTCTGTAGAACAAGCAAATTTTTTTACCATAATTGTCGTGCATCAAATTCTTGGCTGTCTAGCATTTCTTGGTAAAAAGACATAATTCTAAAACCATTCCTCCATTGATAGACAAGCAGGCTATTCTCAATTTTTTGCTATTTCGACAGTACTACAATCAGCATTCCCCAAAATATAACTTTATGCACCTAAAATACAATGAGAATTTTTTGTAGATTAGATTTCTCAAAGTGGAATTCAGTGTCAGTGGATATGGGCATTTGAAATTGTAACAGATGTCACAAATTATTCTCCACAATTTTGAAACAATTCAGTACCCATCCAGTAGTATATAGTGGAATCCATTTCCCACACCTTCACCAGCAATGGATGCTACCAATCTTTATTACTTTTGCTAATCTAAAGGGAGAAATGGTGTTTTATTGACATTTTATATGGCCTTTTTAAGATAACATAATAATACATTTATGCTGATAATTGCCAACACTAATATGAACTAGACTCTACTAATAATGTCACATTAATTAAATATGTTTAAACACAAGATACTGACCATGCCATAGAGAAAAATTCTGCTTTGAAAAGGGGTTGGAACTGGTTACATTTTGCACAGGAATTCATTTGCCCTAGGAGTACCTGCCCTGTCCACAACCCTTGCTGAGGGAAATAGTTCTGGGTAACTTCCTAAGCATAGAAAGCCACACTCTATATTCACATCATCACGGCCTGACTTTTAGAGAATTTGACCAGAAACAGATTACTCCTAACCAATCCTACAGAATGGCCAGTTACCCATGAGTTAGTCTAGTTTGTAAGCTTGGTTCTACAGTGAAAACATTGAGTAAGGGGACTCACATCTTCATGGTGCTTTGTAACATTCTCTAACCTAACTCTAACCTAACCCAACTCCTGCCCCACAAATCCTCTCACTGTAACCCTCTGGATGCCTGCTCTGGGATCAGCAAACACCCTAAATTTCCACCCTTTTCTTAGTAAGTTCTTTTTACATATTTTGCCTTAGTTGAAATCTGGCTGTTCTCTGAGACAGCATTTCTCCTGTAGCCCTCTCAAAAGGAAGGTTGTTTGTTTTCTCATAACTCACAACCTCATAGTCTTGAGATGGGGTAGCTGTCTGTGCTCTGCATTTCTTCTTCCGTATATACTATCTCTCCCCCTTGCTCTTATAAAACACTCAAGCTCTTGCAAACTCACAGCCTCTCATTGTTGCTATAAACTACTGACATCCCGACCACAACCCCTAATCCTGACAACCTGAACTCTTGGCTCAGTTTTCTGTCCACCCCAACTCCTGTCATTATCATCACTGGTCTCAACATCCAGCACCCTGGTGTTGCCATTCCCATTCCACCTTTTCCTCCACTCTATCTCATCTGCCCACTCCGACAGTCACAGCTTGAATCTTCTCATCAGCAGAAACAATATCACCTGTGAAATGTCAGCTTAAACATCCCACTCCCTGACCACCACCTTCCATCAGTCCAGATCACATGCTGCAGAACAGCCCCACCACTCCCACCACAAATCTTTGACGTCATCCTCCTGTCCCCACAATTTTCTCATGGCTCTCCTGACTTCTCTTCCCTCTTGTTCATCCTAGATTTCATGAATAATCATTTCAGTTACTTCCTGGCAAATCCTACCAACTCATTCACTCATATCCTCCTTCATCATACTTTCCTGCAAACACCAGACATCTTCCTCCTTGAGGCTGACCCCAAGCAGCTGTATGTTGCTAGAGGAAACAATTGCACAACTGAGATGATGGGTTTCTTGTTAATGTGGTGATCCCAAGAATTAGTAGGGCTTTACCACTGCACAGAGAGCTGATCATCTTTCTCTGACAGGATCACCTTCCCACTCCCCAAGGTGAATAACTTCTCTCTCCCACATCTCCTCCTACATATATCATTTCTTTCCTCATACTTAAGAAAAAAACAGAATTCACCAGAAGCAAACTCTGAGCTTCTCACCACCCATGCTCAAGCTTACAATATCTGTACTCACCTTCTCTTCTTTTTAACCTGTTATGGTGGAGGATGTGTCCCCAGGCCTAATGAAGGCCAACTCTCCTCTTGGGCACTGAATTCCATCCCATGAATTCATCCCTGCCTTCTAAAAGACTGTACCTCCTTAGTTATGTTCTCTCCTGGAATAGAGTCAGTCCTTCCTTTCTCCCTACAAAACCACTCCCATCAGCAAGCAAACATGCTCTACTGCCTACCTTTTTGAAAAGGCAAATCTTCACCCCTCCAGTTTCTGTACCATCTCTCTATCCCTTACTCACAGCCAAACTCACCAAGAAATATATCTACACAATATGTGTAAATTCTCACTTCACCTTATTCCTCTTTTACTTACTATGTTATTCTAGAAAATTAAAAAATAGAGAAGGAATTGGATATTTACCTGTGTATTTTTTGATAAATTTTAAAAAGACACACACAAAATGCACAACAGAGGTTGCCACTATGGTGGGCGCAGCAGAATAAAACTAGAAGCATAACACAGAAGAGAACTTCAGCATCATCCTTTTATTCTCAATGATGCTCTCTGCTCTGCCTTCCACCTCCACACCCAGTGGAAACTGATCTTGTTACAATCATCCATCAACAAACCTCATGTTTTCAAATCCAATGGACATCACTTGGTCTTTGTTTTACTCAGCCTCCCAGTGTCTGTCACAGTGCCTAGCACATGCTTTTCTCTGGGCTTGCATATACCACCTCGCTAGGACACCTTTCTTAGTTACCTGGCCATTTCCTCCTCATCTACCTGAACTTAGCGTTCTTGGGAGGATTTTTTCTTCCATTATCTCTTCTATGATCATGGCTTCCAGTGCCATCTATCGGCTGTAACTGCTGCATTAGTCCATTATCACACTGCTAATAAAGACATATCTGTGACTGGGTAATTTATAAAGGACAGACATTTGATTGACTTGCAGTTCAGCATGGCTGGGGAGGCCTCAGGAAACTTACAACTATGGTGGAAGGGAAAGCAAACACATCTTTCTTCACATGGCAGCGGGAAGAGAAGAATGAGCAAAAGGGGGGAAAGCCCCTTATAAAACCACCAAGTCTGGTGAGAATTAACACACTATCATGAGAACAGCAGTGTGGGGGTAAACACCCCCATGATTCAATTAGCTCCCACCAGGTCCCTCCCATGACATATAGGGACTATGGGAACTACAATTCAAGATGAGATTTGGCAAGGGACACATAGCCTAACCATATCAACTGCCAAACTTACATCTCCAGTCCAGATAACTCCTCTGAGCTCCAATCTTCCTAATTCAACTATTTAACACTTTCTGGCAGGGTACAGTGGCTTGTGCCTGTAATCCCAGCACTTTGGGAGGCTGAGGTGGGAGGACCACTTGAGGTGAGGAGTTCGAGACCAGCCTAGCCAACATAGTGAAACCCTGTCTCTACCAAAAATACAAAGCCAACATAGTGAAACCCTGTCTCTACCAAAAATACAAAAATTAACCAGGTATGTTGGTGTGCACCTGTAGTCCCAGTTACTCAGGAGGAAAAGTCATGAGGATTGCTTGAACCCAGCGGGCAGAGGTTGCAGTGAGCCAAGTTTGCAGCGCTGCACTCCAGCCTGGGCAACAGAGCAAGACTCTGTCAAAAAAAAACTATTTAACATTTTTTTCTGATATTGCCAATTTTAAATGCCCAAAACTCATTATTTTAACATCTTCCCCCACTTACCTCGGTTCTTCTGGGTTTCTGCAGTAACTTTTATCACCATCGATTCAGTTGATCAAACCAGAAATCTCCCTTTCACTAATATCCAGCATCTAGGCAACCAGTAAGTGGCTTGTACTACCTAATATGCTGTCTCATTTTTCCTCTCTTGAATCATCTCTACTGCTAACACTGTAATCCACACCATCATTCTCACCTGTATTGCTGGAATAGGCTCCCACCTGTTCTTATCTCTTTCTTGCTGCCTCCTCCCTCACCCCTGGTGTATTTTTGACACACCAAGAAGAATCATCTTAAAATAAAAAATTGGATTATGTTGGTTTATTGGTTGGTCTTGCTTTCTCTTCCTCTCTCTCTCTCCTCCTCTCTTCTCTATTCTCTCTTACATACTCTAGGACCCACAACTCTCTCACTATATCTGGAATCCCCAGAACCTAGCTCAACATTGACACTTAAGAGGAGGACTTTAAATATTAGTTAAATGAATCATTGAAGTGGACAAATTAGGGTATCCTACGATCATTTAAAATCCAGAAACAAAGGGCTAAGAAATCAGTAAGAGAGCCAGAAACCAATGCACATGAGTAAAGAAAGCTAAAATAACAGCCAAGGAGGAGTAGACAATATGAAAAATAGAGAAAATTATTAGAATTGAAAAGTGTTTGACTTAGTATCTGAGCCTTAAAGAGAAATTGTTGCTGGTAGCTGAGACAGTTGCAGTACTCATGTAGTGTTCTGGAAAGGCCTTGAAGCTTCCAGTGACCCCATATGATCTAGTCTTTTGAGGTATATTTGTTTGATATTCTATTCCTCCTTATTGCTATGTTTATCTTTACAGCAGGCTGAAGGATATTCTGAGTTCCTTGGTATATCAGTTGTCTACCCAAACAACACTCTAATGTTGATTATCTCCTGAGTTGACTGGGAGGGTCTCTATTCTTACAACTGGAAAAATGACAGATTAGGAGTCTGTATGATCCCTCCCAGGGCTGGTATTCTGTCTTGTTCATCATAGCTCTGTTTCTGGTGCTGGCACACACTAGGAACCTGAAAAATGTGTGTTGAAATGAATTCAACAGATCAGAGCTCTCTAATGAATTGAAATTTTTTTGGACTTTTTATGGCTTTCCCCTTTCTTTTAGCAGAAAAAGAGAATCAATTCTAGTGAAGTCCATTTCACGGCTAATGAAGCTTTAGCTGCCATGTGTCCAAGTGTGAAGACAGTATTAGAATATGATATGGTTTGGCGGTGTCCCCACCCAAATCTGATCTTGAATTGTAGTTCCCATCATCCCCATGTGTCATGGGAGAGACCAGATAGAGATAATTGAATCATGGGGGCAGTTTTCCTCACCCTGTTCTCATGATAATTGCTTCTCAAAAGATCTGATGGTCTTATAGGGGGCTTCCCCCTTCTGTGGGCACTCACTTTTCTCTCCTGCTGCCATGTGAAGAAGGACTTGTTTGCTTCCCCTTCCACCATGATTGTAAGTTTCCTGAGGTCTCCCTAGCCTTGTAGAACTGTAAGTCAATTAAACCTCTTTCCTTTATAAATTACCCAGTCTGGGGCAGCTCTTTATAGCAGCATGAGGAATGAACTAATACAGTAAATTGGTACTGGGTAATGGGGCACTGCTGTAAAGATACCCAAAAATGCAGAAGCGACTTTGGAACTGGGTACCAGGTAGAGGGTGGAACAGTTTGGAGGGCTCAGAAGAAGACAGGAAAATGTGAGAAAGTTTGGAATTTCCTAGAGACTTGGAGGGCTCAGAAGACAGGAAGATGTGGCAAAGTTTGGGACTCCTAGAGACTTGTTGAGTGGCTTTGACCAAAATGCTGATAATGATATAGACAATGAAGTCCAGGCTGAGGTGGTCTCATAGAGAGATAAGGAACTTGTTGGGAACTGGAGTAAATGTCACTCTTGCTATACAAAGAGGATGCTGGCATTTTGCCTCTGCCCTAAAAATCTGTGAAACTTTGATCTTGAGATAAATGACTTCAGGTATCTGGCAGAAGAAAGTTTTAAGCAGCAAAGCATTCAAGAGGAAGCCGAGCATAAAAGTTTGGAAAATTTGCAGCCTGACAATGCAATAGAAAACTAAACCCCATTTTCTGGGGATAAATTCAAGCCTGCAACAGAAATTTGCATAAGTAACAAGGAGCCGAATGTTAATCCCCAAGACAATGGGGAAAATGTCTCCTGGCCATGTCAGAGGCCTTCACGGCAACCCCTACCATTCACAGACCCAGAGGTTTAGGAGGAAAAAATGGTTCTGTGGGCCAGGCCCAGGGCCCCACTCCTGTGTGCAGCCTAGGGACGTGATGCCCTGTGTCCTAGACGCTGCAGCCATAGTCAAAAGGAGCCACAGTACAGCTCAGACCATGGCTTCAGAGGGTGTAAGCCCCAAGCCTTGGCTGCTTCTATGTGGTGTTGATCCTGCAGGAGCACAGAAGTCAAGAATTGAGATTTTTGGAACCTCCACCTAGATTTCAGAGGATGTATGGAAGTACTTGGATGTCCAGACAGAATTTTGATGCAGGGGCAGAGCCCTCATGGCGAACCTCTGTTAGGGCAGTGTAAAAGGGAAACATGGGGTCAGAGCCCCTACACAGAGTCCCCACTGGGGCACTGCTTGGTGGAGTTATAAGAAGAAGGCCACCATCCTCAAGACCCCAGAATGGTAGATCCACTGATAGCTTGCAACACATACCTAGAAAAGCCACAGATACTCAATGCTAGCCTATGAAAGCAGCTGAGATGGGGGCTGTACCCTGCAAAGACACAGGGGTGGAGCTGCCCAAGGCCATGGGAGCTTACCTCTTGCATCAGCGTAACCTTGATGTGAGACATGAAGTCAAAGGAGATCATTTTGGAACTTTAAGGTTTAGTGATGGCCCTATTGGATTTTGGACTTGTATAGGGCCTGTGGCTCCCTTTTTTGGCCAATTTCTCCCATTTGGAATGTGTGTATTTACTCAATGCCTGTACCCCCATTGTATCTGGGAAGTAACTAACTTGCTTTTGATTTTACAGGCTCATAGGTGGAAGGGACTTGCATTGTCTCAGATGAGACTTTGGACTTGGACTTTTGAGTTAATGCCAGAATGAGTTAAGACTTTGGGGGACTGTTGGAAGAGCATGATTGTGTTTTTAATTGTGAGGACATGGGATTTGGGAAGAGTCAGAGGTAGAATGATATAGTTTGGCTGTGTCCCCACCCAAATCTCATCTTGAATTATAGTTTCCATCATCCCCACGTGTCGTGGGAGGGACCAGGTAGAAATAATTGAATCATCGGGGTTGTTTCCCCCATTCTGTTCTCATGACAGTGAGTGAGTTCTCACAAGATCTAGTAGTTTCATAAGGGGCTTCCCCCTTCACTGGGCACTCACTTTTCTATCCTGCAGCCATGTGAAGAAGGACATGTTTGCTTCCCCTTCCACCATGATTGTAAGTTTTCTGAGCCCACCCCAGCCCTGCAGAACTAGGAGTCAATTAAACCTCTTTCCTTTATAAATTACCCAGTCTTAGGTAGTTATTTATAGCAGCATGAGAATGGACTGATACAGAGTATTACTTGGATAAACAACCCAAATTCCAGAGATCTCTTAATGGGACATATGCCCAGAGTGCCCTATGCACATTAGTGCAAATGTACCATGATGGGAGGAGGCCTTTTCTACCAGAAACAAGTAACAACTGTCATACACCAGGAAAGCTAACCTGTCCAAAGCACCTCTCAATGCTACTTTCCAAAAAGGGTCTTAAACAATCACCTATTGCTGTTCCCTTGTCTTATAAAGAAGGGGACTAGCATTCCTAAAACTAAACCAAGTGATGCCAATCAAATCAAGTCAAATGTAATTGTTTAGGCTTTTCCATTCTTTCATTCCTATTCTATAACCCATGGACACTCAGTCCTATAGCTGAATATTTTATGGCACCAGTGTGATGAACTGGAAATCCCATGAGCATGAGAGCTAAAATTCTAATCACACATCTTTCATTTTGTTTTAAGGTCTTGAACAAGTCACTTAACCTTGCTGTGTCTGTTTTCCCATCTGTAAAATGGGAGTAAGTAGGCAATAATATGCAACTTTGTATTTTATTTGGAAAGATTAATGATAATAAGGGTAATCCTGCTGCTTGGCTCACAGTAGATGCTTGGTACTGAGACAGTTGGGAATCCATTTTATACTGGAGACTACTTTCCTAAACTTGACTATAAGACCTCTGAGAATAATATACGTTTTGTTTTTCTGATTTCTTGGGTAGACTTTAGTTTACTCAGGTTTAGTATATTTATTTCTGTTATTCTGAGATACGTTCCATCAATACCTAGTTTAATAGAGAGTTTTTAGTATGAAGAGGTGTTGAATTTTGTCAAAGGCATTTTCTGCATCTATTGAGGTAATAGTGTGGTTTTTACCATTGGTTCTGTTTATATAATGGATTATGTGTATTGATTTGCATATGTTGAACCAGTCTTGCATCCCAGGGATGAAGCTGACTTGATTGTGGTGGATAAGCTTTTTGATGTGCTGTTGGATTCAGTTTGCCAGTATTTTATTGAGGATTTTTGCATCAGTGTTCATCAGGGATATTGGCCTGAAATTTTCTTTTTTTGTTGTTGTGTCTCTGCCAGGTTTTGGTATCAGGATGATGCTGGCCTCACAAAATGAGTTCCTTTTCTATTGTTTGGAATAGTTTCAGAAGGAATGGTACCAGCTCCTCTTTGTACCTCTGGTAGAATTCGGCTGTGAATCCATCTGGTCCTGGACTTATTTTGGTTGGCAGGCTATTAATTACAGCCTCAATTTCAGAACTTGTTATTAGTCTATTCAGGGATTCGACTTCTTCCTGGTTTAGACTTGAGAGAGTGTATGTGTCCAGGAATTTATCCATTTCTTCTAGATTTTCCAGTTAATTTGTGTAGAGGTGCTTATAGTATTCTCTGAAGGTAGTTTGTATTTCTGTGGTATCAGTGGTGATATCCCCTTTATCATTTTTCATTGCATCTATTTGATTCTTCTCTCCTTTCTTCTTTATTAGTCTGGCTAGTGGTCTATTTTGTTGATCTTTTCAAAAAAACAGCTCCTGGATTCATTGATTTTTTGAAGGGTTTTTTGTGTCTCTGTCTCCTCAGTTCTGCTCTGATCTTAGTTATTTCTTGTATTCTGCTAGGTTTTGATTTTGTTTCCTCTTGTTCTCTAGTTGTTTTAATTTTGATGTTCAGGTATCAATTTTACATCTTTTCTGCTTTCTCTTGTGGGCATTTAGTGCCACAAATTTCTCTCTACACATTGCTTTAAATGTGTCCCAGAAATTCTGGTACATTGTGTCTTTGTTCTCATTGGTTTCAAAGAACATCTATATTTCTGCCTTCATTTCGTTATTTACTCAGTAGTCATTCAGGAGCAGGTTGTTCAGTTTCCACGTAGTTGTGTGGTTTTGAATGAGTTTCTTAATCCTCAGTTCTAATTTGATTGCACTGTGGTCTGAGAGACTGTTATGATTTTCTTTCTTTTGCATTTGCTGAGGAGTGCCTTACTTCCAGTTATGTGGTCAATTTTAGTATAAGTGCAATGAGGTTGCTGAGAAGAATGTATATTCTATGGATTTGGGGTGGAGTTCTGTAGATGTCTATTAGGTCTGCTTGGTCCACAGCTGAGTTCAAGACCTGAATATCCTTGTTAATTTTCTGTCTTGTTCATCTAATATTGAGAGTGGAGTGTTAAAGTCTCCCATTATTAATGTGTGGGAGTCTAAGTCTCTTTGTAGGTCTCTAAGAACTTGTTTTATGAATCTGGGTGCTCCTGTATTGGGTGCATATATATTTAGGATAGTTAGGTCTTCTTGTTGCATTGATCCCCTTACCATTATGTAATGGCCTTCTTCGTCTCTTTCGATCTTTGTTGGTTTAAAATCTGTTTTATCAGAAATTAGGATTGCAACTCCTGCTTTTTTTTGCTTTCTATTTGCTTGGTAAATATTCCTCCATCCCTTTATTTTGAGCCTATGTGTGTCTTTGCATGTGAGATGGATCTCGTGAATACAGCACACTGATGGGTCTTGACTCTTTATCCAATTTGCCAGTCTGTGTCTTTTTTTTTTTATACTTTAAGTTTTAGGGTACATGTGCACAATGTGCAGGTTTGTTACATATGTATACATGTGTCATGTACGTGTGCTGCACCCATTAACTCGTCATTTAGCATTAGGTATACCTCCTAATGCTATCCCTCCCCCCTCCCCCAACCCCACAACAGTCCCCGGAGTGTGATGTTCCCCTTCCTGTGTCCAAGTGTTCTCATTGTTCAATTCCCACCTATGAGTGAGAACATGCAGTGTTTGTTTTTTTGTCCTTGCGATAGTTTGCTGAGAATGATGGTTTCCAGTTTCATCCATGTCCATACAAAGGACATGAACTCATCATTTTTTATGGCTGCATAATATTCCATGGTGTATATGTGCCACATTTTCTTAATCCAGTCTATCATTGATGGACATTTGGATTGGCTCCAAGTCTTTGCTATTGTGAATAGTGCCGCAACAAACATACATGTGCATGTGTTTTTATAGCAGCATGATTTATAATCCTTTGGGTATATACCCAGTCTGTGTCTTTTAATTGGAGCATTTAGTCCATTTACATTTAAGGTTAATATTGTTATGTGTGAATTTGATTCTGTCATTATGATGCTAGCTGGTTATTTTGTCCGTTAGTTGATGCAGTTTCTTCATAGTGTCGATGGTCTTTACAACGTATGTTTTTGCAGTGGCTAGTACCAGTTGTTCCTTTTCATGTTTAGTGCTTCCTTCAGGAGCTCTTGTAAGGCAGGCCTGGTGGTGACAAAATCTCTCAGCATTTGCTTGTCTGTAAAGGATTTTATTTCTCCTTCACTTATGAAGCTTAATTTGGCTGGATATGAAATTCTGGGTTGAAAATTCTTTTCTTTAAGAATGTTGAATATCGGCCCCCACTCTCTTTCTTCTAGCTTGTAGTTTCTGCTGAGAGATCCGCTGTTTGTCTGATGGGCTTCCCTTTGTGGGTAACCTGACCTTTTTCTCTGGCTGCCCTTAACATTTTTTCCTTCATTTCAACCTTGGTGAATCTGATGATTATGTGTCTTGGAGCTGTTCTTCTCGAGGAGTACCTTTGTGGTGTTCTCTGTATTTCCTGAATTTGAATGTTGCCTGTCTTGCTAGGTTGGGGAAGTTCTCCTGGATAATATCCTGAAGGGTGTTTTCCAAGTTGCTTCCATTCTCCCCATCACTTTCAGGTACACCAGTGAAATACAGATTTGGGCTTTTCACATAGTCCCATATTTCTTGGAGGCTTTGTTCACTCCTTTCATTCTTTTTTCTCTAATCTTGTCTTCTCGCTTTATTTCATTAAGTTGATCTTCAATCTCTGATATCCTTTCTTCCTCTTGATCGATTTGGCTATTGATACTTGTGTATGCTTCACGAAGTTCTGGTGCTGTGTTTTGCAGCTCCATCAGGTCATTTAGGTTCTTCTCTAAACTGGTTATTCTAGTTAGCAATTCGTCTAACCTTTTTTCAAGGTTCTTAGCTTCCTTGCATTGGGTTAGAACACACTCCTTTAGCTTGGAGGAGTTTATTATCCACCTTCTGAAGCCTACTTCTGTCGATTTGTCAAACTCATTCTCTGTCCAGTTTTGTTTCCTTGCTGGCGAGGAGTTGTGATCCTTTGGAGGAGAAGAGGCATTCTGGTTTTTGGAATTTTCAGCCTTTTTGTGCTGGTTTCTCCCCATCTTCATAGATTTTGGTCTTCGATGTTGGTGACCTTCGAATGGGGTCTCTGAGCGGACATGCTTTTCCTTTCTGTTTGTTAGTTTTCCTTCTAACAGTCAGGTCCCTCTGCTGCAGGTCTGCTGGAGTTTGCTGGAGGCCCACTCCAGACCCTGTTTGCCTGGGTATCACCAGCTGAGGCTGCAGAACAGCAAAGATTGCTGCCTGTTCTTTCCTCTGGAAGCTTTGTCCCAGAGGGGCACCTGCCAGATGCCAGCCAGAGCTGTCCTCTATGAGGTGCCTGTTGGCCCCTACTGGGAGATGTCTCCCAGTCAGGATACATGGGGGTCGAGGACCCACTTGAGGAGGCAGTCTGACCCTTAGCAGAGCTCAAATGCTGTGCTGGGAGGTTGGCTGCTCTCTTCAAAGCCATCAGGAAGGGATGTTTAAGTCTGCTGAAGCTGCATCCACAGCTGCCTCTACCCCCAGGGGCTCTGTCCCAGGGAGATGGGGGTTTTATCTATAAGTCCCACTGAGGCTGCTGCCTTTTTTTCAGAGACGCCCTGCCCAGAGAGGAGAAATCTAGAGAGGCAGTCTGGCAACAGTGGCCTTCCTGAGCTGCAGTGGGCTCCACCCAGTTCAAACTTCCTGGAGGCTTTGTTTACACTGTGAGGGTAAAACCACCTACTCAAATGTCAGCAATGGTGGATGCCCCTCCCCCAGCCAAGCTCGAGCATCCCAGGTCAATCTCAGACTGCTGCTGTCCTGGCAGCAAGAATTTCAAGCCAGTGGATCTTAGTTTGCTGGGCTCCATAAGGGTGGGACCGGCCAAGCCAGATCACTTGGTTCCCTGGCTTCAGCCCCCTTTGCAGGAGAGTGAATGGTTCTGTCTTGCTGCCATTCCAGGTACCACTGAGGTATGGGGAAAAAAACAAAACAAAACAAAACAAAACAAAACAAAAAACTCCTGCAGCTAGTTCAGTGTCTGCCCAAACGGTTGCCCAATTTTTGTGCTTGAAACCCAGGGCCCTGGTGGCATAGGCACTAGACGGAATCTCCTGGTCTGTGGGTTGTGAAGATAGTGGGAAAAGCACAGTATCTGGGCCAGAGTGCACAGTTCCCCAGGCTCAGTCCCTCATGGCTTCCCTTGGGCAGGGGAGAGAATTCTCCAACCTCTTGCACTTCCCGGGTGAGGCAACACCAACCCTGCTTCAGCTCGCCCTCCGTAGGCTGCACCCACTGTCCAACCAGTCCCAGTGAGATAAACTGGGCACCTCAGTTGGAAATACAGAAATCACCAGCCTTCTGTGTCAATCTCACTGGGAGCTACTGACCAGAGCTGTTCCTATTTGGCCACCTTGCCAGCAATCTCTGCACCAAGTTTTTGAAATATGTTGTGTATTTGACACTTACCTCTCATCTCAATTCACACAAGCCACATTTCAAGTGCTCCATAGCCAGATGTGAATTGTGGCAACAATATTGAACGGCCCACATCAGTAGTATTTTTTCTTTGGAAAAATTATTAGGGCATTGCTAGGCCTAAGATATGATAAAGTTTTGTCCCATGAGCACTTTATCAAAAGTTTATTCTCTACTTTTAGGGTTCAATTTATTTCTATAAAAATATCTTCTAAATTATGTTCACTTTCTCTTTATCTTGGTATCCACTGGATTTGCCAAAGTTCCAAAAAGGTGTAATAAATGTTTCCACTACAATATTGATTCTGTCAAATTTTTCTTATATTTTCTGAAGATTTTACTTCTAATATTTTTGTGCTATGTTCATTGGTGCATAACTATTCATGGCAGTTATATTCCATTATGAGTCACAAATTCTATCATTATACAGCATTTCTTTTTGACCTATTCAACAACTTTTGCCTTGAATTTTACTTTCCTGATATTAACGCTGTGATCTTTCTATATTCTCTTGGGTTGTCTTAGCCAGTATGCCTCTGCCCGATCTTATAATTTCAACTTCCCATGTTTCTTTATTTTAAAGAATTCCATGTCTCTGAATCACTTTACTGAACTCAGTATTTAATCTGTGAGTATAAAGAATCTGACTAAAGAATATTCTCTCGGCCGGGCACTGTGGCTCACTCCTGTAGGAGGCCAAGGCAAGCAAATCACCTGAGGTCAGGAGTTCAAGAACAGCCTGGCCAACATGGTGAAACCCTGTCTCTACTAAAAATACAAAAATTAGCCAGGTGTGGTGGCATGCGCCTGTAATCCCAGCTACTTGGGAGGCTGAGGCAGGAGAATTGCTGGAACATGGGAGCTGGAGGTTGCAGTAAGCTGAGATCATGCCATTGCACTTCAGCCTGGGCTGACAACAGCAAGCCTCCATCTAAAAAAAAAAAAAAAATCTTCTCTCTTCAACAGTCACAATATAATTGAGTCTTAGAGAACTACAAGTTTACTTAGTGTATATTCCTTTTTAATAACATGAATTCCCTATATATTTATAGCATTCTGTAGCCTGAAAATCACTTTTTTTTTTTTTTTTTTTTTTTTTGAGACGGAGTCTCGCCCTGTCACCCAGGCTGGAGTGCAATGGTGTGATCTCGGCTCACTGCAACCTCCGCCTCCTGGGTTCAAGCAATTCTCCTGCCTCCCTCCCAAGTAGCTGGGATTACAGGCATGTGCCTCCACGCTCAGCTAATTTTTGTATTTTTTGTAGAGACGGGGTTTCACCATGCTGGCCAGGCTAGTCTCGATCTCCTGACCTCGTGATCCACCTGCCTTGGCCTCCCAAAGTGCTGGGATTACAGGCGTGAGCCACCGCGCCCAGCGAGAATCATTTTCTTATCTATTGTCTCCTTAATTTTCACAGCCATCTTTGAAGTAGAAAGGGCAAAGATTGTCATTCATCCTGATTGTGAGCATAAGGTAGTGTAAACTGCTCAAGTATTATATTCGTGGGTATAAATTAGCTCAGGTACTTAAGTGACAAGCCAACAATTCAACGTAAGGAAGGTGGTTCAAGACACCTTCGCAGTTTCGCAGTTTTGGAGAGTGGAGCAACTCCTGGAGTGCTGTAACTTTCTTCTGTTTTTCTAAGTAACGAGATTTGCCCTTTTATTTTAAAATAAAAAAGCACTCATTGATTACACTATATACTAAACTGTGTTAGCCAGTGAGAATACCAAGTTGAATAAGGCATAATCCCTGTTTCATAGCACAGAATAGTTTAATGGTTCTCAAATCTGTCTGATCATCAAAATTGACTAGATTTTTTTTAAATTATGATGCCTTTTGGTCCCCTTCCAAGTACACTCAACGATCTTGGGACTAGAATGCGAAAAATTGTATATTTTAAAACTCCACAGGCCCAGACAGAATTGAGAACACTGACATTCTATTAGGTTGGTGAAAAATTAATTGTGGTTTTCGCCACTGAAAGTAACGGTAAAACCACAATTACTTTTGTACACCCTAATACTAAAACAAAATTTTTAGCATATGTATCAATTTTTATAATATTTTGCTTATATCACTTTATTTAATTCTCATAGCAACACAGTGAAGCAAGATTAGATTATATTCACTTTATAAACGTGAGAATTCAAAAGCAAAGTGGTTTCCCAAATCACAACCAGTGGTTGATAAAGTATAGCCAGGAATTGCAATTCATTTCTCCAAGTCCTATGCTCCTTCCTCTTCACCTCCACTTCATAAAATCAAAGGAAGGAAAGCAGTTCATAGATAAAGAGTAGAAGAGGAAAGCCAGCGGCTGGCTTCTATAGGAGCTCAATGAATTTTTCCATTTAACTAAGCTCCAATGTGTACTACCAATGGAAAAAGGCCGAGATAGGCTGATGTTATAGCTCCCAAGTCCAGAATCCCAGCCCTGGGTTGATGTAAACAGTCAACCAGTTAAACAGTGCTCACCAAATTTCAGACACTATTGGTGTGACATCAAATGTATATATAATCACATGCACACACACACACACACACACACACACACAATTTAGTCCTCACAACAACTTTATGAAGTGGGAACAATTATCAACCCCAATTTATTGTCTAGGTGAGGAAGCTGAGAGACAGAAAAGTTAGTTAACTTGCTCAAAGTCACAAATATAACAAATGTTGGAGACAGGATTTGGGCTTGTACCAGAGACCATGTTTTTAACAATTTCACCATAGAGCCACTTTGTTCCATACTGGATTTCCAGCCTTTGGCTCTGTCTAGAATTAAATTATGACACTTTGTGTCCATAATTTTTCTGCAATTACACCATATTCTCTACAGCCCTAGAATAATTACTAAGCTGGGAAAATCATACCTTGCCACAGCCCCTGGGCATTGCCCTGATTTCAGCACATACTAGGCTGTTTCACACATGTGGACAGGTTCTTGCCTATGTGTGTCATGATGCCTCTGCTCTTCTGCCTCAAGGATTTCTCCAAAACCATGGAAGTCTGCTAAGCCCTAATGCAAGTGCAGCCTGGCAGTTTGAAAATAGTGACATTTGCAGAGTCAAGCCTGACCCAGAGATGGATGGCAGTTGATGGATAAATGCTCCAGGCTCATCGTTCTTCAGAGAGACAGTTCTGAGGCATGGGCTACAGTTTTCTCAACCTTGGAAACATTGATATTTGGAGCTGGATAATTTTTTTGTTGTAGGGGTGGCGGCTGTCCTGTGCATCGTAGGATGTTTAGCAGTATCCCTGGATGCTGTCGCATCTCCCAGTTATGATAACCAAAAATGCCCCCACGCATTGCCAATGCTGTGAGGAAAGAAAAACCACTTCCAGTTAAGAGCCACTGAACAACATGGATTGACAGAGGGTCCCCAAAGGGATTGAGCTCCGGCTTCTCGTAATAGTGATCAATTCAATGACATACTCTTAATATTGGAGGTAAGGCCCGGTGAGTGGTGTTTCTTTGAGTCATGGGGGCAGATTCCTCATGAACAGCATGGTGCCTGGTGCCATTTCCACAGAAATGAGGGAGTTCTCACTCTATTCATTCCCATGAGGTCTGATTGTTAAAAAGTCCCTCCCCTCCTCTCCCCTTCCCTTCCCTTCCCTTCCCTTCCATTTGTCTCTTGCTGTATAATGCTGGCTCCACTTTCCCTTCTGCCATGAGTGACGGCTTCCTGAGGTCCTCACCAGAAGGAGATGCTGGTGCCATGCTTCTTGTACAGCCTGCAGAACCGTGAGCCAAACAAACTTCTTTTCTTTATAAGTTTCCCAGCCTATGGTATTCCTTTATAGCAATGCAAAACGGAGTAAGACATCCTTTATTGGCTTTTCCCTTCCCCCTCTTCTACTCCCTGGGTTACCTCCCAAGGAAATATCTCATCTAAGTCCTTGCCTTAGGCTTTGTTTCCAGGGGACCCTAAATCCAGATAGTAGATATTAGCAAGCAGCTCTTAATCACATGCAAATATACCAATTACCATTTGATGGAAATGGATGTCATTAACCTCCTAACCGTGAAGAAAGAGCTCACTTTTGGTTCCATCTGAGGCCTTCAGGCAGATCTTCATGGCCCATTGGAGACCTATAGGCATACTTTTAGAACCGTGGGCCTGGACAACAGTTCCATGCAAGAGGAAACTTGCTTAAATCCTCTCACGCTCCAATAGGTGGGTGAATGGTGCCACACAGCACATATGGAAGACACCTAGAATTATCTGTGCAGTTGCCTCAGGTCAAGAACAGTGATTCACAACTTGTCTTGGATTTATCTGACCCAGAATCTCTGACAGTGAGGTCTGGACCTGTATATTTTTCATAAAATATCCTTAAGAAGTCCTAATGTATGGAACTGCATATCCATTCTAACCTGCTGACTCAAAGGTCTGGGATTGAGGCAAGTGACCCACTTGAGGACCCAGGGAGAATAAGAGGCTGAAGAACAAGGACCAGACCCCAAGCCCTTACTCCCAGGCCTGACATATGGCAGCTGTGTGGTAGCTCTGGACTCCTCACTGTCACTGCTCAATTCCAAGGGACCGGGGCTGGGAAGATGGAGGAAGAAGGAAGAAGAGGCCCAGCTGTTGCCTGCTGTGGGAAGCTTGCCTCAGAGAAAACCCAAATGTTCTTGAACCTGAATGATTCAGGCCAAGGGTTTGCACAAAATGTTCTTGCTCAGGAAATGCAGGTCATAAAGCATAGCACTGGGGGGTGGGGGAGTATAATCCCTCATCCAGAGACCTGGATAAAGAAAATGATCTTAGAGAATATTTCATGAACCCAAGACCATACCATCCAGCAGGGAGCTGAATCAGGCATTCCCACATTCACTGCAGCATTACTCACAGTAGCCAAGATACAAAAACAACCGACTGGGCACGGTGGTTCACGCCTGTAATCCCAGCACTTTGGGAGGCCGAGGCGGGCCGATCACCTGAGGTCAGGAGTCCAAGACCAGCCTGATCAACACGGAGAAACCCCGTCGCTACTAAAAATACAAAAATTAGGTGGGCGTGGTGGCACACACCTGTAACCCCAGCTACTTGGGAGGCTGAGGCGGGAGAATCACTGGAACCCAGGAGTTGGAGGTAGAGCTTGCGGTGAGCTGACATCACGCCATTTTACTCCAACCTGGCAACAAGAGTGAAACTCATCTCAAAAAAAAAAAAAAAACTAAGTGTGCATCAATGAAGGAATAAAGAAATTAAGAAATTGTGATTATATATATATATATATATACACATATTCACGTAATGGAATATTTTTAACCTAAAAAAAATAAAGAAATCCTGCCATTTGCCACAACATGAATGTACCTTGAGGATATTATAAGTGAAGTAAGCCAGACACAGAAACACAAATGCTTCATGATCTCACTTATATGTGAAATCTAAAAAAAAAAACAAAACAGCAAACTCATAGTAACAAAGAGTAAAATGGTGGTTACTAGGGCCTGGGAGATGGGAGAAAAAGGGAAACACTGGTCAAAACATACAAACTTTCAGTTTTAAGATGAATAAATTCTGGAGACCTAATGTACAGCACGGCAACTATAGTTAATAATACTGTATTGTATACTTGAAATTTGCTAAGAGATCAGATCTTAAGGGTTCTCACCATACCAAAAATAAAATGGTAACCATGTGAAATGATGTATGTTAATTGGCTTGATTATGGTAATCATTTCGCAATGTATTCATATATCAAAACATCAGCCAGGTGCGGTGGCTTATGCTTGTAATCCCAGCATTTTGGGAGGCTGAGACAGGTGGATCACCTGAGGCCAGGAGTTCAAGACCAGCCTGGCCAACATGGCGAAACCCCATCTCTACTAAAAACACAAAAAAATTAGCCAGGCACTGTGGCAGGCACCTGTAATCCCAGCTACCTGGGAGGCTGAGGCAGGAAAATTGCTTGAACCCAGGAGGCGAAGGTTGCAGTGAGCCAAGATCAAGCCACTGCCCTCCAGCCTGGGTGAAAGATGGAGACTCCATCTCAAAAAAAAAAAGAAAAAAAGAAAAAAAGAAGGAAGGAAGGAAGGATGGATCATATAAACAACGTTTGTCTATTGTACCTCAATAAAGTTGGGAAAAAATATTTCAAATTTTAAAAAGTAAACACTTAAACACGCAAATACATAAACAAAGATCAAGCTTCAGACCCTTCCTCTCTTTCAGTATATAAGTTATGTTTTCCTGAATGCTAAGGGTTGTTTTCTAGGTCCCTGAGCAGATCCTGTTCAGTTTGGCCACATAAGTATAGTTTGTTCTTTTTCTTTTTTTTTTTTTTTTTTAGCTGGAGTTCAACCATTCCCTCTTATACACTAGGTGTCCTTTGTCTAGGAAGATGCCAGAACAATGTTATGACAGAGTCTTGTACTTTTGCAATGATCTAGGTGGAAAGGGCTCAACAGACTAAAGTATGCCTTTCTTTAAACAGATAGGGAAGCTGAGGCCCAGAGAGGGCAGGTGACTTGTGCATGGATCACACAGCCAGTCAGTGACAGAGGCAGCCCAAATTTCACATCTCCTAGTGCCTGGTCCGGATCGCATCAGGAAGAATAAAGAGAAAGAGACAGAGAATGCAGGCGGTAGAGCCAAATGACCTCTCAAATGTCTTCTGGCTCTGTCACCTCCCCAAAGTTGGAGTCCATGATTTCATAAATGGAAAAACACAAACACTTTCTTCAGTAAAAATTTAGCTGACGGCCAGGCGCAGTGGCTCACGCCTGTAATCCTAGCACTTTGGGAGGCTAAGGCAGGTGGGTCACCTGAGGTCGGGAGTTCGAGACCAGCCTGACCAACATGGTAAAACCTCATCTTTACTAAAAGTACAAAATTAGCCAGGCGTGGTGGCGCATGCCTGTAATCCCAGCTACTCGAGAGGCTGAGGCAAGAAAATGGCTTGAATCCCGGAGGTTGAGGTTGTGGTGAGCCGAGATTGCACCATTGCACCCCAACCTGGACAATAAGAGTGAAACTCCATCTCAAAAAAAAAAGAATTTAGTTGATTTTACTGTGGGATCAAACAGTACATACTTTGCATTTACTCAGAAAGTTATCTGGAGCAATGAAAGCCCTGGTGTGATTTTGTTTCTCTGCTTCCTCTCTAGGTTTCCAGTTCAGTGGATCCATGAGGGCTACTTCCCACTTGTCCTTTGTGGGCTATTCTTAGCCTTTGCTGTAACCTGGACACACATTTACAGCCCAAAGCAACTATGAATGTTTCCTGTTTTATTTCCAAAGCAAGTGGTTACTCTGCTGCTTCCCCCACCACTAGTAATCACAGCCCTAGTTCACAATGTTGTATTCTTGGCATCTAAAAACTAGAAAAACACCATTAACGAGGCCAGATGTGATTTTCCTAGCTAAGTAATGATTCTGGGGGTATGGAGAACATAGGGCCACTAAAGGAACAATTATAGGTCAAAAACTCTAATAATTTAATTTTGATTATTGAGAGTTTATCTTCATTTTTATCATTCTGTTGTTGTTAAATTAGGTCACTGTGGGTAGAGCCTAAGCAATGGTATTTTTTAAAGTTTCCCAGAGTGCAGCCTCAGGGCTGGTAATGGGTTGTAATAGTATTTCCCAACCTTGTCTGTAATTTTTAAAAAAGAAAATTACCTAGAGTACTTGATAAATATACAGAAACCCAGGCCTCTCCCCTGATCACTGTTTCTGGAATCAGGGGCCCTGGAATCTGTGTCTTTAAGAAATACTTCCAGATAATTCTTGTTATTTGGGAAAGTTGAGGATCTGGCAAGTTCGGGAAACACTGGGTGATAGCATAGACTTCCAAGCACACCCAAGAGAGCTGCTTTCCGGTAGCTTAGAAGACGTAACGAAGGTTTCATCAGCTACAGAAGAAAACTCAGCCTTAGACTAGGAGTTCCTCACCGGAATCCTCCTTCTCCATTCAGGCAGGCCCCTAGATCCCTACACAGTGAGAAAAGATCTCATTTCTACCAGCTTTCTCATCTCTTCCCACACCCAGCCTGGCCTCTTCTACTCAGCTCAACTCTCTTAAACTTGTCTGTCCTGAGTTTAATTCCAGTCCCAGAAACCCTTATCATACTGGCCTATGCTGATTTCTCCATCCTCTGAGCTCCTTCATCCTGAGAGCTGTGCATAGTAACCTCTGAGCTGTATTCATTCTTCTGATTTGCTTAAAGATTCCACACCAGTGTCTTGCCTCTCTAGATTCAGAACTCCCTGGGGCAATACAACCACTGAAGGGAGAGCCGCAGGAGTGAATGCCACAGCCAAGCTCAATGAGAGCAGTCTTTCTTCCCATGGTACTTCCAATGCTTAGCCCAGCATCTGGTACACAAGTGTTCAACAAATATCCATCAAGTACATCAATAAAATGTCAAGCTATATGAGCTAACAAGGTAAAATACATTTCAAGCTATAAATATTTGAGCACATATACAGAATTGAAATTATGATTTCAGAAACTAATCTAGATACAACTCATGACTTGGATTTGTCCTAGTTTCTCTGCACATGCAGTTCTCAAACTTTTTGGCTCCTTCACACTCTTGCATATTATTGAGCATCTTAAAGAACTTTGTTTATGGGGGTTATGTCTATCAATATTGACTATATTAAGAACTGAAAATTCCAATTTTAAATAACTATAGTAAACTCATAATATGTTGATGGATTAATGCAAACAATGTACTTTTATGAAGAATAACTATTTTTCCAAAACAAAAATAATTTAATAAGGAAAGTGGCACTGTTTTACATTTTTGCAAACCTCTTTAATGTTCGGCTTCATAGAAGTCAGCTGGATTCTCAGATCTGCTCCAGCATTTAACATGTTACTGTATTATGCCTTAGGTGGCCTCTGGGAAACTCCACTGTATACTTGTGAAAGAATGAGAGTGAAAAAGCCAGATAACATCTTTGTGTCATTACGAAAGTAGTCTTAGCCACATGGACTCCCTAAATGGGTCTTAGGGATCCCCAGGGATGCACAGACACACTTTGAGAACTGTTTTTCCACACATTTCAGAATACAAGTTCTAGATAGGGTAGGTAAAATTAATCAAAGGCTTTGCTTTCCTGCTTTGAAAGAGATATATAAGGGTTTATCAGACTAGGATAAATCCTTGGATGTTAGAGTGTTACAGCAGAGAAATTAGAATGCACATCCTCATTAAATGACATCATAGATGCTAAAATTCACAAATCATTTATCTTCATGCAACAGAATATTTATAGTAGCAGCACAAATCCTTAAACTCTGTAATGTTCCTTTTAATTTATATCTTATCATTTTTCTGGGTTTTTGACTGTGCCTTTCGGATCAGCAGGTATTCTAGCAAAGAGACTACGAGTGGCATAAGATGGTAGAAAATGATCATTGTTCCTATCCCTTAGAGGTGTTATGAGGATTAAATAAATGCATATAAAGTGTTTAGAATAGTACCTGACACAGAGCTAGTTGTCTTGGTTATTATATTATAAGTCTTTTAAAGTTTCTTAAAAGCAACTAGAAAAGTAAATTTCTATGTTTGACTTCATTCCCCATAATTTAGCATGATTTATACAGATTTGTTTGTAGTAGTAATTTAAAGGCTGAATTCACTTAAATAGCCCTTCCACAAAAGGATCGATTAATTGAAGTATCATTACAGAGGTGTCTTCTAACAAATCAAAACTAAGGCTTGAAAATCCATACTACAAACAGATGGTGGAAAACACCTCTTTCCCCCAAAGCTTTTGTGCATATAGTGGCAATCAGCCTTGCTCTAGAAACTGCTAAATGGCAATTAAATTTAAGTTGCCCCCTGGGTTAATTGTACACCAAGAGGAATTGTTAGTGTCAAACATTTACTGAGCACTAATAGATTCAACAAGCACACACTGAACATTCACTACATATGAACCCCAGGAGGGAAGAGGACACAAGCATAGACAGAAGTCCTGCCCTCAGGGCATGACAGAGAGCTCCACACATATGGAATAGTGATACAGGCAAGATGTCTCAAATACATAAACCCAAACTGGAAAAAGGTTGACTGAAGGAAAAAAGAAGGTCATTCTCACTTGAGGCATCTAGGAAGACTTTGCCAACATGGTAGCTTTTGAACTGACCGCTGAAAAATGAGTGAGATTTCACCAAGGGGACTTGGGAGGAAGGAAAATGGAACTAGCAGAAAGCAGGATTGGGCATGGTCACTCGATATAATGACAACAAAAGGCAACAGTGAAACGAGTTGTTTGGAAATGAATGAAATGGGCTTAATGATAGGATAAGAAGTCCAGACTTTATATAGCAAGAGGGCAGCCTGAGCAACAATGGGTACAAAGCTGTGTCATCCACATCTTGGTGTTTTGGTAACATTAACATCACCTAGGGTCTGCAGGAAGAATGAAAAGGAAGGCGCTAAGGTGAGAAAACCAATGAGGAGGCCATGGCAACTGTCCAAAGGGAGAAACGATGGGGGCATTTGCAACGGAGATAGGAAAAAGAATGAGACATTTATTTTAAAAGAATAATCCAGAAGAGTGGAGGATGACTAGTCAGTGAATAACTATTCTGTGTTGGACCAAGGCTGTGTGTGTTTTTAAAGAAAGTTTTTGAGACATGTCCAAGAAGGTAAATTTGGAAGGTAGGTGTGAGAAAAATAGAGAACCCAGGATTACCTTATTCAGAGTAAAGGAACGAAGAAAGAAAAAATAATCCCACTAGAAAAATAATAAGGGCTCTTGCAAACCAATAAGAAAAACGAGTATACCAATTGACAAATAAGCCATGGACATGAGCTGCCAACTCATAAAAGAAGAACCAGAAATGGCCAAGCAACATGGGAGAAAATGCCCAGCTGAATAAAAAAGCAAAGAAACAAATAAAAATATATGATCTCACTTTTGCCTTTAAGATTGGCAAAAAATAGATAAAGATTGGTGAGGCAGACAATGTCAATTGCCTACCCATCAGTGTCCTTCCTTGCCAACAAAGCCCTAAATTTGGTTATCCAGGCTTTTTCAGTTTGCTTTGTTTTTCTAGGTACCAGCCTAGCCCCAGCCCAGTAGGGAAGAATCTTGATTAGTCTGAACCAAAGTTGGTGATTCTATTCTGCTTATCAGTGATTGACTTGAGAAAGCGCATATGTTCCAATTCTGGCTAAGATATGTAAGAGAATGCCTCCATGGAGAAAGATGAAGAAAGTTTGAAGAACAGTTCTTAGGTTTTATAAGAAGAACTCTAGGTATTGCAATACCCACTTTATTTGACCCTAGATATTGATGCATGAGGGTGCAAGGCCTGGAGCTGCTGCAGCTCTATTGAGAACATGAGGATACCCAACTGCTGAAAATGACAGAAAAGAAAAGTAGAAAGAATCTGGTACTTTATATGATTCACTAGCTGAATTAACCTATTCTGGAATCTCCCTATCTTGGGATAACTTGTTATATAAGGATTTTTTAAAGTCTTATTATTTAAGCTACTTTTTTATTTGGGTTCTTAGTTCTTTTCTTATTATTTTAGGATCAGGGAGTATATGCATGGGTTTGTTACATGGGTAAACTGCATGTTGCTGAGGTTTGGTGTACAAATGATTTCATCACCCAGGTGGTGAACATAGTACCTGACAGGAGGTATCTCCCCTGAAGTACGTCCCAGTGTCTGTTGTTCCCTTCTTTATGTCCACGTATATTCAATGCTTAGCTCCCACTTATAAATGACAACATGCAGTATTTGGTTTTCTGGTTCCGTATTAATTTGCTTAGGATATTAGCCTTGAACTGCATCCATGTTGCTGCAAAAAACATGATTTTGTTTATTTTTATGGCTGCGTAGTATTACACAGTATGTATGTATTACATTTTCTTTGTCCAGTCTGCCACTGATAGGCATCTAGATTGAGTCCACATCTTTGTTATTGTGAAAAGTGCTGCAATGAACATATGGGTGCATATGTCTTTTTAGTAGAACTATTTATATTTCTTCGGGTATATACCCAGTAATGGGTTTGCTGTGTCAAATGGTAGTTTTGTTTTAAGTTCTTTGAGAAATCTCCAAACTGCTTCCCTGAACTAACTTACATTCCTACCAGCAGTGTATAAGTGTTCCCTTTTCTCCGCAACCTTGCCAGCACCTGCTATTTTTTGACTTTTTAATAATAGCCATTCTGACTGGTTTAAAGTGGTGTCTCATTGTGGTTTTGGTTTGCATTTCTCCAGTGATTAGTGATGTGGAGCATGTGGACTAGTTGTGAGAACAATTTCTATCTACACAGAACTACTCAATAAATATTTGTTGAATTAATGAATAAATTTAAATTGAAGAATGAATAGCTGAGGCCTAAGAGGACGACAATGCCTAGAAGGATTATAGACTTTGGGTTGGAAAGAATCTTGGGGATACTACAGAGTTGGAGGATATTCAAGTTTACCAAAGGAAACAATGAGAAAATGGAAACTTGAGCAGATTTTGGACTTCCCCGGACTGGTCTCCACAAACTCCCCACCCTACTTTCCTCCAAGTTAGTTGCTCCAGAGGTCCTAGTTTTTTGGCACCAGTTGAGCTACACAAAGTTGCAGAGTCATGATCTTTCCCCATGGGTCCCAAGATTGGCGACTTGCCTCAAAGACACTGAAGAGCAAATGGACCTCCACCCAAGAAAATTGAGCAGGTCCTCAAGAGAATCTCCTGCTTTGTTCTTCCCTGATTGTTGCAGCAGAATCAGGTGAGAGAAATCCAGCTGGGGGCATCTGGTGGAAGTGGCCCTGAGGGTTTCTTCTTTCGTTGTATAAGTTATTTGTTCAAACCGATTTGTTAAAACTTGTGGATTCCACTGGTGAGATCATGAGCACATTCATTTTCTCCTCCCAGAAGCAATTTTTTCTTGTGTCATCCTCAGCATTCTCTCCAGATGAAGCATCTTTTCTGTTTTTTTTACTGCATAATAACTCCTCTTGGATTCTGCAACTTGACATGAAATATTATCTGTCTTACTGCCAAATTTAAAATTCATGTGTTAGCTAACTACTGAGAAAAAAAAGGATCTTAACCTTGTGTCATAAGTCAATATAAATCCTATGAGATTAAAAAGTATGGGTTAAAAAATAAGCCACAAAAGCAGTAAGAAACATATAAATGAATATTCATAGCACCTTATAGTAGTGCTATAACTTCTAAATATGGCACTAAAGGTAGAAGCCACACAGGAAAAATAATGAATGGATTCAGCTATAAAAAAAAATTAAACTTCTGGAGTGAAAAACTGAAGACTAGGGGTCAGAAGTGAGGAGGTGATCAACTTGTCATTATGTGCCTTTTTGTACTGCTTTTGTGCCTATGGATTTCAAATCCATAGTTTTTAAAATTTGAAATTATTTTCAAATGAAATAATCATGTAAAAAATGTAAACTTCCATAGTCAAAACAATAAAGGACAAATAATAGAGTAAAAAGGAAAATGCAACATCTTTCATAGACATAGGTTACTACATTTAATATGTGAGGAGCTAATAAATATTAATAATGCCATGTAACCTTGTGTTCAGAAATGGTCTTGGCAGACAGACAAATCGAGTCAGCCCCAGTGCTCCTTCTTGCCAACTGTATGACTTGGGCCACGTTCTTTCCTTGCCTTCTTCCTTCTCTGCAAAATGAGGAAAATGCCCTCTATGGTATAAGAAAAATAACTGGTCTTTGTCTCATTTCCTGGCACAGAGATCCTTAGAATCCTGGGAATTTCCTTAGTGATGAAGGTGGTAGGAGCAGTTTCTGTTCTATAAGGTGACCCTTGGTGGGCTCCTAGATAGCTTCAGGATGGGGGATGTTCACCAGGGAGACCCATCCTTGATTAAAAGCTTGGAATTTTCAACCCAACCTCCAGGGAGGGGAGAGGAGCTGGAGATGGAATCAACTGCCAATGCGTAATGATTTAATCAATCATGCCTACATAATAAAAACCTCCATAAAAACTCCTAAACAGTGGGGTTCTGAGAGCTTCCGAATTGGTGAACACATCCACATTTCAGGGAAGTGGCACCCCGCAACTCACATGGGCAGAGGCTCCTGCCATCTGGACCCTTCCAGACCTCATTCTATAAAGGTTTGCCTGTTGATTTGTATCCTTTAAAATAAACCAGTAACAGGCTGGGCACGGTGGCTCATCCCTCTAATCCTAGCACTTTGGGAGGCCAAGGCAGGTGGATCGCTTGAGCTCAGGAGTTGGACACCAGCCTGGACAACATGGCAAAGCCCCATCTCTACAAAAAATTAGCTGGGCATAGTGGTATGCACCGATAGTCCCAGCTACCTGGGGAGCTGAAATGGGAGGATCACTTGATCCTCCTTGAGCCCAGGAGGTTGAGGCTGCAGTGAGCCATGATTACGTCACTGCACTCCAGCCTGGGTGACAAAGTGAGACCCTGTCTCAAAAAAAAAAAAAAAAAATTAAAATTAAATAAACCAGTAACAGTAAATAATGTGTTTTCTTAGGGGGAATAGAGAAGAAAGAAAAAAGCTACGATACACTATTACAAAAGTACAGGAGAGCAAAAAAAAAAAAAAGTTTAAAAATAATGAAGTGCTTTCCTGAGTTCTGTGAGTCATTCTAGCAGATAATCAAACCTGAGGAGAGGGGTCATGGGAACCCCAGTTTGTAGCCATTGGTCAGAAGTACAGATGACCCAGTACTTGCAACTGCCATCTAAAATGGAGGCAGTCTTATGGGACTGAGCCCTTAAACCTTAGAGTCTGACACTAACTTCAGGTAGTTAGTGTCAGAATTGAATAGAATTACAAGACTCCCAGGTGGTGTCAGAGAGTAGAAGTGGTGTTGGAAAAGATACCACATACATGGTGTCAGGAGGAAGTAAGACCTCCTACTTTTTCACACAGTTACTATAAGCATAAGATGACAGAATTTAGCAAACAGTGAGCCCCAGTATTAGTATTATCATTGCTACTAGAAAAAAAAATAACCCACCAATTGGAACATGAACGAAGATAATTAATAGGTAATTCACAAAAGAAGAAAAGCAAATGATCAAACAGCAAACAGGATGTTCAATGTCATCAATCATTAAAGAACTGCATCTTAAAATTAGATACCAGTTTCTACTCATCTAATAATTGCCAAATATTAAAAATAATGGCAATGCCAGGTGTCGACAAGGAGTCACTTCAATGGGAGTGTAAATGGTATAGTTTCCTTAATGGCAAGGAGGCCGCTTGTGTCAAAAGTCGTGAAAATTATATGTATGTCCTTTGACCTCACTATTTTATTTCTTCTCCAAAAAAGGAGAAGAAAAACATAAATTTGCACAAATATTAGCTGCAAAGATGCTCCTTATGGCATTACTCATAACAACAAAAAGAAAAAAATTGGAAGCCATCTAAAAACCCTATATCCAGGGAAATCATTAAATAAATTATGTCTTTAGTTGAATATCATGCAGCTATGAAAACAAAAACATTTAATGACAGGAAAGATTTTCATGATATAATAGGTGATTAAGGGGGGTTATAAAATAGTTTATACAGTATTTGAAATTGCATATGTTCATATTTGTTTGATGAAATGTAAGCATATATGTCAAAACATTCAGTGTAGGTTGTCTCTAGGTGCAAAACTACAGGAGACTGTACTTTGCTCCTTACTTATCTGTAAATTCTAAAGTATCTACAATAAACATTCATTACATTCATTACTTGTGACATGACTGTTTAAACAATAAACTTTTTAATGCAATTTTTATTACCCTATTATGAAGATTGAAAATCTATCAAGAAAATTTTCTCTAAAGTGTTCTAAGAAACTAAAAAAAAAAATTATTCTAGTGGGTCTTCTCAGCCTACTCTCAGTTATTTTATTCACTAATTCATTTATTTATTCTTCCAATCTCTACACAACCATAGTGACTGGATTACAGACACAAGTCCAGTGGGATTTCTGTCCCAGTGAGCTCCCAGGTTAATGCTAATCTGAGAACTCAGGACAATAGAGGAAGAATCGAAGAAAGTCATCTGCTGCGAGGGAAAAGGTGAACATATGGGGAAGATCACAGAGAAGAGGCCAGCCTGAGCCTATTACAAGGAGCAGCCAGTGTAGGAGTCAGCCTGGTGGAGAAGAGCAAGTAGCAGAGGGCAGTCCAGGCAGAGGGCCCAGCTTGGGCAAAAGCAAGAAGACATGAAAGTACAGGCACATGTTAATTGACATGGCCAGGACGTGGGGTGACTTTAAGGGAATAGCTAAAGAAAGCTGGTTTGGTCAAGATTTGGTTTGGCATTTTTCTTAATTTGTAAAAAGAAGTAAGGAAGCCATGCAGCATTCTTGCCACCCCATTCATGTTTGATGATAGGGTGACCCTGATAGTTCTTTTTGGTTTTTTTGTTTGTTTTGTTTTTTGTTTTTTGTTTTTGAGACAGAGTCTCACTCGTTGCCCAGGCTGGAGTGCAGTGGCACAATCTCGGCTCACTGCAAGCTCCGCCTCCTGGGTTCATGCCATTCTCCTGCCTCAGCCTCCCAAGTAGCTGGGACTACAGGCGTCTGCCACCACGCCCAGCTAATTTTTTGTATTTTTAGTAGAGACGGGGTTTCACCGCGTTAGCCAGGTTGGTCTCGACCTCCTGACCTGGTGATCTGCCTGCCTCGGTCTCCCAAAGTGCTGGGATTACAGGCGTGAGCCACCGCACCCAGCCTGATAGTTGTAAATATAGTAGACTGGCCCCTCTGCCCTGAGCTGATGGCCACAATGACTTTCAGAAAAGAGCCAAGGAACCCTAAGAGGTCTGAACTTCAGTAGAAACTGGATGGGCCAGTTGCCCCTGGGGGTTCCTTCTTTCTTGTAAAGGTTAAAGGCATAAAACTTTCTCTCTTGTTAAACATTGTACACACCCCAGTGTCAGCCACTCAGCTGAAAAGATAAATACCACAAATAGAATTTTTGGCAGAGCAGTACTGCGTTGAATGAAGAACTGTTGCACAACACTCCTTCCTTACCCTCCTTCCTTACACAACATACACATTTTTACTTTGAGTGGGGAGAAGGTCGGGGGGAGGGGGGAGATTAAAATTGGAACAAGAAATGAAAGCGGGCTGCAAGAAGAAATGTCTGAAATTTCTCAATCAAGAGGGAGAAGCATCTCCCAATAAGGACCAAACATCTGCAGAGCCTTCCCGTCTATTTCTTTTGAGGTTCATCCCTGTGGTCAGAACCCAAAGAATAACCTCCCTTGCCCTTCTGCATCTATCCTTTGACTGTCAATGATGTGCCAGGCACTGTGTCCAGCCAAGGATCTCTCCAGTAAGGACTCTGGGAAAATTCAGAGAAGAATTTCCAAAACCTCCAGCTGCAAACAGTGGTTAGGTTACTAACCAGCACATTAACAATTCAAAAGTGATGAGTGATAATCAAATCTACCCTTTACTCAGCTCTTACTATATACCAAGCACGGTGCTGGGTGGTCTACAAGTTTATCTCACTTAATCCTCAAAACAATGCATGCATCAAGGTCTATTATTATTGTCCCCACTTTAAGATTTAAAAAAACCTGAGGCTGGGAAATGTTAACCCCAGTTTATTCAAGGCTAGTGAGTGGCAGAGCTAGGATAGTTATCGCCTCCCCACCTCTGCTGCCTCCCCTCTCCTCCTCCATTCCAATCTGTTTTCTGGTCTGACTGAGCAATTTGTATTTTCCTGAAGGGACCAGGCATCCACTTCCTCTGCGCCTTTGTTCAAGATATGGTTCTCACTCAGAGAGCCCTGCCCTTCTTCCCCTTGATTAGCTGGCGGTCTCCACAATCTCTTACCCATCAGCTCAACTGTAACTTCCCCCAGGAAACCCTCCTAGACCTCGAAGGCTTCAGATCACATTACATTCAACACAGGGATCCCCTTGTCCTTCTCTGAATGTAACACAACCATGCTTATCTCTAGGCTTTTTGGACATGGTTCCCCTTCCACTTAAAATGGTCTTCATTCACATGTACACACATATATACATGCTTGTTCACATGCATGCACATAAACACCTCTTTCCTCTAATCCCACTCATCCTTCAGGTAGCATAGAAGTCAACAACTCTGAGAATCCTGGTCTGAACCATTCCCACAGCCCACCCCCTCAAGAGGGAGGTGCCTCTGCTCCTCAGCCCTGCAAGACACAATGCTTCCTGCGAATCATACTCTTCACACTGTTTTGTCATTGTTTCCACGTCACAATTAAACTTCTTCAGGGGAGCAAATGCCTCTTGCCTCAGAGCCAAGCACATAATAAGTACTCAGTAACTATTTTTTGAATAAATGAATACTTACCCTGCCTACTTCCTTCTTGTCTGTGCCACTCAAATGTGGAAATAATTATGTGTTCCAAAGTCTTGACTAGGCTTTGGTTGATATTTTCATTGTAACCAGAGATCCCATGCTTCTATGACAAGAAATGAAGAATCCTGGAAGAATAAAAACAAATCCTTGCCATAAGTGTTTTTGAGAACAAACCGCATTGGGGTACATAATATCATTTTTCCAAAGGTAAGAAGTAACTTGGGGTTGAGGAGGGGAAGCATTAGTTAAGAGGAGAAAAGATTTTACTGAAAGTCAAGGCTCTGGTAGTATATCCAAACATTATGAAAATGAGTCATTTATTTGTAAGGAACTATCACATTAGATACTTTCTTTTTTAAAAGTGACTTTTATTTATTTAATTTAAAAGGTCTATATTCAGATAGGTCATTCCTACCTCTATTCTTACCTACTCCATTCCTTTCCCAAAGCCTCATATTGGTAAAAACTTATATAACTTCCTGTAGCGTCTGTCCAGTGTTTCTTTAATGTAAATATAAGCATAAATTTATTTGTTGGTCCCCACCCAACCCTTTTTTTTTTATTTTCTCAACTTTTATTTTAGGTTCAGGGGCTACATGTACAGATGTATTATGGGTAAATTGTGTGCCACTGGGGTTTGGTATACAAATGATTTCATCACCCACGTAGTGCACATGGTACCCAATAGGTAGTGTCCCTCCTCAAGTAGGTCCCTGTGTCTATTGTTCCCTTCTTTTTTTTTTCTTTGTTTACAAAAGACTTTATTATCTAGTGGTACATACTGAGAACATACAGAAATCTGCATGGCCCACTTCACATGCAGTAGAACAATCTTCACTTTACAAGGAGTGTCAACTGTTTTATGCAATAGACAACACTTTAAAGTCACATTCTTAAAGAAAAGTTTCATTTACAAAAGAAATAAAAAGTAAAGCAGCAATTACTACTTTTAAAAAGCAGCTGCTTTGTTCAAGAGCAGAAGGTTTATGCCTGTATTGAAAGACAACATGATCACAGATGATGAAAACAATGAGCAAATTAAAACACTTTTACCATAAAGCAGTACACTTTCAAAATGACATACACATACTTAAAAATTTCATTACCCTGTCTGTCTAACCTTTAAATATGAGGACTTTCAGAATTAGGCCTCAACATTTGTAATTAGTAAATGAAAAGTATGCAGTGTTTCTATGTCACTAGGAACTGTATTTAACAAAATGTATATACAGTCTATAGCAAGTTGATTTTTTAAAAGTAAAGTTAATAAGAAACAGTACACTGAAGGCACTCTATCCATCAAGTGTGTTCTCTTCCAATTTTAAATGTGACGAATAGAACAGAAATTGTAACTATGCCACAGTTGCAATGCCAAAAAAGAAAAACAAGATCAATTATCACGCATGCTAGGAATTCTGCCACAAAACTAACATTCCTCATTTGTCAGTTGTTCCAATAAAATGACATCTTAAAACACCAGAGATGTTGATGGTTTAGCTTACCTTCAGTGTAGTGAATGCTGTACACAACCTGCTTTTTTTTTTAATTTTATTTTACTTCAAGTCTGGGATATATGTGCAGAACGTGCAGGTTTGTTACATAGGTATACATGTGCCATGGTGGTTTGCTGCACCTATCAACCTATCATCTAGGTTTTAAGCCCCACATGCATTAGGTATTTGTCCTAGTGCTCTCCCTCCCCTTGCCCCCTACCCTCCGATAGGCCCCGGTCTGTGATGTTCCCCTCCCTGTGTCCATGTGTTCTCATTGTTCAACTCCCACTTATGAGTGAGAACATGCAGTGTTTGGTTTTCTGTTCCTGTGTTATTTTGCTGAGAATGATGGCTTCCAGCTTCATCCATGTCCCTGCAAAGGACAAGAACTCATTCTTTTTAATGGCTGCATAGTATTCTATGGTGTATATGTGCCACATTTTCTGTAAGGAGACCATCCCTGCAGGCAGGCTCAAGAAGAAACAGACCCCTCTTGGCACTGACTACATCAACGGCATGCTGCTGTGGCCTGCACACACACACACGTAGGAAAACGGGAATATAAACAGCAATTATGCTGGCCATTTTATCTGAAGACCAAAATGAAGCCAAGTCTGCTAAAAACAAATCAACCACCTAATATTACTACTCATTTTATAACAGATGCTTTTGTCTTTAATGTGAACTGCAACCATATACATTAGCACTGTAATTTTGTGCAGTCTTGGCAATTTAAAACAGTTCTATGGTGAAATTTCACATAAGACACGAAACAGATTAACATTTCTAAAAGAAACTCAAATATATCATGCTTCCTCAAATTTGCTGGAGAAATATTTATAAGTTTACATTCATTAATAAAGTGCTGTGAAATTTCTTCAGTCTCTGTATTTACTCAAACCCTTAGAGTTTCTTCATCTTGCTTAAATTTTTTCCTGGATGAAGGCATGCTGCAGAGCCTGGTTGATGCTAATTCATTTAGCTAGGCCCAACATTAGAATCTGGTCCAACAAGTCCTTTAGCTAGTATACTTTTTTACACTGGTCTTCAGGAAGTGTCTGGCACCCAATCAAGTTGGCCAATAGGTCCTTAGTTGGATTAATTGTGCTCATAACAGTAACTATCTCCCTGTCTGTTACTTTATCAACTTCTATGTACATGAAGTTGAGATTTTGATCAAAATGCTGATCTTTGAATACACCTTTTGAATCATCTCATTTGGCATCTGTCCTTTGAGATTCATCACAAGCTTCAACATATGGTTATTGGTTTTGCCAGGAAATAAAATTTTTCCAGTATAGAGTTTAAGGTGCAACCTACTGACCACATATCTATACCATAGTCACAACATTTACCTATAATGATTTCAAGAGCATGATAAAATCTACTGACAAGATAAGGTGTAATGTCATTATCCGCAGCATGTGAAGCCAACCCAAAATTGCAAAGCTTTAAAATAGTTTTTGATGATTAACCAGGATATTGTCTGGCTTGTTGTCTGCATGTAGGATATCGCATCTTTTAAGGAGTTTCAATGCCAGGAAAAACTGCTGACTATGGGATCTTACAGCTTTAATACGAAAACCAATATCTTTATCATATTTCTTTAACATCTCTCATAAGTTCATACTGAGAGGCTCAAATATGAGACAGAGATGCTGTTTGTGATAGAAGCGCCTGAAGAGTGCAGACAATGAAGTTTGTCATCAGGATCAGCATCAAATTCTTTCAAGAGCTCTAGTTCTTTTAAACCAGTCTTTTGCATGAGCTCATTGTTTCTGATGACCTTTACAGCCACTTCTTGGTTGGCTCTTGCATTATCTCTGGCTCATAAAACATTACTGAATACACCTTGCCCAGTGTAGCCATACACATTGTAACATTTATCTAGGACTTCACCTATGTTCACATGATAATAGCCTTCTGCATCAGTCCAGTTATCTCTGAGGTTGGGATTCTCTTTGAATCTTACCCATTGCCAGCAACCCAAAGGCAAGCACTATCAAAATAGTCAGCAAACATCATCAGATTCTGTAAAACTTATCAAGTGCCAACAACTTCTTCTGAGATGAACTATTATTCTGTTCAACTGTCATTAGATTGTGCTTGGCTTTCACTGAGGCCTGAAATGTATCAACATTTTCCCGTTCATACTCTTTAACGTCAGCAGCTACTCACTCCAGAGTGTCATCTGGAGAAGGTGATCATGTTTTCATACTGCTCTGGGGGATGCTTGGTTAAGATGACATGGACATATTGCTATCTTCAGCAAGATATTTATATTTCTGGACAATTGCCTGCCTTTGGATTCTTCTCTGTTCTATTAGGGCTTCTTCATCTTCTTCCTCCACATCAAAATCTTCAAGCTTATCATCAGACAAAGATTCCTGCTCAATTTTCATTCCTTCAGAAACACTTCCTTTAAATTTATCTTCCTTTACTTTGCTTCTGCTCCTTCATCTACGACCACCCCATGATCGAGGCCACCTTCTCAAGCATGATCTGCTCCTCCAACCTCTGTCCCTTTTCTGAGGAGACCTGCTTCTTCTTGGAGACCTGATTTTTGTGCTATGCCTGAGTGGGGAATAAGACCTCCTTTTAATGGGAGATCTACTACTTCTTCGGGTTGGAGACCACCTATTAATGGGGCTGGCATCTTTTAATCTTTCACATCTATTGAGGATATCATCTTGAGGTTGTGTTCTTGAAGAAGAAGGTCGTCTTCTCTCTGGCTCTCTTCGTTTTCCTTCTAAGGATCGGCTCAGCTCTTCTACCAGGAAACAGTGTTTGAGAGGGAGATTTGCTCTGCTTAGATCTTCTATCATTTAAAAGTGGAGACCTACTTCTTGATTTACCATGTGGTTTTGAAGACAAACTTCTTTTAGGACTACAACCAGGTCTTCCACTGGGTGACCTATTTTCTTTCCCAGATGAAGTATCTTTAGAGGGAGATCTAATTGGGTTCTTTTCTTTATCAGCTTCAGACTGTGTTGATTTTCTCTTTTTGGACTGTGACCTTCTGTCTTTGGATTTACCTCTTAAAACAACAGGGGATCTGGATTTTTTACCTTGATCGTGACTTCTACCTTGATTTATAATTGGGGATTTATCTTGTTTTTTGATTTACTTTTATCTTCAGTTTTAACCTTATCATCAGTAGGAGATCTGGCCTTACTAATTTTCTCTTAAGATCACCTTCTAAGGGTAGGGGATTTTAATTCTCTTGCTTGATCTTGAAACTTACTTCTTTTGATGGCCTTTTAGACTTTTTCCTCTCCTTTGACTTGCTCCTAGTTGTTTTCTCTTTAACGATTTCAATACCCCCCTTACTTTTCTTCTTATCAGACCTAGGTCTACTCCGTTCTTTGGATCTGCTTTTACACCGTTTTTTGTAGTATTTTTATTGTCCACAAGTTCAAGTTTCCCCTTTGTACTTGAAGATCTAGTACTAGATCTATTTCCATTTCTTAAATTTCATAAATCTCCCCTTCTTCTTCAGAGCCAGACTCATAATCTTGTAAAATGAACCCCATACCAGACTGGACCTTTCCTTCCATTAGCTCGTTATCAAGTTCAGCCTTAATCAAGGCTGTTTTTCCAAGTCTTCTAGCAAAGCTAAATCAAGTTTAATTCTTTTTGCTGGAGACATTCCCTCTTTATCAGAAGCATCCGTAACCTCTTTTCTTTTGTGTTTCTTATGTTTATGCTTATGTTTATGTTTTTTATCCTTGTCTTCTGAGGAATGTTTATGTTTCTTATGTTTACTTCTGTGTTTATACTTTTTTTAAAACTTATTTTGTTCTTATTTTGAAATTGGTCTTCTGATACTTCTCCATTTTCTTCATGTATACTCTTTTCAGAATTATCAGCATCTTCCATCTCTGGCTGTTCCTGCAGCAACTGGGTCTCAGTGGCGGCCATCTTGAACTTCCTGACTCCGCTGCCGCTGTGGTGGTGGTGGCTCCCTGGACCGTGAAAGGCAGTGCTAGTGGAAGAAGAAGGAAAAGAGCTGCCGTACATGTGCCTATTGTTCCCTTCTTTGTGTTCATGTGTACTCAATGTTTAGCTCCCACTTATGAATGAGAACAGGCAGTATTTGGTTTTCTGTTGTGCATTAATTCACTTAGGATCATAGCTTCCAGCTGCATCCATGTTGCTGCAAAGACCATGATTTTGCTTTTTATGGCTTCATAGTGTTCCATGGTGTATATGTACTACATTTTCTTTATCCAATCTAGGTTGAGTCCATATCTTTGCTATTGTAAATAGTATTGCAATAAATATATGGGTGCATGTGTCTTTTTGGTAGAATGATTTATTTTCCTTTGGGTATATACCCAGTAATAGGATTGCCAGGTCAAATGGTAGTTCTTAGTTCTTTGAGACGTCTCCAAGCTGCTTTCCACAGTGGCTAAATTAATTTACATTCCCACCAGCAGTGTATAATTGCTCCCTTTTCTCTGCAACCTTGCTAACATCTGTTGTTTCTTGACTTTTTAATACTCGTCATTCTGACTGGTGTGAGATGGTATCTCGTTGTGGTTTTGATTTGCATTTCTCTAATGATCAATGTTGTTGAGCATTTTTTCATATACTTGTTGCCACATGTATGTCTTCTTTTGAAAAGTGTATGTTCATGTCCTTTGCCCATTTTTTTAAAGAGGTTGCTTGTTCTTCACTTGTTGATTTAAGTTCCTTATAGAATCTGGATATTAGACCTTTGTCAAATGCATAATTTGTGAATGTTTTCTCCCATTCTGTAGGTTGACTGTTTATTCTGTTGATAGTTTCTTTTGCTGTGCAGAAGCTCTTTAGTTTAATTTGATCTCACTTGTCTGTATTTGTATTTGTTGCAATTGCCTTTGGAGGCTTCATCTTGAAATCTTTGTCAAGGCCTATGTCCAGAATGGTAATTTTTAGGTTTTCTTTTACGATCTTTATAATTTTAGATCTTACATTTAAGTCTCTAATCTATTTTGTGTTGATTTATATATATATATATATATATATATATATGGTAAAATGAAGGGGCTTAGTTTCAATCTTCTGCATATGGCTAGCCAGTTATCACAGAACCATTTAATCAATAGAGAGTTCTTTCCCCATTGCTTGTTATTGTCAGCTTTGTCAAAGATCAGATGGTTGTAGATGTGTGGCTTTATTTCTGGGTTCTCTAACCTGTTTTATTTGTCTATGTGTCTGTTTTTGTACCAGCTCTATGCTATTTTGCTTACTGTAACCTTGTAGTATAAAGTCGGGTAGTGTGATGCCTTCAGCTTTGTTTTTTTTTTTTTTTTTTTTTTTTTTGCTGAGGATTGCGTTGACTATTCAGGCTTTTTTTTTAATCCATATAAATCTTAGAATCGTTTTTTCTAATTCTGTGAAAAATGATTTGGTAGCTTGACACAAATAGCATTAAATCTGTACATTGCTTTAGGACGTATGGCCAATTTTTTTTTTTTTTTTTTGAGACAGTCTCGCTCTGCCACCCAGGCTGGAGTGCAGAGGCACAACCTTGGCTCACTACAACCTCCGCCTCCTGAGTTCAAGAGATTCTTCTGCCTCAGCCTCTCAAGTTGCTGGGATTACGGGCATGTGCTACCACCCCCAGCTAACTTTTTGTATTTTTAGTAGCGAGGGGGTTTCACCACGTTAGCCAGGATGGTCTCGATCTCCTGACCTCATGATCTGCCCGCCTCTGCCTCCCAAAGTGCTGGGATTACAGGCGTGTGCCACCCCGCCCAGCTGGCTATTTTAACAATATTGATTCTTCCTATCTATGAGCACAAACCATTTCTTCATTTGTTTGTGTCATCTCTGATTTCTTTCAGCGGTGTTATGTAATTCTTGTAGGATATTTCACCTCCTTCTTTTAGCTGTATTCCTAACTATTTTATTCTTTTGTGGCTATTGTGAATGGGACTGCATTTTTTATTTGACTCTCAGGTTGGACATTATTTGTGTATAGAAATGCTACTGATTTTTGTGCATTGATTTTGTATCCTGAAACTTCAGTGAAGTTGTTTATCCGTTCCAGGAGGCTTTGGGCAGAGGCTATAGGGTTTTATAGGTATAATAGTGTCTGTGAAGAGAAATCGTTTGACTTCCTCTCTTCCTATTTGGATGACTTTTATTTCTTTCTCTTGCCTGATATCTCTGGCTGGGACTTCTAGTACTATGTAAATAGGAATGGTGAAAGTGGGCATCCTTGTCTTGTTCTAGTTCTCAAGGAGAATGCTTCCAGTTTTTGCCGATTCAGTAGGATGTTGGCTGTGGGTTTGTCATAGATGGCTTTTATTCTTTTGAGGTACGTTTCTTCCATTTTTAGTTTGTTGAGGAATTTTAGTATGAAGAGATGTTGAATTTTATCAAAAGCCTTTTTATTTTTAGCTTTGTTTATATAATGAATCACATTTAGTGATTTGCATATGTTAAACCAACCTTGCATCCCAGGAATAAAGCCTACTTGTTTGTGGTGGATTAGCTTTTTGATGTGCTTCTAGATTTGGTTTGCTAGTATTTTGTTGAGGATTGCTGCATCTATGATCATCAGGAATACTGGCCTGAAGTTTTCTTTTTTTGTCTTGTCTCTGCCAGGTTTTGGTATCAGAATGATGCTGGCCTCAGAGAATGAGTTATGGAGGAGTCCCTCCACTTCAGCTTTTTTGGAATAATTTCAGTAGGGTTTACACCAGTTCTCTGTACATCTAGTATTTGGCTGTGAATCCATCTAGTCCAAGGCTTTTTCTGGCTGATAGGATTTTTTTTTTAATTACTAATTCCATTTCAGAACTCATTATTGGTCTGTTCAGGATTTCAATTTCCTCCTGGTTCTATCTTGGGAGGTTGTGTGTTTCCAGGAATTCACCCATTTCTTCTAGATTTTCTGGTTTGTGTACATAGTAGTGTTCCTAGTCTCTGAAGGATTTTTTTTTTGTATTTCTGTGGGGTCAATGGTAATATCACATTTGTCATTTCTGATTGTGTTTATTTGAATCTTCTCTTATTCTTTATTAATCTAATTAGCTATCTATCAATCTTATTTATTCTTTTGAAGAATTTTGGTTTCATTGATCTTTTGTATGGATTTCACATCTCAATTTCATTCAGTTTATTTCTGATTTTGTTTATTTCATTTCTTCTGCTAGCTTTGGGGTTGGTTTGTTTTTGTTTTTCTAGTTCCTCTAGTTGTAATGTTAGGTTGTTAATTTGACATCTTTCTAACTAATTGATGTAGGCATTTAGTGCTATAAACTTTCCACTTAACACTGCTTTAGCTATGTCCCAGAAATTCTGGTATGTTGTATCTTTGTTTTCATTAGTTTCAAATAACTTTTTTATTTTTGCTTTAATTTCATTCTTTGCCCAAAAGTCATTCAGGAGCAGATTATTTAATTTCCACGTAATTATGTGGTCTTGAGAGATCTTCTTGGTACTGATTTCTATTTTTATTGCATTGTGGTCCAAGAGTATGGTTGGTATAATTTTGGTTGTTTTGAATTTGTTGAGAATTGCTTTATGGCCGAGTATATGGTCATTTGTAGAGTATGTGCCATGAGCAGATGAGAAGAGTTTATACTCTGTTGTTGTTAGGTGGAGTATTCTGTAGATGTCTGTTAGGTCCATTTGGTCAATTGTCAAATTTAGGTCCCAAATATGTTTGTTAATTTTCTGTCTCAATGATCTGCCTAACACTGTCAGTGGGATATTGAAGTCTTCCTCTTTTATTTTATGCTTAAGTCTCTTCGTAGGCCTCTAAAAACTGGTTTGATGAAGAACTGGGTGCTCCATTTTTGGGCACATATATATTTAGGATAGTTAGGTCTTCTTGTTAAATTGAACCCTTTGTCATTATATAATGCCCTTATTTGTCCTTTTGGATCCTTGTTGGTTTAAAATCTGTTTTATCTGAAATAAGATTAGTACCCCCTGCTCCTTTCTGTTTTCCTTTTGCTTGATAGATCTTTCTCCATCCCTTTACTTTGAGCCTATGGGTATCATTGCATGTGAGATGGGTCTCTTGAAGACAGTGTTCAGTTGGGTGTTGGTTCTTTACCCAACTTGTTACTCTGGAGGGCATTTAGCCCATTTACTTTCAAGGTTAATATTGATATGTGATAATTTGATCTTGTCATCATATTGTTAGCAGCTTGTTGTATAGACTTGATTGTGTAATTAAGTTGTAGTGTCAGTGGGCTATGTACTTAAGTATGTTATTATAGTGGCAGATAATGGTCTTTTGTTCATGTTTAGCACTCTCTTAAGGACCTCTTATCAGGCAGGCCTGATGGTAATAAATTCCTTTAGCATTTGCTTGTCTGAAAGGATTTTATTTCTCCTTCACTTATGAAGCTTAGTTTGGCTAGGTATGAAATCTTTGGTTGGAATGTCTTTTCCTTAAGGATGCTGAATAGTCTCCCAATCTATTCTGACTTGTGAGGTTTCTGCTGAAAGGTCTACTGTTAGCCTGATGGGGTTTCCTTTGTATGTGATCTGCCCCTCTCTCCAGCTGCCTTTAAGGTTTTTTCTTTCACATTGACCTTAGAGAATCTGATAACTATGTGTCTTGGGGATGATTGTCTTGTATAGTATCTTGCAGGCATTCTGTGAATTTCCTGAGGTGTGTTGACCTCTCGAGCAACTTTGGGGACATTTTCATGGACAATATTCTCAAATATACTTTCTAAGTTGCTTGTTCTCTCTCCATCTCTTTCAGGAATGTCAATGAGTTGTAGATTTGCTCTTTCCATAATCCCATATTTCTCAGAGGTTTTGATCTTTTTTTAATCTTTTTTCTTTATTTTTGTCTGCCTGCATTGATTCAAAGGAACAGTCTTTGAGCTCTGAGGTTATTTCCTCAGCTTGCTCTATTCTGTTATTAATGCTTCCAATTGCATTATGAAATTCCTTTAATGAATTTTTAATTTTCAGAAATTCAGTTTGGTTCTTTCTTCAAGTGGCTATGTCATGTTTCAACTGTTGGATTGTTTTACTTGGATTCGGTTTCAACCTTCTCCCCTATCTCATTGAGCTTCCTTGTTATCCAGATTCTGAATTATATATCTGTCATTTAGCCATTCCACTTTGGTTAAGAACCATTGATGGGGAGCCAGTGCAGTCATCTGGAGGTAAGAAGACACTGGCTTTTAGAATTGCCATAATTCTTGCACTAGTTCTTTCTCATCTGTATGGGCTGATGTTCCTTTAATCTTTGAAGTTGTTGTCCTTTGAATGGGTCTTTTTGCTTATATATTCTTTGATGTCCTTAAGGGTTTCATTGTGGCATAAGTTGGGTCTAAACAATTGGCTTCATTTCTGGATCCTTTCAGGAGGCCAAGGCTCTGCTCAACACTCCTGAGCTTCATGCTCTATTCCTGAGGAGCTGGCACCAAGCCTACAGCTTTGCTCTCTGGCCCCTCTAGGTCAATCACCTATTGCATTGGAGAAACTGAGGTGTTGCCAGTGTGCTAGCAACAACATTCAGATGGGGGCTGCCAATAAAAGTGCTGTGACAGGGTGGTGGTGGGTACACAAGACAGTACACTGTGGCAGGGGAGCCATGGGTGACAGGGGAGCCATGAGCAGCAGGGCAGCAGGGAGCTGCCAGCGAGTGCACACCAACAGGGCACACCAACAGGGTAGCAGGATGCCATGGGTGAGTGCACACCAACAGTGCAGCAGGGGGACTACGTATGTGTGCATCCTGGCTGGGCAGCAGTGGGGCTGTGGCAACATGGCTGGGAAGAGTCTACAGGCAGGTGTGTACTAGTGGGAGTCTCTGCAAAAGTACTCCAGTGGGAAGGTGGGGGCTGCCAGTGAACGAGTGAAGTGGTGGCTGCTGGCAAGCATTTCAGTGGGGCAGCTAAAGCTGTGCTGCAAGTGGGTGTGGCCAGGCAGGGACCCTGGGAGAGGCTGGCAGATGGGACATTCATTTGAGACTGGCCCCATCCCACAGGAAAGATAACCCTGCTCTCTCCAGATCCAGCAGCTAGCAAAGGCTAAAGCCACCTAGAGGAGTATGGGTGCCCATGGGATGGGTGCCCATGGCTTGGGATGGGTGCTCATGGCTATGTGCTCCACTGCAGCCGTTCCCATGCCAAACCCTCTGGCCTCCACACAGACAGGAGTTCTGTCTCTGCTAACTCTCTGGACAGTTCTCCCTGCCAACTCAAATGTCTATAAGAGTTGTGGGGTCCCTTGTAGCTAAGATCCCGAGGTCTGTGGCAAGAGTGGGCCTCTTCATGCCTATTTCATTTACTGTTTCCCTAGGAGCCCCTCAAATACTCTTTCAACACTAATGGTTCATATTTGATATAATCTTTACCTTGAAACGAAGATGTTGTGTTTGCATTGGGAAATTGTATTTACTGCCTGCTGTGGTTTGAATGGGCTCTCCAAAGTTCATGTGTGGGAAACTTTGTTCCTAAATCAATGGTATTAAGAGGTGGGACATTTAAGAGGTGATTAGGTCATGAGGGCTCTGCCTCATTAATGGATTAGGGCTGTTATCATGGGAGTGATTCCTTATAAAAAGATGTGTTCAGCCCCCTTCCCTCTCTCTCTTGTCTTCCATCACATGATGCTACAAGAAGGCCCTTACCAGATGCCAGCTCCTTGATCTTAGACCTTCCAGCCTCAAGAAATGTGAGGAAATAAATTTCTTTCCTTGAAAAATTACTCAGTTTTGAGTATTCTACACAGAATAGCAGCATAAAACAGACTAAGAACTCACCTTATATTTGTTATGAGAAATTAAACTTATTTATCATGCTTATAATAGTTAACCCATTGACTTAAAATCTCATACATCTTCATGCATTTAATCCACGTAATAACTAAAACGGTACAGGGTCCCTTAGGATTAGGAGAATATATTTGTAAGTTTATCCTCCATTATATAGTTTATACAATTAAAAATAGAGTTTTATATAAGATTCATTTTAAAATCCAATGCAAGTGAAAATCAACAATGGTAAGTCATGTTAATAGCATGTACCCTTGACATGATATGCTAAAAAGGAACCTCTGCGGTCTTCACCCCCAAATCTAATAACTCCAGTCTAATAATGAGAAAAACATCAAACTCCAATTTAGGGAATTTTACAAATTACCTGAATACTATGCCTCAAAATTGTCAAAGTCATCAGAAAAAAAAAAAAAAAAGTCTGAGAAACAGTCACAACCAAGAGGAGCCTACAGGACATGACAACTAAGTGTAATGTGATATCCTGGATGAGATCTTGGAACAGAAAAAGGGTATTAGGTTAAAACTATGGAAATCTGAATATAATTTAGGTCTTCCCCATCATCCTAGTTGAACCAGCCTAGTTTAACCAGTAGTCAGCCTACTCCTAGATATGTGACAAAGTTTATCCAAGATGAACATAGCTACCTGACTCATAGCTGTCCACAAACACATGAGTGAACCCAGCCAAGACTAAGTACAGTCCAGATCATCTGAATCCCACTGAATCCTAAGTTAAATAAATATTTTTACACAGTACTTGTTACACAGTATTTTTGTGGCAATCTACAGTGTATACAACCCCCAACTAGAACATAATTATTGGTACATCCTAACAGGAAAAAGATATTTTGGTGAAGAAGAAAGATGAGGGGGAAAATTCCAGGAGATGTGGAGGTTTATGTACTCCAAAAATCTGGTATACTCACTAAACTCTAGTATAGTGATTAAGCATGTTGAGCTCTGGCATAAGACTACTTGGGTTCAACTCACTATCAACTACTTGGTTCTGTGACCTTGAGCAAGTGACCTGAACAACTCCTTTATATGTAAAATGGTGATAACAATAGTACATATCTCCTATGTACAGAATTGTAAAGTTCAAAAGAATTGTAAGTATAAATTTATTACAACAGCATCTGGTACATATAGTACATACTCATTAATGTTATTTAGCAGTAGTGATACTAGTAGTAGTAATAAAGTAGTAGTGGTATTCTCAAGCGAATCTCTCTACCCAGAATGTCCTTCCCACACTTCCTTACCTGAATAATTTCTAATCCTCATTTAAGACTCTTGTTATCTCCCCCCAAGGAGACTTTCCTTTATATCTTTCCTTTGGATTTGCATAGAACCCAGTACTTTTCCCTTTCCCTGTAGCTTGGGACATAATTTTGAAATTTTCTTTCTATGTAGTTGCCTTTTCCTCTAGACTTTAAGTTTCTTGAGGGTACATTCTATACCTTGTTGTTCTCTTTGTAACCCAAATATGAGTTTCATGCTACAAGCATATGCCCCTTAAGATCAAGACAAGATAAAAAATGAACAGCTAAATAAAATGTGATCAAGGGGCCAAGATGGCCAATTAGAAGCAGCTGCAGTACATGGCACTAATGGAGAGGAATAAAGCAGCAAGTGAATTCAGCATCGCCAACTGAGATATCCAGGTTCTTGTACTGGGACTGACTAAGCAAACAACTCAACCCACAGAGAATGAAGAAAACCAGGGTGGGGCAATGGCCCACCCAGGAGCTGCATGGAGCCAAAGGAAACCCCACCCCCATCCAAGAGAAGCAGTGAGTAATTGTGTGACCCTGCCTGGTAAACCACGATTCTCACACAGAACTTTGCAACCCATGAATCAGGAGATTCCCTCATGAGCCCATGCCACCAGGGCTCTTCTTATACAGAAGCCTCTAGCTACCTCGTTGTCCTCATCTCTCACCAGGCCCCTTAAGAGGCCATAATACCCAAAGTGATCTACAGAATTAATGCTATCCCTATCAAAATACCAATGGCATTCTTCACAGAAATAGAAAAAACATATGTAAAATTTATAAGGAACCACAAAAGACCCCAAATAGCTAAAGCAATACCGAACAACAACAGCAAAGCAGGAGGCATCACATGACCTGACTTTAAAATATACTACAAAGCTACAGTAACCAAAACAGCATGATGCTAGCATAAAAACTGACACACAGACCAACGAAACAGAATTAAAAGCCCAGAAATAAATTCACACACTGATACACAGAGTTGTGAGAAGTCTCGGCAAAGCAGCTGCTCAGGCACGCACAGAGACCTAGGAGTTTTACATACTCCAGCCCTGGGATCCCCAGCAAGGCAGGATACCTGTTCGTACCCCTAGGAAGGGGGCTGAATCCAGGAAGCCAAGCAGCGTCATTCTGCAGGTCCCACTTCCACGGCACCTCATACTGGCTTGGAATTCCAGCCAGCCAACAGCAACAGGCTGGAGTCTGCCTGAGACAGGACCAGGTTCCTGGGGGATGGGCAGCCCTTCTCTGTGGTTTAGTCAACTCAGCCATTCCAGCCTCCTGGCTTTGGAGAATCCAAATGGTCTAGACAAGGAAGGGTCCCCCCATGACACAGCACAACTGTTTCACTAGATCATGGCTAGACTACTTCTTTAAACAAGACCCCGATCCATTCCTCCTCACTGGGTGGGACCTCTCTGTCGGGGTTTCAGGCACTCCAGCTCCAGCCAGGGTTATGCAGACACAGCCTGCCAGCTTTGGAGAGTCCAAATGGTCCAGACGAGGAAGGGCCCCCCAGTCCCAGTGCAGCACACCTGCTCTATCAAAAAGCAGCCAGACTGCTTCTTTAAGTGGTCCCTGATCCTGTTCCTCCTGACTGGATGAGACCTTCCAACAGGGTTCTCCAGCCACCTCCTACAGGTACATTCAGGCTGGCAACAGGTCAATGCTACCCTGGGACAGAGCTTCCAGAGGAAGGAACAGGCTGCCATTGTTGATGTTTCACAGCCTTCACTGATGATACCTCCAGGTACAAAAAACACTGAGGCAACTAGGGTCTGGAGCAGATCCCCAGCAAACCACAGCCACCCTACAGAAGAGTGGCCTGACTGTAAAAAGAAAAAACAAACAGAAAACAACAACATCGACAAAAATGACCTCACAAAAACCCCATTCAAAGGTCAACAACCTCAAAAATCTAAGGTAGATAAGCCCACAAATATGTGGAAGATTCAACACAAAAATGCTGAAAACTCAAAAAGCCAGAGTACCTCTTCTCCACCACATGACCACAACACATCTCCAGCAAGAGCACAGAACTGGGCTGAGGCTGAGATGGCTGAATTGACAGAAGTAGGCTTCAAAAGGTGTGTAATAATGATCTTCAATTAGCTAAAGAAGCATGTTGTAACCCTCTGCAAAGAAGCTAAGAATCATGATAGAACAATACAGGAGCTGGTAGCCAGAATAGCCAGTTTAGAGAGGAACATAACTGACCTGATGGAGCTGAAAAGCATAACAAGAGAATTTCACAACGTAATCACCAGTATCAATAGCAGAATAGACCAAGCAGAGGAAAGAATCTCAGAGATTGAGACTATCTTTCTGAAATAAGACAAGCAGACAATAGAGGGGAAAAAAATGAAAAGGAATGAACAAACGCTCTGAGAAATGTAGGATTATGTAAAGAGACTAAACCTATAACCAATTGGCGTACCTGAAAGAGATGGGGAGAATGGAATCAAACCGGAAAACATACTTCAGAATATCATTCTGGAGAACTTCCCCAACCTAGCAAGACAGGCCAACGTTCAAATTCAGGAAATGCAGAGAACCCCAGTAAGATACTGCACAAGAAGCTCAACCTCAAGACACATAATCATCAGATTCTCCAAGGTTGAAATGAAAGAAAAAATGTTAAGGGTAGCCAGAGAGAAAGGCCAGGTCACCTACAAAGGGAAGCCCATCAGATTAATAGCAGACCTCTCAGCAGAATGCCTATAATCCAGAAGAGATTGGGGGCCAATATTCATCATTATTGAAGAAAGGAATTTTCAACCTAGAATTTTATATCTGGCCAAACTAAGCTTAATAAATGAAGGAGAAATAAGGTCCTTTTCAGACAAGCAAATGCTGAAGGAATTTGTAACCACTCAGCTTGTTTTGCAAGAGCTTTTGAAGGAAATACTAAATATGGAAAAGAAAAACTATTACCAGCCATGATGAAAACACACTGAAGTACACAGACAAATGACACTATAAAGCAACCACATAAACAAGTCTGCAAAATAACCAGCTGGCATCATGATGACATTCACACATAACAATACTAACCCTAAATGTAAATGGGCTAGATGTCCCAATTAAAAGACACAAAATGGCAAGCTGGATAAAGAGCCAAGACCCATTAATATGTTATCTTCAAGAGACCCAACTCACATGCAAAGACACATATAGGCTCGAAATAAAAGGATGGAGGAAAATTTACCAATGAAATGGAAGACAGAAAAAATCAAGGGTAGCAATCCTAGTTTCTGACAAAACAGACTGTAAACCAAAAAGATTAAAAAAAAGACAAAGTAGGACATTACATAATCATAAAGGGTTCAATTCAACAAGAAGAGCTAACTATCCTAAATATATATGCACTCAATACAGGAAGCACTCAGATTTATAAAGCAAGTTCTTAGAGATCTACAAACAGACTTAGTTTCCCACAGAATAACACTGGCAGACTTTAACATCCCACTGACAGTATTAGACAGATCATCAAGGACAGAAAATTAACAAAGATATTCAGGACCTGAACTCAGCTCTGGATCAAGTGGGCCTGATAGATATCTATAGCTCTCCCCACCCCAAAACAACAGAATGTACATTCTTCTCATTGCCATATGGCCCTGACTCTAAAATTGATCACATAATTGGAGGTAAAACACCCTCAGCAAATACAAAGGAACTGAAATCATAACAGTCTCTCAGACCACAGTGCAATCAAATTAGATCTTAAGAAATTCACTCAAAACCACACAATTACAGGTAATGCATTTGTTAATTAGCCATATTTACCATTTCTACTATATATATATACCATAAAACATCACGTTGTACTTGATAAAAACATACAATATTAGTTGTTAATTTTTTAAAAATCGTTTCAAAAAGTATTTATTCAGCATCTAAAAACAAAAAGATCTACAAATAGATGAGATTCTCTTGAATCTCCATCACTCATCTTGGGAAGATGACATTTCCCAGGGAACTGACATTGTCGTGATACCCTCTGACTCCAAGTTCCTACCAAGTGAATCAGTTCACTTTATACCTTGTCCTTCTTTACAGTATACACTGTTTACTTTTCTTAAAAGTTGATGCAGACCTGGAATTTGATTCAATGCCTTACTTGCAGTACATGAGCTCATAGGACCTTGATACATACAGCAGAATTTACAAAAAGTTTAGGGAGGTGGTGGGAATAAAGGTGACATTACATTATAACAGCCCAAGCAAGTGAAAATTTTATAGTCGACAACTCTGGTCTTTAAAAATTCCTCAGCTACTGCTTTGCTGCTGATATGCAGTTCTTATCCCTCTCTTGTCTTCCTACCCCTCCACACCCAAATTTCTGATGATTTCTTATACAGAAGCCACTAGCTACCTCGTTGTCCTCATCTCTCACCAGGCCCCTTAAGAGGCCATAATACCCAAAGTGATCTACAGAATTAATGCTATCCCTATCAAAATACCAATGGCATTCTTCACAGAAATAGAAAAAACATATGTAAAATTTATAAGGAACCACAAAAGACCCCAAATAGCTAAAGCAATACCGAACAACAACAGCAAAGCAGGAGGCATCACATGACCTGACTTTAAAATATACTACAAAGCTACAGTAACCAAAACAGCATGATGCTAGCATAAAAACTGACACACAGACCAACGAAACAGAATTAAAAGCCCAGAAATAAATTCACACACTCATAGCCAACTGATTTGACAAAGATGTCAAGAACACACATTGGGGGAAAAATAATCTCTTTAATAAATGGTTCTGGGCATGAGCATAAGGAAGTGAACAATAGACACTGGGGACTACAAGTCGGGGAGTGAGTTGGGGGAGCAAGAACTGAAAAACTACCCATTGGGTACTATGCTCACTACTTGGGTGATGGGTTCGATTGTACTCCAAACTTCAGCACCATGCAATAAATGCTTATAACAAACCTGCACATGTATACCCTGAATCTAAAATAAAAGTCGAAAGTAGAAATAAATAAATAGTAAATGGTGCTGGAAAAATTGGGTATGACATTCAGAAGAATGAGGCTAGACCCTTACCTCTCGCCGTATACAGAAATCAACTCAAAATGGATTAAAAACTTAAATGGAAAACCTGAAACCAAACTACTAAAGGAAAACATGAGGGAAACACTTTATGACATTGGGTTGGGCAAGGATTTTTTTATGTAAGACGTCAAAAGCACAGGTAACAACAACAACAAAATACACAAATGGAATTACATTAAATTAAAAGGCCTCTTTGCAGCAAAGGAAACTGTTAATAGAGGGAAGAGACAACCTACAGAATAGGAAAAAATATTTGCAAAATATACATCTGGCAAGTGGTCAGTATTTGGAATACATAAGGAACTTAAATAATTCAACAGCAATACATAAATAAAATAAAATAACCCAATTAAAAAATAGGTGAAAGGCCCAAATAGACATTCCTCAAAAGAATACATACAAAAAGCCAAAAAGTCTTTGAAAAAATGCTCAAAATCATTAATCATCAGGGAAATACAAATCAAAATCAAAATGAGATACAACTCCACTCCAGTTACAATTACTATTATCGAAAAAAAAAGAAAAGAAAAGGAAGAAAACAAATGTTGGCAAGGAAGGTGGAGAAAAGGGAATAGTTACACACTGTTAGTGGGATTGTAAACTAGCACAGCCATTATGGAAAACAGTATGGAGATTCTTCAAAAATTAAAAATAGAACAACCATACAACCCAGCAATCCCACTACCGAGTATATATCAAAAAAATAAAATAAAATCATTATGTCAAAGAGTTATCTTCACTCCCATGTTTACTGCAGCACTATATACAATACCTAAGATATGGAATCAACCTAAATGTCTAGCAGTGGATGAATGAATAAAGAATATGTAGTATATAAACACAATGGAATACTCTTTAGCCATAAAAAAAAGAATGAAATGCTATCATTTGCAACAACATGGATGAACCTGGAGAACATCATGTTAAGTGAAATAAGCCAGACACAGAAAGATAAATGCCATGTGATTGCACTGATATGTGGAATCTAAAAATATATATATTGGTATCATAGAATCATACAGTAGAACAATGGTTACCAGAGAATGGGGATGAAAAGGAGGATGAGACGGGGGAGAAGTTTGTCAATGGGTACAAAGTTACAATTAGATAGGAGGGATAAATTCTGGTGTTCTATTGCACAGCTATGGGAGACTATGGTTAACAGTAAAATATTGTATAATATGAAATAGCTAAAAGAAAAGCTTTTGAATATCCTCACCACAAATGATAAATGCATGAGGAGATGGATACACTAACTACTCTATTTGGATCATTATACAACATAGATATGTGTCAAAGCATCAAATGGCATTTCTATAAATGTGTTCAATTACAATGTGTCAAATAAATAAGTAAATATACTGAGTTTTGTTGGGCAGTAGAATTGTATAATATTAATAGTAAAACTCTCTCTGATGGAGAAGAGTTGGGATCTGCTTGTGGAAGCCAAGGAAAGAGGGATTTCCAAAGTTGTGGATGCAGTCAAGAGCAACAAAAAGGTTAAGAAGTCTGCAGAACACAAGCACTGCCACTCTCTGCATGTAGTTCTAGCTTGAGGAAACAGCTTAATTGGCCTAGATTACTAAAACAGGACCTCTTTTAGGGGCTCTTATCAGGGAGGATCTAGCCATGTCCCTAATGGAAGGGAGAAGGCAGACTGAGGAGGAAAACCAGGTTGGCTCAGATCACATCTGCTTCTGCAGCCCTTCCCTGCCAGGTGGGGACTCTCCATACTCACACCTCGCCAGCTCTGCAGGGTGCTTTCCTTTGTTTCATTTCTAGATTCCCAGCCTGGCATTTTCTAGTGCCAATGTGTCATTCTCTCACCATCCCACTGGAATGAATGCCATCTTCTGGGCATACTTTTCAAGTACAATCAATACCTACCTCCCTTACAAACATCAAGAGCAAGAAAGAAGGCAGACCTGGAAAGCCCAAATCTTCCGATAACTGAAAAACATCCATATTTGAATAAGCTTATGGTCAGACACATTCAACAATCAGGTTTCCCAAGGGACTTTCCTCTGTAGGCTTCCAGCCTTTTCAAGAGGTTTCTACTACCATCACAATATGGGGAATAACTCCAGCTAGCCTCAGGAAATCAACCTTACATAGATTGAAATAACTGCACCCCTTCCATCTGCCAAAAGAGTTCTACTGTCTGTTTCCCAGGCAAAATATAGCCTTCAGGAAATATTGCCATTAGGCAATCAGAGTGTGGCTGCAATGAAGCATTCTAGAATGGCCTGAGATTGCCCTTGAAAAAAAAACTACTACTAGCTTTGCTTCCCCTCCCCAGAGACGAGGATGAAACAATAAATCAGACATTCCCACCCCTCTAACATCAAAATATATTTCACAGAGTATGGAATGAACCCACCTGCATGGATTGGATGGTCTGTGGCAGAGATGATTGCCAAAATTAGGGATTTAAACCACAAACCCAAGCAAAAACCACAAATTGAGAAAAGCATGTGCATACCCCTCTCCCAATCCTCTTGCCCCAGAGGAGGAAACAATCTGTGGACAGTGTCCAGAACCACTTTTCCTTCTCTGCAGAAGTAACAACTTTGACAACTGATAATCACTCTTGTTTGAAAGAGGGGAGCGTAAGGGAGTTTTGCTAACCCCAGAGGCAGAGTTTGCCAGGCCCAGACAAGGTCTGCTGACAGCAGAACACATGATTCTTACCCAGTTTGCTGGGTATTCCAGTCATTCTAGAATACTTTACTGCAACCACACTCAGATTGTCTAATGGCAATATTTCCCAAAGCACATATATTGCCTGGGAAACCGACAATAGAACTCTTTTGGCAGATGGAAGGGGTGCAATTATTTTTACCTATGTAAGGTTGCTTTTCTTAGGCTAGCCAGAGTTATTCCCCATACGGTGATGGTAGTAGATTAATTTTAACAAAAGACGTCTGGTATATCAGCAACGAAAGCACTTCTGGAGAAGGTAACAAATGTGCAGGGTTGGTCTATAGAGTTCTGATGACTTCCTTTTGCATCAGCATTTCAGAAAGAGCACTGATTTTGGATCAGACAGATCTGGCCTCAAAGCCTGACTGGTAAATTCGTTCTGGTAAACATTCTGGTAAATCCCACATTCTGGTAAATTCAGGCAACTCATTCCACCTCTCAGAGCTTCAGATTTCCACCTGTAAAATGGGAACAATAATGTCTTATATGGTTTGTGTGAGACTTTAACAGACAGGGTAAGTAAAATGCCTAATACATCACCTGGTCCATAATGGTCTTAAGTGTCCTATATCATTGCTGGTATTGTCATCACTACCAAGGTGGAGGAAGAGAGGACAAGCAGTGAGTTACCTCCTGATTTCTATTATCTCCATTCTCTAGACACCATTCTGCCTTCTGCCCAAGTTCATGCTGGCATGAAGGAGAACCAGCCTTGGCATTCAGGAGTCTAGAGGCCCAATTACCATAAACCTTGATGTATCTTAGCCCATGGTTGGCTGGTAAATGTTTAATGAAGGAGAAAGAGGACCTTGATTTGTAACTTTTGCTGATTTCCATGGTGTAAATATTCTCTCTGTGGCAAATTTCAAGCTGCCAATGTGATGTCACTAAACACAGAGTGGGAAAGAGATGAGCAACAGCAGAGCATTACATGGCATTTTCCTCTTTCGGATACAATACATAGGAATAACTTCAAGAGTACATTAATTACAGTAATAGTAAAGTCTAGCAAAATGAGAAGTAATGAGTTTTGAATATCCCTTACCTTTGTTTTCAATATAATTCACTTGATTATAAGCTTAAATAATTTTCAGTAATGGTTGTGTTTAACAGCCAGCTCAAAAAATTCCTGAAAATTTAACCAACAAGCCAGTATATGTGGGCTCCAGCTCGCTGCTGATTCTAGCCTGCTGATTTGTACCCACAGTATCAGTATCATCAGAATGGAGTTTGAACATAGGCAACGGGCTTGGGCATTAAAAGATTCCAATGACTTAGGATGGGACTTCCCCAGAATTCAAGACAACGTTCAGGGAGACAAATCCTCTTTTGACTAAAAATCCCTCCTAGAGAAAGTAGCCACCTTGGGGTCCTTAAAGGAGGGGATCACTTGATTTTCAACATTCAGGGCAAATCTAGTGCAAGTCAGCACACTGGAATGCCAGGGACTTAATCTGTAAAGTTGGAGAGGTGAATGGAGAAAAAACCATGGGCCATCATTGTGCCTCTGCCCCCACATGGCTATGTGACTTTAGGCCAGTGACTTCATCTCCCTTAGGCTCGTTTTCATCATCTGCAGAATGGGGACAGCACCTACCTACAAGTGTGGTTATGAGGTTGATGAGATAATGTATTCCAGCTGGCATTGTGAACTGCCAACCATTATAAAAATGTAAGGCATGGCTTCCATGGGGGGAATGAGACAGAAACCTGGAGTGAGGAAGATCTAAGTGGGGAAGGAAGGAGGAAGGAGGTAGTCAGTTTAGATAAAGGACAATGGAAGAAACTGGGAAGAAGAGGTTTGGAGTAGGAGGAGGATAAGGGAAGTGGAGGTAACAGAGGGTAGTACACAGCCCATTGCATTTAAAGTCATTGCCTCAATGTTTTTCCAACCCTTTGGTCACACTCACTGCAGCAGTTTCTTCCTTATTTCTTAACAGCTCCCATGTACATCCTAGTGACTGTGATCATACATTCTAATGATCATGAGTTTATGCTTGTATTCATGCTTTGACATCATCCCTACCGCCAAGAATAGATTCCAGTTTTCTCAGACTCCACCTTGTGCCCCTCCTCCCCACTATGGGCTTCTCCATGAATGGAGCTATCTCAACTGTACTGTTGGCATTGGATTTACCTGGCTACCAGAGCTCCATTTTGACAAAAATCCTTCTTGAGCTCTACCGTGTTTCCGTCTCTGTTTGACATGCAGCTTGAAATACTATTGGGCCTCAAATGAGAAAAACTGAAAATCAATTTCAATCAAGGTGATGGCTTGCCTTTTTCATGCCTTCATTTACTGGGTATTTTTGTGCAAGGATTCTTAACACAATCTCTTTCAAAGACACTCTTTCCTCTGGCCAAGGCAGAGTAAAAACAGGACAAATGTGTTGATATGCAACTTGAAACTTCTCAGCAGTGGAACACGCTATCCAGGAGGCAAAAGTCTTCTCATTACAGAAGAGATCCAAAAACAGACTGGACAATCTCTTGATGAGCAGGTTGTAGAGGTGCTGAGAGCACCCAACAAGTTGGCTTCTAAAGTTCTTCCAACTCTTGCCACCATTCAAATATACCCAGCCTTAGAACCCATCATTCAAGGTCCATAGCACTTTCTTCACCATTTAGGAGGACTATTATAAATATTGAAACACTCACTGCACCCCCCCATGAAATATATCTAGCCAATCAAACAATAGGGAATCTACAAAATCTTATTCCAGGAGTCCACTCATTTCCCAGGGCATCCCAAATCCTAGTTGTAGTTACACTCTATTCTAGTCTTTGAAGCCATCATAGAAACTGGTTCTGAAATATTCAACTACAGATGGGGAATCTGAGGCCTTGATGGATCATATCTCTTAATGTTAGTTTCATCTATTCCTCCACCCCATCTATCTGGCCCCTGTCTTAAGCATCTCTCACCTAGACAAAGGAACTTCCTTCCATGGGGGGCCTTGACTCCAGCCTCTCTTATCACCAACTCACCCTTCACACAGCTGCCAGAATGATTATTCTAACATGCAGACGTGATCAAGTCTCTCTTCTGCCTACAATCTACAATCACAGGTACAAAGTCCCAGTAAGCCTGGTTTACCGGGTCATCATTATCTTTGTGCCCTCCTTTCCTCCCCTGTTTCTTCTCCAGGCAGCCTGTATTCTAGCTGTGCCGAGTGGATTACTACACAGGTGCTTACTCCTCTTGAATGCTTTAGCCCTTTTCATCCTCTGCTTGGTTCCACTCTTGCCAGTCACTGAGGAGCAAGAGAATTGGGCTAGATTCAGTTCTGACTGGCCACACCAAGTCAGCCTTTGTCAACCAATCACCATGGTGATACCAGGTTATAGATAATACTATATACCAGGTAACCTAAAATACCTGCTGCCAAGTCTCTGTGTGAAACTGGGGAGTCCTTTCCCTTCCTTGGGCCTCAGTTTCTCTTTCTGAGGCTAGATGGGTATCAGTCCAAGTGAGTTTTATGCACTCTAATAGGCTAAATATTTCTGGACCCATATTCATTTTTCCAGTAGTTATAGGTTGAACACTGGATATCACCTGTCACCGTGTCAAGTGATGAGGACACAGCTGTGACTGAGACAAATACAATCCCTACCTTCACAGACTGATTCTCATAAATTTCTCCTTGAAGCACAATAGAGTTCTTTTTCTCCCAAAGGTTGTTTATTCTATCCAAGAAGAGCAACTTACGGTTCTGCTATGATTTAGTAACCATCCGCTTAGACCAAACTCAGCAATCCTACATGCTTTCATAGGTAAGACATCCTTAAATCTTCACAACAATCACATTGCTGTCCCCCATTTACCAATAAGGAAACTGAGGCTAAGAGAGGTTCAGAATAATATCTTGGTATAACCTAAGATCAAAGAACTAATAAGTGCTGAGATTCACACCCAGGTCTCTCTGCCTCCATAGCCCCTGCTTTTATGCCATAGGCAGTTTTCTGTTTTGTTTCATTTTGTTTTGTTTTTTTAACCAGGCATTTATCAGGGCCTACGGCTTGGGGCACTATATTGGGCTCTTATCGAGACAAAGAGAAAATGAGCTTTCAGTCTGATAACTTTGGTCTGAAATATGTGACTCTGACTTCACCCGGCTTTCCCATATTTGCAAACATAGCTTCAGAGAGAAGAAATATTTGAATCAGATGGAGACAGGGCTGGACTGGATTTGGAAATGCCAAGCAGAGGAGCAGGGGCCTGCCTGGCTAAAGGCTTCAGAGGGTCCAGGAAGCTGTGAGTCACAGGGGGCTTGAAGAGGAGAGGGTATGCTGAAAAATGAGATTGGCTAGGTGCTTTAGGGCCAGACCATGAACAACTTTAATTAGATCTCACTCCAGTTCAGCTGAAGATTAGTCAGTCTGAAGTCCCTGAGGAGGTATTGGGTACACTGGAAGAGGGATGGAAACAAGTCTAAATTAGAAATTCACTAGGAATAAGCAAGAAATGACTCCAGCATCCTCAAGGCTTAATAGAACTCAGATGGTTCTCAAGGTACCAGCCTCCTGAACAGGAAAAGATCTACTACTTAAAATGAGAACTTGGTTTATTTTAGTTTGTAAAGGTGCGAAGCATGCTAATGGGATAACTTAGGGCAGCTGAGATTTTCTGAAGGTTTGAGTAGTTAGAGGAGGTGAGCATGGCCTAGGGCCAAGAGTGTAGCTTTGGAGTTAGCCAGGTGTGAATGCAAAAATCCTCAGTCTGCCATCTCCTCCCTGTTTGAACTTGCGCAGTTTCCTTCCAGCTCTCTGTGCCTCCATATCTTCAGTGAGAATATGGAGTAAATCATAGGAACTTCATGTTATTTTTGTGAAATTATAAATGTAAGCTCCTTAGCAATGTGCCTGCGCCAAGCTAGCAGTTGTTAAATCATAACTGACAATTAGCTAACGTTAACAACTTCTGCTAAAGAGAGGAAGACTAGGTATCTATTAAACAGACACTTGGTGCCACGTGCTGTGAAGGCATTACTTTATTTAATCCTCAGAGCAGTTTTTCTAAGGAGGTATTATCCTCCCAACTTAGCCTTCTAAGTAACTGAAGTTCGAGAAAGCTATGCTATACCTAATCATTTTTTAAAATCTGATTTTAGTCATTTATAATCCTGAGCCAGATTGTCTTGGGTTCAACTCCTGGCTCTGATACTTTTAACTTTGTTCCTTAATGTAGTAACTTTGTGTCTTAAACTATCTGCCACTTTGTATTCTCTTTTATAAACTGTAAACCCTTCTTCTCACAGTCCTTGTAAAGTATATTAAAGTAATACATAATTTAACCAGCCCACAGTGACCATTCAAAAACGTGGTGTTACCCTTGTGGTAAATTCACATAGCTGTGAGATGATGGAGCTGGAATCTGAACCCATGTCCAAAGCCCAGGCTCTTCCCTCCAAATCACATGATGGGAAATAACCCCAGTGTGTAACCCTACAATGGTAGACTAGATGGCTTCCAAGAATGGGGGAGTTTCCCAAAAGGGCCTAGCTGCTCTCCAAAAGTCTTTCTAAACCTAGCTAAGTCCCTCAAAGTCTTACCACTAGTTTTGCTTCATTGGATTAAAGCTCAATTAAAAACCAAATGTTGCACTAGGGATGTAAAGTAAGCCCATTATTTCTTGCTAAAGTGTTACAGTCCTACTTTCATGTAAGATGGCTATCACCAAGCAGAAAGCAAGATGCAGGTAGTGTAAAACTAAAGACATGTGAGTTTCAGTGAAATAAAAAGAAAAGTCTACAATTAAGAGTTCCACCAAGACATGGGAGTGGGCTCCCACAGTTAGGTAGCACAGAGTAAGAGAAAGAATACCACGCTATGAATTTTAAAACTTGGACAAATAAGGGGACTTACTCTAGCTCACTATATGACCTCAGCCAAATCTCTTCCCTCCTCTGAGCCTCAGTTTACCCTTCTGTAGCAAAGGGCTGATATCGAATGTTTCTAAGCACATTTCAGCCCTGACAGCCTGAGCTGTTAGGAAAAAAAGGGAAGCCCAGAAATGAATGGGTGAGACAGAGTCCTCCCTGGGACATCTGGAAAAGCCCAAGGAAGAGAGCAGAGCTAGCCTGTGGAGACAAACCATCTGGAGCCAGCAGGGGCCTGAATCTTATCATCTGACTGTGGTTGCCAGGCCACCAATTCCCATTCTGAGGTCTGAGCTCACCCATCCCCCAGATCACCTAAGACCAAAGCTGAACTCAGAAGTATCAACAATATTCTGGACTTGCATTATTCTATTACCTGAGATGAGAAGGCTGCTATCCAGCAGGTCAAGCTGTTTATCCAGAGTCAAACAGCCTGACCTTGAATTCAGATAGAACTTAAAGAAAACATCTGCACTAAATGGCAGAGTTGGCAATGGACTTCAAACTCAACTCTCATCCAGTGCTTCTTTGGTTCCATTAGATGGGCTCCAATTCCTCTAGGACAGTAACTCTTAACCAGGGCTGACTTTGTCCCCACAGGGCAATGTCTGAAGGCATTTTCAGTTGTCACAATAGGAGTGGGGGGAGTTCTACTGGCATCTAATGGGTAGAAGCCAGGGATGATGCCATGCATCCTACAATGCACAGAACAAGTCCCCACAACAAAGAATTATCTGGTCCAAAATGTCAATGGTGTCAAGGGTGGGAAATCCTGCTCTAAGCATACCAAAAGCTCATCCGGTTTTTCAAGTTACCTCAACAGATAGTCTTGTTAATAAATTATTTAACATCCCAGCTAAGAATGAATCACAGGTCCTATAGCTCCTGGTTCTTGAACCTCCCCATCTGACATTTAGATCACACAAAAGGAGCACAGCTTTCTTGTCAGGTGCAAAGACGTTTTGGATTTGGTTTTGGTTTCTATTTTTCTTTTTCAACTTTTATTTTAGAATCAGAGGGTACATGTGCAGGTTTGTTACAAAGGTATATTGCATGATGCTAAGGTGTGAGGTATAACTAAACCCATCACCTAGGAAGTGAACATAGTACCTAATAAGTGGTTTTTCAGCCCTTACTTCCCTTCTCTCTCCCCATTAGCAGTCCCCATTGTCTATTGTTCTCATCTTTCTGTCCATGTGTACCCAATGTTTAGCTCCCACTTGTAAGTGAGAACATGTGATGTTTGATTTTCTGTTTCTGCATTAGTTTTTTTTATTTCTCTTAATGTCAAAGATAAAGTTGCCTTGAGTCACATTTCCACAAATAGGATAATTTACCAGTTGAATTCCTGGAGATTTCAAAATGGGATGAGGGGATGCTGAGCCAGTTTCAAAACTGGTCATGACTGCTTGTTTGTCAGAGTCCATAGCTCCCTGCCTTCATTTCTTCCCACCTCCTTATGCTACTCTTTAAGTCATGCAACACCACCTATCATTCATTTGTGCTACCAACAATGATCATAGCAATGCCTGTTCTGGGGTCTAGGGTTATAGAAAAAGACATACTTGCTTCTCTCAAAAAAAAAATTCTCAGTCTGGTGGGGGAGACAGACACGTCAATGGATGGTTATGGCATACAAGAGTAACTACCTTAGTGGGGAAGCCCTAAGTAGATACAGTCACATGCCACATAAGGATATTTTGGTTAACAACAGACCACATGTATGATGGTGGCCCCATAAGATTATAATGGAGCTGAAAAATTTCTATCACCTAGTGACATCATAGCCATCATAACGTTGTAGCACAATGCATTACTGCCATGTTTATGATGATGCTGGTGTAAACGAACCTACTATGCTGCTAGTCATATAGCACATGCAGTTATGTGCAGTACATAATACTTGATAATGATAAGAAATGACTATGTTATTAGACTATGTGTTTACTATATTATACTTTTTATCATTATTTTCACACGTACTCCCTCTACTGAATTTAAATTAACTGCAAAACAGCCTCAGGAGGTTTTCCAGAAGAAAGCATTAGTATCATAGGAGATGACAGTTCCATGCATGGTATTGTCCCCATAGACCTTCCAATGGGACAGCATGTGAAAATGAAAAACAGGGATATTAATGATTCTGACCCTGTGTAGGCCTAGGCTAATGTGTGTATTTGTGTCTTTAAACAAAAATGTTTTAAAAATAAGAAATTTTAAAAATATTTTAAAATAGAAAAAAGCTTATAGATGAACGATACAAAGAAATAAAATATTTTTATACAGCTGTACAATGTGTTTGTGTTTTAAGCTAGGTGTTTCAAGAGTCAAAAATTTAAAAAATAAAGTTAATAAGTTAACTTTTTAACTCAGTTAAAAAGTTAAAGTTCATAAAGTTAAAAAGTTACTGTTCACTAAGGTTATTATTGAAGAAATAAAATGTTTATGTCAATTTAGTGTAGCCTAAATGTAGAGTGTTTATAAAGTACAGTAGTGTACAGTAATGTCCTAGGCCTTCACATTCACTCACCACTCACACATTGACTCACTCGGAGCAACTTCCATTTCTGCAAACTCCATTCATAGTAAGTGTCCTATACAGCTTTTCCATTTTTAAAATCTTTTATACCATATTTTTACTGGACATTTTCTATGTTTAGATAGACAAAACTTACCACGGCGTTACAACTGCCTAAGTATTCAGTACAGTAGCATGCTGTACAGTGATGTAGCCTAGGAGCAGTAGGCTCTACCATATAGCCTGGGTGTGCCGTAGCTGTGCCATCTGGGTTTGTGTTAAGTACACTCTATGATGTTCACACAACAACGAAATTGCCTAACAACACATTTCTCAGAATGTATTTCCGTCATTAAGGATGCATGACTGTACTTGACCCATGTTGAGGAATCAGAGAAGGCTCCCAAGGGGAAGTGAACTCTAAGCTGAAGCTTAAAAGAGTCATCTAGGCCAAAGTAAAAGTGGCAGAGAAGAGCTCTAGGCTGGACAAAAGTATATTCCGATGGCTGAAGAGAAGAGAGAGCATGGTGCCTTCGAGAAACTGTGAATGGTCCCCTAGGACTGAAACTGAGAAAATTAAGGTGAGAGAGGCCGAAGAGGAGGGTGAAGAGAAGACAGAGCCAGAATGAGAGGGGTTGTATGTGCCAGTTAAGGAGCTAGGCTTTATCTCAGGACAAGGAGGCAGAGACCTGCTCTGATTTCCAGAGGAGAAGGATCGTTCTGGAGGCACGATCAGGATAGATGGTGAGGGCACTGTCAGGATAGATGGTGAGGGCAAGAGGGGAGGCAGGGAGACTAGTTAGAAGGTGTTTTCAGCAGTCCAGCTGAGGGTATGGCAGCCTGGCCCAGGGAAAAGGCAGCAGGGATGAGACATGCAAACAAATGCCAGTGGGGCTGAGTAAGTATGGCGGACGGTGCCTGGCTACTGCTTGGCTATGGAAGTGAGGTGCTGGGAGAAGTCAAGTATGACTCCCAGAGTCCTGCCTTGGGACCACTCTGGTGGTCACTGAGATAGGAGACACAGGGAAGTTGCAAATTGGGGCAACGTGCCTATTTCGGTTCTGGTTATATTGAGTATGAATTTTCCAGCAGCCCACTGTCTATACGGGTATGGGGCTCGGAAGAAAGGCCTCAACACCCAAGGGACAGTGGTACCAAAATGGGGGTAATACACTGTGTCGTGAGGTCTTCAACTACCCCAGGAGAGCTGACACCAAATGGGGGATGGTGGGGAAGGAACAAAAGCAACGTTCACAGAGCTCTCCATTGTCGTTAAGCATATGGTTTAGCGGGAAAAGGACCTGATATGTCCGGTGTCCTGCAGCCTTATTCTATCCTCCAACAGTCTGCATGGCTGGAGTTACTCCCAATTTAACAATGGCAGAAGTGGGGGTCAGCATGGAGACAGTGATAAGCTCATCAGCATGGAGTTGAGATTCCAAGTCAGGTCCACCTGGTCCCAAATCCTGTGCTTTTACTACTTCAACCATTTTGCCTTGGTCTTCAAAAGACCACCTCTGTATTTCAAAATTTTCAGAATGGTGAAGCTTACAGGCTCTGAAGTCAGGAAAACACGGGTACAAATCCCAGCTTCGTGATTTATCAGCAGCTCATCACCCTCGTTTGCAAAGCAAAAGATAATTACTGACTTCACAAGGATGTCATGAGGACTGATTAAGATTAGGACATGGAAATCTCTTAGCACAGTAGCTGGAATAAAGAAGCACTCAATAAAGGTGTTCAGCATTTGGCAATCTCTTGCCAAATTTGTGGTTGTCACAACTCAGGAGAAGGTTGCTACTGGCTTCTAGTAGGCAGAGGCAGGGAAGCTGCTAAACGTCCTACAGTGCACAGATCAACAAAGAATTACTTGGTCTAAAATGCCAGTAGTGCCAAGATTAGATAAGAGGCACACATTTTTTTCCCTTTATTGACACAGGGCCCCACTATGTTGCCTGGCCTCGTCTCAAACCCCTGGGCTCAAGCAATCCTCCTGCCTCAGCCTCCCAAGTAGCTGGGATTACAGGCACATGCCACTGCACCCAGATAGATTAGGAACGATCTAATCTAACTTATTCATTTTACAGAGGAGAAAATGGAAATCCAGAAAGGAAAAGCGGCTTGTGTCTCGAGGAACATTTGGATGGAGAGGAAGAAGACCCTGCAAATTGCAAGCTGGCTGTCTGGAACCTTAACAGTAAAGATGTTTCTGTATCCTTCTTGCTCTTTGTTCAGGGAGAGTTGCTGGGGCAACTATTTTCTAACCTCTTTCAAGGGGAAAGAGGCCAGTCAGTGGTGCCCTGGGTGAGGGCATCCTGGCCCAGTCCTCCTGGTGGTCATACCCCAACCCAGCCACATCTGACCCAATGAAGGGCAGTAATCAAGAACGTGAATTACAGAATGTACCCAGGACTTTATGAGCATCATGTCACTTATTCTTCATAACAAGTAGTTCTGTCATCCTGTTGTAGTCCATGAGGACTCTGAGGCCTAAGGAGGCTCCATGATTTGCCTGGGGTTACACAACAGAGGGACACGTGGAAACCAATGTGCTCCAGAGTTCACATTCACTCCCACCTCTCAAGACTGTCCAGTGAGACCCCAGCCTGGGCCTCCAAAACCCTCATTTCTTCTACGCTTATAGGAGAAATCTGAGCAGGCTTCATCTGAACACAGGGTTTGAGTCACTGAAGTCCCACTTAGCCATGATCATCAAAACACACATTTCAATGGAATAGCCCACTCCCCAGATACACAAAAACCATGGATCTGGGTGGATTCTCAGCCCTCTTGTTTTCCTGGAGACCAGAGACAGGGGAGTGAACAGCCTGAAGTCACATAGCAAGTTCGTGATGGGTCTCCTGACTCCTTGTCTGTTTCATATTTGGAAATAGAAAAGCAAAACTAAAAATGCCAACTCTGAATTATGCCTTTTCAGGAGTGGAGAGGGGGCTGACCTTCAGACAGTTTCCTTCTGATACAAAGACATTTGCATGAAGTGATTCCCCAAAAGATCTTGGAGAAAAGACCTTGGTTTCTTGTCTCCTCCCTTGCTCAGCTAAAGCAAATGAGACTCTGGATTGTTAAAATAGCAACTTAACATGGGTAAGTAAAACTACAGAATGCAAAAAGAAAAGCTGTTTGAAGATCCCAACCCCAAAATGTTTCAATTCTGTAAATCTTTAAGCCAGGACTCAAAGCTCCACTTTCCTTTTTAAAAAAGGAAAGAGGCACACAGTGGTTCCCTGATTTCTCTTTCACAGCAGCCATGTGCCAGCAAGAATGTTTTTGCTTCATTCATTAGTTTATAGCTTATCTCATCCCAAAGTATTTTGACAGTAGTGGGTAGCAGGCAGGAGAAGAAATCAGAGTAATGGGCAAATGAATGTCAGATAATAAGAAAAGCCAGGAAACATCAGTAAACAGCAAGAAACAGTTGTTATAATGAGCTGCCTAGTAGCCAAATCAGTGAGGAAACTCAATCCATTACCAGGCTTACGCTGCCCATAAGAGAAAAAATATATATCTGATGATCAGAAGAAAAACAGATTTTCTTTGACATGATGTGAAAAATAAACCTTTATTGTTTAAGACACTGAGTGAGATTTGGGGGGCTTGTCTATTGCAGCAACCAGCACTAATTACCCTGACCAATCCCCACTGCTTTACCTCCCCCAGCCTTCCACAGATACTCAGTGTCTGTTGAATGAAGAACTGAGCACCAACTCCACATCAGGCTCTCTGATTGCCAGGTGACGTCCTATAATCTTGCTATGAGATTGGGATGTTGTGCCTTTTATTCCCTAGACAAGGGAATAAATGCCTTGGTCATGTAGATATTTTAGACTAGATAACTCATTGTCGTGGGGGGACTGTCCCCTGCATTGTAGAATGTTTCATGGCAATCCTGCCTTCAGCCCACTAGTTGTCAATATCACCACCACCTTTAGTTGTGACAACCAAAAATGCCCTCCGCTATTAACAAAAGTTCCTGCGGCCAAAAGTGCCCCCAGTTGAGAGTCACTGCCCTAGGCCTATGATCTGTAAGGACATTTTCTACATCCTTCTCTGCCAACAACCCCTACACCCCACTACACACACTACATATCCAAGATACAAAGATGGAACAGGACGGGACAGCCACAACAAACACACGTGGTGGAAAGAATGGGACACACACAGGAGTCACAGATCCAGAGCTGCTCTGAAATCCTGCCAGGCAGATGTCCTGAAGGCTCCAGCTCTAGGTGAGGGGCTGTGAATCTTCTCTCAAGGAAGCTGAGCCTTGTCCATTGTTCTCATGACCACTGGCTCCACTCTTTGGTTGGGGGTTGGGGGGGTTTCTCTTCCCACAACACTCCTTGGAGTTTAAATAGTTTCCTTAATCCACTTTCTGTTCATGGGAGGCTGGCATCCCAGGGATTGCTTTAAATCTCAAAGATTGTCCAGCCCAGACTTGAGGCTTCTTTGGTGTTGCATTTCACTCAATAACTTAATAGGCTTCTGATGTATTTGCCAGTGAACACAGGCAAAGTTCTTTTTAAGATACACTTCCTAAATCTGCCTTTTCCTTTTCTTTTTCATCACCTTGTTTCTCTCTCTCTTCACCTAATAGCAGCTACCTTGAGGCTACATGGAAAAATCAATGAGAAGACCACACTTCTAATTTGATCTTTGACCTGAGTCATTTCCCAAACAGGAGATTTTACTGGGCCCTTGCCACGTAAATCCCTTTTAAATTCCATCTCATATTGTGTGGAACCTAGAAATAGTCTGCTGTTTCAACTCCAAGGCCCCATCTTTCTGGGCTCTATTATTCTGAATTTCTGCTTGCAACTCATCTAACAATTTCTTGAGCTTGTGTAATACTCCTAATACCTTGCCAAATACAGCTATGCTACCATAACACTATTTTCCTACTTCTTGCTCTGAAATGATGAGTTCAATGAGCACTGTTTGCCCGTCTAGTCATCACAGGTGACAACTTTCCAAAACTTTGCCCCTGCATAACCTGATCTCCATCTTTCCAGTCTACAGTTCAGTTTCCAATCAACTGTCTCTTGACCACTAAGCTAAAGTCATTTCTATTATCCTTCTTTTTAATGAAGCACCCTCACTACCAGTATCAATTTCTGCATTAGACTAATTGGCACTAGCTGCTAATACAGACAAATCCTGAAAATTTCAGTGGATTAATACAATAAAAGTTTATTACTCACTCATTCAAAATCCAATGAAGGTAAGGAAGACCTTTTTCATCTTGGAGCTACAGAAAAGAAAATTGCTTCTAGAACTTAAGCAATAAAGGATGAGATTGTTTAAAAGGCTTCGAGGGATAAAGGCCCACTTAACGTGGGTAGAGAGATCAGATTAAAGGTGTGCTTGTTCTCTCTTCATGGCATTGGTAAACTCAGTGGACACGTATTGTATATGGTACAGCTCTAAGACAGAGGAGGACCATTCATGAGTATGGTCACCCGGTGCCCCGTGAGCATCACCTCCCTCCAAGTGGCTTGTTCTGTACTGGCTCCCAAATATTAAGAGAAACATCAATAAGCTTGGGAGCCTCCATGAACAGGGGAGTAGTTTCTATAGAGAGCTAGAAACTGTGGGATGGGAGAAACCAATTGTAGTAGACTATTACTGTTCACAAATATTTGCTGTCCTTTCCTAAGAGCAAATTTCCCTTCCCCACCTCATTGGCATGGCCAGTGTCACATGAGTGAAGGTGATATGTTTCAGTTCTGGTAGAAACTTTCAGAAACAGGGTATGAAGACTCGTGTTCTCTTTTTCTTCAATCACCATGATCAGCAATGTTTTAGATAGAGTCTACTTGATCAACATGAGTCCTGGGGTGAATATGGGTTAGAGCAGAGTAAAGTTGTTTTAGCCTGTGATGAATACATAGTGTGAGCAGGAAATTAACCTTTGCTCCTGAGAGCTCCTGAGATCTTGGAGTTGTTTGTTTCTACAGCATAACCTAGCTTGTCTTGACTAATAACACCAGTGAAGGAAATGCAGGAGATTGTCCCAAAGAAGAAAGAACATAGTTGGGAACAAGGTTGTTGTTGTCATCAACAACCTGAAAAGCCAAGAGAAAAACCAACACTAGATTTGCACATGTGTTGCTCCCAAACTGTGGAAATCACAGGGAGGTAGCTCAGTTTAAGGAATAATGTTCTGGAAGAGTAATGAGCAACTGGTGATTGGAGTTAATTGCAGAGGAGCAAGCAGCAGTCTGAGATAAGAGAATGGGAGATGGCTCCAAGGCCTCTCTCTTCCAGTGCTAAGATGCTGTCATTACATGGAAAATCTGTATTAAAGGTAGCCTTTGGCCCAGGAGTTTCCACATGTCAGGGAGTGCTGTGGTCTGAAGGTCTGTGTCCCCCACCAAAAAAAAAAAAAATTGATATCTTGAGGCTTAATCCCAAATGCAATAGTATTAAAAGGTGGGGCCTTCTAGAGGTGATTAGGTCATGAGGGCAGAACCTTTGGGATTAGTGTTTTTATAAAAGAGTCCTGAGGGAGCTGGTTTGTCCCTTCCTCCGTGTAAGGATGCAACAAGAAGTCACCATCTTTGAAACAGAGAGTGAGCCTTCACCAGACACTGAATCTGCTGGTGCCTTGATCTTGGACTTCCCAGCCTCCAGAACTAAGACCAATAAATTTCTATTATTTATAAATTACCCAGTTTAATGTATTTTGCTATAGCAACCGTAACAGACTAAGACAGTGAGGAAGGCACAGAGACTTAGGACCATTCAGTATCTCAGCTAAGCCAAAAGACCCATCCTCCTGGGGAGGCCCCAAGGCCCAGAATGCAGTCCTTCTCAGGAAGTTTCACTGTGTTTTCTCCATTAAACACAGCTATGCATTGGGCATGTGTGTCATTGGACCCCTTCCTCTTTCTATCTCTGTCCTTTTCTCCCTGTCTCTGATTCTCTCTATACCGGTTTCCTTTTGTCCCTGGACCTCTGGCTTGTTATCCTCCTCTGTGTCTCTGGGTTACTGTATTTGTATTTCTTTTGCCTTTGTATATTCCTGCCTCCATCTCAGTCTGTCTTTCTGTTTCTGTGAGTCTTTTCACCTCTTTCGCAACCCTCACTCTATCTCTCCCTTATACGTGTTGCCTCCATCAATAAATCAGTCAGACACTTTTTTATGAAAAATGCACCCCTAGGAAACTGGTCCTTGAGCGTTTCTCTCTCACCATAGCTGGTACTAAAGCCATTTACGTGTTCAACTGCATCTTCAGTTTCTGACTTTTTGTCATTTTATTTTTAAAATCACTTTCTTTTCATCCCTCTAATGAAGTTTCTCCCCTAACTAGGCAGGCATTACTCATCTCCAGCCCCAGTGACTGAAACCTTGTGCTCAACCTCTCCACTCTCACTTCCAAAATTGTTGTCTCTGGCCCTGATTCCAGAGCAGCACTTTTCCTTCCATTGACCCTGAACTCTGTGTCCAGTTCCAGAAACATTCCCCAGCAAGGCCATGCCAAGGGTGTGAGCTTCCATGGATATGAAGGAGGAGAATGTTCCTGAACACAGATGCCTGAATAGGGTGCTTTATCCACTCCAGCCCTAAACACCCTGCTAGCCCTCTTCTAAAGCCATATCTCCTGCTCTTCCCCCACATTTGCCCCTGGACCTATCTCATGGCTCCTGCTCAAGACCCGGTAGGCGTCTTGGCTCTGACCCCTGCTGCCTACACCTTCCAGAGAGAACAGAGCACAGTCCCAGCAACTAGGAACCTGGGCTCAACTTCAGCACCAGCCCTGCCACTTGTGTCACCCTTCTGGGTCTGTTTCAAAATTGAAGGTAATAGTGCCCACCTGTCAAGGTTGTATGAGAATCAGCAAAGGTCATATACATAAAGGTCCTGATACAGAGCTGGAATAAAGGTGGTGATGCTGAAACGTTTATTCCCCTTCTACCACAGCACCATCATGGCCCCACGCCCCTCATTATCTTCAGGGCTGACCTGCAGCTAGGAGGCACAGGAGTGGCAATGCTGACTATTTACAGCCAGAATCCACTCTGGTGGGTCAGCAGGGATGCAGTTCTGGTTATTACTTTGAATATCCCCATACCACCACCAGCAATACCAAAACTCCCTCATCACCGCCTTCACTCTCCCTATCATCTCCATCCATAAAATTCACTCAAAGCCCAAGCCAAACCACCCCCTCCTCCTCTCTAAATTCCCCTTGGATCCCTCCTAACCAGTGATCATCTGTCCACACCTTGAATTTCACTCACCAGGCATCAGCCACAAAGTGCAATATATGGTGTCCCCTCAAACACTTATTTAGCACCTACACTGCACCCTGGACTTGGGAGACTTGGCAATGAAAAGGACATAGTCTCTACCCTTGAGATGTTCACAAGCTAGTGGGTGGCAGCCATGGGTAAATAAATCATAACAACGCAGTGTGATAAGAATACAGTAATGGAGATGTGGGCTGGACACACACTCAAAAGAGGGAGCTCTAACTTTGCCTGGGGCTGCCGCTGTAAACGCAGTCTATAGCTAATGCCTTTGCTCCTTAATAGCAAGATCCACTAACTCAGCTCAGCACTGAAAGCTAGTACTTTCTTCCTGAGAAGTATGGCTACAACCATGGAAAAATAATAACAATCTCCAACTTCAGATCTGGGTTGCATCTGTATCTCCAGGTTCTGATAGACTCTGGGCCACAGAGTCGGTATCCAAGGAATGAGAGATTGTCCACATCTTCAGCCAGGCCTCACAATTTAGCAGCATTCTTAGTTAAAACTGAGTAATCTCAAAGCTAGAGAAGGGATAAAGGGTCCAACGAAATTGTCTGGTTGGCCAAGACTCCCTGGGCTCCACCCGGCTGGCTCAGAATTGCAGACGCTCTGTCACTACCAGGTGCATCTCTCTACCTCGGTGCTGGCTGTTCTCTATTTCTGAACTTCTGCCAATCCTCTCTCCACATGGGCCCTACTCTTTCAACCAGAGCTTGTCATCTACCCAGAGATAGGTCTACTCCTATATTCTAACTGGAACCAAATGGCCATCAAATACAAAGTCATAACTCCAGGCTTTTTCAAGGGAGTACTTATTAGCTTTAAGAGTGGGACCAGGTTCTGCAAGATCTCATGTGTCTGGCAACATCACCTGCCTGGACCAGTGCCAAGAACTATGAAAAAAATTTTAAAAATGTTTCTCTGTGAGGCCAAAATAGACACTGTGAAATCTGTGCACTAATGCTCATCCCATGATTCATGGAAAGTTTACTAGGACCTCATACAGTGCCCACTGACTCCCATTTCTTTTCTGTTTTTGGATCTCAGATACACAGAATTGGAATAATCATCATCCTCAGATTATGTCACATTGTCATCAAGGTTCGTGCCTGGACTTCTTTTATTAAGTCAGCTAGTTAATTAGTTGCAATGTTATAAGTACCTAGTAACCCATGACATAAAATGAAAGCTAGGGCCTGGATGCGGCATCAAATGACACCATATGAAACCCTTTGCCAATCCACCCTCTGATCCCCCTGCTCAGGGTATCCATCACCCAGAGTCCTGTATTCATCTTTGCTTTGCTCTCCATTTCAATGAGTGGTATGTATATATGTCCATATGTGTGTGTGTACCACAAATGCACACATGTTATTTTTAACTTTATGTAAGCTTTGTTATATAAAATCTTTGGAAATTTGCATCTTCACTTAATATTATTGTGTTAAGATTCATCCGCATTGAGGCATGTTGCTGTTGATCCTTTATCTGGATGGCTGAACAATGCCCTATTGTGTGGCTCACCACAGTTTATTTGCTGCCTGCCTGATGACAGGCATCTGGTGTGCATCCAGGTTTGTGCCACTGTGATGACGGTGCTACGGTTAAGCTCCTTGTTCCTCATACATACCTCCTGTTGAACATATGTGAGGGTTTCTTTCGGGTATATGCCTGTAAGTGAAATAGTTGGCTGTCACCCTCTTGAGAATTTTTATTAATCCAAAGGGAAGCTAGATTTAAGCAAAGCAGGAAGAAAGAAAATGATTAAGAAGAAAGGAAAAGAAGAAAGATTTCTCAAAGCCTGATTTTCAGGGCATATTCCGCATAGGAATAACATTGCTCTTTGTGATTCAATAAGTGCAGAAGACTCAATTGTCTTCCGTTTCTTTAGTTTTCTAAAGTTAAAATGTTACTTTTATAATCATAAAAAAACTGTTTTAAAAGTTTAAACTGTATTTCAGAAAGGTTTCTATTCAAAATGTTTGCACTTTTTCTGTTGCCACTTAGAAGACAGTGAGTTAGCCACTGAAAATTTCTATTTCATCAAATAGCTCTTTTCCCAAGAGAACCAGATGGGGGGAGGTCTTGCCAACCATCGATGCCAGTCCAGGAAAGTAGGGCTATGCCCAAATAAGCACCCTTGCAGAAAGGCTGTGGATATTGCTCAAGTCCAAAACCTATCTAGAAGTAATTGCTGAAAAATGAACTTTTTTTACTAACTCAAGCAACAGAGAAAACATCTGCTGACCCAACTCAGCTGCCCTTGCTAATCCCTCATTTGCACATCATGAGGAAATTGCTATGGGACATTCTGAAAAATGTATTTATTAGCAAACAAGGATGTAAGCAAAGATGTGCAGAGATGGGTGGAAGGAACAACCAACAAGCAGAGAGAAGACACAGGGAATCACGAGACCCTGAAAACGTTAATGGTAGAAGCATCCTTAGCAATCACAAAGCTCCCTGTCCCCATTTAACACATGAAGAGAAGAAGGCCTGAAAAGTAGAAAAAATGTAGAGTCATCTTGTCTCAGTAGGAGCAAAAGCTATAAAAGACATCAACTCCAATCATTTCTCCAATAATCAAATTTCCTCTAAAATATTCTCAATCAGTGGCCATTCAGGTCCTGTCCTTATCGTTGAAACAGAGAGCCCCCACCTCTGGAAGCAACATGATTTATCTTTGGACAGTATTGACAAAGTCTTCAAATTGAGCCAAAGTTTGCCTTTCAGTAACTTCTACTTATTGCCTAGTTCAACCCCCTGAATGCCATACAGAATGGTAACAATAATAACAGCAACAGTGATAATAATACCAGTCCGTAAACAAAATCCAAAAATATCTAAAAACTGAAAGCATTTGGCAGCAAAAGCTGACCTGAAAGGGCATGTGTTGTTGGGAATTGTTACCTATCACATTCAGTATGAGTATGTTGGGCTGCAGAATTCTTTCTGTATTTGATTATTAGGTGTTGTTTCAGACCCCACCAAAAGTGTTATGAAATATAAGGTATGTGTAATAGGTTACTCAGGACAACCATATAAAACTATTATTATTGCAGGTCAAAAATGACCAGATATATGCAATTTCAGATGGTTCAACTTAATGCTTTTTGAAACCTGGCTCCAAGGACTTGAGATACAGGATTTGACGGCCTGTAATCTTATGGAGACCCTCCACTTTGAGTATTAACTGTGTGGTAGGTGCCGTGTCAAGCATGACTCTCAAATTAGTATCTCCATGCAAGCCTCTGCCTGGAAGCCCCAAATAACCGTTCATCTACCTATTAATTGCCTCCGCTTGGTCATCTAAAAGTCCCCTTACTTTATTTATCTCAATCTCCGCTCTCAAGCATCTAGCCAAAGCCTGCCCTGCCTCCATTAAAGATGTCTTTACGCACCCCACGCTCAAACAAAAAGCCCTTGACTCAGACTTTTCTCTTCTCTTTCTCTCTCACTCCACATCTAGCATAATAAGAAATTATGTCTGCTCTAGTTTAAAATATTAATATATCCAGGATCCACTATTTCTTGTGACCCTCATTGTCATCACCTCATCCAAGCCACCATCCTGCCTCTCCTGGATGATTGCAGTGGTCTCCAAATGGGTCTCCCAGACTTCAGGCTGTTCTCAACACAGCAAACAGGATGATCTTTTCAAAGTAAAATCAGAGCCTGCCACCTCTCCGCCCATCACCTTCCAAAGAACCCCTACTCCACTCACCACCACCTCTCTTCCCATCAAACTCAGTGAAGAAGAAGCCAAGTCCTACCTGGACCCAGGAGGACACACACGGTCAGCCTCCTCCATCACTCTGACCTTGTGGTCCCCCCACTCCCCCTCACCCACTGCCCCAGCTGACCTGGCCACCTTGCTGCTCTGTAAATACACCATGTACACTGGCTTCAATGCCAGGCTCTCTTCCTCCAGACACCTCCACGTCCTCCCCCACCCTCTTCAAGTCTTCATTCATATGTCTCCTCTCAATGAGGTCTATTCTGACAACTCTATTTTCAATTGCAATTAAGATCATTTATCTCTTTTTTTTTTCTAAATCACTTAAGGCCATCTAATGTACTATAAATTAACTTATTTGTTTTAATTACTGGCCGTCTCCCCCCACCAGAATATAAGCTTCATGAAAGCAGGAGGTTTTGTCTGTTCTTTTCACTGTTTTATCCCCAGTACCTAGAACACTATCTTGCACATACTCAAGTGCGATAACTCATCATTTATCTGTTAAGTGATTTACTTTTTGCCTTTGAATCCACTGAGATTCAAGAAGGAAAAAAGAAGTACCTCCTGGCAGCCAAAATAGATCTCTGTATTATCAAAGAAGTTATACAGATGGCAAATAAGTATGTGAAAAGATGTTCAACATGATTAGCCATTAGGGGAATGCAAATTAAAACCACAGTGAGATACGACCACACACTTATCAGAACGGCAAAAGCAAAATATAGTAAAGGCACCAAATGCTGGAGAGAGGATACAGAGAGGATGCTGGACCTTTCACACATTACTTGTGGGAAGTAAAATGATACAACCACTCTGGTTGTAGGTAACTGCCATACAGTTACCTACAGAATTAATTGTAGATAACTGCTATATTTAGGCAACTGCTTAAATTTTATAGGTAACTGCCATGGTAAAAACATACCATGGTAAAAAACATGGTATGTTTTTACCATGGCAGTTAATTTTACCATGGGAAATTAAACATTTGTTTACCATACAGCCAACAATTTCACTTTGGGCATTTATACCAGAAAAAGTGAAAACATGTTCACACAAAATAATCTGTACACAAATATTCACAACAGCATTATTCATAATAACTCAAAACTGGAAATAACCCAAATGTCCTTCAGTGGGCGAATGATTAAACAAACTGTTGTATATCCGTACCATAGAATGCTACTCAGTCATCAAAAGAAAGGTTAAGTTACAATAGCAAAGATTTAGGTTAATCTCAAAGATGTTTCTTAATAGATTTGTTCAATCCAGAATGAGTAACCATGGGACATCAAAATCATCCTTTGCTAGAATTCTTTGAAAATACGTTAGATGCTTATTTTAGTAGATGGTAATGAGTCTATTGAATAACAGTTAGGAGCAATAGTCATGGGGAAGGGTTATGACTTAGTACCTGCTCTCCCAGACCTGATGGTCTAATTGGGGAGACAGAAGGAATGGTCAAACATAGTCTAGTAGGAGGTATTCAATGATAGGGAAGAAAGGGAAGCTATAGGAACATAGAATATGATCATCTTACCCAATCTTGGAGGCAGGCGGATACAAAAATGGTTTCTACACACAATTAAGGAACAGGAGCATAGAAAAGAAAGGTTAAGTTACAATAGCAGAGATTTAGGTTAGTCTCAAAGACATTTTTTAATAGATTTGTTAAACCAAGAATGAGTAGCCATGGGACATGAAAATCATCCTTTGCTAGAATGAGCATAGGAGCATAGTGATATGAAGGAAGAGGACTGGACACTTCCATTTTGCAACAGTACAGCTAGTCAATAGTGTATCCAGGGAACTGCAGCTTGGGAAAGTAGTAAAAGTTGAGGCTGGACACTGGGGACGGGTGACAGTGAGCAGGGACCAAGCCATGAAAGGCCTTTCCAAGTAGCCTGAAGAGTCCAGGCTGTGACATAACCAGAAGTAGCAACTGGATGGAGGCGCTAGTAAAACTGGTTTCTGCCGTACATCACAGGCCATTCCTTAAACTTTCCTATTATTTCTAGAACCCATCTTTTCCCAGGGTCCTTTACTTTCCTCTGAGATCAACCCTCCCTGAGCTCTAAGGCCGAGTTCCAACACCACCTCTTTCTCCAGGAAGCCCCCTCAACCCCCTCACTGCAGGGTCTTACCCACTCCTGGGTAAAGACAGTGCAGGTATTTATGAACATGCATGATCCAGCAGTACCTATGGTGAAGTGTGATGGTGAAGAAGCCAGCAGCCAGCCTGCCTGAGTCCCAATCCTGGCTCTACCACTTGCCGTCTGTGCTTTATTTTCTTATGTGTAAAATGAGAATGATAGCTTTATTGTCACAAAATTTATCTCAGGATTGAATAATTTTATTGATGTATTTAACTTAGAGCAGTGATTGGCACAAAGTAAGCACTTAATAAATATAATCTTTTATTACATGTTGTGGCCCCCACACCCAACTGCAGGCAAAGCACATCACATGATCAATTAACTTTAGACTAATCAGGGAGTAGTGGTTAATGTTCTACCCTCACAGACAGTCACCTCGATCTGTGGCCTCATACTCTGATTAAACAATGGTCAATGCAGACTGGAAATACTTTCCTTTCATGGGCAGTCATGTGCTAGAGGTTACAACTCCAAGCCGTGATTTAGAACTAGGTCATCTTCCTAGCTCCTCTGTCTTCATCCTTGGATGACCTAGGACAAGTGCCTTCACCTTTTAGAACTTTGCTATTCCCATCTGTACACTGAGAATGAATTTCTATGAGGTTCAAAATGACAGAGGGCTAGGCAGCACTTTGCAAAGAGCTGATGCAAATGTGATTTCCGTTTCCCAATCTGCAAACCACACACCTCTCATCCCTCACTTTCACTTCCAGAAGCACACTCCCCAGACTGGCACAGCTGGTAAGCCTCCAGTGCAGGGAACAGGTATATTTTAATTTGCCCCACCCACTGACTTGATGAATTCTTTCTCTCCTCCTTCAGGGACTTTCCTAACTTCCTTCTGTAAACGAAGGAAGGAGCACATGAGCATACTGTATATAAATATGCTTGGGAAAGCTTTCTTCTTCTCCTTCTTCTTCTTTTTTTTTTTTTTTTTTTTTTCCTCAAACCAAACTTGGTTTCTGTTGTAGGCGGTGCATTCTCTAGCAGGGTAGGGCCACAGTGTGCTCTTGAAGAGGGGAGGGGAGAGGAAAAGGGAAGGAGGAGACTGAGTGATTAAGTCACCCACTGTGAGAGCTGGTCTTCTATTTAATGGGGGCTCTCTCTGCCCAGGAGTCAGAGGTGCCTCCAGGAGCAGCAGGAGCATGGCCGAGGATCTGGGACTGAGCTTTGGGGAAACAGCCAGTGTGGAAATGCTGCCAGAGCACGGCAGCTGCAGGCCCAAGGCCAGGAGCAGCAGCGCACGCTGGGCTCTCACCTGCTGCCTGGTGTTGCTCCCCTTCCTTGCAGGACTCACCACATACCTGCTTGTCAGCCAGCTCCGGGCCCAGGGAGAGGCCTGTGTGCAGTTCCAGGTAAGCCACATGGCACTCTGACCTTGGGGAGGAGCAGTGGACTCTCTGCAGTGAGTGGCAACTATTTCAGCTCTGGACAGAGGATAGAGTTTCTTGATGTATCACATTTCTTGTTTCTACATGCAGAGGAAATGTAGAGTGGGAGGGGTGGAGAGGTTCAATTTGGTGTTTATTCTCAATATTTCTAGGGAATGAACAGTCCCTTCTTTTACTGTGGGGATAACCTTCAGCCTCATATTTTTTAGATAATTATAATCATAGTATACTGGTAATTTGGGAAGATTCTTTTTATTTAAGAAAAAAACTTAAAATTACATAACTAACACGGTCATTGAAAAAAGTTAGAAAATACAGATAAGGAGAGGAAGAAAGTCATCATTACCCATAACTCTTATAGCTGACCACTGTTAACAGTTTGGGATATATAATTCTGTACAGAATTATATGCCAGATATAAAACGGATTTTTTAATGAGACGAGATTATTCTGAGTCTGCTAATATATTATGATTTTATTTATATGCTAATGAATTCACAACAACATGATGCTATAGATACACATTCCTATATGTGGATGCTATAATTTCTTTACCCACTCTTTTTCTTGGGTTTAGAACTTTTTCTCTTTTTAGAGCTTAAGAAAGAACCTCCTGCCTGGTTGTCTATCTCTAAGGTCTTGCTGAGGCCTGGGAGAAGCCTAGTCAGAAAAAGAATATGAAGTCTAGGGAGAACAATGGTAGGGGCAGCGATAGGTGTCAAGAAGAAAACATAATTCTTGGCTGGGAACAACAAAGATGTACCTCAAAACCTAAGGAATGAGTCTTTCCAGTAATATCCTTTTTAAAAATGTCCCTTCATAATCTATGGTGGCTGATTTCATTTCAGTTCAAAGTATTAAATTGCAAAGGGAAAAAAATGGGTTTTCAATGGGTTTAACTGGAAACCTAGCCTCTAAGCAATCCTGGCCAGTTTCAAAGCATAGACACCACAAGTAAGCCATGGAAAATCTGTAATTCTCGCTGCCCCATCAGGGTCAACAAACAGACTGTGATTCAGGCAGCAGCGTTCATGGCCAGATGCCATTGCTCATAAAATGTAGAAATATGCAGACAAACCGGAAATGCTGTTTATGTTAAAGAAGAACCGCAGGTCATGGGAAGTCAGACTTTGACCCTTTGACCACCAAGGGGCCAGTTTCTGCTGGAAGTCAAACTGCAGCGCCCAGTTGGTGCTCTGGGACTCTGTCCCTCTTTAGCCAGAAGGAGATAGTTGTCCTTGAATGAGACACTGAGTGGCCTCCAGAAACCTGCACTGGGGTCTGAAGGAAGCCCAGAGGCATGACAGGTTCCCACGATCAAGATGATGTCTGAGAGCCCTTGGTCAGCAGAAGGCGAGGACTGCCTTTGTCTATCTAGAAGACCAGCAAGCAGAATGTTACAGACCAGGGAGGATCCATGACTTGCCCAGCCAGAAGGTGAGATGGAGACATGCACTGTCACTAGACGGGAAGCTCGGTGAAGGAAGGCACGGGGTCTTTTTTACTCACTGCTACTGCCCCTACCTGAATCTATCACTGTGCCTATCCAATTGCAGATGCTCAAGAAATGAATAAGGCTGACACCATCCATTCCATTATCATTAAATTCATCTTCCTGGAGAGCAGATGTGTGGGGATGATTGCAGCTCTGGTTTGCCCAGGCTCTGTAACTTCTTAGTGTGTCAGAAGAAAAGGAGAGGGAAATGGGGGTGAGGCTGGGCTCATGTAGCAATCAGGGTCCTGAAAAGAAACAGCTGGCTCACTCAAGAAAGTGCATTTGTAGAAGAATATTTAAAGAGTTTGAAGGGATTTAAAGAAGGGCCTCTTTGCTGAGATGCAGACGGATTGAAGGGAACTGAAAGGGCTGGAACATCCAGCACTAGCAACAGTGGGAAACCAGCAACCATGCCTTGGCATGAAGGGCACATGGAGGGAGAAGTGTTAGAGAAACCCAGAGAGAACTAAAGCCTAGGAGAGGGCCTGCCTGGAAGACCTAAGGGCTCTGGGGAGAAAGGCAGTCACTGCCAAAACAGCAGCAAGAGCACAGAAGGAAGGAGGGAATGCTGACTGCTCCCCCATCCCCCACCCTGCCTCCAATCCAATCCCATTGACCAGGCTCAGGAGGAAGCCAGAGCTCAAAGGTCCAGGGGCAACTGAGCCAGGAGTCAGCTTCACAGGACAGAGCAGGGTCAGGAAGGGCTGAGAGAGGATCTGGAGGGACTGATGGAGAAGAAATGGCTCAGAGGAGATGGGAAAAGACTGGATTCAAGGAGGGAAAACCAGGGCACCAAGGAGAACTTGGGTAAACATACAGTGAAATGTGGCTCACTTCCAGCTATGAAAATAGGCATGTGGCTTCATTTCTTTGAGCCTTTTTCCTTTTCTCTGAAGGGGGTATTAATATCAATACTCTGACAGCACCAATAAGGCGTGTGCAGAAGGAGCATTGTGTATGTTAGAAATGTGGGGAGAGCCGCATGCACATGGTGGCTGTGACGTGATCATCACTCTACCCCAGGCACCAGGCAACTACAGAGAAAATTTGATGTTGGCCTCAGGAAATAGGCTATTTCAACAGAGAGGTGCTATGGAATTTCAGATGCTCTCCCGGCCCAGCCACAGAGACAGGGGTGGTTCAGGAAAAGCTTTCTGGAGGAGGGAAGGAAGGCACCTGGGCTAGAAGCTGTGGCTGAGGTCCAGATCACAGACACCATTATGGGTAAAAACCAGTCAGATGATCGCAGGTCATTGGAGATAACAAGGCCTTTGAAGGTCAGCTAGCCTAAAGTGCCTAGTTTTGCACATAGGGACACTGAGGCCCAGGGGATTGAAGAGATTTGCCCAATCCCATACCTCTAGTCGGTGACAGAGCCACAATTTGAAACTGGACCATCTGGCCTCCTTCCCTGTGCATTCAGGCAGCCATATTTGTGCTGTTCCAAGTGCCAGGTGGCCACACCATGGATCAAAGGAAGAAGGAGATCAGTAATACCATGGAGAAAACTATTACCACAACTATACCAGTTACTGAGCCTCACCCCTCTCCCATTGAAGAACTTCAGATGGCAAATCTTATGCCACCCACAGAGTCACCCATCTAGAACTACTGGCCCAGCAGAGAGTAAGGCTACCTGTATTTTTCCAAAGAGAGAATTAAGAATCAGAGAGCTAACACAGCATGCTTACATTACAGAAATACAATTAAAAACAAAATCTGGCCGGGCACAGTGGCTCATGCCTGTAATCCCAGCACTTTGGGAGGCTGAGGCAGGCGGATCACGAGGTCAGGAGATCGAGACCACCCTGGCTAACATGGTGAAACCCTGTCTCTACTAAAAATACAAAAATCAGCTGGGCGTGGTGGCGCGCGCCTGTAGTCCCAGCTACTCAGGAGGCTGAGTCAGGATAATCACTTGAACCCGGGAGGCGGAGGTTGCAGTGAGCTGAGATCACGCCAGCTCACTCCAGCCTGGGTGACAGAGCAAGACTCCGTCTCAAAAACAAAAACAAAAACAAAAAAAACCAAAGTCTTCTCCCAATCTAGAAATCCTCTCCACAAAGGTAGTAGAGAAAGAAAACAGTTTTATTGTTGAATAAGCATTAAACCAGAATGTGATGCACATCACAGGCAATCTACCAAGAGATGGCAAAGATAAATATCTCACCCTCTTATGCAGCCAAGCAAATACAACCCATTGCACACAAGTTAACTGAAAAAAAAGCAAAGTGCGTTAACAGCATATATAATGTGGTACATTCCTTTTATGAAAATATTTACCTATATGAACATATTTGGAAATGCATGTTATATCTCAGGAAGCGCACAAAAGAAAGTAGTAATTCTGCTAGCATCCTGGTAGAAAACTGGGTGGCTTGTCAGCAAGGGAAGGAGGGAGTCATTTATAAACCTAGCCTCTTCCATACAAAATGTGTATGCTACCTATACAAAAAAGTATAGAAATAATAAAACTGTTAGGTCCTTTAGATTTCTGCAGAATATTAGACAGACGTATCTTGGAAGAGTTTAGGGTTGAAAGTTAAAATCCAGCTTGAATTCTGGCCTAGACACTTCTTAACCATGTTACCTAACCCTTTCGGGCCTCGGCTTCTTTATGTATAAAATGGGAATAATTAGAAATAAAGTATTTGAAGTGTCTGTCAAGGAGTGAGGGATTAGTAAATGTTAACAATTATTATTATTATGACCAGGGAATTTCCCCGCTCAGGGAAATCACATCATAGAAGACAACTTCTTCACCTGCCCTGGAATTTGCCATCGCCTGGCCAGAGAGTAGGTGTTGATACTAGAGGGATTTTCTTGGTCCATGTTTATGAGCTCTCTCTGTGTTTCATTCCCCAACCAGGTCTTGCCTCCCAACCCCCACTAATTCCTCAATCCATTTTTTACCCAGCTGCACTTGACAGCCCTGTAGGCTGGGCATTCTTTGGGCCCTACAGTATCTTCCACTGCCCTCAGATTGGGTCCACAGGCCTTACTCTGGGCCCAGGTGCCCTGAGACCAGGCCTCCATCCTCTCTGGGCACAGCTCTGGCACACAAAGTCTGTGCAGGCAAAGCAGAATGCACCAAGGTGACTCAGCCCAAGCCCAGCAGTGGCACTCAGTACCTCACAACGAATCCTCAGGGATGCCGTAGGAGGCATTCCTGCCCAGGGTTTAACCACTGCCCAACCTGTCCTTCCCTTTTCAGTTCTACTTCCAGGATCATCTGCACACTCTCCCCACATTCTCCTTGGTTCCCTCCAACCTCACTTCATGCCTCCCTGAAAATCTCTACAATGCTCCTGCCTTTTATTCCTGAACCATTCTTCCCTGCTGAGGCCTCCTGGTCTCCAATCAGACCAATAGGGTCTTGTAGTGATGGCTTGGGCTTCAGAGTCACACAGACTTGAGGAAAAGCCATGGCTCCACCGCATCACAGCTGCGACCTCTTAATAACTTATTATATAGCAGAAACCACACTAAATATTTTCATATTAAAGGTTTTGAGACAAGTACATGAGATCACACCTATAAAGCATCTAGCATGGTACCTGGTAGGTAAACATGTGCAATACTTGTTTGCTATCATTACTACATGCATCACCTCAGTTAATAATGGAAATCACACAATGAGGAAACTACTATTATTATCCACATTTTAGAGATGATGAAGCTGAGGTTTGGAAAGGCTAAACAATGTGCCCAGTCACACAGTTAAAGACTGTGACACGGATTTAAATCCACTGTATATATTTCTCCTAATCACTATGTTGTCTGCCTTTGGGAATAAGTCCAACCAAGTATTCACCTCCTGGGATAGGCAGGAGGATTTAACTATGAAAAGCACCTACCCCATAGTAAGTGCTCAATAAATGCCAGTCCTCTTCCTCCCCTGAGGGCACCTATCTGTACCTGGCACACAGAAGGCACTCACTAAGTGTTTTCTGGATGGAGGGAGGGTTGGAGGGGTGGGAAATGTACTAGATCTCCCTGGGCCATAGACTCACTGTCTATAAAATGAGGAGATTAATACGCTTTCTATATAGCACTATGGTGAGAATTCTGCAAAATGTCCAGAAAGCTGCTGCCATAGAATAGATGCTCAGCAGACATGATTCCCTCCCCCTCCCCCTCCCCACTCCACCTGGGATGAGCCCTCTTATCTCACTCAAGTTGTTTCCTCTTTCCGAAGGATTAGGGATCATGATAATCTCTTTCAGTGCTATCTAGAGAAAAACAGATAGTTGAGATAAAAGTACTTTGTAAATTGCAGACCCCTTATCCCTCAGTGAAGATGCCCTTGCTATAACCTCAGGAAGCACCAGCATACCTGGAAGATATTCACTCCAAAGATCAGGTTGTGGGCAAAGGGAAGGGAAACCAGAGGCAGTGAAGGTGCACTGAGGAAGTGCAGAGGCAGGAAGGGCAAGCAAGCCTGGCTGTGAATCTCAGACATCCAGGCAGCTTGCAGCTGGTAACGGCAGAATCCACTCAACCACCAGGTAAAGTGAACATATCGCTGAGTGCCAGGCCAGCTTGGAGAGCTCCTGCATCCGCACCCAATGGAGCATACACTGCAGACCACACACTGGCTACAAGAGGTCATCTCCCAGCCTGACCCCTCCTTGTAGCTGACAGCAGCAACAAGCTGGGGATGTGAAGTGGGTGGGGCGTAAATTCCATTCCCTCAATCTATTTGCACTCTGAAAGGGCAGAAGTTCAAAAGCCTGAGGAAGCCTAGTGAATGTCTGTCCTTGGGGAAAAGCAGATGCCTCCCGGAGCTCCTAAAGCATCCAAATCTACTCCTTGTGATAAAAAGATACAAGGGTGGCTTCTGTGTACAACTGAAGTCCTAAGACCAAAAAGAGGATGTGCAGAACCAACAATACAGCCTACAATCATATATTGAGCCCAAAGAAATGAGGAAAATGAACCTTATATATGTGGCCTTTCTGAGCCATCACAATAGACCTGGGAGGTAAGAATTATTGTCTGCTTTTATTGACGAGGAAACAGTTCCATTGAGGTCAAGTGACATGCCACAATCAGAGCACCAGGAAATAATGGAGCTGGGATTTCCAAATTTGCTCACCTGCAAACACCAGCATCTTTGCTTTGTACTGTGCTGAATGTTGCACATAAAGCCCTATCCAGGGCACCTTGGAGGATGATGAAATGAAATGACCTCAGAATAAAACATTTCCAGGTTGGCGTTATCCTTGGGCAAGTATAAACAGGCAGAAGCAGAAGGAAGAGACAAAGAGGCAAACATCTGCATATTTCTCCTGGAAGTGCTGGGAGGATGTTTTGGATCATAAAACATTTATGCCTTTGCAATTACAGCATTTATGACAGCAAGAGATGAATATCTCTCCCTGTTTATGAATAGAGATAGAGAGTGACTATAGTACATGAGAGGAAAGGCTATGTGGATCATTAATTAAAATATACTTAGGGGATTTTTCTGGGGAAATGCCAGGAAATCTCAAAGATTATCTTGCTTCAGGCTTGTTCATCTATTGTACACTGAGCTGATGTTTATGAAGCTCCCAATATGTGCCAGGGTCTGTACTTGGTCTAAAGGTTCAGATCCCAAGCCCTCCATGCACTCTTTGACCTTGGACAGTTGCTTGACCTCTTTTCGTGCCATTCTAAGCCATGAAAAGGTGATGCTGACCCCTCCTTTAAAAGTAGCTGGAGTATTAGATGAGGCAAACACATAAATGCCCAATACAGGACCTGGCACCTGGGGAGCATTCCACTAAACTTCAATCTCCTCTTTATGCTTTCTTCTGCCCAATTTAAATAATTAAAGTAATTCCAAAAATACCTATAGTAACAGACCATGGTTAGTTTGAGTCAGGGATTACCAGTCAACATACAAAAAAAAAAACAAAAATCAAATGAGAGGAAAAATTCCCTGACCTACAAGAACTAAGGAGGGTAGGGGAAGAGAAGCACCAGCTGTTTTTTGCTAGGGCTAACATATGCTGGTGGGAGCAAGCATCCCATCTCCCTCTAAGATGCATGCTTATGGACATACACATTTGCTTTTCTGACTCTGGCTCCTGGCTAAGCCTTGCCACTTACAACAAATCTTTCTAGAGCCACAGCTATGCTCCACACAGAGCCTGATGAAGACCTTTAGAGGCCCTCGTACTAAATGACAAACATTTTTAATAGGAACAAAAAGTTGTCTTTCCTAGATTTTTGGATTATAAAACTCTGGCTGAAGTCACTGCATCCTCACCCCCTCTCTGACTCTCTTTGTCTGCCTCTGTCTTCCTGATGCCTGAGAATCTGTGCATTTTGCCAGTTGGATAATCTGGCAAAAGTGCCAGGCACTGACTGAGGCACTAGGAATATAGGTCCCCACCTGTAGGCAGGTTGAATTTTCAGAGCGAGAAAAGTCATAAGCACACAAATAAATAATAAAATTCGATCCTGGATTTCAGCCAGTGGTTTGAAAAGATATGTATGTAGGAATAATCTCATTATCAGACACCATGTCTATTCAATTGGAGGCTAATGTTGCCATGACCAGCACCTCTTAGGAGCCAACACCTCTTCGGTGCCCCCAGAATAACAAGAAGTGATGGAGATGAGTCAGGGCTGGAACACAGAAGACATTGCATTGGCCTGGTGTTCCCAGGAACCATCCTGAGAGCAGGCATTAGGACAGCTGTAATGCATAAACCTTTTCTCAAATAAGCTATTATTCCATCCTCTCAAATTTCTTCCTCATTCATTACTGCTTCCTATCACAATAATTTTCCTCCTGTGATAGACAGAGTTGTTATTAAGAGAAGCAGCAATGGAAGGTTTAGATGTTGTTCTTGGAGAAAGAGTCTCAAATGACGTCCTTCTTGCGGACTCTTGGAATGTTGTAGTCTTCAATATCTGCCAACAGGCTTGGTCACCACCTCCAGATGTTTAGTGGCACACTGGACCATACTTATCCATCCATATATGAAAATAAAATGTGTGCCCAAGTTACAGAAGTCCAGCAGAGCAAACAGGGAAATGTGTCCACAGCTCAGATACATGCTAATGACAATGGGATTCTGAGTCAAAGAGGAATGTTGTAAACTCTTAGCTGAATGTCATCTTAGCCAAAGACAAGCAGGATGTTCAAAATTTCTCAGCAGATAATTAAATAAATCAAAAGAGGCCAACCAGGGCAGGTACCTTTCCTACACCAGAGGATGCAATCAAGATCTCTCTGATTCTCTTTGAGAACTCCACCTTCAGTTTTCTGCCTTGCCAAAGGATCAATTCCTTCAGCTCTGTCAATATCAAGGAAGGCAATAGACTACAGAATAAGTTCATTTCTGGGCTGCTTCTCCACTCCCTCAAGACCATCCAAGTTATTGATTCTGGATAGGTGATCACAGAAATTGGGTTTAGGTTTTCAAAAACTGCTGTACTCATGACTCTGTGCCAAATGCACATAATGTATTCATTTCCCAGCAGAAAGCCTTGATGTTTTCCAACTACTCCCATGTCCTGTTGAGCCTCCTTACATGTCGTATCCATACATACGACACCACATCACAGATGCAGGGTATTGAGGTATTTGCTGTTGTGCAAGCTGTTGGCCTTGTCTGGAATAGTCATTACCTCTTTTATCACCTGGCTAGTACCTGCAGGACCTCTAAGACTCTGTTCAGGAGCAATTTCTTCTGATTCTCCCATTTCTGGGCCAGGTCTCTGTGTCCCTACTAATTCAATAAAGTAACTACACTTAACTCTGTTTCTTCAGATACCTTGAATCAATTCACAGTGGTTGCCTCTCATGGCTGGGAACACAGAGGGCTTAGAGAGAAGTAAATAATGGATAGCGAGACTGGGATAAGTTAGGACTTTGAATGCCAAGACAAAATGAGATTGGACTGGGTCTTAAGAGCCATGAGGAGCCATTGAAGGTTTATAAGCAGTGTAGTATCTAGATAAAGTGATGCTTTAGAAAAAGCCCTCTGAAGGCAGGCCAGGAAATAGATCAAGGAAAAGGAGAAAACTGAAGTACAAAGACCCTGCCAGGGGCTGATGAAAGAATCCAGGAGAGCAGCATGCCAAGGCCTGGAATTGAAACACCATGAGAAAATTGCAAAATAGAAATGACAGCCCTTGGTTTTGCAGAAGAAGAAAAAAAGAAAATTTCAGGTCTGGTAATCGAGAGAAAGCAGTAATGGTGGCTTTAACAGAATTGAGAAGTGGATGGAAAGGGGCTGGACAGACTGTAAAGTCAGTTAGTCATTCAAAGACAAGATTTCTGCCCTCAAGGGGCTTCTAGTAGAGGTTAGGTAGCATGACCTGGGAGTGAAAAAAGGCTGGAGGTCCCGGCTCTAACAAAATCACTGACATCACACACCTGCTCACAGACCTAGACTCAGCAATGACACAATTACATCCACATGACTACGCAGGCAGATGGCAAGACATCCATACATATGACGCCACATCACAGACACGTGTACAGATGCTAAAACACGTCAATTTAGTCTCCCCACTGATGGAGCTGTATTCTCTCACACTCACACAGACACACAATTCCTCATTCATGAGACAGTCCTCCCTCGGTATCCACAGGGATTGATTTCAAGACCCCCATGGACACCAAAATCTGCAGATGCTGAAGTCCTTGATATAAAATGGCATAGTATTTGCACATAACCTAGTCACATCCTCCTATATACTTTAAATCATCCATAGATTGCTTGTGATACCTAATACAGTGTAAATGCTAATACATGTAAATGCTTATGATACCTAATACAGTGTAAATTGTTGCTATGCTATATTGTTTGTTATTTGCATTATTTTCATGGTTGTAATTTTCTTCAAATATTTTTGATCCACAGTTGGTTGAATCTGCAGATATGGAAATCATAGAACCTGACTATACACTCACAACACACACATTTTGAGATGTAAAATAGATCAAGTGTTCATATAATAAGAGGATCACTCTATTAGAGGAGACTGTGTAGCAACAAGAACCAAATCAGAAGATTGGGTTGAGTCGAAATCATATTAGAGAAGGCTTTTTTTAATATCATAAATTTTGTTTTATTTTTATTTTTTATTGATACATAATATTTTATATACGTGTGGGGTACATGTGATATTTTGCTACATACATAAAATGTGTAATGATCAAGTCAGGGTATTTGGGGTATCCATCACTTTGAGTATTTATCATTTCTATGTGTTGGGAACATTTCAAGTTTTCTCTTCTAGCTACTTTGTAATGTACAGTATAATATATAGTTCCTAAATATAGTCACCATACTCTGCTACCAAACATTAGAACTTAAACTTTCTATCCAACTGTACGTTTGTACCCATTGTCTAACCTCACTTCATCCCCATCCTCTCCCACTCACACACCTTTCCCAGCCCCTAGTGTCTGTCATTCTACTCTTTACTCGCATGAGACCGACTCTTTTAGCTCCCACATATCAATGAGAACATGCAAAGTGTGTCTTTGTGTGTCTGGTTTATTTCACTTAACATAATGACCTCCAGTTCTATCCATGTTGCTGCAAATAACGTGATTTCATTTTTTATGCCAAATAGTATTCCATTGTTTATAGGTACCACCTTTTCTTTATCCTTCCATCTATATCTTGATAGAGATATGGATCAGATTGATTCCATATCTCTACTATTGTGAATAGTCTTTCAATAAGCATGTGAGCGCAAGTATCCCTTTGATATATTCATTTCTTTTCTTTTGAATACGTGCCCAGTAGTGAGATTGCTAGACTGTATGGTAGTTCTATTTTTAGTTTTTTGAGAAATATCCATGCTATTTTCCATAGTGGCTGTACTAATTTATATTCCCACCAACCATGTATAATAGTCCAATGCATGATATTATTTGTAAGCTAAGAGCATACTTTTGCTATTAAGCTTTATGCTCAGGTATGTGAGTGATGGTTCCTTCATTTTCCATGCATTCTTTGCACTAACTCATAGATTTTCTGATTTGCTCTTCACCTCAATCCTATGAGTAATTTAGGGCTAAGTATGTTATTATTCCCACTTTAGAAATAAAGACACCAAAGCTCAGAGAGAAAAAGTCTTGTCAAGGTCATATTGTTAATAAATGGTGGAACAAGGATTTAAATTCAGATCTGTCTGCCTCTAAGGCAGTTACTCTTCCACCATCATGTGGTATCTGAAATAGCTCACAAACTAGGGTTGCAATTATTTAAAAAGTCTTTATGTATTGCACAGAAACAAGGAAGAATTGTTGAGGCTGATGAAAAGGAGAACATAGCCATTATTTTCTCTTCTGTGTCGTTTTTAAGAAGAGTCCCAATTTTTAAATTATGGTAGAGGAAAGAAAATAAAGCAAGTGCCATTATTTGTTCAAATAACAAAAGCATAGACAAGATGCTGAGTTCCCCTAGAATAGAACGAGAAAATCTCTCAAGAAAAGAACCTTAAAGTTGAGCTTCAGAGACAAGCCTAAGAAAGAGGAAGGTCATTGGAAGTGTCAGGGGAGGAAAGTGGAGAGCTGAGATGCAAGATTCCCATCAACAAAAATATTTTCATTCTCATTTCCCTCATCACAGAGTACCCAGGCTGGGCAGCAGAAGCTTTGTAATCATACCTGTGCTATGGGAAGCTGTAAGTGTTGGGATCAAAAGGACCACAGTTGGTCTAAACTATACTTTCTTTCCCAATAGGCTCTAAAAGGACAGGAGTTTGCACCTTCACATCAGCAAGTTTGTAAGTATGCTCATCTTCAACGCCTTTCCTCGTGGGGAATAAGAACATTTCTAGTAGTTCTGTATGCAGGAAGTTCAGAGATGAGTCTTTAAGTACAAGTTGCTAAGCTGAGGGATGCAAATCCAGAGGAGAAATGAGGCTCTGCTGCAGGCACTAAGAAGGCAAAATGGCACCATGTCAAAGTGCATGGCCTGTGGAGCTGATGGCCTGAACTCAAACCCCAACTCCGGAATCTACTAGCAGTGTGACCTTTGGGCAAATAATCTCACCTGTCTCTGCCTGCATTTATTCACCTGTAAAAATGGTTATAGTAGATCCTACTCAAAAGGGTTAATGTGAATTAAATCAGTTAATTCCTATAAAGGAGTTAGAACAATGTCTAGCACATCAAAAGTATGCACTTCATTTTTGCTTTTTATTATCATCAACACCACCATATTTATAACTGTAATTAGACCATGCCTAATCCAACATAATATTTCTGAGAACCAAAGGGAAATTCTAAGGTCTTCTCAAGAACTAATAGACAAACAGAGGCCCAGAGAGGGAAAAGGATTCACCAAAGTCATATAGCTAAAGAATAGTTCCCATCCACTCTTCATCCCATTTCTTTTGGGCCATCTATTCAGTGAATATAGTTAAAGGGACCATGGAAGAAGGCAAAAAGCCAATTCACTCCTGTGAAAGAATTTTGTGGGAAAGAGCAGTGAGTTGTGCTTTATTGAGCATTGGCCATGTGCAAAATTCATGCTAAGCACCTCCATCTATACTGTGCCCATCTTAGATGAGATGAGAAAACAGGGTCTCAGGCAGGCTAGATAAACTTGCCCAAAGCCATGGGGCCAAGATTCATTTGTGTTCAAGACTCTTTCTTCTGAGTCACCCTGTCCTTGGTGGTGCTTGCTGCGGGTGCCACATTCCAATCCAAAATCCTGCAAGGAGTGGCACTGGACCAAGCTGGAGGAGATCAAGGTTTCTCTCCTATCATAGGCGCCATGCAACTCACAAAGGGCCGTCTTCATTTCAGTCACCCTTTGTCTCATACAAAGCACATTTCTCCTTTTGTTACAGATGCACCTCTTAGAGCAGACGGAGATAAGCCAAGGGCACACCTGACAGGTAAGCCTCCCTGCTGTGTTTTACGGGAGACCATGGGCCAGAATCCTGAGATTTCTTTCAGCACTTTACCAAAATTCATTCTAGTGGCTTAAAATGAAAACTACATTCCTTGGTAAGAGACTCCTCCCCTCAATATTCCAGTGTGTGTGTGTGTGTGTGTGTGTGTGTGTGTGTGTGTGTGTACACACATATGTATATACACACACACACACGTTTTCCTTATCTATTCATCTGTTGATGAACACTTAAGTTGATTCCATATTTTTGCGATTGTGAATAGTGCTGCAATAAGCATGTGAGTGCAGGTATCTCATGGAGGGTTTTTTGGATGTCTTCTTCCCTGTGGGGGGGTTCCAAAGGCCCATGTCTCTTGGGCATTTTCTTTCAGATTCTATCAGCCCTCTCTCTTTCTCTCCTGTCTCTCTCTTTCATTCATACACTGAGTCATTCAGAAATGGCTTCTCTCCAACTCGGAGCTGCAAGTAATTCTGGATCTGGTCACAAACAAAAAGTCCCCAGAGTTGCCAATTTATCTAGTTCATCTGTGCCCTGTTCAAGATGATGTAACTAAACATTTACCTTCAGGGAGGTGTTTCCAAAGAATTTTCATCGATATATAGAAATCAAGAGAAATTCCATACTATCACCAAATCAAGAGAAATTCCATACTATCACCAGTTGGCCAACTTTCCAAGTCTAGTGCAGAAATCCAAGGCACCTCACACCTAGAGTTCCTATACCTCTGAGACTCCAGAGGAAAGAACAAGACAGTGCAGAAGGATATGTTAGAACCCACTGAAAACCTAGAAGGTTAAAAAGGAAGCATACCCTCCTGACCTATAAGAAAATTTTCAGTCTGCAGGGGGATATCCTTGTGGCCCAAGACATTGGTGTTATCATTTGACTAAGAGGAAATTATTTGTGGTGAGCTCTGAGTGAGGATTAGGACCAGGGAGATGCCAAGTTTCTATCACTTACCTCATGCCTGTAAGACAAGTGTTTTGTTCCAATTGATGAATGGGGATAAAACAGTTCAGCCAATCACTTATGGGGCAAAGAATGGGAATTTGAAGGGTCTGGTGCCTGGCCTTGTCATACGTAAACAAGAGAGGCATCGATGAGTTTTATCTGAGTCATTTGGGAAAGGATAATTCTTGCAGCAAGCCATTTTCCTAAACACAGAAGAATAGGGGGATTCCTTAACCTTCATTGTTCTCCAGGATCATAGGTCTCAGGTAAAATTAAAAATTTTCAGGTCAGACCACTCAGTCTCAGAAAGGCAAAGTAATTTGCCCCAGGTCACTAGTCCAAGATGTTATTCTCTTTGAACAAATGTGTATGTCCAGTCACATATTCTTCATTCATTCCTCCCCAAAGCAGTTTTTAGCTGTTAGGTATATTCGATCACTTTAGTCTATTTTGAAAATGATATGAGACACTTTTTAAGCAAAGTCTACAGTTTCCCAATGAGAAAATTAATCCTCTTTCTTGTCTTTCCAGTTGTGAGACAAACTCCCACACAGCACTTTAAAAATCAGTTCCCAGCTCTGCACTGGGAACATGAACTAGGCCTGGCCTTCACCAAGAACCGAATGAACTATACCAACAAATTCCTGCTGATCCCAGAGTCGGGAGACTACTTCATTTACTCCCAGGTCACATTCCGTGGGATGACCTCTGAGTGCAGTGAAATCAGACAAGCAGGCCGACCAAACAAGCCAGACTCCATCACTGTGGTCATCACCAAGGTAACAGACAGCTACCCTGAGCCAACCCAGCTCCTCATGGGGACCAAGTCTGTATGCGAAGTAGGTAGCAACTGGTTCCAGCCCATCTACCTCGGAGCCATGTTCTCCTTGCAAGAAGGGGACAAGCTAATGGTGAACGTCAGTGACATCTCTTTGGTGGATTACACAAAAGAAGATAAAACCTTCTTTGGAGCCTTCTTACTATAGGAGGAGAGCAAATATCATTATATGAAAGTCCTCTGCCACCGAGTTCCTAATTTTCTTTGTTCAAATGTAATTATAACCAGGGGTTTTCTTGGGGCCGGGAGTAGGGGGCATTCCACAGGGACAACGGTTTAGCTATGAAATTTGGGGCCCAAAATTTCACACTTCATGTGCCTTACTGATGAGAGTACTAACTGGAAAAAGGCTGAAGAGAGCAAATATATTATTAAGATGGGTTGGAGGATTGGCGAGTTTCTAAATATTAAGACACTGATCACTAAATGAATGGATGATCTACTCGGGTCAGGATTGAAAGAGAAATATTTCAACACCTTCCTGCTATACAATGGTCACCAGTGGTCCAGTTATTGTTCAATTTGATCATAAATTTGCTTCAATTCAGGAGCTTTGAAGGAAGTCCAAGGAAAGCTCTAGAAAACAGTATAAACTTTCAGAGGCAAAATCCTTCACCAATTTTTCCACATACTTTCATGCCTTGCCTAAAAAAAATGAAAAGAGAGTTGGTATGTCTCATGAATGTTCACACAGAAGGAGTTGGTTTTCATGTCATCTACAGCATATGAGAAAAGCTACCTTTCTTTTGATTATGTACACAGATATCTAAATAAGGAAGTATGAGTTTCACATGTATATCAAAAATACAACAGTTGCTTGTATTCAGTAGAGTTTTCTTGCCCACCTATTTTGTGCTGGGTTCTACCTTAACCCAGAAGACACTATGAAAAACAAGACAGACTCCACTCAAAATTTATATGAACACCACTAGATACTTCCTGATCAAACATCAGTCAACATACTCTAAAGAATAACTCCAAGTCTTGGCCAGGCGCAGTGGCTCACACCTGTAATCCCAACACTTTGGGAGGCCAAGGTGGGTGGATCATCTAAGGCCGGGAGTTCAAGACCAGCCTGACCAACGTGGAGAAACCCCATCTCTACTAAAAATACAAAATTAGCCGGGCGTGGTAGCGCATGGCTGTAATCCTGGCTACTCAGGAGGCCGAGGCAGAAGAATTGCTTGAACTGGGGAGGCAGAGGTTGCGGTGAGCCCAGATCGCGCCATTGCACTCCAGCCTGGGTAACAAGAGCAAAACTCTGTCCAAAAAAAAAAAAATAAAATAATAACTCCAAGCCTTTAAAAAATATCATCTGAAACTGTTACATCAGATTTCTGGCACTCTACTGACTGTGGAAGATAGCCAGCTGACTGGAAGATAGCCAGCTGATTAGTTCCCTGAAGAAACCTGAAGACAGATACCTGGTTAACTAGATCAACTACACTGCCAACTTGTTTGATGCTGAGAGACAATGGACTTATTCCATGGGGGAAGGGAAAAAAGAAGTCAATCACCAAATCTGAAGAAGTTAACCTAGATCTTTGAGGTTTGATTTGCAACTTTATATGCAGAGTATTATGTGGGTATTTTCCCTTAAAATATTCAAAGGGATTTACATATGGGATTAGCTAATGAGCCTAGCCAAGACCTTCCCTGGAGGACAGGCTGGTCATTGCGGAGGTCCCTTCTGTGCTTCAGTGGGTTCATATCCTCTAGTCCGTATGATTTTCCTACGCTAATATGTCAAGGGCAGGAGAGGCAGCTCTGTTCTCCTAGCCTTTGTTGACTTGTCTGCAAAGCAGGAATCTGCCCATTTGTTTCCAAGGAGCAAATGAGCTCATGAGAATGAAAGATGTTAACTTCATGCATTCTGTGCCATCTGAGCATTTCGGTATTATATGACTGGTGACCCTTGGCCCGTATTATAAATGCTTCCTATCCTGGGAGACCTCATGGATGAGTCTGAGAGGAAATTTGGCACCAAAATCACTCTCACTCTGGTTTCCAGTAGACTATAGAGGCAGAGAGGCATTTGAGAGGCTCCTGAGCAAAGTGTCCAGTGTAGCAGGAGCACTTCATTAATATTTATTGAGTTATAATTAAATAAAAATTAATTTCTGATTTCTCAGTTTGGAGGTTAAGGCTCTAAATATATTTTCTAACCTCTGCTAGGCTAACTTAAGCCAGGCCTTTTTCTTGCCTTCCCTTTCTCAAAACAGTCAGCACAGACTCAGTGGGAGCACAGAGGAGTGTGGTCACCTCCACCTGGCTCACCAGAGTCTTCATAGAGGAAGTGAAGCCTGGAAGAAACTGGGCGGGCCCCAGATGACCACAGGGAAAGGGCATCTCAGATGGAGGAATTACCCTTGACTTAAAGCAGAAAAGAAAGATTTCTCAGTAACTCCAAAACTTGCTTGATAGGAGAATATTCCCTCAACCAATTCCTAGGACAATATTTATTGGTAGATCAAGAATGTTTCCTCAATAACTCTAGTCTAGCTCCATGATCAGAACTAACACCCATTAAAAACATAAAATGTTCTTTCTGAACCGGTCTTCATGGTGCGTGAGAGCACCAAGCAGCTTTGGTATGCAGGAGGAGTTTTGCACAGAAGAGTGGCCTGCTCAAACCTGCCCACTGTTCTGTAGGTGATCTGGTGGATCTGGAAATTTATCCCAAGACAGGAATTTCCTAATATTCGAAGACATTTGAGGCTTTGGGAAATTCTCTGCTGTGCATTTATTTGGCTCCTGTCATAAGCTTGTTTTTTAAAGAATGTATCATAGCTCAAGTTTTTACTGCTGATTTTGTTAAATTCTGTATAGTATATTTTTTACGGAAAGGCACAGTCAGACATTCCTAATAGGGCTCATGTCAGAACTTCTGTTCCCAAGGCATTATCTCCATAGCAAAAATTAGTGCACTGTTTTCAAAAGTGAGGTGGGAAAATGCTTTTAAGATCATGTGATGTTCCCCTAAAAGGGGTTAATGGGGTGTATTCAGGGTTTGGGAGGGAGGAAGAAGCATGCTTTAGAAAACAGTAAATTTAGGGAGAAAATGCTTTGTTGGTTAAATGTCACTCAAAAGGCTGAATTCAAATCAATTCCACAAACATTTACTGAGTACCTACTGCCCCTGGGGACACAGAGATAAATTATTTAGTCTCAGACACACTCATTCTAACTTCCCAGCACCTCTACTGTCTGCAGATTCTTTAATTTATTTTGGTTGTATTAGCTAATTAATTCGTAAACTTTAGGCACATGGATCTATTCTCATTATGAAAATGGATGCCATTTGATTAAGGCTGATGACTAACAAAATGATTTGTGTTTACTCGAAGTGTTTTTTTAAAAATAGCTACTCAAGGATAGTTTTCCATAAATCAAGAAGGTAAAAAAGTTCCCATTTTTTATTGTAGAATCCATTATTTAAACTACATGTAGAGACAGGTTATTATTTGCTATATTCAAGTTTGGTCATCAATACCCTTAAAAATATTAGAATTTTATGGATGACCCAGAAATGCTTTGAAAATCTGTGTTCCTCAGCAAATACAGAGACCATGATCAAAATGCACAGAATCACTAACATTTTGATGCTAGCATGGTTTCAGTCTATTTGGCAGAACAGAATTGATTATGCTACTAAAATTTCTTTTTCTTTTTTTTTTTTTTTTTTTTTGAGACAGAGTCTTGCTTTGTCACCCAGGCTGAAGTGCAGTGGCAGGATCTCAGTTCACTGCAACCTCTGCCTCCCAGGTTCACGCCATTCTCCTGCTTCAGCCTCCCGAGTAGCTGGGACTACAGGCTCCCACCACCATGCCCGGCTAATTTTTTGCATTTTTAGTAGAGACGGGGTTTCACCGTGTTAGCCAGGATGGTCTCGATCTCCTGACCTCGTGATCCGCCCGCCTCAGCCTTCCAAAGTGCTGGGATTACAGGCGTGAGCCACTGTGCCCGGACTCTGATTTTTTTTTTACTAAGGTACAGTAAGAAAAGGGAAAAGTGTACGTTTTCACTTCCTGAAATATGTCAGGTTGAATCAATAATAGAGCACACCAGAACTCTTGGCTCCATTTCAACCTAAACTATTCAGTTCTCATCACCCCAGAGGAAATTCCGCCTCTGTGCTGGTCAGTAATCCCCCTGGATTATAAAAGTTTAACTAACTCACTGTGCACAAGGCACGGCCATTGCCAACATTCTCTTGCAAGGTATTTTCCCAAGCCCTTACCCAATTCTGTTTCCATGATTGTGACATTGGGGATTAATTCTGCAAGACAGAACTGTTTATATTCTGTACCTTAAAAACACATGCAAACATCTCTTGCCTTAAGATTTCTGGCTTTCCTATGGCCCAGAGTCCTAGAAGTGTTTTGATATTTGTAGCAGAATTTTCAAGTGTACATCCTTATCCTGGATATTAACATTTTTGCATCATATTGGCAGCTGGACCTACAGAGAATTTAGTAGACTGTTAACCTAATAAGCCTTGAATCCTTTTGCACCAGTGGTGAGAGAATGTGGATCAGAGCCATCACCTCCATGCCCCGTCACCCTCTAACAACCACATTTACAACTTCCCCAGCTCTGAGACACACTTGCCTCCACCCCTTCCATCACCCCATTTTAAGATGAAAATACCACACCAGCCTGGAAGGAAGAAGTTACTTGCCCAGGGCCACATAGTGAGTTAAGGGCTGATCTAGAGCTAGGAAGCTGTCTTCCTGAACCATAATCCTGGACTCTTCTAACCTCTCTACTCATCGCAAATAGAGTTCATTTTAGTGATTTGAAGGAAGATGGGACAAGTATTTTCAAACACCTGTAGGACAACATGGAAGTGGGAGGAGACTTCTACTGTAGCTCCCCAGAGAAGAGAGCTAGGGCTACAGAGTTGCAGTTACAAGGTTGCCCTCTCTGGCTTGATCCCCAAAGGAATTTTCTACTCCAAAATAGAATTTTTCTAGGATGCTATTTCTCAGTCCCTGGAGATACTCAAACAAAGGGCTTGTCACAAGGGTTTTTGTAGAAGCTATTCTTCACAGAGGTTGGGGGAGAGATTAAGCCAAAGGATCTCTGAGGTCTTTTTCAAATCTATAATTATGTGGCCTTTTGTTCATTGACTTCCATGTGTTCTAGTTGATCATTACAAACCTGGCAGGCCTTCTCAAGGGTTCAGTAATTAGCTGTCATTTCCCATTTGTCCAGAGAGTGTCCAACACAAAATACCCCTAAGATCTTGGCCAATAGAGAAATGTCATGGAATTTTAGAAATGACAGTATCTGCGGAGTTTATTCCAAGTTATATCATTTCAAAGATGAAGAAACCCAGGCTCAGAGGGAGCCATCACATCCACACCCTGTCACCCTTCGTGGCCAGTGCCAGACAGTAGCTAGTTGGATGCTAAAAGTAGAATTTAGATATCTTAACAATAAGCCCAGCAGTCTTTCAACTTCATTCGTAAATCATTTTTGTTTTGAGCATCTGTCACGTGGCAGCACTTGCCTGGATACTGGAGAGCTGAGAAGGAATGCGACAGGCAAGTCCTACTCTCACAGTGTATACATTCAGGAGGAACAAGACACACAGTGCCAAGTAAATAAAGTAGCTGAACTTCATCAAATGATTTTATTCTTAAAGTCATTAAAGCATGTAATGTTCCCCTTTTTTTGTTTCAGGGGTGTACAGATTGAAGAAGTGTAGGTGTTTATGTGGTTTTAGTGACAAACCCCATGTGCTTTCATTGATTTTATGTTTTATGTTAAAACATCAACCGCAAGGTAAAATGCATATTGTATGTTGTTGGATACGTACTTAACTGGTATGCATCCCATGTCTTTGGGTACTAGTGTATGAATTCTAATCTCTGTAAATGAAATGTTGTATGTGTTAATATATTTAATAGATGTAACTTAATAAACTGGCATTGAAGACTGAAGAATTTTCACACTGTCAGTTCTTTTGTTAATGTGTTCCTTTGTTTTTCTTTCTAGATTAAGTCTAAGGGTAACCTCTTGGGATTTTTTTTTTAAATGCTTCTAATTCTCCATGTACTTGGCTGCAAAATGGCAACTGGCTTTCATAGTTATAATAAACCTTAAAACCTTGAGATTATAATAAACCTTAAACTGAACACCACAGATGGTGTCATTCTAGTCAGATGAGGGAAAGGGAGGGAAGGAGAGAATCTACAGGGTTCCTTTCATGAATTAGAAGACTTTGTAGTTGAGTAGCCTAATCTCACATTGAACATCCCTGAAAAAGAAAGAGAGGCCATAAAGACCCATGCTAGTACATGGAGGAGCCCGAATTTGGATCCAGGTCACTCTCTGACACTACACCGTCTGCCTTGCATCAAAACAGCAATCCGCGGGAATCAAGAGGATTCAACACATCCATCACTTTCTGTTTTCCAGCACAGTAGCTGGGGTCCCTGTTGGTGCTCAGTCAATAATATTAGATTGAACCATACTAAATTGCCATTTCTGAAGGTCAAAAGGGGTCACATGCCAGAAATTTCATTTGTTTCCACCTGATAGTTGTATGTAGAATCAAACTTCAAGGGAGAGGGGGTAAGGCTTTCCTCTAAAACATCAGACTCAAAAATTTCCCTCCCAGTGGGGAATCAGAATGGATGTATTGATGGCCTTCTGAAATTCAGTTCTCACTCTATTCCTGGGGGTGATAAGAACAAAATATTTTTACACTTGGGGAGAGAAGTGAATTATTTGCCCTGAATTTATTAAAAACCAAGTATCTGCAAAAGTCATAGTGCCAGTTCTCTAGAGGAAAAACATTGATAGTTATTTAATCTAAGTCACCAAAGACAACTTTTTCAACTAATTCTCAAATGGACCCTCCATGCCTAAGAACTTCAGAGCAAAGAGAAAAACTATCCATTGGTCTCTCCTGATGTTTGTCCAGTTGTCCACAGGGGATATCTAGTGTCCAACCAGACCCCAGCTAACATTCAGTTAGGACGCACACAGGTGGCGTCTGTTCCGATTTGTTAGATGTGATTCTGATTAATGGATGCTCATACCACACTGGTTGTTAGACGTTCTGACTACTATTCCTGTTTTCATTGCTTCCACTCCCCCTCCACAACATGCACACATCATCATCACCTTCATCATAAGCCATAATAAGAATGCCCAAGATGGAACTGAAGAAGATGCAATGGATCAGGAGTCTGCTGTCCTGGGCTCCAGGCCCGGGTCTGCCAAACTGGCAAATTCTAAGGCCTTGAACAACCATTTCAACAGGTCTCAGTTTCCTTCTCTGAGAATCTGGAGGAGAAGTGGATGAAGTGAGCTAAATTCCCTTCTATTTGCAGGTCTCAATAATTCTGTGCTTGTAGTGTTTGAGTTTCAAATAAGCTCCCTTTTTTCAGGTATGTGGTAGAAGCCAAGAGGTTTCTCCAAGAGAAAGCAAAATTCCCCCGTGTACCTTAGACTGCAAAGCTCTCCAGCTGATATATGGGGACTTTTTACTTCTTCAGTGCAGGAAATAGAAAGGTAACTGGAACTGAGCTGTGAACTCCCAGGTCCACCAGTGCTGTCCCATTTTGACAGCACTTCATTCCTCCTCTCCCCACCTGGTCTCTCTAACCTTCAGTGGGGCTTGGTGGCCCACTCTCCATTCTGCATAGCCAAGGATGCCATCCTCACAGGTTCATTTTGGACCTTAATACCAGTCCTTACACCAGCTAGTGTTTCCTGTGTTCTTAGGCCATGTCAGGCATTGAGCTCAACTCATCACATAACTCATCTTATTTCACAATTCAATGAGATTAGCATTATCCTCTTGTTTTACAGATGAGGGAAATGAGGTCTGAGGGATTAAGTCCACTTGCCCAGGAAGAATCAGTTAAACCAAGTTTCCAAGTCAGACAGGATAAAAGTGTCCCCCTTGCTGAATTCATTATCAATAGTGAATAAGAGCAGCAAACATTTGGGAGCATTTACAGTGTTGAACACTTCACCTGCATCATCTCATTTAATCCTCAATCAAGGGCAGAGTGTGCTGGCGCACGCCTGTAATTCCAGCACTTTGGGAGGCCAAAGCCAGGCAGGTCACTTGAGGTCAGGTGTTCAAGACCTGCCTGGCCAACATGACAAAACCCCATCTCTACTAAAAATACAAAAATTAGCCAGGTGTTGTGGCAGTGCCTATAATCCCAGCTACTCAGGAAGCTGAGGCAAGAGAATCACTTGAATCCAGAAGCAGAAGTTGTAGTGAGCCAAGATCGCACCACTGCACTCCAGCTGGGCTACAGAGTAACACTCTGTATCCAAAAAAAAAAAAAAAAAAAAGCAATCCTTAATCAAAGGTGGATTTCCTGGCTCCAAGTCAATAAGCCACATCTACTCTTACAGAGGTGGCATTCCCAGGAATGAGCCATCAAATCTGCAAAGGATGACTGGGTCTTCTATTCAAAAGAGTAACCATTGATCAGGCATACTGACCCCAAAGGGATCCAAGGATGTCCTCTTGCTAGAATGCAGGTCCTGCTTGATCCCCCATTCCTGGTTCCTCTAACAGAAATATTGGTACCACCACTATCATGTCAGCTATTCTTGCCCAACCTGGGGAGCCCCAGCTCTGGCCACATGCAGACCAGCTCCAGCTACCAACCTTGTGATCATGGGTTTCCCTTCTCCACTGGCCTCAGGATCCTCTGCAATGTTACCCTCCACCCAACTTGGCCTCTGGTGCCCATTTTGCCTTTGTCTCTATTCTCCATTCTGCTTTTGTCAACCACAGAAAGATTTGAGCACCTACCCCAGGCCAAGCACTGTGCTAAGCGCTTAGCAAATACATTTTCCTCTCCTCGTCACAGAACCCTGGAGAGCAGGTACTATTATCATCACGGTGATTTTGCAGATGAGAAATCTGAGGCTCAATGAGGCACAGTGACTTTCCCAAAGCCACACAGCCAGAATGATAAACGTGGATTTGAACCCATCGGTCCGTGTTATTCCTGCCTCTCATCAACTGTCTTGTTCTGCTTCTCAGGTTTGCCCACATCTCTGCCTCTTAACCATTGTGTGGTCTTGAGTAAGTCATCTAACTTCTTTGGGCCTCAGTAAGGAATGCCACTTTCACTCTCAGCCCAAAATTTCTAGGATTCCAGCTAAACAGTAACCAGCTGAGCATTCCCAGGTAAGTCAGGTCTCAATTTTTAAGGGGCATCTTACCCAAAGCCCCTCCTCTTCAGCCTGTGCATCTACCCCAGGGAACCATGAAGCACCATCACCAAAGCTTTTCCCAGTAAGCTCTGCTGTGGCTGCTCCGGAGGAAAGATACTTGATGAACTCCATGTGTATCTCATTACCTTTCAGCCCAATAGTCCCCAATTTTGACTGCACATTGATGGGAACAGGGATTAGGATAAAATAAAAAGCCCAGTATCTAGGTCATGCCCCAGGCTAATTAAAGCAGAATCGTTAATGATGGAAGACAGACAATGGTTTTTTGAGAGATAAGGTCTCACTCCTCTCTCTGTTGCCCAGGCTGGAGTACGGTGGTGCAGTCATTGCAACTTCCAACTACTAGCCTCAAGCAATCCTCCCACCTCAGCCTCCTAAGCAGCTGGGACTACCCAGCATGCACCACCATGCCTGGATGATTTTTTAATTTCTTATAAAGACAGGGTCTCTCTATGTTGCTCATGCTGGTGTCAAACTCCTGGCCTCCAGCAATCCTCCCACCACAGCCTCCCAAAGTTCTGGGATTACAAGCATGAGCCACCATGCATGGCACACAATGATATATTTTCTTTAACCTCTCAGGTAATTCCAGTGTGCAGCCAGAATTGAGAATTGCAGTTTTCAAAGCACTGCCACATGAGAGAAAAAGCACGGCCCTGAAGCTAGATAGATGCGCATTATGTTTTCAGTTCTGCCACTTTTTACCTATGAGATTTCAGAGAGCTGAGTTAATCTACCTGAGACTCAATTTCTTCATCTGCAAAATGGGAATGAAAGTAGCACATGTTGCGAGTCACATACCTGGCCAGTGACCATGTCAAGATGAGAACTCTAGTACCAATACAATATTTTTTGATATCTCTTAAAAGTTCTCAGTGGACTTGATCCCTTTGTTGTTGATTTTTCCCCAGTACACAGTTATACCCATTGAGTTTGACACTCTAGTTGTTAATTATATAAACCACAATTCATCCATTGCATGAGAGCAGAATAAAGCTATTCCTACATGCCAAGGTTTAAGAATGCTTTAGACAATGCAATGTATTGTGTTTTGGAAATAAAGACATTAAAACGTTTATATGCTGTAAACTAAAAGCTCATGGGTACCAGAAGGAAAGCTTCTCAAAAAATATGAAATACTTGAAAAAAAATTTTTTAAAAAGTAGTACATGCCTCACCACACCCTTGTGAGGATAAAATGAGATGAAACCCACAAAGGTACCTGGTCCCTCATCAGAAAATTACCTGAAAATTCTGCTGTCTCTATTTCTTCTCTTCTACATTTAAAGAAGCAACACCAAATTATAGAAATTATAAGATCATAATAGAATGGCACATGAAGGTCTGGAGACTTGGTTATTCATTCATCTAACTCTTACTTAATGAGGACCCTCAATGCCAAGGGCTACACATGAAATAAACATAGCTACTAAACTCATAAAACTTCCATGCTATTGGGTTGAAGTTGGAGGGGAATGGGGAGGTTTACAATAAAGGAATTACTGTGCAAAAACTTATTGTGATAAGTGATCTAAAGGAGAAAAACAGGCTGTAAAGATAAAGAACAAAAATAGGACCCAATTTCCAAGTCAGTGATTCAGTGAAGGCCTCTCTAAGGCCACTCTGCACAGCGTGTTTGATTTAGTTAACATTTAGACTCATGACTCCATAGCACAATTACTGGCTGATAGCAACTGTGATTCATTCGGTGAATATTGCTAATTACTAGAGCCTTCATGGGCAAAGGACAAGGTGGCTGGGCACTGGCCAACTGCCAGCTGTTTCTGGGCCAAAGCAAACAACTTGTGCCTTAGAATGCACTGGTATGGCTGGTGACAACCCCACCAATCCCTAGAGCTCCACTCCAGCCTCTCAATGGAAAACTTTTCTCCTGCAGCCACTACAGGAAGATCCAACGTTGTCCTTGGCACTCCCTACTGTTTTTCAAGAATGACGCCCAAATAGACTTTGCTTTCCTGTGTGCCAGGAAGTTTTCCTGGTTTTTGCCCTTGTGCTAACAAACATGATCTGACATCATAAGGATAAGGAAAATTACCAGCATGTGTCCCTTCTTTCAAGAGCTCCATGGGGAGGAAAGTATGGTCTGGATGAGAATACCCATTTTACAAAAAGATAAATCAAGGCTCAGAAAGGAAGCCATCATATTCATAGGAATAAAGGGACTGAGCCAGATCTGACCAAATCCAATACCATGCTTCTAGTCCCATGATGCTGCCTTAGGCGTTCAGTCCATGAGCAAAAGGGTCAGAGAGACCCCACTCTGCGAGTCTAGCAAAAATAAATCCCTGTGTTTACGAGTCTGATAAAGGCAGGAATTGAGGAGTGAGGTCTGAATGCTTTGGGATCTGCCCTTCCCTTCTCTCCAGGACACTGTCACACTCTGTCCATCTGCCCATGGGCACTTGTACTTCTGAGGCATCACCATCTTTCACCAAGTGTCCCAAGACAGAACCCTGGGTCATCTTAGGCTGGCCACTCTCCCCATCCCTCACATTTAATCACTCACTAAGGCCAACTCCTGAGTCTCAAATTAGACCCCTTCTTTCCTTCTTTATGTCAATAGCCTCCTCACTGGTCTCCCTGCACCAAGTGAAGCCCACTGAAGTCCATCTGCTCTACAGCAACTACAGTGGTCTTGCTATTACAAAAACAGTTCATAGAACTCTCCTTCTTCGAAAGGCCAGGGTAGCTTCCTATCATCTTTAGAGGGAAATCCAAGCTCCTGGATTTGGCATTCAAAGCCCTTCCTGATCCAGTCCCTACCAACCTCTCTGCTTCATTTGGTTTCCCATGTCCCCTCTGCCTATGTTATAGAGGCAGTGATGTGCTAATAAATGTTGAACATCCGGCTCTCCAAAATAAAGCCCTGATTCGCACCATTTGTTGCTATCTGTGTTGTAAATATTTCCACCATGACCAATTACAAGCAACCAATGTGTTGCCAGTGAGTTCAGAAAGGATGTATTTCAGCCATATGGATACAATAGATATTTACAACCACAAGAGGATAGATAATGGATAATGTAGTAATAACTAAGAAGTGACAAGTTTGGAGTATTTATTACCTTTGTTGTAATATAATTTATATAAATGTAGGTTTATGTAATTTAATTTTATTATGGCTGTGTTTAATGACCAGCTCACAAAACTCCTGGTAATTTAATATTCCCTTCTTGTAAATTGGTACACATTTGCCCTAGCACCCCTGATTAAAGCACTCTGGGTAGAATGCCTGCCCTCCCCTACCCCGTGGTGAACTGCTAGTCATTTCTCAAGACTCTGCTCAGCTGTCCTTTCATCTGCGGAGCCAACCCTGAATGCCTCATGCAGGGACTCTCACAGGAACCCTCCCCATCCCCTGTCTCGGGCTTGTTGTCTGATCGTCTGTCTTTCCCCCATCTGATGGTGTCTTACTCACTTTTAGGAACTGTCATCAGCTGAACTCTAATAAATGTTTGTGGGACAAACTATTCAACATAGTTTTGTATCTGGATTCCTTCCCTATATACATTTGTCTTCCAATTTCCAGTTTTTATTCAATCCTTCCTATTCCCAAGGATGTCACCCAGAGCAAAAACAGGCTTTATATGGGAAGTGGAAGCAGGTTGGGGAAAATGGAAGGGGAAGTTCCAACCCAAATCTGCAAAATGCATTTTAATCATTTATGGTTTTGAATAAATATAAATCCAGTTTACACTCACATCTTCACCCCAGACAAACTTTCCCTAGTGAGGAGAAAGGAGAGGGACTCAGAATGGGAGGACCTAGACCTATCAAGTAGCTGATCGTAGGATGACAACTGGGATTGACCCACAGCTAAACTGGAAGACAGAACTCCTGGGCACCTGCCATGGAACAGGTTTAGGTGGCCACTTCTCATTTACTCAGTTTTTATTCAAGTCTCACAATAATTTTATCAATCAGAAATCATTACCTCCATTTTACAGCTAAATAGACTGAGGGTTGAAGATATGCTGTGACTCTTCCAAAGTCCCAAAGGTAATGAGCTGTGGAGCCAAGATTTAAACCAAGGTCTGGCTGATTGCAAAAACCATGTTGTTAAACACTGTAATAAAACATACTATTCCTCTCTTCCCTGACCTCTTTAAGAGAACAAAGAGAAAAAGAGAGAGTGAGAGAGAAAGGAAGAAGGAAAGGAAAGACAGAAAGAGAGAGAGGGAGAGAGAAAGAAAAAAGAAAGAAAGAGAGAGAGAAAGAGAAGAAGAGGAGGAAAAAAGAAGGGAAGGAAAAGAAAAGAAAGGAATATTCACAAGATTATTGAGAACCTCCTTTGAGGCAAGTACAGCACTAGGTGCTTTACCCTTGTTAACTCATTTAATTATTAATATGGTTTGGGTCTCTGTCCCCACCCAAATCTCATGTGGAATTGTAATTCCCAATGTTGGGGGAGGGACCTAGTGGGAAGTGATTGGATCATGGGAGTGAACTTCTCTCTCGCTGTTCTCATGACAGTGAGTGAGTTCTCACGAGATCTGGTTGTTTGAAAGTGTGTAGCACCTCCCCCTTCGCTCTCGGTCTCTCTCCTGCTCCACCATATGAAGATGTGTCAGCTTCGCCTTCGCCTTCCACCATGGTTGTAATTTTCCTGAGGCCTCCCTAGCCATGCTCCCTGTACAGCTTGTGGAACCATGAGCCAATTAAACCTCTTTTCTTTATAAATTACCCAGTCTCTGATAGTTCTTTATAGCAGTGTGAGAAGAGACTAATACAACTTTATATAGAAGATAAGTATTATTATTCCCATTTTACACCTAAAGAAACTGAGGTTCAGAGAGCTTGAGAAAATTGGCCAGTGTTGCACATCTCATCCACAATAGAACTTAGCTTTCAAAAGCCTTCTTCCTTCTAGGGTCCACATTTCTGACCGACACAAGCTTCTAACCCCACTTCCCTCTGCAGCCACTTAAACTGTACCCCACTTCCCCCTGCAGCCACTTAATTTATATTTAAGTCACTTAAGAAAGTGAGTTAAATAAAAATCAATATTTCAGCATCAACTTGAAAGAATGTAGGCCAATAAACAGTTGCCCCAAGAGGACCTGGCTAATCAACAGAATTATTCAAGAAACCAGGAAAGTAGCTCCGCATTTTATCAGACAAATGATCTAAGCCATGTTCTGTGGCTTTGTTAAATGAAGAAGGAAGCTAAGAAGATAGTACTGAAAAAATTCCAGACATTTCTGTGTGCTTCCCCCACAGTCCCCCAAAGTGCAAAGTGAATCCCAAAAGGTTAAATGTGGTTTCATCACAAGCATGGGTGTCAATTTTATAAAGGAGGGGGGAAAAGTCATTCATGGGGAACTTAAGGCTTTTATCCACAAAGGTACATGTTGAGTGAACTGTGATCCCCAATTCAGAACCACAGAGAAGAAAATGAAGCCCTGTGTGATGCAGCATAGAATAGCCCACACCAAGAGACCAGAGACCAGGGGTCTACTACATTTTGCTTTGCCATGTGCCCTTATCCAGGTCAACATAACAAAATTATTGTGTATTCATTCAACTAACCCCAAGCACCTAGTTCTAGGAACTACTCTAAGTTCTGAGAAAAAAAAAAAAGATGAAGAAAACATTGGAACTCCCAGTTCTAGCCAAGACAGAGCAATGGCTACAGGACTTGCCTGCTTATTATAACAACTATAAAATTGGACATTAGACAACAGATAACATAGGGCTACAATCTTTGACAGAAGGAAAATATGTGAGATGTACTCCATATTTACCTCAGTTTTCTGCCTGTAAAATTGCCAGTGACACAGGAAAGTAAGCCCAAACAGACAGCATCAATCTTACAAGGTTGGGGAAATATATAACAGGTTTTGGTGTTATTGCAATAGCTGAAATTTGTGGCAAAGAATAAAGGAAAGAAGGATGCTATGCAGAGAAACTGCAGAAATCTTCACTTAGGTCCCTTTGGTTGAATGTTAAACTGTGCAAGTGCAGAAGCCTCACAGAAAACAGCTGCGGGGGCCCAAGAACTGAATGGGGATTACAGAGATCTCACACTATTAGAATAAGATGGAATTATGACAAGCCAGGGTAGAAAAAGATTACTGTAACCACAGGCATTCATTGAGACCCTAAAAAGGCCATGATTAGGAGTAGGCTGTGCTACACTACCTTAGTCCCATTTCAACAAGTCCTTAAACCAAGGACCAACCCCCACCAAGGGGAGGGGTGGGGGGGAAACTCAACACTTTCCAAAGAAATAGAATGATGTTAATTACAAAGATTTTCATTGTACTCCTAGAAGTTGTTATGTCTCTCCAACCGAAGTAGTTGAGCATCTGGGGTCCAGAATAATCCCCCAGATAGATTAGGGTCTCTTCCTAACTCTACAGCTAATAAACCACTAGTAGAAGACTTTTCAGATCCTGAGATTCAGAATCAGTATGCTCTGGAACGAGGTACTCTGGATTCCTTACAGTTTGACCATCGTGGTATTTAGGTACCAATGACTCTTCAGAAGCTACTGCAGCAGGCCCTTTTGACCACGATTTCCAGCAGCAGCTCTTTCAGGGGACGAATGAACTAAAAATTCAGCAGTTAGCACAGCTCAACAGCAACAATACATATTAGTTCCAGCTCAGCAGCTACATATAGAAACTTCTAAGACTGAATGAAAGGAAATGAAACTAGAGTCCATATTGCCATAAGCAATCTGAAATGAGTCTGCTGTTGTCTCAGATGGTTTGTTGAGACTGTCCTTCTCATCCATGCTTTCACCAATAGTTATTCAAAGTCAGCCAATTCATTGATGACCTCGTTAGTGTGACTTTCCAAGATCACTCTACATAGAGCTCTGCATCTCTTTTGTTTCCTTCATAGACTCTTGCATTATTTTTTATTTCTTTTAATGTGTTTTAAGGTAGTAGTAACATATCTGCCTTCTCACTGCTGACTCCCAGCACCTGGCCCAGTGCCTTGCATATATCGGGTTGGTATACAAGTAATTGTAGTTTTGCCATTTTTTTAAGTAATGGCAAAAACTGCAATTACTTTTGCACCAACCTAATAGTGGGCACATAATGAAAATGTGCTGAATGAAGGAAGACTTAATTGAGAAATAGCCTACTGAAAGGAAGACATTTAGATACTATACATCTTGAACTGTTTACATTGAATTGCTTTACAATTTTTAATTATAGTGAGTCTTTTAAAAATGTTAAGACTTTCAATTTGAAGTCAAAATTGAAGCATATAAATAACACCATTCTACAAAACATGTAAATTATATTCCGGAGACCTATTAAAGCTATGAAATATATTAAAAATATAAAAATACTGCAGCTTAAACCACATTACCAAACTATCTTTAAAGCCAGAATATATCTACAGTTTTTCCTCCTTAATAGAGTTTCTCTGATGCTGCCTTTTCAGCACACATGAATTTTTCATTGTGGCAACCTTAAGCATTTTAATTTTTATCTAACTCATTAACTCTAATTGTGTGATAGTTTAATGAGTTAGATTGAGAGCATAGGGATATAATGGTTTTAGAGTGAAAGTAAACCTTAGTTTTAGTAACGTCTTGGTGAAAATGGAGAGAACCTGAAAGGGTATAACAGAAAGATACCAAAAAATGCAGTCGATATTTTTATTTCATCAAAATAAAATTGTGAAAATTTGTTTTCTGTCTTGTTATATGAGAGTCTACCCAATATCTTCTATTTTGCCTCTTCGCCACAAAGCTTAAATACTTACTATCTAGACCTTTACCAAAAAATTGTTTGCCCACCCCTGCTCTACACTGAAAATTACTGAACAATGTTTGGAGAACTTAAGACCTTAAAAAGTGCAGACATTGGCCGGGAGCGGTGGCTCATGCCTGTAATCCCAGCACCTGGGAGGCTGAGGTGGGTGGATCACGAGGTCAGGAGATCGAGACCATCCTGGCTAACACGGTGAAACCCGGTCTCTACTAAAAGTACAAAAAATCAGCTGGGTGTGGTGGCACTTGCCTGTAGTCTCAGCTACTCGGGAGGCTGAGGCAGGAGAATTGCTTGAACCTGGGAGGCGGAGGTTGCAGCGAGCCGAGATGGCGCCACTGCACTCCAGCCTGGGCAACAGAGCGAGACTCCGTCTCAAAAGAAAAAAAAAAAAAAAAAAAGTGCAGACATTTACCACTTTTTGGATTGCTAAACTCAATATTGCTAAGATGTCATTTCTGTCTGTTATTGATTAATAAATAATTCATTACCATCTAAATCAAAACCCCAGTAGACTTTTTTTTAATAGAAATTGATAGGTTGGCTCTAAACTGCATAAGAAATTGCAAAGGATTTAAAATAACCAACACAATCTTGTGAAAGAAAAATATAGTTGGAAGATTTACTCTGCCTGCCTTCAACACTTATGGTAAAGCTATAGTAATCAAGGCAGTTTCGTATTGACACAAGGATAGATAAATATTTCAGTGGAATAAAATAAAGAGTCCAAGAATGCTCCTATATTTATACCTTTTATTGATTTTTGATAAAGGGCCAAATAATTCAAAGGGGAAAGTCTTTTCCATAATTGATGCAGGAACAACTAGATATGTATTAGAAAAATATTAACTCACATCATGAATCAAAAAAATTATTTGAAATGGATTATAGACGTAAAAACAAAAGCTAAAAGCAAAGGAGTATATCTTCTTAACCTTGAGATAGACAGAGATCCTTTAGACAGGACACAGGAAACACTAACTATAAAAGAAAAATTAATAAATTAGACATCAGAATGCATAAAAAGAATGCCTATAACTCAATCTTTAGAAGTCATACAGTCCTTGGCCAGGCGCAGTGGCTCACACCTGTAATCCCAGCACTTCGGGAGGCCAAGGCGGGTGGATCACCTGAGGTCAGAAGTTCGAGAACAACCTTGCCTCGAACTCTGGTGAAATCCCTTCTCTATTAAAAAATACAAAAATTAGCCAGGCGTGGTGGCTCACACCTGTAGTCGCAGCTACTCGAGAGGCTGAGACAAGGGAATCACTTGAACTCGGGAGGTGAAGTTTGCAGTGAGCTGAGATCACACCACTGCACTCCAGCCTGGGTAAGAGAGTGAGACTCGGTCTCAAAAAAAATAAATAAATAAAAATTTAAAAATTATATAATCCAAAGCAAAAACGGACAAAGACTTAAACGTATACATCACCAAGGATGATATGTAAATGGCACACGAAAAATTGCTTAAGATTGTTAGTCATTAGGATAATACAAATAAAACCACAATGAGAAACCACAGCACACCCACTAGAATGGCTAGTATTTAAAACACTGACAACAGCAAATATTGTCCAAGACACTGAGCATTTGGAACTCTCACACGTTGCTGGAGGGAATGTAAAATGGTACAGCCACACCGGAGAACTGTTGGCAGCTTCTTGTACAGTTTCCTTATATAACCACCCAGACCAAACAATTTTAATCCTAGATATTACCCAAGAGAAATTAAAATATATATCCCCAAAAGGGATATTTGGAGAAGAATCATTCGTAATAGCCAAAATCTGGAACTAACCCAAATGTCCATCAACAAGAGTATGGATAAACACACTGCAGTATTTTATACAGTAGGTTACTACTCACCATGCAACCACATGTATGAATCTCAAAAACATCATGTTAAATGAAAAAGCAACACACAAAAGAATGCATATATATTATTCATATGAAGTTGTAGAATAGGCCAAACTAATCTACAGTGATAAAAATCAGAATAGAAATCAGAACAATGTTATCCTCTGAGCAGGGACTGGCAGGGAAGGCACACTAGGGAAATTTACGGAATGAAGAAAATAGTCTATATCTCAATAGTGATATGGGTTACATCAATATATGTATTTATCAAAACTCATTAGACCCTGCACTTAAAATCTATGCATTTTACTCCATGTAAATTGCACACCAGTTTTTAAAAAGAAGAAAACCTTGACATTGTCATCAAGAGGCTCACACTCTAATCTGCAGATTTCTTCAAGACATGGATGGAACCCTGCCTTATCATTTCTTTGTTCCATCCATTTCGAGAGCAATTTCATTTCCTCCATACTAGTTGCAGTCCTACCACTGCAATGGCTTCCTAGGCAGACTGCCAGCCTGTAGTCTGACCTCTCCAGTGAGGCCCTCACATGGCAGTCAATGATTGGTTTGAAAGAGAAATATTTCAGTGTCACTCTCCATTGCCCTTAGGATAAATTCCATCTCCTCTCAGGAATGGGCCTGCATGATCCGGTTCATGTATACCTCTGTCTCACCTCCCACCACTCTCCCTTTGCAAACTGTATTGCAGTCCGCTTGAGTTACTTAGCTCTGATTTTGCACATTGCTTCCCATTTTTAATGTTCAAACACACACACCCCTCTTCACTTAGCCAACTTCTCTTAATTCAGGTCTCAGATGAGATGTCATTTATAGCATTTCCTGACATCCTCCTTCCCCTCCTCTGCCATCAACAGGTTGGAGGTCTTCTCTGAGCTTGTACAAGTACCTCCCTATCATTTTATGTAGCCATACTGTAGTCAAATTTTTAGTGTCTGCATCTGTCACCCCCACTACACTGTGAGTCCCATAAAGGCAGGGAACATGTCATATTCTTTTTGTGTCTAGCTCAGCAGTGGCACATAGTGGGTGTTCAGTAAATCAGAAGATGGAATGGGCCAGAAACTCAAGAATGGCCTGCATTCTGATAACTAGGATCCAAGAGCTCAGCCTCCCAACAAGGCCCAGATACAATGAGCACCAAGCCAAAGTGGGAGTTGGTGAATGACCTAACCAGTGAAGACCAATTGGTCTTTCTCTTGAAGTAGGAGCCGGAACTCATGCACCTCGGATTTCCTGAGAATGCCAGAATCTACCAGCTCCAACACAGAAACCATTCCAGGCACTTGATTTCACAGACCTTTCCACAACCAAAGTCTCAGAAAAATGCAGATCCTTGAGGATTTTTCTCTGAAGATAAATATTCACCCCAGTCCATTAAAAAACAAGCAGTGAGCTTCTTTCCAAATGGATCCCCACAGTGATTGCAAACCTTAGAGAAAGTTCAACAGTGGATACACCTTGGGAGGTCGAGGACTGGAGTCAAACTACTGCGGTTCTGCTCTTCACTCCTCTCCTTATCTGCTGAGTATCTCTGGGCAAGCAACTGATGATCTCTTAAGTTCCACCAGCTGCAGGACCATGGGCAATCTCTCAGAGCCTCAGCCTCTTCATTAGTAAAATGAGAATGAGGATAATTATGCCTCCTCATTCAATTATTGTGTGCATTAAATGAGACCCCACATGTAAACAGCTTAGTTCACTCTAAGCTCTCTGTAAATGTTATCTATTATTATTATCTTTATCCCAGAATTCTATTTCCATGGGCTGAACACTATCTAATGTTTGCATGCCCTTCTCCATTTGTGCAAAAGTATTCAAGAAGGAAAGTAAAAGTTCTCTTAGGATGTATCAGCTTACAAATGATTTGAGTCAGCTTTTGTGGGCGAGCCTGTATTTTTTTTTTCTTTTCTGCTAATGTGAGCATATTTCTATCTTGTGTAGCCTGCCATGTGGACTCAAAGCCATCAAAGCAAGTTAATTTAAATTTTACTACAAGGGTGAAACAAGAATTATAGGGAGAGTGAGATAAGCTGCCAGGTGCTTCTCTAGCCAAAGATGCTGGTTTTGTGAAATCACTATTAACCCTCTGGCTCCTGGAACAAAGTGGGACCTCAGAAGTGGTATTGTTTCATTGTGTTGGCTCCCAGCCCTCCTCTTGTCTCATTCCAACTGCACACCACACACATGCACATTCGCTCCCCTCAAGCACATATAGACATACACATATCACACCTAGGCACACACAGACATATATACATTTACCTCATGAACACACACACATAATCACTCAAAACACACATTCACCTTTGTGCACACAGACACACACACACTTTCACCCTTCATGCACACACCCACACACATTTCCCATTTACCTCCATACACAGACACACGCACATTCACACACACTCTCATGCACACAAACACAGACACATTCACCTTCAATGCATGCACATACACACATTCACCCCCATGTCACACAATCACTCTAAACACACACATTCACACAACACACATTCGCCCCTCATGAACACACATGCATATTCACCCCTCGGGTTAGGCTGTTTGGACCACTGTAGCAAATTACAGATGGAACGCAAAGCTAGGAGAAGGGGAATGACTTGCCCAATTTACCCAGAGAGAAAGTGGAAGGAACAGACTTTGAGGCCAGATCTGTCTGACTCAAAATCAGTACTTTTTCTGAAATGCTGGTGGGAAGGGAAGTCATCAGAACTCTCTGGATCACCTTGTACATCTATTCTCCTCTCCAGAAGCACTTTTATTGCTGTGAATCATTGATATGCCAAGTGTCTTAATTCCACAAAGAAACCAAATTTGAGGCATCTACTCATTTATTCAAACAATTTTCTGGGTGCATATTGTGTGCCAGACACTATATTAGGTACTTGGGACCCAGCACTGGACAAGACAGACGTGATCCCTGCTCTCTATAAGCTTATGGACATAAGCTTATATGGACATGTCATATTCTTTTAGTGTCTAGCTCAGCAGTGGCACATAGTGGGTGTTCAGTAAATCAGAAGATGGAATGGGCCATAAACTCAAGAAGTCTCAGTCCATTTGGGATGCTATCAAGGGGAACACCATTGGTTGGTTGGCTTATAAACAACAGAAATTTATTTTTCACAGTTCTGGAGTCTAGGAAGTCCAAGATCAAGGTTCTGGCAGATTTGGTTTCTAGCAAGGGCCCACTACCTTCCAGGTTCATTGGTGACCATATTTGTGTTGTGACCTCACATGGTAAAAGGGACAAGGTAGATGTCTGAGGTCTCTTTTATAAGGACAGTAATTCTAATCATGAGGGCTACATTCCATGACCTAATTTCCTCCTAATACCATCCTATTGGGGGTTAAGATTTCAACCTGTGAATCTACCAAGAACACAAACATTCAGTCTACAGCACACTCCATGCAGGCACACATGTTCACATACACATTCAGTGCCCCCAGGCATGCACACAAACACACACACACACACATCTACCCCCACACACATACATACACACATATTCAACCCCATGCATGCACACACATTCACACACACATCCATTCACCCTCCCATGCAAACACACATATTCAACCCCCATGCATCCATACACATTCACACAATCTACCCCACGCACACACACGCACACTCTACCCCATTCATGCACACACATGTATATATCTGCACACTCACTACTCCCAATGTATGCACACTCACCCAAAGAAACTAAGACTTCCTTTGTTCTACCTTTCAGGGGACCAGTCCCACATACCACTGGACTCACATTTAGAGAGGGAGCAGAATGATCCTACTTTGCTAGTCCTCTAACTTTTGCCCTTGCTTTGGGGGTTCAAAGAATGGTATGGCATGATGTCAATCGAGTAGAGGAGTAAAACTAACTTGGGAACTTGATCTAGGAATCTTTGTCTTCAACCATATCAATTCTGATACAATAAAACCAGGAGCCTCTCTTCCCACAGAGCCCTTTGTACTCAGTTCCTAGAATATCTGGCACTCTCAGCCACCTGAAGCTCTCTCAAATGCTCTTGGACAATTTAATGTCTTTACATGAAATATTCCAAAAATCTGGACAGCTCCTTCTCACCTTCAGTCCCCTCTCCTCCCTCAACCTTCTCTGGTTAACTCCTATTCATTGTTTAGGACTCAGGTGAAATGCCCCTTCTTCCAAGAAGTCTTCTCTGACCAGACATCCCAGCTGGGTTAGCCTCTCCCTCTTTGCTCCCTGGCAGGCCTTAGCTCACCTGCTTATCCACTCTGCCACTGTCATGTGCACTGGCCTCTTCCACTGGACTGTGAGCTACCTGAGCCAGAGGCTATGCTTTCTTCATCTCTGCGTCCCCATGTTTCTCATGTAGCAGGGACCCACTGCACATTTGTGGAATGTGCATCTTCTGTTACTCACATAGGTGAACAAGAAGTGGGGAGCTACTGATGCAGAACCACTTTTTGCAAGTTATTTTCTGATATGTTTGGACAAAAACATGAGAAGCTCAAGGCTAGAGACCCTGAAACATTAAGGGCCATTGCCTAAAGGCAACCCTTTTGGTTAAAGCTTACATAATTGAACCCCTTTATGAAGCCTAGTACCTATAATGTATTCAATAAATAGTTATTTAAAGAGTAGAGGAATGAAAGAAGTGGATAACACTGTCAGGAAGTAAGAAGTTCTATATAAAGCCCTGACCTATAGAAATAAGGAAACAGGCTGGGCATGGTGGCTTACACCTGTAATCCCGGCACTTTGGGAAGCAGAGGCCGGTGGATCACGAGGTAAGGAGTTCGAGTAAAACCCCATCTCTACTAAGGATACAAAAAATTAGCCAGGCATGGTGTTGTGCACCTATAATCCCAGTTACTAGGGAGGATGAGGCAGAGAATTGCTTGAACCCGAGAGGCGGAGGTTGCAGTGAGCTGAGATCATGCCATTGCACTCCCGCCTGGGCAACAGGGCGAAACTCCATCAAAAAGAAGGGAGGAAGAAAGGAAGGAAGGAAAGAAGGAAGGAAGGGAGGGAGGGAGGAAGGGAGGGAGGGAGGAAGGAAGGAAGGAAGGAAGGAAGGTAGGAAGGAAAGGAGGAAGGGAGGAAGGGAAAGAAGGAAAGAAAGGAGGGAGGGAGGGAGGGAAGGAGGAAGCAAGGAAGACAGGGCTCCACCAGTCTTCTTTGTGCCACAGATTCACTGAACCCAGGCATGCCCTGTCCCCTGTCAGAGTCTTAGCCTTCCTAGCTTTGCAATTAGAGCAGCAGTTCTCAAATGGAGGTCCACGGAGCCATGAGTGGCCACAGAGTATTTTCTTGGGATCTAGAGGCAGGAGGGGTTACTGCCTTCACTGTACATGGCATGCCCTGACACTGCCTCAGTAGAGACACCTCATTTTGATTTGCTTTATATTTTGACACTCTGCCTAATATTTGGTACAGGACATGATTACACTCCTGGGGAGATGGGGAGTCCTAAAACAATTAGATTCATTCATTCAGCAAATGCTTATTGAGCATTGTGTCTGTTCCAGGCACTAGGGATATTAGCAGCACACAAGAGAGGCAAAATCCTGGCCCTCATAGTGCTTAAGTCCTTGTTCAAGAAAATAAACAACTGAGAAATAAATCAAAATAATTTCAGATAATGATACATCCATGAAGGAAAAAAGTTACAGTGATGTGATAAAGGATTCTGGGGGAGCGACATGATTTGGATCCAGTGGTCAGGGAAGGCATTTCTGAGAAGGTGACCTGATGAAGGGAAGGAGCCAGCCATGAAAAGATCAGGGGGAAAAGCACTCCAAGGAGAGGGGATAAGAAATGCAAATGCTCTGCAAGGGAAAGAAGCTTAACATGTTCCAGGTACAGCAGAGAGGTCAGTGCGGCTGGATATGGGAGCGGGAGAGGAGTGAAGAGGGGAGAACAGTGGAGGAGTAGGGAGATGAGCAGGGGCCCTCATAGGCCATGACAGGGACTTTGGAGTATGAGCCTGCAAGTCCCCATCTTTGGAGATAACCTACAAGGAGCAAGAAGCCCAGCCTGGCAGGATAGGTCTAGAATTTTTCACATAAACTGGAACAAAACTGAGACTCTAAAAGAGGCAATATTTCAGTCCTTACAGGAGATGAAATCTACAAGGTCTAGGGCTTGGAAATTCTAAAACCATACACTGATATAAATTCAGACCATCTGAGAAATGAGAGAGGCTGTTTTCTAATTGATTATGGCTAGGGATGTATGAGTTTATCTCAAATCCAAGACACAATGTGAAAATGATGGGTCTGTCTGTGTACAAAAGGAAGGAACCAACCAGTCCTGTCTGATGCCCTATTTCTACAACAATTATCTTCTCATCTTAAGGCCCAGCCATACACTTTCTGGTCATATGACCTTAGACTTTGTAGTCCAAATGGGATAATATACCTACCTTCCATGCTTCTTATAAGTATAAATATGATCAGATACACAAAGCACTAGTCCAATGCCTTAGATATATAGTTGGTTCTCAACAAAGAAATAGTACAGTAGTAGCATCCCATTTCTGGCATAATTTCCTAATTTAATCGTTCTGTTGCATTTATTTAATTGCAAGCTTCATTCCCATCTAAGTAGGAATGTACATAATTAATAATGTATGGGCTTCATTTTCCAACTTGTAAACACCTACTGCAAAATAAGATCTAATTCAGTGGCAACTCTATCATGGCTGAACACCAGAAATACCCAGAGAGGGGCCAACATACCAATTTTCTACAGCCTGATAAATCAGAATCTCTAGGGTCAGGCTTGGATCTAGGTATTACTTTAATCCTTTCTCTGTGATATAATTTAGAATGTCTGATTTAGTCCTTCTGCAGGGGAATTAGTTGATCCAGCAAGCAGAAAATGATTATATATGAGTGATCCCATTCTCCTGCTTAAAACCTTCCAATGGCTTCCCATTGCAATTAGAATCAAATCCCCACTATGGGGATTTGCTGACTGTTGTCTGCCAGACTCTCACCTGCCTTTGGCCACTATGCCAACCCTCCTTCTCCAGGAATTCTCGGGGACTTTGCATTTGCTGTCTTCCTGCTTATGACGGCCTTTCCAGAATGTTGCATAGCTCACTCCTTCCCCTTAGTTGGTCTCAGTTCAGATTGTAACCAAGCCTGTGTTATAAAAATCTTTGTTCTTTTCTTCCTCCATGCGTGCTTGCTTGCACTTAGTCATTTTGGTAGAGAGTATTCACTAATAATTCATAAACCTCATATATTGACCCCGGGGGCTGCCCACAAGATTAATGAACTTGGTTTTCTTTCAAAGAACAATGATGCTTAGCTCATGCAGATCTCCTTGATGGCATCCAGAAGTTTGATCAGCCGAGGGATGCAAGCAGCTTTGATCATTGGGGATCTCGCCTTCCACATACCTACCTTACTCACAAAAACCCCCAGTTATGTTCAAAGACCAGTCAGATTTGAGAGTTTGCCTCTCCCATCCTCACACTTCGGCCAAATCAAATAAAACTTTCTCTGCTCCTAAGCACTGATGTATCAGTGTTTGGCTTACTACGCATCAGGTACTTGAACCTAGCTTTTAGGGTTCTACGGTTTTACATCAAAATGTCCCCTTATTGGAGAGGTCTTTCTCAACCCTAGCAAGCCTGATCCCCATCCTTTGTTCCTAGCACTTCCCAACTGCTACTTTGCCCATACACAGCATGTACCACTCTCCAAAATCATGCTGGGTTTTTTTTTATTATATACATATCTCCAGCCCCATTCCACTGGAATAATCTTGAGAAGGGAGACCTACCTATGTTGTTAATAGTATAGCCAATGCATACTGAATACTGTCTAGCACAAAATAAGCACTCCATAAATATTGACTGAATGAATAAACTGAATACAGTAACCTCATAAAATGACATCAAGCCTATAGGTCCTTTCTGTTGATCTGTTGCCACAGGAAAACTCCCCTCCTGAAATGCACTAGGGTATTTTAACAAGGGATTGAAAATCCTAATTACTCAGTTCCCACACACTTAATGAAGCTTCTTTAAGTTTACTCAATTAAGAAACTTTTTCTCTCAACCTTGCTGATATAATAGCCTTAAGCTCTGAGAAGTTAGGATCTTTTTTAAAGCATTTTGATAGCATTCTTTTTAGCTAAAACAATTTAATTCTGGGGATCCATATTTCTAATGATGTGTCACCAACTTTTGTATTTATGGCACAAGGTGATAAATCCCCTGCTCCTAGAACTTCAAAGCAATAATTAAACTGCGAGCCTCAGACTTTCTCCAAGACATATTGCACACGAATATTGCATAATGCAAATTCAGCAATTTGCTGAAGCACAGAAGACAGTGAGGTATAGAGCTGTGATTTCAACATTTTAAAATGTTCAAATTTAAGTGAATGTGAGATGTTTACATGAATGTGAGATGTTTACGTGAATGTGAGATGCTTTGAAAATGCACCAGTCAGTGGGCAAGATCTCAACCAACATGGCACGCAAAAAGAGAGAACACAAAATCAACAAGTCAGATCTCATGGGCGTCTGCTTATCGTTCCACCAGGGCAACAGGTGTGACACTACTGGACACTTGGAGGGTCTCACCCCATGCTTCTTTTAAGAATGTGAGCTGAAGCTGATTCCGTTATTTAAAGGTATAGGTTTGTGTTGTTTATACAGTATTCCCAGTAAACAGAGGACAAAGTTGCTCAACTAAAGAAACAGCAGGCCAGGGGCAATGCCCCACATTTAATCCCAGCTCTTTGGAGGGCCAAGGCAGGGGGATTGCTTGAGGTCATGAGTTCAAGACCAGCCTTGGCAACATACTGAGACTACCATCTTAAAAAAAAAAAATCAGAAAGAAAGAAACAGCAGCCCCATTGGATATAAAACTGGCTGTGCTGCCCATGGGTTTGCTCTTCAAAGCTAAGCCTTTCAAAGGGGTTTTCATGGGCTGGCTTTAAAAGCTCACCCTGGAGCTGAGATCATGCCACTGCACTCCAGCCTGGGCGACAGAGTGAGACTTCGTCTCAAAAAATAAATAAATAAATAAAAGCTCACCCTGGTTAGATGGGATTCTACCATATAAAAAAAAAATAAACAAGGGCCGAGCACGGTGGCTCACGCCTGTAATCCCTGCACTTTGGGAGGCCAAGGCGGGTGGATCACGAGATTAAATCAGGAGATTGAGACTATCCTGGCCAACATGGTGAAACCCCGTCTCTACTAAAATACAAAAAAAAAAAAATTAGCCGGGTGTGGTGGTGTGCACCTGTAGTCCCAGGAGGCTGAGGAAGGGGAATCGAACCCTGGAGGCGGAGGTGGCGGTGAGCTGAGATCATGCCACTGCACTCCAACCTGGTGACAGAGTGAGACTCCCTCTCAAAAGAGAAAAAGAGAGAGAGAGAGAAAGAAAAAGAAAGAAAGAAAGAGAGAGAGAGAAAGAAAGAAAGAAAGAAAGAAAGAAAGAAAGAAAGAAAGAAAGAAAAAGAGAGAGAGGGAGGGAGGGAGGGAGAGAGAGAAGAGAGGAGAGGAGAGGAGAGGAGAGGAGAGGAGAGGAGAGGAGAGGAGAGAAAAGAAAAGGAGAGAAGGCCCTCTCTGGTGCAGAGATGTGGGATGAACTCTAAGAATCTCCCTCACCCAATGCAGCCTCTTTCGACTTTCTTTACCTGTCTAGAGACCAAGTTCAGGACCATCTGTAAAATGAGCATAAGGTGTGGTACCTGCCCTGCCTGCCACTAAGAGGCCTGCCTGAGCTCACATGACTGAAAAGCCCTCACTTGACAAAAAAGCTCAATAAAGATGTGCAAACCTGTTGAGGTGGGGCATGAGGTGAATTTTGAAGGCTATGTTGAGTCAAAAAAGAATGGGCACTTCAGTTGTGGAAACAGTGTGAAAAATATAGGAACACAGGGAGAGGAGTTGGCTATTTAGGAAAGAAGACGAGTTTACTGGGGAGAGAGACTGGCATAGAACAGCAACAGCCAGTGAGACCACAGTGGTAGGTGGAGCTGGGCTGTGGACCTCCTGAGGCTTTATTGTGAGGGCTGTAAGAGTCACTGTATATTGTTAGGCAAAATGGTGCTTCTAGGATATCACTTTGCTCTAGTGTGCTTCCTCCCTGGTGACTCGCTTGTGTTTCTCATTTATTGTAGCATTTTACTTACCTCTGTCTCAAAGAGGACAAAAAAGATGAGGAGATTAAAAAGAAGAGTTATTTCAATGAGTATTCACTGAGTACCTGTTGCATGCCAGACATTATTTTGGAAGTGCTGGAGACATCATAGCGAGGAAGACAGACAAGGTCTTTGGTCTCATGAAGATAATATTCTACTGGGGGAAGCTGGTAACAAACCAAGTGCTACATGGAAAACAAAAATTCAGTGATGGCATAGCTAGATAGAATTATATAACAATAGATAGATAGATAGATAGATAGATAGATAGATAGATAGATACCAACATGGATAGACCTCAAAAATACGTTTATTTTGTTGTTTTTAAAGCAAATTATAGAACAATATGTATAGGATAATAACACTACATTTTTTTCAAATACACAAAAAATAACATATATCATTTATGGGTAGTTACATATGTAGTAGAAGTATAAAAATAGACATAAAATTTGTGAATGTTATTACCTTTGGAAAGGAAAGAAGGGAAAAGGCTACAAAATTTTACTTCTTTAAAAAAACAGCATGAAGTAAATATGACAAAGTGTTGTTTATTAATTTTGGAGAGTGTGTAAAATGTCTGCTGTGGAAAATAAAGCTGAGGGGAGGAAGTAAAAAAAATTCAGTGATGGAATCAGGAGTGATGGGGTGGGTAGAAAGGAACAATTGTTGTTGATGATAAAAAGAGAGAGACAATTGCAGGCACAAAGATTAAGTAGCACAGTGGCTTTAAAGTACAAATGAGCTTGAAGTGTTCAAGGAACCAACAGAAAGCTGGTGTGATCCAAGAAGAATATATGGGAGGGAATGCAGTAGGAGATGAGGTCGGAGAAGAAGACAGAGGCCAGATCATGGAGGGCTCTGCATGAGGAGAAAGAGTTGAGTTTAAGCCAATTAGAATCCACTAAACATAAGCAAGGTAGTGACAAAATCTGAGCTATATTTTCAAAGATCAATCTACCTGGAGTTTAGAGAACAGATTGGAGAGGCACAAGAGAGGAGAGAAGGACACCAGTTGAAAGATTGTTTGGATGAACCAAGGCAAGAGAAAGTGGGGCTGTAATCTTTATATGTAGATTCAAGAGAAATTGATTATTTTAAACTATGTTTTTCAACTGTATTCCACATGATTTAATACTGGATTGATTGTGGGGATCGAGGAAAAGAGATGAAGGTAACAGCTAATTTGGGGGACTTTAGCATTTGGGTAGCTGTTGTTGTCATTTACCAAGGTGAGGTCAACAGAAAGAGGTCTTGGGTATAGGGAGAATCCAGAGCTATGCTTTCACTATGTACATTTGGGGATGCCTATGCAATAGCCAGATGGATGTGTCAGGCAGACAATGGGCTCTATAAGTCTACAGTTCCAGGGAAAAGTCAACACCAGCCAATATGCTTGGGAGCCATCAACACAAAGATATTTGTAAAGCAATGGGACTGATGAGGTCACCTAAGAGACTGTACAGATATAAATGGAGAAAGAGGTTCTTGACTACTCTGAGGCATTCCAAGACTTAGAGGTTGAATAAAAGAGAAAGCAAAGAAAACTGAAAAGTGGCAGCCAATAAAGCAGGGAAAAATCCAGGAGCGTGGGAAGTCGAAAAGCCAAGGAAAAGGGAGTGTTTCAAAACATGATGCTGTTGGGAGTCCACACAAGGTGACAGCCAAGAAGTGACCACCAGATTTGATAAAAAGAAGATCATTGGCAGACGAACTTCAATGTGGTGGTCACTGCGTAACAAATCAACAAATGGTTAAGGCTTAAAAGAACAATTTATTATCTCTCACGATTCTGTGGGATGACAGATTGTTCCTCTGTTCCATCCAGTGTCATATGGTGTGCTGGAATAGTTACAGTCATCTGGAATTGATCGGATTGGAATATCCAACAGGGCTCACTCAATGGCTGGAATTTGATGCTGGCTGTTGGATGGGAACTCAGCTTGGGCTACGGACCAGATTGTTTAAACTTGGACTCTCCATGTGGCCTGGGATTCTTGTAGCATCTCAGTTCTAAAAGGCAGTGTCCTAAGAGGGACCATTCCATGACACCTAGGCAGAAGCTACAGGGATTATTATGAGCTAGCCTCAGAAGTCATGAAGCACTGTTTCTACTAGGTTCTATAATCAAAGTAAGCCCAGAATCAAGGGGAGGGGAAACAGACTTCACCTTTCAATAAGAGATTGGCAAAGAATTTTCAGCCATCTTTAATATTTTTCAGAACCATAGCCCGATGGAAGTGGGTTGAGAGGAGAACTTGTGGTAAATGAGAAAGGGGAGAGAAAAACTTCAGACAACTCATAACTGCATGCACTCAAAGTCATGAACATGGCTCAAACACACACGTGTGCGTGCGCACACACACACACACACACAACACGGCCCTCATTCTGCTAAGCTTAACTTCCAATTTACTAACCTATCGAAACTGAGAAATAAGATATTAGACAGTCATAAAAAATAAAACAGTAAAAGTACTAGAAGAAAATATGGATAAACTATTGCACATACAAAGGTGGAGATCTATGAGTGTACAAAGGCATACAGAGTAGTATAATGAACATTGGAGACTCAGAAATGGGGGTAGGAGGAGAGGGGTTAGGGATTAGAAACTACATTTTAGGTACACTGTACTCTACTTGGGTGACAGGTACACTAAAATCTCAGACTTCACCACTATACAATTCATTCATGTAACCAAAAACCACTTATACTACAAAGACTATTAAAACAAAAATATTTTAATTAAAAAAATTTTTAAACTATCCCCAAAGAAGACTATTAAATGATAAAAATAAAATAAAATAAAGGTGGAACTCTTCCTAAAAACTCTGACAGTAGAGTCATAAAGTGAAAGGCATTTTGACTAGATGAATATTTTGAAATCCCACAAGTCAAAAATGAAGATAAAAAAATCAAAAACTAGGGAAATTATCGGTAAAATTACTATTTAAAGAATTCTTTCAGATCAAGAAAAAAAAAAAACACCCCAGTGGAAAATGGGCAAAGATATATAGACAAAAGAAGAAAACAAAATAGCCAATAAGCAGATAATAAAACTTTAAACTTCACTGGCAATCAAAGAATCCAATTCAAATGCTGAGACTCCATTTTCCAGAAATTTAAGTGGCAGTTTTTTTGTTGCTGTTGTTTGTTTGTTTGTTTGTTTTTGAGACAGGTCTCACTCTGTCACCCACGCTGGAATGCAGTAGCATAATCTGGCTCACTGCAACGTCTGCCTCCCCAGTTCAAGCAAATCTCCTGCCTCAGCCAACCAAGTAACTGGGACTACAGGCAGGTGCCACCACACCCAGCTAATTTTCGTATTTTTAGTAGATACGGGGATTCACCGTGTTGGTCAGGCTGGTGTCGAATTTCTGGCCTCAAGTGATCCATCCATCTTGGCTTCTCACAGTTTAGGGATTACAGGCATGAGCCACCGCACCTGGCCGGTAATTGTTTTTAACCGAACACCCAAGGTGGGCTAGGCTCAGAGAAAATATATGGCACTCCCATATATTGCCAAATAAAGTCTAAAATGAAACTTGCCTGTCAGAAGGAACATTCAGCAATAGTTATTAAAATTCCAGCTGTATAAACTGTATGTTGTTCTATAAACACAGCTTATTGTCATTTTCATGCCTTTACATGTTCCCTTCACTCTCTCTGGGGGTCCTTACCACCCCCTTGGTGGGAAATTCCTATTTGTCACTCAAAACCTAACTCAGCTGTTAACTACTCCAGAAGACCCTCCTTAAACCCACTGCCCTCCCAGATAGGAACAATCCCACCCTCCCTTTTCCTATTTTTGTGCTGTCTGAAGTCTGTGTGGCTGTCACGCTGTGATATAATTTTCCACCTTTTAGCTGGGCAATCTCTAGCAAGTCACTTAAATGACTCTCAATTTCATCTGGAAATGAAGATAATAATACCGATTTTGCAGGACTGTTGGAAGGATTCAGAAATGCTCAGCTTGGTATGTAAACCACAAATGACTATTTTTCAAATTCTTGGCAAATTCATGCTCAATCCAACCTTCTCTTGCTTCTGGGTAATGGGCTCCCTTAAATATGATTCTGTCCATTTTTGCTACTTCTCAGTCAGCTTAAATATAAAACAGTCTCATTTCTATTATTATAGCTTAGTCCAATCTATTTTTGAATTCCCATCTCATAAAAGTTCTCCTTTCCCTGACCCCTCTGCCCAGGTTGTGCTTGGGTCTCAGCTGCTTAGGGCAGAGGGCACTTCATGTGGTGCACTCTTGGCCCATTGGCTCATTGTTCTTCCCTGGCCACCCTCCTCTGGTGTTGGAATGGGAAGGAAGGAGAAGGAAATTGGTGTTTGTCTTCACCTGACTGTTGCTGGAGGATGTGGCTGTTCTCTTCATTGCTCATAACTCCTGTTCCCTTATGTGAGCAAACCCACAGGGGTCTGCTGGGGTGATGTTGAGTTCCCTTCTTGTGGGATGTCTCTGCTTCTTAGTCTCCCTCTTGAAGGGACTGGCTGTTTCACTCTAGGGCCTGGTGCTTAGATGCAGGTCCTTTTGTAGAGGCAGTTTATGGTTCTCTGAAGGGCTCTCTGGGGATTGCCCTCTACCCAGTCCCCTGGTGTGGCAGATCCAGCTGAGGCTTGACCTCTTCCTCTTCTCTCAACCCTCCCCTCCATGGGTGGTCCATCATATAGCCTCTGCCTGCAAAAGCCCCTTCTTCCAGTTGGTGGTCCACTTAGAGGAACCAGCAAGAAAGTTTAAGCCCAGACACCTTCCTGGGGCCCACTGTACCTACGGGAGACTCCCTATCAGTTCCCTGAGAGCCCAGCCTGCCCACACTTCCTCTCTCATTTCCACCTGCTCTCACCTACCCTTTCCCACAACCAGCACCACCAGCTTCAGGGTCTCTGGTTCTCCCCAGGTCATCGGATTCAAAAGGCTTCAGAAGTGAGATAATTGGCCCAATTCAATGTGTTGAAGAGGGTGAGGGAACAGGAGTTCGACTTTGGCAATTTTTTAGGAAGGAGAAGGACAAGTCAAACACCCTCCTCAGAGGAGAGGAAGAGAAAGGAGAGTTGACAGTCCACAAACACAGTGTCCCCTCCAAAAATTCCCCCTGCTGACTCCTGTGGCCCTCTTCTTCCCTTCTGATAAGACCAACAACCTTGTTCAGCCTCTGGATCCTGGGGACCCGTGGAAGTCATTCACATAGAACTAGACCTTCTTTGAACGAGACTTAGAAGAATTTAGTAGCAATAGGGTGCTATCTCTGCTACAATCCCAGTACTACCTGGTAGCCTCCAGTGACATGAAAACAGGCTGTTTGAGACCAATCTGTTTGATTCAGAAAGAGAGAGCAGGTACCTAGCATAGTGTTAGTGTTTGCGAAGTTAATAATCATAGTTACTGACCTTGTTTTGGCTGGGAAGCCTTTCAGAAAAGGGACTCTATATGGTTAAATCACTTCAATTAAATCCAACAATTATAAGCTAAAGACCTTATGTGCCCTAGATCTATGGATAGTACTAGCTTTAAGGAGCTTGTGCCTAGTATGGGAAACAGACAAAGAACCAGATGATTACAGGCAAGGAAGGAGGTGAAGGGGTATCCCAAGGAAAGTTTGTCCCAAGGCAAGAAGGAACAACTGAGCTACCCCTCCAAGACTGAATAAGAGTTAGCCTAGCAAAAAAGAGCCTGTTTTAAGCAAGGAGAAGGCCCAGGTAAAGGACTGGAGGTACAAGACAGGATAGGATGTTTGGGAAACTGGAGGGGCTTGAGTACAACTGAGAGAAGAGCACTGGGGGTGAGAGGGGAAGATGAAGGGCACAAAGAGAGAGAGGACATTGGAGCAGTAGAGGGTGCCAGGGAACAAGGTGAACCGTAGGCCACGTTAATGATTCCAGACCTTCTCTAGAGGGTCACGGGGAGTCATGCATATGCTTGAAACGGGAAGAATTGATAGGATTTCTAGTTCAGGAAGGCTATTCTGGCTACACTCAGGAGAAGAAATTGGTCGGGAGAGACGCTGGGGTTAGGAAGGCCTGTTGGAGGCTGTTGCTGTCATCCAGAGAAGAGGTAACAGTGGCCTGGACTAAAGTGTGGGCAGAGGGATGGAGAGGCGAATGAGGGCCAGAGATCTTAAGGAGCTATTTACAGCAGCCGTTGGCAATTGATAGAATGTAGGAGTTGAAAGAAGAAAATGCAAGTATGATGTCCAGATTTCTGGCCTGAGTAATTGAGTGCATCGTCGTGCTGCTCTCAAAGCTAAATGACCCTAGGGGAAAATCAAGTCTGGTTCAGGAGATAGGACAGTGGTGCATTTAATATCATATGTTATTTACATGCTGCTTGCAACAAGCCTTGTGAAATAGATAGCACTCCTCCCATCACTTAAATGGAGACACTAACAGTCTGTGAGGTGAAGAGTCATAAAGTCAAGAAGTAGAGCTAGGAGAGGACTCCTCCTGACTATACATCTCCTAAAAACAAGGGAACACCAGGAGGCCAAATTCCCAAAACCAACATGGGTCTGATCATCAATAATATCACCCTGGAAGCTCCAAATTCCTGTTTAGGAGAACAAAGGAAGAAAATCCAAGCGATATCACCCATAGTCATTTCTGTTCATCTCAAATTCCCCATCAGAGTTGGAGCCTGGACTTCCTTTATCCTCACCGCACAAATTGCCAGCCCTTCACCCGTGGTTAAAATGGTTCCTGTATGGAGGGAGGTCAAATCTGACAAAAGGTAGCATTTCCTCTTATGGCAGAATTGTCCCCACCTACTCTCTGGCCTCACCTCACACACCCATAGCTCCTCAGCTGCTGTGGTCTTGGTGTCACAGCAGGGCCCACTGCTCTTTCTTCTTCAAGCAATCTTGCAAAAGGGAAGTAACATATCACCATAATTATTCTGCCTAGAATAAACCACTTCTCCCTGCTCAGAGCTGAGCCTAGTATATGCTATCTGATGTCTGTTGCTTCTGGACTTTTGGAGCCTGCAGGTTTCAACCTTCTCCCCATCTCAGCAAATGCAATCAACCACCAGATTTGTATTAAACACCTGCACTACATCCATCATCAGATCTTGCTCAGTGGAAAGCTCAGTGATAAAGTCACATTATAAACTGAGGCCATTTTGCATATAATGCCCAAATTAAAGGCACAAATTCAAAAGGTAGGGAAACAAAACATTTTCAGGCACCTACTATATGCTAGGCACTGTATGAGTGTTTTCTATATGGCATCTCATTCAATTCTCATAATAAATCATGAGATGGAATTTAGTCCCTACATTTTGTACACAGTGGGAGAAGAAACTCCATACAACAATGACTAGCAAGCTTTCAACAAACTCATGTTCTCTTTTTACTGTTCATACATGTAGACTACATTTCCCAGACTTCCTGGCAGTTAGTCCTGCCCAATAGAAGTTACAGGTGCTACTTCCAGACCTGGCCCATTAAAAACTCTGTATAGGCCAGGCATGGTGACTTACACCTGTAATCCCAGCACTCTGGGAGGCCAAGCCTGGTGGGTCACTGGAGATCAGGAGTTCAAGACCAGCCTGGCCAATATGGTGAAACCCCATCTCTACTAAAAATACAAAAATTAGCCAGGCATGGTGGCACGCACCTGCAATCCCAGCTACTAGGGAGGCTGAGGCAGGAGAATTACTTGAACCCTGGAGGCGGAGGTTGCAGTGAGCTGAGATAGCTCTACTGCACTCCAGCCTGGGTGACAGAGCAAGACTCCATCACAAAAATAAAAAACAACTAAAAAAACCTCTGTATAATCCTTTACTCTCCCTTCTTCTCTATGTCATACCCCAGAGAACCCTGGAAGCCACATGCTGAAGATGACAGAGGCTCTTTCAGTCGGATTCCCTGAATCACTGCATGGAGCAGAGTGCCCCTGGCCCCTGCTGTTGGAGTTTAGGTGAGTGAGAAATAAAATTCTATTATGATCGTGATTAGTGACCTTAGAAGAAGAGAAAAAAATTCTATTGTAATAAGCCACCAAAAGTTTATCTCTTACTGTAGCAAACATTCTTTAATGAATACAACAGGCTTCAAAAACATCAAATTACCTGCACAAAGTCAATCCCCTAGTGTCAGAAAACAGATTTTTTTATTATACTTTAAGTTCTAGGGTACATGTGCACAATGTGCAGGTTTGTTACATATGTATACATGTGCCATGTTGGAGTGCTGCGGCCATTAACTTGTCATTTACATTAGGTATTTCTCCTAATGCTATCCCTCCCCCCTCCCCCCACCCCAGGACAGGCCCCAGTGTGTGATGTTCCCCACCCTGTGTCCAAGTGTTCTCATTGTTCAGTTCCCACCTGAGTGAGAACATGCAGTGTTTGGTTTTCTGTCCTTGCGATAGTTTGCTCAGAATGATGGCTTCCAGCTTCATCCATGTGCCTAAAAACCCTAGAAGAAAACCTAGGCAATACCATTCAGGCCATAGTCACAGGCAAGGACTTCATGACTAAAACACCAAAAGCAATGGCAACAAAAGCCAAAATTGACAAATGGGATCTAATTAAACTAAAAAGCTTCTGCACAGCTAAAGAAACCACCATCAGAGTGAACAGGCAACCTGCGGATTTAAATTTAGTCTTGCTTTATTCAAAGCCCCAGTAGATAAATATTTTATTTTATTTTATTTTATTTTTACATTTTGCTTATAGATTTGGGTGGTCTGGAGAGGCTTTCTGGAAGAAGTATAACTTCATTATTACTATAGCAAATAAGATTTTAGAAGACAGAAAGAAGGGTGGCAGTGAAAGGAGTTAGAGGAAGGAGGATACAAAGTATTCTGAAGGAACCTGAATAGAGCAATGCTTCTGTGCTAGAGAATTACGAAGCAGCAAATTGGTACTGTAGATCAGGCTGTATCTGTCAGGATAAATTAGGTTACATTGCATTAACAAAAAGAATCAAAATCTCAATGGCTTAACACAACCAGAGTTTATTTCTGGCTTCCACTATAAGTTCAGTGTGAGTCCCCAGGAATTTGACACGCATCACTCACTCTGGTCATTTCTTTGGGCAATGAAAATAATATAACTATACTAAATTCAGAGATGGTAGAAGTACAATTCTACCATATACCCAGAAAGCAAAGATCTGGGAATATTTGATAAGCCGCAGTAATGGCTACCATAGAGTCAAAATGGTAGAGATGTCAAAGTAAAGAAATACATGTACCTTCGGGAAAGTTTTTATTAAGGCTTAACCATACAACTTTTTTTTTTTTTTTTTTTTTTTTTTTGAGACGGAGTCTCGTTCTGTCGCCCAGGCGGGAGTGCTGTGGCGCGATCTCCGCTCACTGCAAGCTCCGCCTTCTGGGTTCACGCCATTCTCCTGCCTCAGCCTCCCGAGTAGCTGGGACTACAGGCGCCCGCCACTGCGCCCGGCTAATTTTTTTTTTGTATTTTTAGTAGAGACGGGGTTTCACCGTGGTCTCGATCTCCTGACCTCGTGATCCGCCCGCCTCGGCCTCCCAAAGTGCTGGGATTACAGGCGTGAGCCACCGCGCCCGGCCAACCATATAACTTTTATCAAAAGCCAGAATTGTTATTTTATATAGAGAGCAGAATTATAGATAGAAAGACTATGTACAGCTTTTGAAAAGGCAGTTTGGGAATAAACATAAGAAATTTTGAGAAAGTGCATACCGGAAACTTCTCAAATTCCTCTCATATACAAAATTCCATAGTATTAAGTTCTTTGATTCTAGAGGCAGACATATCTGAACTCAAATCCAGACTCTGCCATCCACCAAATATGTGGTAATAGACAGGTTATCTAGCCTATCTTAGCCTAGCTTTCTCATCTGTGAAATGAGAACAATGGTAGCAGCTATCTTATAGATTTGTTGTGAGAGTTAAATAATTTAACACATGTAAAAGCACTTAGTATAGTGGCCATTGCTTAGTAAATTCTTTAAAAATTTTCACAGCTCTAAAAAGTTGAGAATTCACAAAGATACGCACATTATCTGTGGTACTGTTTGTAACAGTAAAAAAAAAAAATGTAAAATTGGGCCGGGTGTGATGGCTCACGCCCGTAATCCCAGCACTTTGGGAGGCCAAGGTGGGCAGATCACCTGACGTCAGGAGATCGAGACCAGCCTGGCCAACATGGTGAAACCCCGACTCTACTAAAAATACAAAAGTTAGCTGGGCATGGTGGTAGATGCCTGTAATCCCAGCTACTCGGGAGGCTAAGGCAGGAGAATCACTTGAACCCAGGAGGTCGAGTTTGCATTGAGCTAAGATCACACCATTGCACTCCAGCCTGGGGGACAAGAGTGAGACTTCATCTCAAAAAAAAAAAAAAAAAAAAAAAAAGTAAAACTCTCTATGTTTCATCAATGGAAAAATTGCTACATGTGTGGAGGGAGAGAATAAAAGAGAGTGAGAGAAGATCAAATGTTGCTTTTAAAAATACAATAGAATCATATATATAGATCTGGAAAGACATGTATACTATATTGTGTAACTGGGAAAAGCAAGTTGCAGAACACAATGCATAGCTTGATGTCAAGAGTATGTATATCATGCATATACATATTTATATTGAAAACTTAAGGACCCCTTAATTTGTCAAGAATTCCCTATGAAAAAAAAATGTGCTAAGTTCTGGGGCAGTGCAGAAGACTGGAGAGCAAAGCTCAATAAAGGGCAGAGCAAAAGTTCTCACAACAACATAGTGTGTGGGAGTCCTACTGGAGGGAAGGAGGCGGGCTCAAACACAGGGCATCAAGACACCTGCCAGTTTTTGAAGCTATGGACAATGTGAGGCCCAAGAACTAAGCCCCAAACAAACAAACGACATAACTGAAAGTACCACAATCTTGCAAGCACAAAGAGATAGAGAGTGAACAGGCTTTCAATCACAAACAAACAAACAAACAAAAAGGCCATGACTTAAGCACAAGAATGAAACAGAGATTGACTGAGTTTTACTAAAATTGCAACCCCACGCCAACCACACTCAGTCACTGATGAGGTTGAAATATCAGCCTTTCCCATTGTGGAAGACAGTGTGGCAACTCCTCAAGGATCTAGAACCAGAAACACCATTTGACCCAGCAATCCCATTACTGGATATATACCCAAAGGATCATAAATCATTCTACTATAAAGACACATGCACACATATGTTTATTGCAGTACTATTGACAATAGCAAAGACTTGGAACCAACCCAAACGCTCATCAATGATAGACTGGATAAAGAAAATGTGGCACATATATACCATGGAATACTATGCAGCCATTAAAAAGAATGAGTTTATGTCCTTTGCAGGGACATGGATGAAGCTGGAAACCATCATTCTCAGAAAACTAACACAGAAACAGAAAACCAAACACCGCATGTCCTCACTCATAAATGGGAGTTGAACAATGAGAACACATGGACACAGGGAGGGGAACATCACACACCGGGACCTGTTGAGGGGTGGGGGGCAAGGAAAGTGATAGCATAAGGAAAAATACCTAATGCAGATGACAGGTTGATGGGTGCAGCAAACTGCCATGGCATGTGTTATATCTATGTAACAAACCTGCACATTCTGCACATATATCCCAGAACTTAAAGTATAATTAAAAAAAAAAAAGAAAGAGGTATCAGCCCTTCATCTAATAGAGCAAAGGGGGAGCTCCTGTGGTATGTCTCTATGGCACACAATTAAAATAAAGATTTTCTTTCTTCTAAAAAAAAAAAAAAAAAAGCAGGGTCTCTCTCACCCAGACTGGAGTGGAGTGGCACAATCACAGCTCACTGTAGCCCTGATCTCCTGGGCTCAGGTGAAGCTTTTGCCTCAGCCTCCCAAGCAGATGGGACCACAGGCACATTTATGTGGCCTAACAGGCCACCATGTCCTGTTAAATTTTTTTTTGTAGACATGAGGTCTCACTATGTTGCCCACGTTGGTCTTGAACTCCTGAGCTCAAGTGATCCTCCCTCCTCAGCCTCTCAAAGTACTGGCATTACTGGGATTACAGGCATGAGGAACCATACCCAGCCATAAGATTTGCAAAATGCAACAAAATATAACTAATGATCAAGACAAAAAAACAATACAGGCAGATATTGGTCTTACCAGGTAGGGACTTTTAAATGGTTATAAGCAATAGATTAAGAAAACAAAGGAAGAGGTAGACAAAGCAATTAAAAAGATGAAGGATTTCAACACAGAACTGAATCTACAGATAAGAATCAAATGGACATTCTATAACTAAAAAGTATTCGAAAATTAAAAATATATAGAATAGGTAAAGAGCAAACTAGACACAGAAAAACCAGGAGTAGTGAAATAGAAGCCCAGCCATAGAAAATATGTGAACTGAAGCAACAAGAATAAAAAAAAGAACAAAAGAAAAGTGGAATAAAATGTAAGATAAAGATGTATGTTGGATTCAGTCAACATGTATAAAATATGCATAACCAGAGTCAGAGAGAAGAGAAAGAGACAAAAATACATCAGGAATATTTCAAGAGATATCAAGAGATAATGGCTGAGAATTTTACAAAACTGTGATAGTTACCAACATACAGATTTAAGAAACTCAGTTAATTTCAGTCATTTTCTTTAATAGTCAAAATGCTAAAGATCAAAATCAAAATGAAAATCTTGAAAGCTAATTGAAGGAAAAAGACAAGCAACCAATAAGGCTGCTTTTTGCGGTCAATTGTAAGGCTGACAATTAACTTTTCAATAGAATCTGTGTAAAGCAGAAAACAGTAGAATAACACCAGGACAACACACATACACACACAGACACACACACACACACACACACTCCAACAATCTAAAATTCTAGACCCAGTGAAAATATTCTTCAAAAATGAAGGCAATGGGTTGGGTGTAGTGGCTCACACCTCTAATCCCAGCACTTTGGGAGGCCAAGGTGAGTGGATCACTTGAGGTCAGGAGTTTGAGACCAGCCTGGCCAACATGATGAAACCCCATCTCTACTAGAAACACAAAAATTAGCCAGGCCTGGTGATGCATGTTTATAGTACCGGCTACTCAGGAGGCTGAGGCAGGAGAATCGCTTGAACCCAGGAGAGAGAGGTTACAGTGAGCAGAGATTATGCCACTGCACTCCAGCCTGAGAGACAGAGTGAGACTCCATCTCAAAAAAAAAAATAAAAATAAAAATAAAAAGGCTATGACTTTCAGTTCCAGCCATGATAGAATAGTTTATGACAGATTATTCTCCCACTGGAAGTAACTATTAAAGCTAAAGTATATATAATAATATATATTATTTCAAAGCATTGGTGTACAACCAACAAAGACAGGAATTAAGGAGTCTTTGAAAGAGAGAATGCAATTGATGCAAATTTTACATTCTCCCTAGTGTATTTTATGAGGGCATTTTCCAAATCACTGTGTAGAAGACTAGAACCCAGACAGAAAGCAGCAGTCTCAGTGGGCCAAAGGGGTAGATGTTGGAATTCAGGGCTGCTGAAATGGTGAGAACTTGAGGGAGACAGGAAAATACAGAGAAAGACTCCTAAATTCTGCATATAATCCACACATGGCCAACTCCCAAAATGCTTAATCACAGGCCAAGACTCCAAGAAACCCAGCAGAAAAAGCAGCTTAAAAGCTAAAGGGACAAGAACAACCTTCAGCAACTCCAAGGTGTTAGGAGACTAAGGTTGAAATTCAAGCCCCGCCAAGGTGAAAGACCTTGGTAAATACCCTAGATTTTCAATTGAGTCTCCCAAAAGACCATCCATTAGAATAAATGACCATGCACTAACAGTAAAGGCTGTACGCTAGGGGTAAGAGAAACCTTGAAATAGACTGACTCTAATAAAGATTAAAATCAGGCTTTTGACAATTTCAAGGTGATCTGCCAGTGCTTTATCTGCCTTTCAGAAGAAAACTTAACGATCTTTGGAAAAAGATAACATCATGCAGAACCTCTACAATTTTTCATCCACTATATCTAGCATCTGTTCCAAAATTATGAGGTATGATGAAAATTTAAAATAGACAACCGAAACAGACTCAAAGATGATTCAGATAATCTCAGATTTATTAGATGGAGACTCTAAAATGACTATTTTAATATAGTCAAGAAAATAGAAGTTAGAATAGTGGGAAAGAAAGGAATTTCAAGAGAGTCAGAATTTATGAAAAAGAATCAAGTAGACTTTCTAGAACTGAAAAATATGTTTGAATTAAAACCATGGATACATTAACAGCAGACTAGACATAGGAGAAGACAAGTCAATAGAAAATATGCAAATAGAAGCATAGAAAGTAACAAGAATGGATGAAAAAAATTGGACCAGTGTCTAAGAGACAAGTGGAGCTCAGTCAATAAGCTAAGGCTTAAAGAGGATTAGTTTCCCAGAGGTCACAAAGCTAGCAAATGTCAGTCTGGGATTTGACATCAGGCACTCTGACTCCAGAGTTCACCCTCTTAGCTGTTGTACTATACCACCTCCTGATATTTAAACAGAAAAAAACAAACAAACAAAACAATCCCAAACAATGGATGCCAAAGGCTGTCAAAAGCAGTTTGAATAGATTTCCCTTTGCTGAATTCAAAATCAACACTTGTGAATTATTAGAACTATGACAAATAAAGAAAAGCACAGAAAAAGCCTTTTTAAAAGCTGAGCTGGCATCTAGATGCTCCTAGAGACACAAAGCCTGCATCCTCCCCTCTCTCTTGCAATCACCATCACTGTTCCACGACATCTGTTTGTATTCATTGCTAGCCACGGGAACATTTGTTTTATAGCAGGAGAAGGAGGAGTTTGGATAAAGGTCTGGAGAACAATTTTTTAAAACCAGATGGAATGGGATTGCATTGCCTTTCTTCCCCCAGTCTGGCCTCCTGAAGTGGGTTATTGTCTCTGTGGTTCATTCATTCAAACATTTATTGGATGCCTTCTCTGTGCCAAGCACAGTTCTAATGTCTGGGGATTCACCAGTAAAGAAAACAGAGAGGGAAACTTCAATTTGCCAATTAACAGTTATCTCAGTAATTTCCATGTGCAATAGTCTCTTTCATCTCAGGTTCTTTTGGGTAAAGCCTCACCTTTTCTTTTTCTCTGTTCTGGGTGAGTAAGGAGACTGGTGTGGTGTCACTATGATATTAAAAGATGGGGCCTCTGATCTATGCTCTGGCCTCTGGGTCCTCACACATGACTGACAGATGCCAGGCCTGATATGGACCTGTGTTGTCCTCCCTGGGTGACTCAGCCCCGCCTCAGCTCTGGCTAGCCCTGAAGGTTCTGCTGGGCCTCAGTCACATACTCCACTGGGCCTATGAGAAGGGTACCCATGCTAAGCCTCTGCCACAATCTCCTCCCCAGGAAGAGTGCCCCCAGGATGGATGCAGGAATTGTCTGGATGCTTCTCACTCCATGGAGGAGCAGCCAGGACCAAGACTGCTCCCCGCCCAACAAGTGGTACCACATCTGGCTCTGCAGCTCTGCCTCTGTGCTTCTGAAAGTGCTGCCTCTTCTCTGCACCACCCTCCTCTCCCTAATTGACATGAGTGACCCAGCAAAGAAGCATCCTCCAGCGACCCAGCACAAACCTCCTCTGCTTGGGTGCTCCCTTCATCTTGAGGAAGGCCTCCCCTTCCAGATATTAGTCCAGACAAGCAGGGTCAGAATGGGACACACACATCTGAGTCTTTGCATCCTCTGACCCTCACCCTAACAAGGTTTTCCCCTTCCTCTCCCAGCCCAATCAGAACATCTCTAATGTGACATCCGCCTTGCTCCTCATGGTCTTGTTGTCTCAGTAGAGGAGAATCCTCTTTACATGGCACAGGAGGCTCTGTGGTCTAAGTTGGCTGAATTTGACTATTTACATAGGAGCTACTGGACCACTAGGAAGCGAGAGTAATCGCTGACAAAAATACATGGTTTAGTCACCAAAAAATAACATTCCTCTACTCCACCCATCTCCAAAAAACATAATTGTACACAGTTCAAATGGCTTAGATCCAAAGCAGGCAATAACGAATGTTGGCAAGGACGTGGAGAAAAGGGAACCCTTGTACACTGTTAGTGGGAATGTAAATTAGTACAACCACTATGGAGAACAGTTCAGAGGTTCCTCAAAAAAACTAAAAATAGAGCTACTGTATGTTCCAGCTGTCTCACTGCTGGGTATATACCCAAAGAAAGGAAATCAGGATATCGAAGTGATATTTGCCCTCCCATGTTTGTTACAGCACCATTCACAATAGCCAAGATTTGTAAGCAAGCCAAGAGTCCATCAACAGATGAATGGATAAAGACAATGTGGCACATATACACAATGGAGTATATTCAGCCATTAAAAAAGAATGAGATTCTGTCATTTGCAACAACATGGATGGAATTGGAGGTCATTATGTTAAGTTAAATAAGCCAGCAGGGAAAGATAAATGTCACATGTTCTCACTTACTTGTGGGATCTAAAATCAAAACAATTGAATTCATGGACATAGAGAGTAGAAGGATGGTTACCAGAGGCTGGGAAGGGTAGTGGAGGTTGGGGGGAAAGTGAGGATAATTAATGGGTACAAAAAAATATAGAATAAATAAGACCTACTGTTTGATAGTACAACAGGGTGACTATAGTCAATGATAACTTAATTGTACATTTTAAAATAACTAAAAGGGTATAATTGGATTGTTTGTAACACAAAGGATAAATGCTTCAGGGGATGGATACTCTATTCTCCAAGATGTGATTATTATGCATTGCATGCCTATATCAAAACATTTCATGTACCTCATAAATCTATATACCTAGTATGAACCCACAAAATTTAAAATTTAAAAAAGATAATTTTTATAGTGATTCATTCCATAAAAATATCTTAAAGGTTGTGTCATAGAGAGGGATTGGTTGGAGATGAAGTGCTATTTTAATTTAGTGATCTGAAATGACATCTCATTATCCTAGGCAAACTAACACAGAAGCAGAAAACCAAATGCCACATATTCTCACTTGTAAGTGGGAGCTAAACATTGGGTACACATGGATACAAAGATGGGAAAGATAGACAGTGGAGACCATAAGAGGGAGGAGGAATAAAGGGAAGCAAAGGCTGAGAAACTACCTCTCGGGTACTATGCTTATACCTGGGTGACAGGATCAATCTACCCCAAACCTGCCCATGTAACAATATACCCATGTAACAAACCTGCACATGTACCCCTGAAACTAAAATAAAAGTTGAAGGCCAGGAACGGTGGCTCACACCTGTAATCCCAGCACTTTGGGAAGCCAAGGCGGGCAGATCACTTGAGGCCAGGATTTAGAGACCAGCCATGGCCAACATGGTGAGACCCTATCTCTACCAAAAATACAAAAAAAAAAAAATTAGCCTGGCGTGGTGGTGCTCACCCGTAATCCCAGCTACTCTGGAGGCTGAGGCACAAGAATTGCTTGAACCTAGGAGACGTAAGTTGCAGTGAGCCAAGATTGCACCACTACACCCCAGCCTGGGCGATAGAGTGAGACTGTCTCAAAAATAAAATAAAATAATAATAATAATAAATAAAATAAAGGTTGAAGAAAAAAGAAAAAAAAAGAAATGGCCTCTCATGCTAAAAAGTAAGAAAATGCTCAAAAGACAAAATGATGGGATTATTTCCAAGGGACCCAGTAGCCAATTAAAAGATCATCCAATGGCCAAAGCTGGAACCATTTGAGCAACCAAATCAATAAGATAGTATTGGATTATGGCCCAAAGTATAAAATAAATATCCATGAGTCTGTGTTGATATAAACAAAAAAGAGTGACTAAGTTAACAAAAGGAGAAGAGACAAATCTGCTATACCAAAAAAAATACCAAATAGTTTATGCAGATACCATACCCTCCAGGAGCTGGAGTGCAGTGGCACAATCATAGCTCACCACAGCCTTGACTTGCCAGGCTCAAGCAATTCTACCTCAGCCCCACAAGCAGCTGGGACCACAGGCATGCACTGCCATGCCTGGCTAATTTTTTCAAAAATTTCTTGTAGAGACAGTGTCTCACTATGTTGCCCAGGCTGGTCTTGAACTTCTGAGCTCAAGCGATCCTCCCGCCTCAGCCTCCCAAAACGCTGGGATTTACAGGCATAAGCCACTGCTCCCCACCTAGTATTAATAATTGTAATGATAATCCAAAGAAATATTTTAATACTTTTAAAATCTTAAAGCCACATGAAGTTAAAATTTATATTTCTATATATATTGTTGTGGCGGAAAGGTATAAGGTGGTCAATTCAAAAAACTTTCAAACAGAAAAATATATACTATATTAGGAAAAAGTCTGTAGAAGAAGTAGAATGAGAAAAAAGAAAAATAGAGATTTGCCAACAGTTTGAGTTATGTTTTAGGTGGAGGATGGTGGCTATTACATCACAATGGTATTTACATTCCATTGGGTGTATTTTAAGAGATGATGCAACAGCTTTATTTTTTATGTCAATATTTACAATGGGCCAGAAGTTGTATTCTTCATATTCATGTACACCTGTGATTTTAAAAAAAAATCAGGAACAATTTAAAGAAGTACAAAATGGTAGATAATTTTTCAAAATTTTTTTTTTTTTTTTTTTTTTTTGAGACAGTCTTGCTCTGTCGCCCAGGCTGGAGTGCAGTGACCTGATATGGGCTCACTGCAACCTCTGCCTCCTGGGTTCAAGCAACTATCATGCCTCAGCCTCCATAGTAGCTGGGACTACAGGTGCATGCCACCATGCCTGGCTAATTTTTGTATCTTAAGTAGAGACAGGGTTTCACCATGTTGGCCAGGCTGGTCTCAAAGTCCTGACCCCGGCCCCCCAAAGTTCTGGGATTACAGTCATGAGCCACCATGACCAGACTCAAAATCCTTTTCAGGAACATGTGAGCAAGGTTTTTTGAAGACCATAGGCCTATCCAATGCCCATTCTCTCTCATTTCTTTCTGTTCCTTATGCCAAAGCTGTAGGCAATGTGTCCAGCTAAAGATCTACCTTTCCAAGTCTCTTTGCAGATACATATTATCAAGGTCTGGCCAATAAGCTGTGCACGTTGCCATTCCTCTCTTCCATATTGAATGTGAACACAATAGCTGTAGCTCTAGCAGACAGCTTGAACTTGCACGAAGAATAGCAATAGTGAAAACACAGAAGGAACCTGAGTTCTAAATAACTTTGTGACCCAAACTACCTACCTCCAGATTTTGTTTAGGTAGAAAAGGGCAAATCCATTTATGTTTAAGTTACTGTTATTTAGGATTTTCTGTTACACATGGCCAAATCTAATCCTGACCAATAGAGTGGCTGTAGCATACATTATATAATCAATCAGATGTTGAACATTTAGATTATTGCCAGATTTTGCTGTTTATTATACATCACACTGTGATCCTTATTTGATGTATCTTCATACACATTCAGAGTTATTTTTCCAGGAGATAATCTAAGAAGTAAATTCTGGGTCAAGAATGTTTTGATACATATTGCAAATTTTTTCCTTCACAAAAGCTAATTTATATTTATGTCAATAGTGTATGAGACGGTGGAATTCCACATTCTTTCATCGTCATTGGGCAGTCTTTTTTTTCTAAATATTTGCAAATCGATAAGGAAAAAAGGTTTGTTTGTATTTTTTGATAACTAATATAGTTAAACTTTTTTCTATTTATCTGCCATTGGATAAAATTGTCATTTTATCTTTATTGTTTAAAAAAAATTAAGAAAAAGAGCCAAAAGTGTTTTTTACTTTAAATTTTATTTTTTTATTTCATTTTTCCATAAGTTATTGGAGTACAGGTGGTATTTGGTTACAAGAGTAAGTTCTTTCATGGTGATTTGTGAGATTTTGGTGCACCCATCAGCCAGGCAGTACACACTGCACCCTATTTGTAGTCTTTTATCCCTCACCCCCTTCCCACTCTTCCCCCTAAGTCCTCAGAGTCCATTGTATCATTCTTATGCCTTTGTGTCCTCATAGCTTAGCTCCCACATATCAGTAAGAACATACGATGTTTGGTTTTCCATTCCTGAGTTACTTCACTTGGAATAATAGTCTCCAGTCTCATCCAGGTCACTGCAAATGCAGTGGCCTTTTTTCATTTCTTTTTATGACTGAGTAGTATTCCATCATCTATATATACCACAGTTTCTTTATCAACTTGTTGATTGATGGGCATTTGAGTTGGTTCCACGATTTTGCAATCATGAATTGTGCTGCTATAAACATGCATGTGCAAGTATCTTTTCCAAATAATGACTTCTTTTCCTCTGGGTCGATACCCAGTAGTGGGATTGCTGGATCAAATGGTAGTTCCACTTTTAGTTCTTCAAGGAATCTCCACAGTGTTTTCCATAGAGGCTGTACTAGCTTACATTCCCATCAGCAGTGCACAAGTGTCCCCTGATCACCGCATCCATGCCAACATCTACTGTTTTTTGCTTTTTTTATTATGGCCATTCTTGCAGGAGTAAGGTGGTATCGCATTGTGGTTTTGATTTGCATTTCTCTGATCATTAGTGATGTTGTGCATTTTTTCATATGTTCGTTGGCCATTTGTATATCTTGACAGTTGTCTATTCATGTCCTTAGCCCACTTTTTGATGGGATTGTCTGTTTTTTTCTTACTGATTTGAGTTTGTTGTAGATTCTGGATATTAGTCCTTTGTGAGATGCGCAGATTGTGAAGATTTTCTCCCATTCTGTGGGTTTTCTGTTTAGTCTGCTGACTGTTCCTTTTGCCTTGCAAAAGCTCTTTAGTTTAATTAGGTCCCAACTATTTATCTTTGTTTTTATTGCATTTGCTTGCAGGTTCTTGGTCACAAAATCCTTGCCTAAGCCAGTGTCTAGGAGGGTTTTTCCAATGTTATCTTCTAGAATTTTTATAGTTCCAGGTCTTAGGTTTAAATTCTTAATCCATCTTGAGTTGATTTTTGTATAAGATGAGGATCCAATTTCATTCTTCTACATGTGGCTAGCCAAGAGCGAAAAGTATTTTTGTTTCAGATTATTTGAAGGTTGGAGAACTACAAGTGAAGCTACCTCTAGGATCTCTGTTTATATAAAGCTTCATGGCAACAGAGAAGTTGTCTATCTTACACTGTGTCCATTTACTGGCAAGTAGTAGGCAACTCATTGAACATTTGTTGAATGCATGAAAGCCATTATCTTATTACAGTATATGACTTTGGGCAAGTAGTTTTCTAATCAGTTTCCCAGTTCATAAACTAACAAGATTGAATAAATCTATGTCATGGTCTCTTCCAAGTCCAACAATTTTTTATTCAAAGAGAGATCCAAGTAATGCCCACAAAGCATCATATGGGAAAGACTCCCTTCCTTTGCAGCTATTTCTACTGATCAGAAGAACCAGAGGCAAAAAATAATAATAGAAAATTAGAATTTAACATTCCTTTGTGCTCCTCTTCTTCCAAATTACTAGACAATAAAAGAGTTACAAAGGCAGTAAGAAACACAGAGAAAGTCCCTCCTCCCTTGAATTTGCCCTTTGGGGACTAGTGGTGGTTCCTAGTTTCAACCCAAAGTCCATATTCTCTTGTTCTGTTGGAGCCTAGATTTTGAAGTCAGAGAGAGGTGGGTTTCATTGAGCAAGTCATCAAACTCCCCAAGCCTGCATTCCTTATATATAAATTAGGGATAACCATACCCATCCCATAGGATTAAATAAGATACATGCCCAGCACAAAGCCCACTGTATAGGAGATGCTCAGTCAATATTAGTTTCCATGATGTGCCCAATTCCGAACATCTGAGGGGGCAAGCAAATGTAGCAGTGGGTTTTTTTCTAGAAAAGCCCCCACATTGGAATTAGTCATGGTTTCTGGCTACATAATTTCAGATTCTCACTCTCTGCCTCTCCTGGAGATTCTGAGAGTTTCCTAATACCCTTTCAAAAATTCCTTTGCTACTTAAATGAGCCAGAGTGGATTCCACTGTCTGCAACATAGAATCAAGACCATTATAGTTCCTATGGAAGTTCACATTTAACAGATCATTTAGTCCAAATCCCAGAAGAAGAGCTTCATTGGAAAGAAGTGTTTGTCTATCCATGCAGTGTAGCTCCTAGTCCTGACTCTAATACGGTTTCGTATTTTGCCTTAATCAACTCATGTGTAAATTGTCTTATTAGTTCAGCAGGAGCCCCTTAGAAACAGAGGCAGCCTCTTGAGATCCACTGGAAAAGGCCCAGAAGGACAAGTCACAGATGGAGAGGTAAGGTCTTGGGCCTACCACTGGAAACCCACCTAGTCCAAGGTAAGTCCTTTCAATTCCTTAAGTCTTGGTTCCCTGTGAAATAAGAAACTGGCATGTGGCCCAGGGAACTGACATGAAATCAAAGAGAAAATGGACGTGAAGAGCCCTGGTCAATCGCAGATCCAAGAAGCAACTTAAATAGTGTCCACTTCCATCTCTCTTCCCTAGAAGCAGGGATTGAGTCATGGCTTCCTCTTCTAAGGCACTTAACCCAGTGATTAGGTCTCTTGGACCGGGGCAGGACCAACACGTGGGGCATATCGCCCTCTGGTGGGCTTAAATGGAAAGGGTATGGTTTTCAAACGGGCTGCAAGGCTACAAAAACAGAACTCACAGAATCGTGGAATTTCAGAAGTGAAAGAGATCTTTGACACCATTTAGTCTAACATCCTCATTTACTGATGGGACAATGAAAGACCCAAGAGTGAGAGTGACTTGCCTAAGGTCACACCAAGGACAACTGTCAGAGCCAAGGCCAGACCTCAAACCCTCGACCCCCATCCAGGGCCAAGGTCCTTCTCTCTGCCATGAAACACCAAACCTTCATGTTTGTGGTTCATATCCCTACATCCCTGAGCCCTTGACCCAGCTCAGCCATGCTGTCAGCAGCAGCAGGTTAGCTGGATTCTGCCCAAGATTGGGTAATTTCCCCACCCAGTTATATTGTCAAAAAGTTATGTTATTCTCTTTAAAATGTACCATGTTAATGTTTTGCTTTTGGTACAAATAACCCAAGCTATAACTATGGCAACTTCTTGGAAACATGGAAAGAAAACACTTCTCAGCTGGGTGTGGTGGCTCACGCCTGTAATCCTAACACTTTGGGAGGCTGAGGTGGGTGGATGACGAAGTCAAGAGATCGAGACAATCCTGGTCAACATGGTGAAACCCCGTCTCTACTAAAAATACAAAACTTAGCTGGGTGTGGTGGTGGTGTGCCTGTAGTCCCAGCTACTTGGGAGGCTGAGGCAGAAGAATGGCTTGAACCTGGAAGGCGGAGGTTGCAGTGAGCTGAGATCACACCACTGCACTCCAGCCTGGGTGACAGAGTGAGTGAGACTCCGTCTCCATTTAAAAAAAAAAAAAAAAAAGAAAACACTAGTAAGCATAACTGGATAATTCTAAGAGAAAAGAACAACAGAATACCTGATTTCTACACAAGTTAGAGAAAGACCCTTTATTTTAAAGACCAATCTCTGCCACAGGTGTTTATCTATGAAGCTAGAACAGTTCAGAGGGCTTCAAAGCAAACCCTCCTCATGCCAACACAGCTGCCAGCCCACGCATGATTTCCATAAGAACCCACACTCAAGCAGTTCCAATTTGCCATTTTAATAAATGCCGAAAGAAGCGGTCATGTTGGGTCTTTGCAATGGAGAGGAAATGTCCTTTTTAATGGGATTTTTGGAAGTCTTTATTTTCTAAGTCCCTTTGGAAACTAAACACACATAAACACACACACACACACACACACACACACACGGAAAACTTCAACCAAAGTAGGATTCAAATAAGCCACCTGAGTTCTGTCCCCAGAAAGAGCAGGTGGGGGAAAAAGTGGTAAGTAGGTGAGGTGATGGATATGTTAATTAGTTTGATTTAATATTTTATGACATGTATATATATAACCATCACATTATACCTCTTAAACAGATACAATTATTATTCATCAATTGAAAAAAAGAAAAGAAAGGAAGGAAGGATAGAAAAGAAAGAAAGCAAAGAAGGAAGGAAGGAAGGAAGGTAGGGAGGGAGGGAGGGGAAGGGGGGAGGGAGAGGCAGAAGGGGAGGGGAGGGGAGGGAAAGGGAGGGGAGAGGAAGGAAGGGAGAGGAGGGGAGGGAAGGCAGAAAGGAAGGAAGGAAGAGAAAGAAAAAGCAAGAGAAACCTTGAGTGAGTCACTTGTCCTCCCACTCTCTGCATGGCCTAGCTTTCTCGTTGATAGTAGAGGGCCATCAGGTAGGCCCTGCTAGCTTTGCAGGGCTACTGAGAGAATCTAGTGCAGGAGTCCCCAGCCTCCAGGCAGTGGACTGGTACTGTCTGTGGCCTGTTAGGAACCAGGTCACACAGCAGGAGCTGGGCGAGCATTACCACCTGAGCTCCCCCTCCTGTCAGATCAGCAGCAGCATTAGAGCACAAACCTTACTATGAACTGCGCATGAGAGGGATCTAGGTTGTGTACTCTTTATGAGAATCTAATGCCTGATAATCTCAGGTGGAGCAGTTTCATCCCGAAACCATCCCCTCAACCTTGTCAGTGGAAAAAAATGTCTGCCACAAAACCGGTCCCTGGTGCCAAAAAGGTTGGGGACCACTGATCTAGTGGACTTTGTCCAAAGATCACAAAGCAACACAAATGTACAGATTTTTAATCACCCACAGTGGAATAACCTGGCCATTCCTCTCATTTCTTGACGAATCCCTGAAGCTTAGCCTGATTCACTGCTCTGTCTCTTTACTATTATCACTCAATACTAACAATAGCTGATAGCAGCATTATTTTATGAGGTTTGCATGAGTTGAATCAATCATCACAAAAACTCTATAAAGATGTCACTGTTAATCATTACCACTCCAAAGATGGAAAAACTTAGGCTCAGAGAGGTTAAGTAACTTATCCAAGATCGCACAACTCATAAGTGGAAGAGCCAGGGTTGAACTCAAGTCCACCCAACTTCAGAGTCTATGCTTTTAAACCCAACCCCACTCTGAAGATCATCAATTACATATGTGTATGCAGACCAACTTCCTTATCATCCTAGTTAAATTCCAGCAGGGACTAGGACTTCGGGTATCAAAAGTCAAAAATCACTCAAAAGGTTCTGTTTTGGGTTTGAGCCCTGGGTGGTATCCCCCCAGAGGCACATCTAAATTAAGTTTTCATAATCGTTCTAAACATTTTTGTGTCACTCTGCCTCCTTCTAGCAACATAGGCACAGATACTTAATCAGAGCCTGATGGGAAGTAATACCACATTGGAAGCACATTTGGCTTTTTCTCCTTCTGAAAGCAATATGATATTTTTAGAAAGAATAAAGGCTTGGGAGTAAGACAGACCTGGATTAGAGACCCAACTCTGCTGTCTCTTCTACCTGTGTGATCTTGAATGTTATTCATTCTGGGTCTCATTCCCCTAAACTTGAGAAATGTAGAGAATAACATCAGTATCATATTGTTGTCATGAGGATTAACTCAGCCTCAGCTAGAGTTTTTAGCACTGTGTCTGGGAAGCACATAGCAGGCATTTAAGAAATGACAGCAATTAGTAGACAACCAGCCTGCCAAATACAGAGGCTTCCTTTTCTCATGTGCCAACCCCAGTAGCAAGAGGTGAGAGCAGACACTGGGGGAGAAGGAGACAAACATCTGTGACCCACAGCATCCCGTAGCAAGACATGCATGGGTTTTGGACTGATTCCCAGCTCTGTTTTGTGACTTGGGCAAATTACTCAATTTCGCTGAGTCTCAATTTCCTTCCCCGTAAATGGAGGCAATATATCTTCATTACATACCTTCACATTGTTTACCACCTAGTCAAGAAATCAGGATATAGGCGTGAAAATAAAAGGAAGATTACAGCATCTCACATATGAGCTTTTAAAGATACTTCAACGAAAGCTACTGAGTTAAAGATTCTGAACTACCTTTATTTATCGTAAGAAATGAGATAAGCTACAGGAGCTGCTAATGATACAATAAAAGATCAGTTTCTGGAATGTCCTATGACTAGATTGTTTCAAACAAAACAATATTTATTTGCTTAATTTTACTCAAAAAGAGAATTACTTTCAAGCATATTTTACATTTGTACATATCCTTCAAACTTTTTAAATTATAAAAGCATTGTAGGTACATAACTAAGAGAAGCTATTGTAATATACAATAGGAGACATGCACAAGAATGTCAAAAACAATATTCTTGGCAAGGAACCCAACTATCTACCAACAGATAATAAATAAATTATGGTTTTGGTTTTGGTTTTGGTTTTCGAGACAGAGTCTCACTCTGTCGCCCAGGCAGGAGTGCAGTGGCACGATCTCAGCTTACTGCAACCTCCACCTCCCGGGTTCAAGCAATTCTCCTGTCTCAGCCTCCCAAATAGCTGAGACTACAGGTGCATACCACCACACCCAGCTAATTTTTGTATTTTTAGTAGAGACGGGGTTTCGCCATGTTGGCCAGGATGGTCCCAATCTCTTGACCTCATGATCCACCCCGCCCCCCTTGGCCTCCCAAAGTGCTGAGATTACAGATGTGAGCCACCGCACCTGGCCCTAAATTATGTATTTATGCAATGCAACGCTGTGCAGTGAAGACAATGAAATTATAGCTCCAAGCAGCATGGATAAATCCTAGAAGCATAATATTGAATGAAAAGAAGTAACTCTTGGAGTACTACATGTAAGTGTGATACCACTTTTAGAAAGTTAAAACACAAACGATCCTAAATTAGATCATGTTTAGGGGGTACATAGAGAAGTACTGAAGCCCTATTGTTAAAAAAAACAAAGAAGGCCAGGCGTGGTGGCTCACACCTGTAATCCCAGCACTTTGGGGGACCAAGGTGGGCGGATCACCTGAGGTCAGGAGTTTGAGACCAGCCTGGCCAACATGGCAAAACCCCGTCTCTACTAAAAATACAAAAATGAGCCGGGCGTGGTGGCACGCCTCTAGTCCCAGCTACTTGGGAGGCTGAGACAGGAGAATCACTTGAACCCAGCAGGTGGAGGTTGCAGTGAGCCAAGATCACGTCACTGCACTCCAGCCTGGACAACAAGAGCGAAACTGTCTCAAAAAAAAAAAAAAAAAAAAGAAAGAAATGATGTTTTTTAATTTCAGGGTAGTACTTACTGCTGAAAGACGGGTGAAGGAATGGGATTAGGAGCAGCACGTAGATCAATTCAATAGTATTAGAAAAGTTCCCTGTGCGCGGTAGGTTTATCCATTTAAATGTGATTCTTCATAATTTAAAGTAGTCCTAGGGGATACATTCCAAGAACCCCAGTGGATGCCCGAAACTACAGACAGTACCAAACCCTATATGTACTATGGTATGGCTTTTTCAAGACATACACCCCTAGGATGTTTAATTTATAAATTAGGCACAGTCAGAGATTAACAACTAATAATGAAATAGAACAATTATAACAATATGCCAGCATCGCTACTCTTGCATTTTGAAAATGAGGGTCACTTGAATACCCACACTGTAATACCAAGACAGGTTTTCAGATAACTGAAACAGATACTAAATGACTAATGGCCAGGGAGCGTATACAGGGTGGATATGGTGGGATGAGTCATGTCCTAGGTGGAACAGAGAAGGATGGCACAAGTTTTCATCACTCAGGGTGACGCACGGTCTAAAACTTAGGAATTGTTTATTTCTGGAATTTTCCATTCAATATTTTCAGACTGCAGTAGACTGCAGGTAACTGAACTTTTTATTTTATTTTATTTTATTTTATTTTTTGAAACGGAGTCTCGCTGTGTCGCCCAGGCTGGAGCGCAGTGGCGTGATCTCGGCTCACTGTAAGCTCTGCCTCCCGGGTTCACGCCATTCTCCTGCCTCAGCCTCCCGAGTAGCTGGGACTACCTGAGTAGCTGGCACCCACCACCACGCACAGCTAATTTTTTTTTGTATTTGTTTTAGTAGAGACGGGGTTTCACCGTGTTAGCCAGGATGGTCTCGATCTCCTGACCTCGTGATCCACCCACCTAGGCCTCCCAAAGTGCTGGGATTACAGGCGTGAGCCACCGTGCCCGGCAGGTAACTGAACTTTTGAAAAGCAAGACTGAGGACAAGGAGGAACCACAGTACTATATATCTACACATATAGATATGCACATGCATACATATACATAAACTATAATTCCATAATATATGTAATAATGTCACAGTGATAATGTAACTATCATTATGTAACATTATCTTATATATAAAAATATTACATAACATTTTTAAAATCCAAGCTATTCAATGTTGAACTAGGAATTTGATTTCCTTGCTCCTGACCCTGTACTGTTATTGTCTTAAGAATTTATTTTCCCCTGCTTTTCTTGAGCTGTATGGAATTTTTTTCTTATGTCTATTACTTACTTATTTACTAATTTAAAAAGAAATACATTAACGACCTAAGATTAAAGGCTATAAACTTAATTACAGGAATAAAGCAATCCACAAAGGCTACTCTGGGTTCATTCTTCAAAAGTCACATGACAGAGGGTGAAGATTATAATAGCTCTGGACACCAGGGATGATGCATCAATACTCAGAAGGTGTGGCTTGAGCTAACATCCATGCCAAGGCTATTACGACTAGTATATTTCCACAGGCCAAGACTGAACAGGTTTGAATTCCCAAAGAGTTCAATGCATTCTCCTGTGTTATAAGCAGATCAAAGAATAAAATCACTGTTTTGCTGCTCAGGCTGCCGTAACAAAGTGCCACAGACTGGGTGGATTAAACAACAGAAATTTATTTTCTGACAGTTTTGGAGACTGGAAGTCCAAGAACAAGGTGTCAGAAGGCCTCTCTCCTTGACTTGCAGATGATCAGTTTCTCACCGTGTCTTCACATGGTCTATGTGAGTCTAAACCCTAATTTCCTCTTCTTAGAAGGACAACAATTATATTGGACTACAGCCCATCCCAATGACCTTATTTAATCTTAATTACCTCTTTAAAGACTTTAATCTCTAAATATAGTTACATTCTGAAGTACTGGGGGTTAGGATTTCAACATGAATTTTGGAGTACACAATTCAACCCCTAACAGTCACCAAGGAAGCCCTCCCTGGAAAATGATAGGCCTGCTTATATTTCAAATTAGACCAGCATTGTCTAAGAACATTTTGCATAATAATGAAATTGTTTTATATCTACACCATCCAATTGGGAGATGTTGGATATGTCTATGACCTTGATTGTGATGACAGCACAGGTGTGTGCCTTTTGCCCGAACGCAACAAATTGTGCACATCTGTATGTGCAGGTCTTATATGCCAATTACATCTCAACAATGTTATCTTTAAAAAAAGAAAGACAAATGTTTCCTGACTGCACTTACATGAGGTATCTAAAATAGTCAACTCCTAGAATCAGAGTGGAATGGTGGTTTCCAAGGGGCCGAGGGAAGGGAGAAATTGCCCCCATGTCTTCCTTCAAAATGCCAGCTCCTTCCCACTCAAGGCCTTTACACTTGCTATTTCTTCTGCTTGGAGGCATCTCCCCCAAGATCTTTGAATGATGGTTTCCTTCTTGCCATCCAGGCCTCATATCAAGCACCACCTCCTCAAAAAGCCTTCCTTCATTTTCCTGTACAAACTAGTGGAAATATACTAGTCTTGATGGCCTTGGCATGGATGTTAGCTCAAACCACGCCTTGTGAGTATTGACACATCATTGCTGGTGTCTGGGGCTATTAGTCTTTACCCTCTGTCATGTGACTTTTGAAGAATGAACACAGAGTAGCCTTGTGGATTACTTTCTTCCTATATTAAGTTTATAGCCTTTATCCTTAGGTCCTTAAGGTACTTCTTTTTAAATCAGAATAGACAGGTTTCCCCTAATCCTATCACTTCATTTTTTTTCTTTTTCTTTCTTTTTTTTTTTTTAAACAGGGTCTCACTCTGTAGCCTAGGCTGGAGTGCAGTGGCGCGATCTTAGCCCACTACAACCTCTGCCTCCCAGGATCAAGCGATCCTCCCGCCTCAGCCCCAGCAAGTAACTGGGACTACAGGAACATGCTACCATGCCTGGCTAATTTTTTGTACTTTTTTTTATAGAAACAGGGTTTCTCCATGTTGCCCAGGCTGGCCTCAAACTCCTGGGCTCAAGCAATCTGCCCACCTTGGCCTTCCAAAGTGCTGGGATTACAGGCATGAGCCACCACACCCCACTTCATTTTATTTTTATTATATTTAATCCTATCTGACATCATCTTGTTTATTTGTTATTTATTGTCTGCCTCCCCTTCCCCATGCCCACTGTATCACAGGCTCCATGAGAGCAAGGACTTTGTCTGTCTTGCCTGCTGCATTCTTCCTGGTTCCTGGATAAGGGATAGGATCTCAACAAATATCCCATGAAGGAAGGATGGCTAGATGGATAACTGGCTGGATGGATAGGTGGGTGGATAGGTGGATGGATAGATCGGGGTGGAGGTGGGGGGTGGGTGGGTGGGTGGATGGGTGGATGGATGGGTAGGTGGATGGGTGGATGGATAGTGGGTGGATCGATGGATGGTAGAAGGGTGAATGGATGATGGACAGATGGATGGATAGATGGGTGGATCGATGGATGTTAGAAGGGTGAATGGATGATGGATGGATGGATGGATGGATGGATGGATGGATGGATGGGCGGGTGAAAAGATGGAAGCATGGATGGATGATGAGTAGATTGATACCCCCTAGAAAGCCAGCCAACAGCCTGGGCCTCAGCCAGTCAACAGAATTGAGGAGACCACATTGCACCCAGAAATCCAAGCAGACATTCACAGGGTAACTGATTATTTATGTGGAGTCCCACAGCTTGCTCACTTTCACAGCCTCATCTGAACAAGACAGCATCTTACACAAATCCCCCTCCCTGGAGTGAGGAGAGAGTGATCAGGTGTCGTTGGTGCTCACAAACTTAACAGTTCTGGGGAACTAACCTGGCACCAGACACACAATCTATAAAACTGCTCCTGCCCAATGTAAAATAATTTAGTTCTGAGGAGTGTACCCAAGGAAATAATCCCAAAGGAAGGAGGGACTGGTGAGGAGTAACTTTATATCTTTATATTATAGAGTAGTGTTTTTAAAAAATCGCAAACACATAGCAACAAGAGAACAGATAAGCAGCTTGTGTGGCACATTATATAGGTACACAATTTTTTATCTGAAATCTTTAGGGCCTAATGTATTTTGGAAATCAAAATGTTCCCAATTTTAGAAAATCTATTTTTGCTTATATTCTATTGTATATCATACCCAGCAGAGTCTAGGGCGATACATCAAAGACACTAGTAGCAGCAGCAAAACAGATACACAGTCATCATAAGTGGGATCAATAAAGAATACAAATAGCCTCATATCTGTTCAGGTGAGGTTAGGAAAAAGAACTTTCTCAGCAGAAGAACTGGTTTATGAAGCTTCACAGATTTCAGAAATGCAGATAAGAGATGTGGACTTAACTAATTTATTTTTATTTTACTTTAAGTTCTGGGCTACATGTGTAGAACGTGCAGGTTTGTTACATAGATATACATGCGTCATGGCGGTTTGCTGCACCTATTCAACCGTCACCTAGGTTTTAAGCCCAGCATGCATTAGGTATTTGTCCTAATGCTTTCCCTCCCCTTGCTCCCCACCCCATGACTGGCCCCAGTGTGTGATGTTCCCCTCCCTGTGTCCATGTGTTCTCATTGTTCATTGACAAGGGCACAATGCAGACTTTTAGGCTGATGAGAAGATTGGCTTTCATTATGTGGTAATACTGAAGAACTTATTTGAAAAAAAAAAAAAAAAGAAAGAGAAATAGCACTGTCGATAGAATATGCTCCATTGACATGTAAAATAGATACTAACAAGGACTGGGAGAGGACCTGGGCCATGGATTCTCAGTCTATGAGGCTGGACGTACGTGGATGAAAGGAAAAGTGAGGGCACAGGTAGGTGTGGGAGGTTGAGGGGTTGCAGGGTAAGACAGACCAGGAAACAGGGCATCAAAACTGCCGCCTTCTTCTTGATATTCCTCCCCACTCAGAGCCTCCCAGAGAATGGGGAAGCCAGCACAGAAAACCAGGACTCTGTTCAGCAATAGAAAAGGGGTTGCAGGGCACCATTCTACGACATGCACTATAAATCACATGCAAAGATTTTTAGTGGGGTCCCTTGCTGGGGGCACCAAAGGAATGTTCTTACCAGGGCCCAAATCCATTCTCAGTGGTTCCAACTCTATTGCAGTGAAGACCTCAGGGAACTCTGTCCACAGGAAACAATGTCAGAGGTCCTGTTGAGTAAGTAGCTGACCTGATTTTTCCTGGTGCAGACAGAGTTGGTGGAAGCAGGTGATGCCAAGGAAGTTGCTCTGATCTGAAATTTGGAAGGCAAGAGCATTCATCCTGGGTCAGCTTTCAAAACATCCTTTCGAAATATGTGGTCTCCCTCTTCAGTCTCTCCTTATCCCAAGTAAATAAAACTCCAGGTGCCATTTTTAAATTTCATTATTTTAATTGACGTATAATAATTGTACCTATTTACAAGGTACATAGTAATGTTTTGATACATATAATGTATAATGAACAGATTAGGGTAATTAGCATATGCATCGACTCAAACATTCATCATTTCTTTGTGTTGGGAACATTCAATATCTTCCTCCTAGTGATTTGAAACTATATGATATGGTTTGCCTCTGTCCCTACCCAAATCTCATCTTAAATTATAGCTCCCATAATTCCCACTTGTTGTGGGAGAGACCCAGTGGGAGATAACTGAATCACGGAGGCAGTTTCACCCATTACGTTCTGTTGATAGTGGATAAGTCTCATGAGATCTGATGACTTTATAAGGGGTTTCCCCTTTCACTTGGTTCTCTTTCTCTCCTGTCTGCTGCCATGTAAGACGTGCCTTTCACCTTCCACCATGATTTTGAGGCCTCCCCAGCCATGATGAACTGTGAGTCCATTAAATCTCTTTCTTTATAAATTACCCAGTCTTGGGTATGTCTTTATCAGCAGCATGAAAACAGAATAATACACTAAATAATATATTATTGTTAACTATTGTCACCCTACAGTGTTATAGGATGCAGAACTTACTCCTTCTATCTCACTGTAATTGTATGTCCTTTAACACAAGCTCTTTCTTTTAGAAATCATCCTGCCAGGTGCTAGAGAGGATGTGGAGAAATAGGAACAGTTTTACACTGTTGGTAGGACTGTAAACTTGTTCAACCATTGTGGAAGTCAATGTGGCGGTTCCTCAGGGATCTAGAACTAGAAATACCATTTGACCCAGCCATCCCATTACTGGGTATATACCCAAAGGATTATAAATCATGCTGCTATAAAGACACATGCACATGTATGTTTATCGCGGCACTAGTCACAATAGCAAAGACTTGGAACCAACCCAAATGTCCAACAATGATAGACTGGATTAAGAAAATGTGGCACATATACACCGTGGAATACTATGCAGCCATAAAAAATGATGAGTTCATGTCCTTTGTAGGCACACGGATGAAACTGGAAACTATCATTCTCAGCAAACTATCACAAGGACAAAAAACCAAATACCGCATGTTCTCACTCATAGGTGGGAATTGAACAATGAGAATACATGGACACAGGAAGGGGAACATCACACACTGGGGACTGTTGTGAGGTGGGGGGAGGGGGGAGGGATAGCATTAGGAGATATACCTAATGCTAAATGATGAGTTAATGGGTGCAGCACACCAACATGGCACATGTATATATACGTAACAAACCTGCACATTGTGCACAAGTACCCTAAAACTTAAAAGTATAATAATAAAATTTAAAAAAAAAAAGAAAGAAATCATCCTGCCAACAGCCAGAAAGTAAACAAGAAAGTGACCCCTGTCAAGGAAAGGAAATTTGAGGCCTGGCTGACATCATCTGGGTTGTACTGTCTGCTATGTCTCTCCCTAGTGTTCCTTCATAAACCATGAAGATATTCTGAAGATTTCTGGATTGAGATGATAAGATTCTGGGGTTCATCAGCTAAGAACATCTCACTGATCTGCAAATACCTCCTTGGACACAAAAGCAGAAAAGAATGACAGCCTTGAGGTTACACACACAAGGGCCCTGGAGCCAGCAGGCCTGAGTGCAAATTCTGGCTGCTTTCCAGTGGCTGTGTGACCTTCGGTGAGTTGCTTCACCCATCTGTGCCTTAGTTTCCCTATCAGTTGAAATGAGGATAACGATAACACCTACATTAAAGAGTTATATGAGAATTTAAAAAGAAAATCCACAAACTGCAATGAATACAATGCTTAGCACGTGTATGAGCCCGAGAGAAGCCAGTTTTCACTGGTAACATGCCAGTGTGTGAAGGCTGAGGCTGGCTCTGTTGCCATTTGAACTTTTTTTTTTTTTTTTTGAGACAGAGTCTTACTCTGTCACCCAGGCTGGAGTGCAGTGGTGCAACCTCAGCTCACTGCAACCTTCATCTCCTGGGTTCAAGTGATTCTCCTGCCTCAGCCTCCAGAGTAGCTGGGATTACAGGCACGCGCCACCACACCCAGCTAATTTTTATATTTTTAGTAGAGACGGGGTTTCACCATGTTGGCCAGGCTGGTCTCGAACTCCTGACCTCAAATGATCCACCCGCCTTGGCCTCCCAGAGTGTTGGGATTACAGGCATGAGCCATCCCACCCGGCCACTGCCATTTGAACTTTTGCTCATGCCCAGGTACTACGTGCTGGGCCCCTTTCTTTGACTCCAAGATGCTCAAACACAGGGAACCTCTGTTGTCTCACAACAACCCTTCAATTTGGGGATCCTTATCCTAATTTATATAGAAGGAAACTGATAATCATGCAAGAGAAATGACTGGCCCAAAACCATACAGGTTCTCAGATAAAGCAGGTATTTTAACCAGGCTTTCTGACTCCAACATGCAGAGTTTTTTCACAGCATGATTGTCCCAAGGAAAAATTTTTAGTGGGCAATCTACACCCTTGGAAAGAAAAGTTTGATTTTCACAGACAAAAGACATTGGAATACACAACTGGTGAGTGAGGTAGATTAGTGAGTAGATCATAGAGAGATTTCACCTTGAAATAGAAAACAGACTTCAGGATCATGGACAAATCTTGTTGCCAAACTGGGCCTCAGTTTTCTCATCTGTAAAACGAGTTTGTTGGACAACATGACCTTGAAGGGACCTTCAGAAAAGGTTTGAACAATAGTGACCCCAGGGATATTATGCTTGTTGCTGGATATGTAAAATATGGCTATATTTTGTTAAAACGATTGGTAACTTCATTGCATAGGCACTCAGGAAACAACAAGGGTAATCATTTTGTTTTATAGGAAAAAAGAACAGGACCCAGAAAGGTATTAAATCTTACTGAGGAAAAACAACTCCCCACCGCCTCCTGCCTCATCCCCAGAGACACTCTCAGAATTTGTTTATTCAAGAGACATAATCAGTAACATCATCTAAAATTAGCAACAGAGCTTCCTCTGTCTCCCACTTCATCATTTCTGAGAGTTTCTATAGATTGGAGAATTGCTTATAATGATGATGGAATAACTCATTTTAAAAATCGCAAACTGAGAAAACAAGTTTACTGCCTTATTTTTGAATAGTTTGGGCCTGAAAGGAAAATTCTGTCTTTCACCAAATAAAAGGAAAAAAGGCAATTATCTGAGATGAAAACCCCCAGCCCATCACTGTGCCTCTGGAAAATGAAATTCATTGATCAGAGTTAAAGTTCCAGGCCTGGGTGGAAAAAAAATAAGGTCCCTGCATCATTAATTTCAATAGAATCTAAAATAATGGGATGCAGCCAGGCAAAAACACAATGAAATCGAATGTTCCCTGTTCCCTAAGTCACCTGCTCCCAGAATGCAGTGAGGTAGAAGACACAGGCACACTTTCAGCTGTCCAGAGACAGGGCTTTCCAAGCTGCTGGGCTTTCTTCTAATTATGATATATTTCAAACATTCAGAAAAATGCATAGAATCTTACAATAAATACTCCCACACTAACCCAGATTTAATCAATGTTGACATTTTGCCATTTTGACAAAATGCCCTCAAAAGCATTCTAAAGCAATAAAATGTCACAGGTATAGTATGCTGGAAATTCCTTCACTGCTCATCCATCCTCCCAGCCCCTTTTCTCCTTCCCCAGAGATAACTAATATTCTGCTGTATAATAATAATCTGATATAGGTATATGCAGTTCCTCCCTGTGGGTTTTTATACACACTATATATGTGTTGTCCTGCTTATCTTTCCCTACTGTGGTAAAACACACATAACATGATAAAATTTAACATTATAGGGTCTCTCTCTGTTACCCAGGCTAGAGTGCAGTGGTATGATCTCAGCTTACTGCAGCCTCAACCTCCAGGGCTCAGGTGATCCTCCCACCTCAGCCTCCTAAGTAGCTGGGACTACAGGCGCATGCCACCATGCTCAGCTAGTTTTTGTAATTTTTGTAGATATGGAGTTTCACCATGTTGCGAAGGCTGGTCTCAAACTCTTGGACTCAAGTGATCAGCCCGCCTCCCAAAGTGATGGGATTTCAGGTGCGAGCCACCACATCCAGCTTTAACCATTCTGAAGTGTATAATTCAGTGACATTTAGTACATACAAAGTATTGTGCAACTATCACCACTATCTAGATCTAGAATATTTTTATCAGCCCAGAAGGAAACCTCATGCCATCTAAGCAATCAATCATTCCTCATTCTCCCCTCTCCCTAGCCCCTGGCAGCCACTAATATAACTTTTGTCCCCATAGATTGGCCTATAATGGACTTTTTTGTTTTTCAGACAAGGTCTTGCTCTGCTGCCCAGGCTGGTGTACAGTGGAATGATTACAGCTCAGTGCGGCCTCAACCTCCTGGGTTCAAGTAATCCTCCCACCTTAGCCTCCCGAGTAGCTGGGACCACAGGCATATGCCACCATGTCCAGCTAATTTTTTTATTTTTTATAGATACAGGACGTCACTTAGCTGCCCAGGCTGCTCTTGAACTCCTGGACTCAAGCAATTCTCCTGACTTGGCCTCCCAAACTGCAACAGGCATGAGCCACTGCACACGGCTGATGAGCTTTTTATACAAGCAGAATCATGAAATATGAGATTTTTGTGACTGACTTTTTTCATGTAGCATAATGCTTTCAAGGTTCATCCATGTTATGGCATGTATCAGTACTTCATTCCTTTTTATGGCCAAATAATATTCCATTTGGTGGATATACTACTTTTTCCAGTCATCGGTTGATGGACATTTAGGTTGCTTCTACTTTTCAGCTATTATGAATAATGCTGCTATGAATATTCATGTGCAAGTTTTTATACAGACAGACATTTTCAGTTCTCTTGGTTACATACCTAGGAGTAGAATCACTTGGTGATATAGTAACTTATGTTTATTTTAACATTTTAAGGAACTGCCAGATGGTTTCCAGCACTTTGCATATTTTCACATGGTATCATCCCACATCTGCTTTTTCCACTCACTGTGTATGTTTTGGAGATTCCTCCAATTTAATACTTTGCTGTCATTTATTTATTTTGATGGTGGTACAGAGTACCATTTGTGTGAACAAACCACCATTTATTCCCTTTCCCCTATTGCTGGATATTTAGATTCTTCCCAGCTTTCCATTACCATAAATAACACTGCCACAAATGGAGTTTCAAAGCTTTCCATCTATGGACCAAATCTGCAGAGCAGGAGAGCCTCACAGACCACAGAGTAGCTACTGCTAGCTGACAACCCTCTCAAAACTCTTGGGATGATGGTTCTAACTTGTGGGTAGAGAGTTGGAGTGCATGAACTAGAGGGATGCATCGGAAGATGCCCGAAACATAACTAAAGCTCTGAGACCACAGCATGGTTGTGTATAATTATTCCCAGTCATTTGCTGCACTCCCTGGAAGAGATCACCGTGGCTGCCCTGCTTGGCTTGGCTGTGATTGGTGTGGCCTCAGGATATAAGCAGTAGTGATGTATGCAACACGGGAGCAGGAGTCTTGGAGCCAACCCTGTCACTCCCCTCTGCCATGCGACAGGAGCAGCACAGCCCAGATGAGAGCTGCATCCTCAGCCTGGATCTCAGAATAAAAAGCCCATGGAGCAGAGCCACAGTTGGCCCACAGGGACCTACAGAGTGAGCCAAACACACTCGCAGTGTTGTAAGTCTCTGAGATACTGGTGTTGCAGCACAACTGAACAAAATCTCATGGGAGAAGTCTCTTCTTTATCATCATCCCAACTGAACTCTCTTCAGTTTTGACCTAGGCATCCACCTGCCTAATTTTTAAACCCTTTTAGGCATCATTCAAACTAACGTGCATTTGCCATAGACTCTGTATATGACCCAGTCCAGAACTTGGGGTTGAAAAGCACAAGGAATATAATAATAGCTAGTGATCCTGAGAGCCTGCTCTGGGCCAGCTGCTGCAACAGGCACTTGTGCAGATAGAGTGTCAGTTGTCCTCGTGTTACCCGAAGGAGGCAGGCATTACAACTCTCCCCAATTCATTGATGAGGAAATTGATGTGCCAAGGTGTTTAATAACAAGACTAAGGTAATACTTGATCTAGCAAGAGGCATTTGGAGGAACTGTACCCAAGCACGCTGACTCCTGTATCCTATAAGTCACACCGTTTTCATCCAGTGAGCTTGCAGACGTGCAGTGAGAAAATGTTCTTCCATCATGCCACCACTGTTTGGGGGGCATAGAGCACATGCCAGCCTCTGTGCCAGGACTGGGCGAAAGTAAGCCAGACAGACACAAATCCTACAATTCTTACCCTGAGGGAGACGAAAAGAGAGGAAGAAAATATTTTCCTCCACTGGTTTTTGTTTTTTATAGTTTCAGGGGGCACATGTACAGGTTACATGGATATATTGTGTAATGGTGAGGTTGGGCTTCTGGTGAACCCATCACCCGAATAGTAAACATTGCATCTAATAGGTAATTTTTCAACCCTCACCCTCCTCCCACCCTTCTGGATTTTGGAGTCACCAGTGTCTATTATTTCCCTCTTTATGTCCATGAGTAACCATTGTTTAGCTCCCACTTATAAGTGAGAACACACGGTATTTGATTTTCTGTTTCTGAGTCATTTCACTTAGGATAATGGCCTCCAGCTCCATCCATGTTGCTGCAGAAGATGTGATTTCATTCTTTTTTATGGCTGTGGGGGGAAAACATTTTTAACTAATTACATCTTATTTATAAGAAATATCTAGAATAGGCAAATCATAGAGACAGAAAGATGAGTGTTTCCCGGGGTATGGAGGATGGGGAGTGACCGTTTAAAGTGTATGGGGTTTCCTTTTGAGATGATGAAAATTTCTGGAACTAGATAGCAGTGATGGTTGAGCAACACTGTGAATGTACCGAACGTCACAAATAGCAAATTTTATGCACGTTTCAGCACAATGAAAATAAAACTAATTGTATAAATGTGTATCGTTGCAATAAGTGCTGTAGGGAAAGTACAGGGAGCTGTCAAGCCACATGACAGGGAGGCCTGCACTCATCTGGGGTATCAGGGATGCTTCTCTGAGGAAGCAACGCCAGCTCCTACCCCACAGGGTTGTGTGTGCCTCCATGCAAGACCCAGCAGAGGTCAGCCCCAGTGTGTTGTGCCCTCGTGCACACTGTAAACTCCCTTCACAGCAGTTACCTCACTGCATCATTGTTTGTTTTTTGTGTAATCCTTTGACAAAGAGTCATTCACCTACTAGAAAGCAGAGTCCTTCATTCTTTCAATCACCAGGTGGTTTTCAAGCTCAGAGTCCATGTAGACATCGCTGTAAATACGACTACAGAGTTGCTGCCCTTGCGAGGCTTTAAGCTTAGTGGGGGCGTGGATAACAAGCAAGCAAACCTGTGTGAGCAGATTGTGACTGACAGGGCAGTGAGCAGGGGAAACAGAACAACAGCCATCGCAGGGAGGCAGGTGTGGACAGGCTCCCCAGGAGGAGCCAGCACACAGAGCAGGGAGAAGGCGGCTCCAGGGGAGGAAACAGCAGGACAAAAACCTGGAGGCTGAAAAGAACTGAGCACACTGGGGTGATTAACAGGAGGCTTCCAAGGAGGCACTGGCATGGGAGGAAAGAAACCCATCAAGGCAGAGGGTGAGTGTCTGTCTTTTCCCTGCTGGAAACCGGGCATCTGGCGCGGTGTATGAAGGAAGGGAGGGATGGGGGACCGAGAAGATCTTCTTGGGAGCCCTGAGATCTGGATTCCAGTCCAACCCTTTTCATTTGCATCATGACCTCAAGCTAATCCAAGCAGACACTCGCTGCAGATTCAATCGTTAACAAGAGGGTCACACTCCTGCCCTCAGCAAACTTACATTCTAATGGGAGGAGGAGGGGAAAGAACAAGGAGAGAATCTTCTAGTTACCAAAATCCACCCACAAAAGGAAGAGATGAGCCATCTAAGTGGACCAGGAGAATGCGCGAGTGTAGAGCCTGGTTTCCAAAACCCCATGGGGGACAATCAAAAGTCATTGGATTAGATTCTGTTAGAAAAGATAATAAACCAACTAGACTAGATCTGGTGTCCGGGAAAGGGAAGGACAAGGAGATGTTGCTGAGCCAAGATTGCCCAGAAGTGTCTCCATCTCCTGACCTCTTGGTACAGTGAGCCCCTCCACGGACGTGAGTGGCCTCCTCGCCCAGCCTGGCATGGGAACCTGATGCCCTCGTCCTCCTAAATGGCCTTAGGAGGGACTCTGCCATTTGCATCTTCTGTGTTTCCTGGATGAGGAAACAGAGGAACAATGAGATTAAGCAGCTTGTCCCTGTTCACATGGCCGGCAAGTGTCAGAGCTGAGACGCAGGCTGGCTCCACCAGGTGTGTCCTCCTGACCACTGTGCCTTGAAAGAAGGAAACTCACTCTCATCACTCCAATTCCAGGGTCACCAAGCAACCCTGTGACAAGTTGGCTACAGGGAGCAAAACATCCTCCCAAAGCCCTGGAGCATTCCAGATCACATGGGGGTACATTCCTCACTGGAAATGGATCCCTTGGCATCAGGTTTATAAATATAGATGCCATGTCTCTGAGTTGCTTGGTGTGATGCCAAGTCCTGGAGCCAGACAGAACTGGGTTCATGTTCTACCTCTAGTCCCTGTAAGCTGTGTTGCCCTGGGCAAGTCAGGGAAGCTCCCTGAACCGCCATGTCCCCATCCATACAGTAAGGTGATGACAGCTCCCACCCACAGACTCTTTGACATCACTGAGCATGTGCTTGGCACAGAGGCAGGACCCAGTCAAGTGCAGCTGTGTTGCTCTCATTCTCAGTGGGCTGGTTCTGAACTCACAGAGCTGGGGGCCGCCAGCCCTTACCATGGCAACAACCCGAACCCTGGCAGCCTCACCAGGGTAATTGCCACTTTGTGGGCACCAGTCTGATTGTCAGCAGGTCATTCTCAGACAACCTCATGGGGCCCATTCCTCTCTCTCTCCTGCCTTGGGCTCCCCTAGGGATCAGAAGCCCATTACCATAATGGCTGTGAGAACCTAATGAGATCAGATATATCATTTGCTAGGGCTGCCATAAAAAAGTACCACAGACTGAGTGGCTTAAACAGAAATGCATTTCCCCACAGTTCTGGAGGCTAGAAGTTCCAGATCAAGGTATCAGTAGAGTTGGTTTCTTCCATGGCCTCTCTCCTTGGCTTATAGATGATCACCTTCTCTTCATGTCTGCACATGGTCTCCCCTCAGTATGTGTCTGTGTCCAGATTTCCTTTTAAGGACCCTAGTCACATTGGATTAGGACCCATCGTGGTGACTTTAACTTGATTACCTCTCTAAAGACTCTATCTCCAAATATAGTCACATTCTGAAATACTGGACAGTAGGACTTCAGCAGATGAATTTGCATCATTATATGCATCAACGCAGGGATCAAGTATATAATGCATCAGACACAGTGCTTGGCATATGGTAAGCACTCAATAAATAGTGCCAAACATGAGGGTGATGACGGAGATGATGACTCTCCAGGCTGGAAGCCACTTCAACAAGATGACAAGCCACGGCTCAATACCCATCAGGAAGTCCCTCTGGGTTAATGGGAAGCCCTGGGATTTGGGAGGCCATGCACCTAGTGAAGTCATGCATACACTGGCTTTGGAGTCAGATCCACATGGGTTCAGAGCCTCAGGGCAGCACTCACCCACTGGAGATCCTAAGCAAATCATCCCACTTAGCTGAGCCTCAACTTTCCTCACGTATTGAGAGAGCCAATGTCAAGGGCCTAGCAGTGAGAGGTGCCCAGGGAATTCCTCTGTCTGTGAGCAGGATAACCAGATTTGAGTCCCAGTTTGGCCACCTTCTAGCGCTGACCTTGGGCAAGTCACTCTCAGTCCCTTCAGCTCTTGATGCGGAACAATAATCCCGCCTCATGGAGTTGTCGTAGGGTGGAAATGAGTCAAGGTATGTGAAAGTGCTTTGTAAACTGCAAAGCGCTCTGCACAGGTCAGCTGTTGCCCTCCTTTGAGGATGCAACCCTGCAGAGGTCTTCGTGAGAGGGCGCTCACACCCACACACCCGATTCCAAGAAAAACACAAGAGGTGGGGCCCCTGTGGTTTCATGACTCACAGAGGCCACTCCTGCAGGTGCTTTTTGACTATGCGACCAGGTTTGCTAACCACTCCCTAAGGCTGCAACTCACACCCCCTCTTCCCTGGTCCAGAAAGGAGGCATGGCAGACCAAAGATGACTTGGAAATTTATTAGAAGGCAGGGGGAGTGGGGTGTCAAGGATGTAAACAAGGAAGTCAGGAGGGCCATGAATTTTCTGGTTGGGGAGAGTGGAGAGGACACCATCTTTGATGAAAGGAAACCCAGGTAGAAAACTTCAGGAGGTGGCTGGAAATGCCAGATAGGAGTCAGGAGAGAAGTAATGAAGATATTACCTACAGTGAGGCTAGAACTGAAGATGTGAAAGCCAGAGTATAGAAAAGAGAAGAAAGAGGGAAGAGTGGGAACAGGAAAGGGGAGAAGGAAGGGCATGGTGTAAGGGGCAAAACCTTGAAGAATGCCAACATCTAGGATTTTAGGGAGAAAAAGGAGACAGAGGATTAGACAGGTAAAGCAGTCTGAGATAAGGGGAAGAGCAGGTCTATCAGGATTGAGAGATGTATTTTTCAGCTCAGGCTGTCATAACAAAATACCATGGGCTGGGTGACCTAAACAACAGACATTTATTTTCTCACAGCTCTGCAAACTAGAAGTCTGAGGCCAGGGTTTCAGCATGGTCGGGTCCTGATGAGGGCTCCCTTCCTGGCTTGCAGATGGCCACCTTCTTGCTGTGTCTTCATATGGTGCGAGGAGAGAGAGAGAAGAGAGAAAGAAGAGAGAGAGAAGAGGAGATAAAGAGAGAGAGAGAGAAGAGAGAGAGGAAAGAGAGAGAGAGAGAGAGAAAGCTCTCTAGTATCTCTTAAGCACCCTAAAATCCTTTTGGATCAGGGCTCTGCCCTTATGACGTCATTTAGCCTTAATTACTTCTGTAAAGGGCTTGTCTCCAAATACAGTCACCTTGGGGGTTAGGGTTACAACTTTTGAATTGGGGAGGGACACAACTCAGTCCACAGCAGGAGGGCAGAGGTAGGATGAAGATGGGAAAATGGTAGCCCAGGAAGCACACCTGCCCTAGAACACACACTGCCAGAACAGCACCTATTGGTAGCAAGAGCCTCTGCCAGCACTGGAGGAACTTTAAGCGCTTCCCCTATCTGTGTCTCTATTTCGCTGGTACACAATGTAGGAGTAGTGCTGTTCTCAAATATCCCCAGGATACAACCAAGCTCTCTTCCAAGGGCAAATGTCCCAGGGGCTCAAAAAAAGAGCCAGATGGTCTTTCAAACAAGCCCATTCAAGGCTAAAAGAAGGGAGGGGAGGTAATGCTAAGTTTAGAGACTCTAAATCCTCCCTTGGGAGTGAGTGAGCCTGTCTCAGGCAGCCCAGGAGCAAGAGAAGAAGACACCTCCTGTCACTCTGAGCTGTAAGAGAAGAGAGAGGGGGCTGCATGCCTCACCCACCCAAGTCCACCTCACTCCTAAATACAAACTTGTGTAGTGTTTAACTCTAGATGTAATTATGAGAGCCACTACCTTCTTGAAAAAGTTTTGGTCATCAAAGCAAAGGCTGACTTCCATTTCTTTCCATGTTTAATTAGGGAAAGGCTGTTTCCATGATGTGAGTCTGTGAGTCTCACCCACTGAGTCAGATTGTCATCCATCCTGCAGAGTTTGACTGGAGCCCACAACACCCCTGCCGGGCCATAAAAGGGTTCCCAGCAACAAGAACAATGGAGAGGGGAGGGCTGAGGCTGGGACAGCATAAAGAGTAGGAGGAGCCAAGAGGAGGACCTCTAGTTGGGACTAGAGTCGGGTAGGGTGGGAGAAGCCTGGGTGGGTGGGGGGGCTCCACGGAGGAGGTGCTATCTGAGATAAACTGAAAGAGGAAGAGGAGTTCACCTGGGGAGCATTTAGGAAGTAGGACAGTGTTCCAATCAAAAGTACAGAAGGGGCTAGGTGTGATGAGCACATGTCTATAGTCCAAGCCACACAGGAAGCCAAGGAGGAAGGATTGCTTGAACCCAGAAGGTCAAGGCTACAGTGAGCCATGATCATGCCACTGCACTCAGCCTGGGCAACAGAGCAAGACCCTGTTTCAGAAAACAAAACGAAAGTGCAGAAGGGAGATAAAAGCTGTTTCAGGTTGAGGGGGTCTATGGTAAAGAGTGGGCTCTTTCCAGAGGGCAATAGGGAGCAACTGGAAAGTTTGAGCAGGAGAGTGGCTTGATGCAACTTGTTTTGTTTGCTCCTTTATGTGTTTGGACGGGGTGGGAATTGGACAGAAAATACACTCATGGTGCCATTCATCTACTTTTGTGCGTGCCTCCCTCCCCTTCTCTTTTCCCATTTTGATTTACTTTTTGTTTGAGGTAAAAGAGTTTTACTGTTCAGTTTCAGCAAGCCTCCAAGACACACATAAAATGAAATTACAATAGTTGTTTTGCAGAATAGAACAAAGAGCAAAAATTACCTATCTCATTTTAAAGCTATTATAACCTTGATGCTTAAACCTGACAGGGATGGCATCATAAAATAAAATGTGAGACAAATTTCAATGTGGCCGTAGCTTATTTTTATCTTATACAAAATGCTAGCAATTTGAATTCAGCAATGCATAAAATACCTCATGATAGTAGTACCACAAGAATATTTCAATATAAGATACCTGTTCTGAGCTGAATTATGTCCCCCCAGAATTCATATGTTGAGGTTCTAACACCCAGTACCTCAGAATATGACTGTATTTGGAGATAGAGTCTTTAAAGTGGTAATTAAGTTAAAGTGAGGTTATTAGGGTGGGCCCTAATCTGACTGGTGTCCTTGTAAGAAGAGGAAATTTGGGCAGAGGCATAGATATCTGCAGAGGAAACACCGTGTGAGGACACAGGGAGAAGACAATCATCTACAAGCCAAAGAGAGAGGCCTCAGAAGAAACCAATCCTGCTGACACCTTGATCTTCAGACGTCCAGCCACCAGAACCATGAGAAAATAAATGTCTGTTCTTTAAGCCACTCAGTCTGTGGAACTTTGGTAGGGCAGCCCCAGCAAAGTACTAGAGTAAAAGACCAAAGTAGAAAACCTATATAAACATATCAGTAAATGCAGAGAAAGCAGTGGCTACAATTCAATTCTTTTTAAGGCTTTCAATGAAGGATAACATACCTACAAAAAAAGTCTACAAATCCTCACTGTACAGTGAATTTTCACCAGCTAAACACACCTGTGTAATGAGCACTTGGATCAAGAAACAGAACGCAAGAAGCATCCCAGAGCCCTCCCCATGTCCTCTTCAACACCAGTCGGGCTGTGTGGGCTGAATTGTGTCCTTGTAAAGTTCATTTGTTGAATCCCTAATCATCAAAGTGACTGTATTTGGAGACAGAGCCTCTAAAGAGGGTAATTAATGTTAAAGTTATAAAGTGGGGTCCTGATCCAAAAGGACTGGTGTCCTTATAAGAAAAAGAAGACAGCAGCAAGCCACAAGAGAAAATGCCATGTGAGGACACAGGGAGAAGGTGGCCATCTACCTACAAGCCAAGGACAGAGGTCTCAGGAGAAACCAACCCTGCTGACACTTTGATCTTGGAATTCCAGCCTCCAGAACCATGAGAAAATAAATGTCTGGTTTAAGACACCCAGCCTATGGTATCTTGTGATGGCAGCCCAAGCAGACTAATGAATGCTTCTCTCCTGCTTTAATTAATTTTTATTACACACACACAAACACACTATATATATATATATATATGTATATCTATATGTGTGTGTGTGTGTGTATATATATATATATATATATATATATACTTATTAATCTAGTTTCTTGTGGGGGCATGAGGAGGTGAGTAATGAAAATAGTCCCTGGCATACTATCTAAGTGTTCACCGATAGCATAGTACTGAGTAAACAAGGCATAGAAGGAATTTAGGTAAATTTACAACACACAGGCCAGGCGTGGTGGCTCACGCCTGTAATCCCAGCACTTTGGGAGGCCAAGGCAGGCGGATCACAAGGTCAGGAGATCAAGACCATCCTGGCTAACACAGTGAAACCCCGTCTCTACTAAGAATACAAAAACAAAATTAGCCAGGCGTGGTGGCAGGCACCTGTGGTGGCAGGCACCTGTGGTCCCAGCTACTCAGGAGACTGAGGCAGGAGAATAGTGTGAACCTGGGAAGCAGAGCTTGCAGTGAGCCGAGATCACGCCACTGCACTCCAGCCTAGGCAACAGAGTGAGACTCCCCTCCAAAAAAAAAAAAAAAACCACAGGTGCATGTTCTAGCAAAAACATATAGACATGTATTTTAAATTTATCTAACTGGCATGTGCAAAGGTATTATTCAAAGTTAACTTGTGTGCCAGCTATGATTCTAATTGATTTCATTTAATTCTTACAATTGTTTAAGGCCTATCCATGTTGGTGCATGTATATCAAGTAGATGGATTCTGACTGTTGCATAGTATTTTAGTATATGCCTACACCATATTTACTTTTCCATTCCCCTAGTGGAGGACCCTAGGGAACTCCAATGTCCTGCCACCAAAAACAATGCCACAATGAACATGCTTGACGATGTCCCCTTTTGGAGCTATGTAGCAGGGCTGGGGATGCTCATCAGTGAGATTGCTGGATCCTTCATATGGACACGATATCTTGAATAAATTCTCCCTGATGGCTCTTCAAAACTCCTGCATTGGTCTACATCCTCAACAGTGGTATACAGGGGCTCCCAGTTCCTTTCCATCCCTGCCAACATTTGGCATTATCCAACTTTCTCATTTTTGCCAGGCTAGTGAATGTAAAGTAATAATTCACTATTGTGTTTATATGTATCTAATTATTGAGTTTGAGCATCTCTTCATATACTTATGAGCTATTTGTGTTTCCCCTTCTGTGAATTGCTATTTGTATACTTTGACTACTTTTCTTTCGGGTTCCCTGCCTTTTTCTGGACGATTTATAGGACTTCTTTGTGTAGTCTAGGATTAGGTTACATGTGGATTTTAAACTTGGAGTCTGCATATGGCATCCATCTATAGCATGGTTTCTCAATCTCAACATTATTAATATTTGGCCAGATAATTACTAGTTGTGAGGTATCCTGCACATTGGAGAATGTTTAGCAGCATTTCTGGCCTCTACCTGACAGATTTGCCAGTAGCACCCCCCACCCAGTTGTGACAACCAAAAATGTCTCCAGACATTGCCAAACATCCTGAGGGGTGGGGGGCAAAATTGGTCCCAGGTGAGAACCACTGGTCTATAACCAGTGGTTATTCATCCTATTGGGTTATAATTACCTAATTCTGTTGATTAGAAATCCGTAACTTTTAATAAAATCCACTTTTATGTCGTGCTTTGTGTTTGGGAGGTATTATTTGAGAAGACTTTATCATTCCTCGGTTATAAAAATATTTCCCTATAATGTCTGGTCTCAAACTCCTGACCTCAAGTGATCTGCCCGCCTCGGCCCCCCAAAGTGCTGGGAATATAGACATGAGCCACCACACCGGGCCCTATAGTGTTTCTTATCAGATTTATTGTTTAACCTTTGACATTTAAGTCTTTAATTTATGCTCTACTTTTATATTCTGGATAAAGTAGGTTTCTAGGTATAATTTGATAGACATAGTCACCCAGTTTTTCAAAGCCATCTGCAAGTCAGTGAGACCTTTCCCATTAATGCATGATACCATATTTATCATATGTCAAGTTCCCATGTATGTGTGGTCTGTCTCTGAGCTATCTTATCTATTCATCTATTTTCCTGTCCTTCCATCAGAACCACACAATTCTTCTATTACTGTGACCCCGTAATATATCTTAATATCTAGAAGACAAGTCCCTCCTCTTTTTAAAAGCTGGCTCAGCTATTTGTGGACCTTTATATTTATTAATTTTAGAATATTTGTCAAGTTTATCAACATAGCCATCTGGAACTCTAATTCAATTATATCAAATTTATAGATTACTTTGAAGAAAATTGACATTTTTACAAGGTTCTGTTATTCTATCACAAACATGAAATATCTCTTCACTTACTCAAAACTTCCTTTTATGTCCTTTGATTGAATTTAAATTTTTCTTCCATAGAGAACTTCTTCACTCCTTGATAAATTAATGGCTAGGTATATTTAGTTTCTCTTGCTACTGTGAATGGCATTTTATTTTCTTAGGTTTGATGGTTGGTTCTGTATTTTCTGGTATGGACACATGCTATTAGTTTTTAGTAGTTGATCTTGTATCTGGAAATCTTGTTGTATCCTCTTATCAGTTCTAAAACAGAGTCTGCCGATTCAGTTGGCTTTCTATGCAGATTACTATAGCACTTACAAATAATGATAGTTTTGCCTCTTCCTTTTTTTGAGACAGAGTTTCCCTCTGTCACCCAGGCTGCAGTGCAATGGCGCAATCTCAGCTCACTGCAACCTCCGCTTCCCAGGTTCAAGCAATTCTCTGCCTCAGCCTCCCGAGTAGCTGGGACTACAGGCATGTGCAACCACGCCTGGCTAGTTTTTGTATTTTTTGTAGAGACAGGTTTTTGCCATGTTGGCCAGGCTAGTCTCAAACTCCTGGCCTCTAGTGATCCACCCACCTAGGCCTCCCAAAGTGCTGGGATTATGGCCAGGCGCGGCGCCTCACGCCTGTAATCCCAGCACTTTGGGAGGCTGAGGCAGGCAGATCACAAAGTCAAGAGATCCAGACCTTCCCGGCCAACATGGTGAAACCCCATCTCTACTAAAAATACAAAAATTAGTTGGGCGTGGTGGCACACGCCTGTAGTCCCAGCTACTCGGGAGGCTGAGGCAGGAGAATCGCGTGAACCCGGGAGGCAGAGGTGGCAGTGAGCCGAGATCGTGCCACTGCACTCCAGTCTGGTAACAGAGCGAGACTCTCTCTCAAAAAAAAAAAAAAAAGTGCTGGGATTACAGGCGTGAGCCACTATACCCAGCCTGCCTCTCCCTTTTAATCCTCACACACTTTTATACTAATTTGCTAGGGTGCCATTAAAAAAGAAACACACACACACCAGACTGGATGTCTTAAAGAATAGAAATTTATTTTCTCACAATTCTGAAGGCTCAGATGTTTGTAAAATCAGAGTCATCCAACAACAGTAGAAATTTATTTTCTCACAATTCTTGTGATCCTTTTGGCTTGTGGATGGCTACACTCCCCGTGTCTTTACAATGTCTTGTCTCTGTACCTATATGTGTCCTAATCTCCTCTTCCTATACAGATAACAGTCACATTATATTAGGGACCAACTTAGTGACCTTATTTAATTTAATTACCTCTGTAAAGACCTTGTCTCCAAATACAGTCCCATTCTGAGGTTCTGGCGGTTAGGATGTCAACATGCGAACTGGGGATACAATGCACCCATAACAATCTCACATTGCTTGTTCTTGGTTTCAACTGTAGTGATAATCCAAAGTGCTCACATACTTTTCCATGTCACAGTTATGCCAGGCAGGCACTGATGCCCTGAAGCAATGCATGGGATAGAGGAAAGAGTAGGAGTCATGCCTGTCCCCTGGTGAGGCTCCCCATCCATCCCCATCTGTCTCTGGCTCACATTTCCTTCTGAGTTAAGATTCCTTCCCCTGCAGTACCCCAGAGTTTTCCCACAAGTTTTGTGCTATTTCTTCAGCATCTCCATGCTTCCCTCTCCTTCCATGTGCCTCCAGAATTCAAGTTTTTGTGGTGGGGGCGGGAAGAGGGGTAGGGAGAATGAAGAAAACTATCTAGCCAGAAATCCCCACGATCTGATTGCACTTTAGAAAGGTCTCTTCGGCTGGAGTGTAGAAACTGAATCAGACATGGGCAATATTAGAGGCAGAGAAACCAGATAAGGGACTATGGCAGCAGATGACCTGTTGACATCCTACACAGAGGTCCTGGCAGTGGGAATAGAGAAACAGATGGTATTGACAGGACTCGGTGCTTTTTTACATGTAGGATAGAAGGCAAGGAAAAGGTCAAGAATGATTCCCAGGTTTTTGGCTTGGGCCACTGGGCAAATGGTGGGGACTTTCACTGTGATACAGGATGTAGCAGAAAGGGGAGGTTTGGGGGTTGAGGGAGGAGGATGGGGAGTGCCCATAAGACATCCCAATTGAGGTGTTTAGCAGACAGTTGGAGCTCTAGGCCTTACACCCAGGGGAGAAATGTGGACTTGATGACTTTGGAAGTCAGCAGTATATGAATGGTAATAGAAGCCACCGGAATGGATGAGCTAAAGTGAGCTTCCTGGGATGGTGTGAGGAGGAGAATAGAGGGTCCAGGATATAAACCCTGAAAACCACAACATTTAAGGGCTGATCTGAAAAAGAAGAGACAGGAAAGGAGGCTCAGAAGGAGCTGCCAGTGAGATGGCAAGAAACCCAGGAGTGTCAAAAGAGCCAAGAGAAGAGCAGGTGTCAAGAAATGTGACCAAGATGGGTGCAGAGGCTCATGCCTGTAATCCCAGCACTTCGGGAGGCCAAAGAGGGAGGATCACTTGAGCCCAAGAGTTCAAGACCAGCCCCGGGCAACATGATGAAACCCCGTCTCTTCAAAAATATATATATATACAAATATTAGCCAGGTGTGGGGACACATGCCTGTAGTCCCAGCTACTCGGGAGGCTGGGGCAGAAGGATCACCTGAGTCTGGGGAAATTGAGACTGCAGTGAGCTGTGATCACATCACTGCACTCCAACCTGGGCAACAGAGCAAAACCCTATCTCAAAAAAAATAAGTGTGACCAGAGGACTGAAAGGTATTCCCTGGATTTAGGGACATGGAAGTCATCAGCCACCTCTGCTCCCAATAGGGGAGGTTGTCATTTTCACTGCTGTGACAATAACAATGGTCACAATGGTATCACCTTAGAATTATGTGACATTTTATACTTTTGTAAGCAGTTTATGTTCCACAACCTTCTTCTGTTTTATGGAAATTGTAGATCATAAAGTCACATATTAAGGAACTAGGGAAATTTGTTCCATAAACAAATTGGGGGATATTCTGAACATGCTGAGCGTCTTCAAATTCCCAAAAGGCTGTGCAGTCTTCCAAGCAGAGCTTCAGAGGGCTGTGGGCATCAGGGCCTGACTCAGATGTCTGTAAAATCAGAGTTGTCCAATAACAGGATGTGCTACCTCCAAAGACAATGACAGCCTCACCCTCACTCTACCCACTCCACCTTCTCAAGCACTTTCAAGTTCATTGTCTCATTTCACCTTCAAAACAGTTCTGTGGGGAGAGAGAGGTGGTTTTCCCTGAACTTAACAGATGGAGAACCTGAAGGTCCACTTCTTGTTCCAAGAGCAGTGTTTTGGCCATGCCTTCCATTGGAGACATCTGGGCTGAGCAGTCACCTGTCAGGGAAACCCAGCAAGAATTACTGCCCAGGGGGTAGGGCGTGGTGGCTCACGCCTGTAATCCCAGCACTTTGGGAGGCCGAGGCAGGCAGATCACGAGGTCAGGAGATCAAGACCATCCTGATAACATGGTGAAACCCCGTCTCTACTAAAAAATACAAAAAAATTAGCTAGGTATGGTGGCAGGCACCTGCAGTCCCAGCTACTCGGGAGGCTAAGGCAGGAGAATGGCATGAACCCAGGAGGCAGAGCTTGCAGTGAGCCAAGATTGCACCACTGCACTCCAGCCTGTGCAACAGAACGAGACTCCATCTCAAAGAAAAAAAAATTACTGCCCAGGGGAAGGAGGGAGCGCATGTAGGGGCTGGCAGTGCATGTGCTAGCTGAGATTACTTCTAGCTAAATAATCAGTAACAATGGTTTTCTTCATCACATAGGGTAACACTCTTTACAGATAAGGAAACTAAAGTACAGAGGAAATGTTAGTGAAAAATAAAGGTCCTCCTAGGTTGCAGTGAGCCGAGATTGCGCCATTGTACTCCAGCCTGGGCGACAAGAGTGAAACTCCATCTCAAAAATAAATAAATATATATATAAATAAAATAAAGCTCCTCCCACAGACCCACCAAAGGCAGTGCTTCTACAGACCTCAGCAACAGCATTCCAATCTCACAGCGTTCAAACAATTATTGATCAGTTATTGATGGGTTTGCCTGGAGAAGTGTTCTCCACGCTGATGGGGCACTGGTCAGGGAATTTCTGTCCCTGTGCCCTGCTGCAACAACCCCTTAATGACTGTGCCCTGCATGGGATCAGCAGTGCCCCACACTCAGACTCTGGGTTACTGCTCTTTTGTTCATACTCAGAAAACTCAGCTCTTCTTCTAAGAGTATCACCATGTCAGGGAATAAGGACACAAAGGACTGTGTAGAACAAATTATGAGCAGTGACACAACACTACTATCCAGAAGCAAGGGCAGCCATGGACTGTTTCAACTCTTGAGCAGAACTGATCTCTTCAACCTAAGAAAGTCACTGAGACTCCCGGACATCTTGGTGGAGGGTGGGGGGAGGGGGGAAGTGGGAAGGTGGATCCTCATGGATGCAATGGAAACTTCCTGCTAATTGGGACAGGGAATGCTTCTGCAATTAATTTGAAAGAAATGATAAGCAATGCAATTAATTTGAAAGAAATGATAAGCAAACCAAGTATCTGTCAACAAGAGAATGAATTAATAAATTAAGGTATTTTCACATAGTGAAATACTATATGGCATAAAAAAAGGATGAAAAAGGATATTCACATGTAAAATATCACAGTAAATTTAAAAAAGGCAAATTGCATAAAAATCATGTCATATATGCAGTATGACATAATTTAATGTAGTTCAAAACCTGCAAAACAATGCTTTACATGGCTTAAGGACACACATGTGCCAGTGCAGTAAAAGTATAAGTAAAATGACCAGGAATGATAAAAAGCTCATTCAGCAAATTGGCTACTTGTTGAGAAAGGAGGTGGCACAGAGGAGGATGTGGTAGGAAAGGGATGCACAGGAGGTTCTACCATATTGGAAATGCTTTGTTTCTTAGAATAGGTTAGGTATACCCACCTTACATTATTCTTTATGCCTTATTTCTTTCAAAATATGTTTCCTAATAAATTTTTGTGACCATGCTTATCCCCAAAGCCAGTAAGACAAGTCACAGATATCACGTTTATTAACAAACCTGTCTCCTCTGCTGAAGTGTGAGGATATTCTTTCTTGAGGCCAGAACGACCCAGCTATAACCTGGTCCCAGATTCCTGGTCCTCAGAAACTGTGTAAAATACTAAATGTTTATTGTTATATCAAGCTGCTAGGTTTGGGAATAATTTGTTCCACAAGAATAGAAAACTATTACAAGGAACAACTGAGTATTTTTGAGAAAGCAAGGACATGATGAAAGTGGTATTTTTCCAGACTATCTTGTAACCTCCTAAGGACCAAATAACCAAATTTATTTTTGATCTGCAAAGCCCCAGGGGTTAGCACAAATTGGGAAGAGCTGGTGGCCCCAGGCTTGGTGGGGGACAGAGAGCATGTTAGTAATTTCAGTGCAGCCTCGGCAGACCATTCTTGGTCAACTTTGCACTTTTTTCAATCAAATCTACTTGCCTCAAGGGGACACCCTCCCAAGGACAAAAAGTAGACCTTCAGGCTTCTCTGCAAACCTCCAAAGCTCAGGCAGGCATAGGGGAGGGGCAGCTGATTAATGATGTTTCAGAGGAGATGAGGAAAACATCCTCATCCTGGCCAGGAGATACTGTGCAGCCATAAGGGACAAGATGGCCAGGAATGGAATCAAAGACCTCTGACCTTCCAGCTCTCCTTGCAGCCTGGAAGGACACGATTCCTGGTTTGATGTCTCATTTACCATCTTAGGCCAATGCTTCCAGTTAGCACAAAGGTGAGGGTAGGGTAGCGATGGGTACAGGGATGCCTGTGAAAAAAATACGCAAAGGGAAAAAGAAAAACAATTTGGTAAAGCAAAGGGAGCAATCTGTTTGCCTGGGCTGCAGCATCCAAAGCTGATTCAAAAAGAAAGCTCTGCTGTCAAGTGGAAAATGGGTTTTTCCCTAAAGCAAGCTCTCGAAATTGTCCAAGAATTGAGTGTTCTGTCAGAGGGGGAGGGATGAGATTGATCACAGAAATAGATACAGTCCCCTGAGTGGAAAACATCTTCATTCTGATGTACTGTTAGGAGCTCAGCTCATGGGCATGGTAGGGAAATATTGTACTGGGTTAGGAGTAATCGCTCTAAAGCTAAATTCATCTTCCCCATTTCTTGGGGGTAGAGTAGAGAATAATCAATTATATTTGGGTGCAGTTCACACTGTAACAAGGAAATATGCCCTCTGCCAAAAAAGGTTTGAGAGAGAAGGAGTTGTTGTTTGTTTTGGGTGTTTTTATGAAACTAGTCTTTTAACAGAGCAAAATGTAAAAGACTAAGTAAGATCTTAGAAGTTTACACAGAAGCCAAAGAGGCCTCAGCCTGTTCCCTTAGAAGCTCTCCAATGATCCCGTCCATCTGCGAATGGGAAAGCTGAGATCCAGAAAAGGGAAGCTGCAGAGCCAAGGGCCTACAAAGATAGTTGGCAGAGCTTACACCAGAACCCAGGAACCCACCTGGAAGAGGGCAACAGCTATGAAGTGTTTGAGCCTTTGCAGTCCAGATGGAGGATGAATGTGAGTATGAAGCACTGCTCATTTTTTAGCCATTACTAACACTAGTCTTCTTGGAGAAAGCCTACTCTGGTCATACAAGATGCTGGTAAGGGAAAGAGAACTAGAAAGCAGGAGCTCGCTCACCCAAGCAGAGCTTATAACCAAGAGCAGCATCTTAGCCTCTGGGAATTGAGTTTTCTTGTGCCTGGGCCCAGCATGGACTTCCTCAGAGCTGTGTTTGGGGAAAAGTCAGCTTAGAAATATGGCAGCAGGGGCTACTTAAAAGAAAAGTAGCCATAGGCTGAATGAAAAGGCAGATAAAGATAGCAGGTGGAGTGTCTCAGTACCAAAGAGACCTGGGTGTAAATCCTAGTTCTGCCCCTTCCAGCCATGCGAGCTTGGCCAAGTCACTGTATATCTCTAGCCTCCATTTCCTCTGCTTTAAAATGGAGATAATAAATATGTATCTTGCAGTAAGCTTCAGGGTACATAGGAGGTGCTTGATAAATGTTTTTAACTTTTTCATGCTGAGCTTAAGAAAAAAAAAAGCAGGGGGAACAAGACACTGATGCATGCACAAACACATCACCTGCCCAGATTGACCCTACTTGCCTGCTGTTTGTAGACCATCCTTTTAGCTACCTTAATACATACTAATTTCCTAATGACAGAGATCTAAATACACACTGTGTGTGTCTTGATCACCAAACTTAATGTAGGTCCTCCACCAGACTCACTCCCTGGCCACATAAAATTCCAATGGATTGGGCCATGTGTGGTGGCTCATGCCTGTAATCCCAGCACTTTGGGAGGCTGAGGCAGGCAGATCACAAAGTCAGGAGATTGAGACCAGCCTGGTCAACGTGGCAAAACCCCGTCTCCACTAAAAATACAAAAATTAGCTGGGTGTGATGGCACGTGCCTGTAATCCCAGCTACTTAGGAGGCTGAGCAGAAGAATCGCTTGAACCCGGGAAGCGGAGATTGCAGGAGCCGAGATCACGCCACTGCACTCCAGCCTGGTGACAGAGCAAGACTCCATCTCAAAAAAAAAAAAAAAAAAAATTCCAATGAATTTAGAAGCCAAGATACCCTATGCTCTCCCCTCCCCATCACCTAAATTTTCCCTGGCGGTTCCAGTGACAGGACAGAAAACAGTGGGCAAGCATGTAGGTCCCAGAGCAGGCAGAGCTGGGCTCAGATCCTGCCTCCAACTGGCTGAGTGAACTTGGGCAAAGTGTGGACCCCTGTAAGTCTTAGTTTCCTCATCTGTGAGACAGCAGTGACAATCAATACCTATTTTGCTGGTTTTTATGATGTTTAAAAAAGAAGCAATTAAACATAGAGTCAGCCAATGTTTGTGGTGGTTGCCACTGTTAATATCATATACCATGAAATCAGGGTAGGTTGCCCTCCCCAGAAGGGCAGCTAGGTGTGGCCAGTCTTGGGAATCCAGCCTCTGCTGGGGAGTCGTTACGTGGTTCTAAGCAAGTCATTTAACCTCCCTGAGCCCCCATTCCTTCTTATGGGCAATAGATTTTTTTTCCCCCCAGAGTTTTGCTTTTGTCACCCAGGCTGGAGTGCAATGGCATGATCTCGGCTCATTGCAACCTCCACCTCCCAGGTTCAAGCAATTCTCCTGCCTCAGCATCCTGAGTAACTGGGACTACAGGTGCATACCACCACTCCTGGCTAATTTTTGTATTTTTTTTTAGTACAGATGGGGTTTCACCATGTTGACAAAACTGGTCTCAAACTCCTGACCTCAGGTGATCCGCCTGCCTCGGCCTCCCAAAGTGCTGGGAATATAGGCATGAGCCACCACGCCTGGTGTGGAAAATAGATTTTAATACTATCCAGACCTCAGAATGTTTCTGTAATATTCAACTAAGACAATAGAAATAATAGTGGTTAGAAAACTCTGTAGCATGACTCCATAAAAGGAAAATTATGATTTAGATGTGACTGGACAACAGTAATTCTAAAATGCTTTCATTCCACAGTTACTCAGGATGCAGGCAGAAAAGAGATGAAAATTAGCAGTGGGAGAGGTAAGATAAAATCAAAATATTTGGGGCCTGGAGCAGTGGCTTATGCCTGTAAACCTAGCACTTTGGGAGGCCAATACGGGAGGATTGCTTAAGGCCAGTAGTTCGAGACTAGCCCCATCAACATAGTGAGACCCCATCTATGTTGGAAACCTCTAATAGCACAAAATCTACCCAAAGCAGAACATTTGGATCCCATCTTAAACCCTATTTCGTTATTTCTACTATTATTTCATTTTGGATTACAATCTTTTTTGTCTGTTTACTTCCCAAGAACAGTTGTCTTTTTTCTGTTCTCTGGTGTTACTAAACAATAGAAATACTCCAGTTAAGAGCTTTCATAGCAACAATCCTCCACGTGGCTAGTCAGGAGCCAAGGTAAAATTCTATGGGACAGCAGACACAAAGCACCTCTAAAGCAATACTGGTCTTTCCCACAAAGGGAATGAGGAAGCCAGCTGAGCAAATGCAGGAATCCTTATAGTGGCCTAAAAACATCAGTTCCAGCCATGCATCATCTTTCCAGGTCTTAGAAAGTGGACAAGACCGAGAGATCACACCATGCCCGATTGAATCCAAATGCTGCCCTTTAAAAAGTTACCTTATGCATTAAAATGGTCTCCTCACCCAAAAACAGGGATAACAACATGTATCTAGAGGATTGTTGTGAGGGTTACATGAATAAACTATGTAAAAGGTTTATCCAAGGGCCTAGTGCCTAATTCCTAATTAAGTGCTCAATAAACAGTAGGGTGTTTTTTTTTTTTTTTTTAAATCTCCAGCTGGAACTTTGAGGCTTTCTGTTCTTTGCTGTTTGTATCTGATTTTCCACATAGTATCCTCTTTTGCTTTCCCAATAACCCAACCAGATGTCTATAGATAGGACTCATTAGCACCACTTGACTGTTGGAGAAATGAAGTGACTTGGCCTAGGTCACACCGGGGATGACTAGAGGGGAAGACTCAGTGCCTTCCAAGGCCTGCAGTAAAAGGCTGGCCTCACAGGCCCCAAGGAGAAGCCCCGGAATCACCAGAGGAACAGAGCAAAAGCCAAGGGTGCCAAATCCCATACAAAGCCCCCTACATAGGGTGAAATTCCAGACTCAGTACTCTTATGGAAGAGCAAATGTGACTCAGTTTCCCCACCCCCATCTGAGCCAGGGCCTGGTGCCAGTGCTGCCCAGCTGACTGCCGTCGGAGCCACCAGCACCTGACCACAGACAGGCACCCATCAGCTTCCCACAAAACTTGTCCTGTCGGGCCGGGCGCGGTGGCTCACGCCTGTAATCCCAGCACTTTGGGAGGCCGAGGCGGGTGGATCATGAGGTCAGGAGATCGAGACCATCCTGGCTAACAAGGTGAAACCCCGTCTCTACTAAAAATACAAAAAAATTAGCCGGGCGCGGTGGCGGGCGCCTGTAGTCCCAGCTACTCGGGAGGCTGAGGCAGGAGAATGGCGTGAACCCGGGAAGCGGAGCTTGCAGTGAGCCGAGACTGCGCCACTGCAGTCCGCAGTCCCGCCTGGGCGACAGAGCGAGACTCCGTCTCAAAAAAAAAAAAAAAAAAAACGAAAAACTTGTCCTGTCGGCTTCGGATGAGCAGGCCCCTCTGTGACCGGAAAACCAGACGTTCTGCACCACAGTTTCCAGACTCTGACGTGGGCGCCCGCTGCTCAGCCGCCGTGGGAAATCTCTTTCCACAGACCAATATCAGCAGGTTTACCATAAAGTTACCATCTCACAGCTTCCAGCCCGAGTCCCTAGTTAGTCATGCTCCTTCTGGTTTCCCGTTAGATACGGGAACAGAAAGACCCCAGAGATGTGGGAAACTGCTCCCATGATTTTCACTCTCATGAGCCCCATAAGGCCCTGAACTTGACCAGCACACCCGGAATTGTCTAGGCTACCAGGGCCCTAGACTTGTAGACTCTTGACAGTTGGAAAAACCCTCAGAGAACACCTAATCCAGGCATGGGCCAAATTTTTCTCTAAAGGGCCAAATTATAAACATATTAGTTTTGGTGGGTCACACCCAGTTTCTGTTGAATATTCTTCTATTTTCATTATGCCCTTTAAAAAAAAAAACCACTCTTAGCTCAAGAGCATACACAAACAGGCCTGGGGCAGAATTTGGCCTGAAGACCATGGTTGGTGGATCCCAGCTTCACCCAACCCTCTCACCACACAGAAGGAAAAACCAAGATCCAAAGAGGTTAAGTATGCTTGCCCAAGGTCACCCAGTGATTAAGACAGGCATTTTTCATATCTGACTCCTGGGCCACTCTGCCTCCAGGATTAAGACTTCTTTACTGTATTTCATTTTTTAAAAAATCTGCCAACCTCTGGTTCTTAACCAATATGCTTAACTGCTTTTTCAATGTTCATAGTGCAATGTTCATAAATGTGAGAAGATAAAAAACATGTTATTTAAAATAAAAACTAGCTGTCATTGCTGCCTTTCAAAGATGATGTTGTTTCTATCAGAAGGAAGATAAATCTGTGTGGTGCCCTGTTGTCTGGCAGAGCTGGTAGGGAGAGAGAAAGGAATAGACTGACATTTCAGAGTCTTTCCCAGGTTCTCTGGCACCAGTGAAAGTAGTGGGAGGTGGGGAGGCATTGAAGAAGACTGCCCATGGCTTTAAAGAGTCTTTGGGCGTGCAAAGGGAGGCCCCATGCCACATGATCTGTGGTATCAGCCTAAATTACTTAATAAAAACAGGGAAATCAGGAGGGCTGATGGGTGAAGATCCTAATAATAGGTAAGTAGAGAGTGAGAGGAGAAACAGCCACATGACAGAGTGGTACAGACAGAATGTAAAGATCAGGAATGTCTGATGTTAGCATGAAGGGATTTCTGTTAACATGATCTAAGCCTCCTTTATGTCCCCCGAACCTCTAATAAAGGACACTGCACACAAAAACCTTTGGTGAGCATTTTTAATTTTGCTTTTTTTGTTGTTTTTTGAGGAAATCGAAGACAGCTTGTTGGGGAAAGTGAGGTGGAATAGATCAGCACCTATAGGAATAGTCCATGTGCTGAACAAATCCAGCAGAGTGGGGCATCTCAGAGTAGAGGTGGCCAGGAAAATATAAACCTCTCCCAGTGCAGTGTCTCCTGCCCAATATCCTTCTCTCTTCCTTCTGGCTATCCACACCCCAATTCTTTTAGTGTCTCAAAATTTCCAGCCCTATTCAAGATTCTCATTTTCCCAGTTTTCCTCGCAGCTCAGAAGGGCCACTTGACATGGTTCTGGTTGATAAGATACTGACAGAAGCCTTGTAGGAATTCTAAAATAGTGTTTCTTTTTTAATAAAAAGGAACAAACATGGCTAACAGCATCAGCTTCTTCCTTTCTTCTTTGAACAGATACACGATACCTCCAGCAGGAGCCTTCTTGCTGACACTCACCAGAACTTCCCCCCATGATGGAAATGTTCTACATTTGCACTGACCCAGCACAGTAGCCACTGGCCACTTGTAATGTTGCTAGTGGGAAGGAGGAACTGGATTCTTTTCCATTTTTCTTTAATTTTAATTCATCTCAATTTAAATAGCCACCTGTGGCTAGTGATGACCTTATTAGACAGCTAAAGTGAGACATTCCTAGAATCTCTACTCAGTGTTGAGCCACATGTCTTCAGACTCCATGTTATATAAGAGAAATAAATGCCTAATTTTTAAATCACTGTAAATCAATACATTTACCTGCAGTTATATGTATTCTAGCAGATCCTACTGAAATGGGACAATTCCCTTGACCCCTTCATGGGACCCCTCATGAAGGGGGTGGCTTGTTTACTCGGCTACCATGCTCCATCCCTTACAGGAGGGAGCACATGAGCAGATGGGTGCAGGAACCAGAGAAAAAAAGGCTGGAACCCCCAGCCATTCTTTCCAGCAGGAGCAGGCCCTGTATAGGCCTCATGGCTGCATCAAAGCATATTACAATTCTCTTTTAGCTCTGCCATCCAGGATGGGGTGCCTGCAACCCCTGAGCCCCAGAGGGCATGTTACCAGCTCAGTGGCCCTTTTGCCTCATCGTATAGAGCAGCTGCCCCCTGCCAACAAGGGCAAAGGGCCAGTGTGACAGCCTTTTGAGGTTCCCACACCCAGTGGGTCCCAAATTCTTGTCCAGTGTTCAGAAAGAATCAGGTCACACGAACAGTTTGAAAGGTGATGAATGCGGAGTTTTTATTGAGTGACAGGGTGGCTTTCAGTGGCATAGGGAGCTGGAAAGGGGATGCAATGGGAAGATAATCTTCCCCTGGAGTTCAGCCGTCCCAGGATGAACTCCTTTCTGACTGTCCATAGCCAAACTCCTCACCACGTTCAGATGCTTCTTCTCTCCTCTGCTGTGCCACTCTGCTGCTCTGCTGCTCATGGAGCCTGGGATTTGGGGTTCTTACAGGCATAGGATAAGGGGTGGAGTGGGCCAGACTGGTCTTGGAAAGGCAACATTCAGGCACAAAAATAGGAATACTTGTTCTCATTTAGGGCCATAGGTCCAGGCTTGAGGGTGGAGCCCTCACCAGGGACCCTGCCCTCCTGCCTGTGTCACTACCAGAGAGAGAGAGAGCTTAGGAGATCCCCAGGGCTTCCACTGCCCATGAGATAACATTCAAGTCAATCAATCCCATTTTATTTGCATTACAAAGGATGGTTACTATCAGCTAACAATGAGTTAGGAGACTATCCCAAACAGAAAGGAAGGGGTAGAACAGAGTTCTCTTCTCTCACTCAGATCCTCTTTTTGACCAAAGTCACAAACTTCTGTAACACCCAAAGTTGGGGGAAGCTGGCTGTCTAGAGTCAAAGTGAAAAGTAGAATGAGATGTGCCAGGTCTGTCATGTCCCGGCTCCGGTTCTTTTCCTGCCACACCCACCTTGGGCAAGTCACTTCTCTCTGAAGTTCACATCCCTCATGTGTAAGGTGGAGGATAATCAAGTTTTTCCTGCGTAGCTCAAGGAGTCATTGTAGGCTCAACTCAGAATGGATGGAAGTAGATTGTGTAAATAGTAAAGCACTAGCGAGGAAATTTCTAGAGAATATCATTCCAGGCAACACTGAAGGCCTCAGCAAGTCTCATCACCTGCTCTGAAAAGTAGAGACACCTAACATTCTGCACTGGTTGGATGTTCGCCTCTAGCTGTACTCTTCACTTTGACTCTAGATGGCCAGCTTCCCCCAACATTGGCTGTTGTAGAAGTTTGTGACCTTGGTCAAAGAGAGGATCTGAGTGAGGGAGGACTCTGTTCTACCCCTTCCTTTTGGTTTGGGATATTCTCCTAACCCAATGTTAGCTGATTGTAACTGTCCTTTGTGATGCAAATAAAATGGGATTGATTAACTTGAGTGTTATCCCATGGACAGTGGAAATCTGGGCTCTTTAGGCCCATATTTTGTTTCCAAGTAGTAGAGGATTCCACCACCTTGCCAGGTGTTGGGAGAGTCCCACTCTCATAAATGAAGATGGAGTAGGCACAGGCACCCGTTAGTACCTGGAATGACTGCAGGTCAGTAACCTCAGACACGTGCAACATAGCTGAACTCTTATCACTGCCCCACGGTAGGTATTTATTCCCCCCAAATGATGATAAGTCAAATCTGAACACAGATGTAGGTAGTAGGCTAGCAAAGCTTCTAGGGTAGCTTAGAAGTAGGGAGCTGGGGAGAATAGATTCCCCTCCAGGAAACGCAGAGAGAGAAGCCCGGGATCCCAGAGCAGTGGTAGCACACAGGATAAGCAGAAGCCATAGGAAGCCTGCCGGGAGGGAGGGTGTCATGAAAAACGGTTTGGGCCAGAAAAGCAGCCTCCAGGCTGAAATACATAGGAAGGTTTATGTTAACATACCCCACCATCATCCTTTACCCACCAACAATGCCAAATAGAATTGGATTATACTTACCTATATACCATTAAAGGATAATTGCTAGAAGAGCACATAATCATAACACTCACTGAAATATCAAAGAATTGCATATCAATGATTTAGCTCATTAATTTGTGAGAGAACTAGTAGGACGTCACATCTAGTTGCAAGGATAATTCCAAGAACCACATATACACAAGCAAGAAATACTGAAATGAATAAAGATGCAAAACTGGTTTATTCCACAGGAGATGTGGTAAGACAATTGTATTACCACCAGAAAATGTATTTGCATATCTACGGACAAGAACCATTTGCATCACTCTCAGTCATCTACAACTTACAGTTCTGAAACAGTTCAAAGGCAACGAAAGGCCCAGAGGCCCCATAGAAACACCTAGTTTTCTGATGAAGACACCCAGTCATCTTTTCGGTCCATTTCAAAGTCATTCACCATTTTTCCTACAATATCAAGATCTTATCCCAATCACCTTATGTCCTCACTCTCAGTTGTCCATGGGAGCATGGGAATGGACAGAACTTTCCAGGAAGTGATATGGCCTATCCTGGAGCTAGGGAAAATGAAAGTGAGCAGTAAGAAGTGGGCATGAAATATAGAATCCTTGAGCACAAAAAGACCTCATACCAAAGACTTTATTTTACAGAAGCAGAAATAGACCAGAGAGGAAAGGGGATTTTCCTAAAGACACAGAGCAGAGTGGACATGACACCTCCCCTTCTATAGCACACACTTTTTAAGGCAGAGGGGCTGAAAAATGGAGGGTACCAAGGGATTACTTATTCTCTCTGGTCTAGGGAGAGTGACTACCAGAAACCTCTCCCCTAAGATGTGTTCTTTACCTTCCTTGAGCCACATCTACAAAACAGGGGTGGTACTCACACCTCCCTCACTGTGCATTGTCAGGTTTAAATGGGACAGGTTTAGATAGAATGCCTATCCCATAGCAGGTGCTTCATAGACATCATTTTCTCTCACCCTCCTGAGTAGCTGTGTGACCCCAAAGAAGAGACAGGGGTCATTCTGCTTTCACTTGGCCGGGGGTTACAATCATACAAAAAAGACTGTGGCTTCTTACCCACGATGAGTCATATGCTGCTTTCCATCTCAGTTTCAATTCATCTGGAGACAATTCTGATGATTTCAGACCCCGGGCTCTTTCAGCCCCAAGGCCTCAGGCCACTACCACATTTCCTCTGCCAAGCTGCCCCCTTATAACAAATTTGAAGAAAACACAGAAAAAGAGGAGAAGACAAAAAAAAATTAAGTATAAAAGTTTCCCCCCCATTCTCCAGGAGTCAGGTGGTGGGTGGGTGGGTGGAGACATGGCCAGGCCATGGTGGGAAGAGCCCCAGTGAATTATACCCTTGGTGCAGGGAACCCACAAACAGAGACACTGGCCTTGTTTCCCATCACTGCGAAGCCATCATGACCTTCAAACAGCTTGCAGGGCGGGGCCCTTCACATCTTCTGAGTCCTGATATGACTGAGCATCCATTATATAACCATGTTGTGAATAACTTGGTCTCAGTCCTCGACCACAATCTCAATTTCGGGGCATCCCTGATCTCTCTCTGCAGAGAGATTCAGAAGAGGCCCCAGAGATAGTAAAAGTTGGGGGATGGTGGGAGTTGTTTTTTGCTGTTGTCTTATTCCGATTCACACCACCATGTGATAATGGGACCTTTCCCTTTCTCTGGGAGTGAACCTTGCAAAACCACCCAAAGTCAGAGCAGGAAGGGACCCCCAAAGCTCCTGGGATTTAGTTCTCCACCTTCTACCGGGTGAAATGGCAAACCTAATAAAGGCAAAATCCTGGCTCTTCCAGAACTGATAAAAATGTAGACCCTGCCAGGCACAGTGGCTCACACCTATAATCCCAACACTTTGGGAGGCCGACGTGGGTGGATCATCTGAGGTCAGGAGTTCGAGACCAGCCTCACCAACACGGCGAAACACTGTCTCTACTAAAAATCCCAAATTTAGCCAGGTGTGGTGGTACACGCCTGTAATCCCAACTACTCAGGAGGCTGAGGCAGGAGAATGGCGTGAACCCGGGAAGTGGAGCTTGCAGTGAGCCGAGATTGCACCACTGCACTCCAGCCTGGGTGACAGAGCGAGACTCCATCTCTAAATAAATAAATAAATAAAATCTTCAATGGAACCTTTGTGAAGCTCAACACATCTTCAATTAACATGCTGAGGATTGTAGAACCATATATTGCATGTGGGTAGCCAAATCTGAAGTCAGTAAATGAACTAATCTGTAAGTGTGGTTATGGCAAAATCAATAAGAAGCGAATTGCTTTGACAGGTAACACTTTGATTGCTCAATCTCTTGGTAAATATGGTATCATCTGCACGGAAGATCTGATTCATGAGATCTATACTGTTGGAAAATGCTTCAAACAAGCAAGTAACTTCCTGTGGCCCTCCAAACCATCCTCTCCAGAAGGTGGAATGAAGAAAAAGACCACCCATTTTGTAGAAGGTGGAAATGCTGACAACAGGGGGGACCAGATCAACAGCCTTCTTAGAAGAATAAATGAAGATGTCTACCATGATTATTTTTCTAATCTGGTCAGTTAATAAACAGTACCTGCTCTTGAATTGAAAAAAAAAAAAAAAGGAAAACTCAATTATCAACCTTAGTTTTATCTCCTTTAAAATTTGTATCTTATTTAAAAAATATATTATCAGAAGCTCAAAGAACCATGAAGCCTGGGTTAAAATGCAGTAAGCCGGGATCATGCCACTGCACTCCAGAGCCTGGGCAACAGAGCGAGACTCTGTCTCAAAAAAAAAAAAAAAAAAAAAAAAAAATGAATTCTTAAAACTTTTTCTGGCTGAGCACAGTGGCTAACACCTGTAATCCCAGCACTTTGGGAGGCTGAGGTGGGTGGATCACTTGAGGTCAGGAGTTCAAGACCAGCCTGATCAACATGGTAAAACCCTGTCTCTATTAAAAATACAAAAAAAAAAAAAATTAGCCAGGCATGGTGGTGGGTGCCTATAATCCCAGCTACTCAGGAGGCTGAGGCAGGAGGATGCCTTGAGCCTGGGAGGCAGAGGTTGCAGTGAGCCAAGTTCATGCCACTGCACTCCAGACTGGGTGACAGAGCAAGACTTAGTCTCAAAAAAAAAACAAACAACAACAACAACAAAACTTTTTCCTTGGCCTTCTCTCTTGCTGACAAGTTCTATAGTACTTAGAAATTGCCCAAGAGAGATTCCTACTTCTGATGTGTTTTGTTCTTGGTTTGCTTTTGTTTTTTTCCTGAGTTGGCAGAGGTGGGACTGAAACACATGTCCCTTGCTTCTCAGTTCAGTTCTCAGGCCACAGCACAACTGTTTTCATGTTATAAGCTCAGGACCTCTGAAAAGGCTTCTCATCTCCAAAATAGACTCTTCCCAACCTGAAAGTGAAGCTTAAGAAGCCTTTCGCAATGACTCACTCAGAAGCAAAGGTTCCCCAACAGAGAAGCAAGTCATGAAATAAACACCCCACAAGCTCCAAGCACCCCCGTGTGCCATGCGCAGTCTCCAAGCCAGGAGGGTCTCAGAGAACCGTAGAGCCATGGGAAACTGCTCTCTAGTGCTTACTTTCCCCCTGTATTGGACACGGTCAAGAGAACTTCCTCCCCTGTCTGCCTTTTTTCGCTGCCTTTCCATCCATCCCTCCATTCATTCAGTCATCCATCAACAATAGATTGGATCCATTAAGGCCCCAGCTTTCCTTCTACCCTACACCCATGACATAGATATAAAAGTGAGGTGTCCTCCTACTCTGTCTCTGGGCCCTAGCCATGTTTCTTGTTTTAGCCAGCAGAAAATCAGAGAACATGGCACAAGCAGAGGCAAGAAAAATTACTAGCATGTTCCTATTTATCCCTTGTAGCCTCTTCCATGGGCATAAGCCAGCCTGCTGGAAGATGAGAGACATGAACCAGGGTCAAGTCACCCAGTTGTCCCAGCCATGCCCATTATAGACCATCCAGTAGCCAGCCAACTGCCCTGATGTATGACCAACCCCAACCAATTTCAGCAGAACTGGCCGGCCATCCCGGGCACAAGAGCAAGAAACAGGCATTGCCATAAGCCACTGAGGTTTTGTATTTATTACTAAGCATTATTGTGGCAATAAATCACCTCTACATTCCAGCTAGCAGGAAGGAGGAAGGACAAAAGAATGTTTCCAGAAGTCACATAGGATGCTATCAGTTATTTGTCATTGGCAAGAACTCAGTCTCACAGCTGCCTCCACTGCAGAGAAGATTGGAAAATAATGGTCTTTATTCCAGACAGTTACATTTCCAGCCACAAATTGCAAGTTCTATTATTAAGGGAGAAGTGGTGAAAGGAAACTGGGAAACAATTAGAAGTCTTGCTGCAAGTGCAGACAGGTTTGGGATCAAACAGACGTAGGTCCATATCGCAGCTCAACCAGGGACTCAACTTGTGACCGTGGGCAAAATGTTTCCTTCTCGGGGACCTCAGTGTTCCTATCTATACAGTGGGAGCAAGGGAGAGTTAGTCCGCATGGGCTCTTAAGCTCCTCCTGGCTCTTTCCTTGCTAGAAATCAAAGTGAAGATTTTGAAGGGGTTGGCCTTCCATCAGATGCTAGCAAAGATGAACCTATTTACACACCTAGGTGACATTGCCCCTTCAGTCTGAAGCTATTTAGTGAACAAAAAGGCCAACACCTAGCAGAAACTTGTGTTGGAAAAAGATCTGCCTGGGCTCGCTCTTGCTGCTTTTCAAGTTACATAGAAGCAGCTGTCTGGTGCAGGCATCTAGTCCATTAAGGCCTCTAGCTATAACCCTCAAGCACCCAGTAGAGGTCAGAGAACAAAGATCCAATTATGTTGCTCAACTCCTGCCTGGGACTCCATCTAAGGAAGCAGAGACCCAAAAAGATATGGAAAGGGAGTGGTCTGATAGTCAAAATCCAGCCAGGCAACATTTATATGGTCCTGTTTGGAGTAGGAATAGAGAAAACTACATTTTAATTTACCATCATCAAATTACATAGCCCATATGTGTACTTTATAAAGAGGAAAGAAACCTTTACTCAGAGTGTAATTACAGCTTTCTAAAAGTCCTATAAATCTTTATAGTTCTGCAATGAAAGAAACTTCCCACTTTATATTTGATAAATCAGACTTACGTAATTTACAACTCAAGAATCCTCTTACTTTTACTCTAAACCTCAAGTGTACTTATCTCTCCCCTTGAGGAAAAAAAAAATTCAAAATAGCACTGAAGCCCAGGGCCCTCAGAATGCTCTATCTGCCACAAAATTCACGACTGTCCTGAATTTTGTAAGAAATGCATGAATTATAACAACAAAACAGCAACATTAGGTATTGAGTGTTTACTCTGTGCTTAAAACTTTGAGTTCAATGTTTCAATGCATCCTCAAAAAGCCATTAGGCATTACCATGCCACTTACAGGCATGGACACTGAAGCTCAGAGAAGCCACATAAGTCATCTAAGGTCACACAGCTAACATACGGTGAGCTGGGATTTCATCTTAGATAGTTGTCTCCACAGCAAAGCACTTGGCACAGTGTCTTACACATAGTTAATGTCACAAATGTTACTATTATGCTTACTTTCCTTAAAATGATTTCTGCCAGTCAGGCACAGTGGCTAACGCCTGTAATCCCAGCAGTTTGGGAGGCCGAACGGGCGGATCTCTTGAGGTCAGGAGTTTGAGACCAGCCTGAACAACATGGTGAAACCCTGTCTCTACTAAAAATACAAAAAGTAGCCAGACGTGGTGGCAGGCACCTGTAATCCCAGCTACTCAGGAGGCTGAGGCAGTAGAATCACTTGAACCCCAAGGGTGGAGGTTGCAGTGAGCCAAGATAACATCACTGAGCTTCAGTCTGGGCGACAGGAGACTCAGGCTCAAAAATCAATCAATCAATCAATCAATAAAATGATTCCTGCATATATTTGGGCAAGGTGGTCCCACAGATTCCTTAACCCACAGTGTCTAGATGATTTTCATTGGCAAACCCATAATTTTTCCTGTAAGTTTCCCACATCCCTGCCAAAGCCAGAAGATTTGTCTTATTTTATTGGTTTCTGAGAATGTTGATTTCACTTTTTAGGGTTTCATCAGAACAATCTTAAGAAATAATCTCCTCTGGCCAAGCGCAGCAGCTCAAGCCTATAATCCCAGCACTTTGGGAGGCTGAGGTGGGAGAATTGCTTGAGTCCCAGAGTTAGAGACCAGCCTAGGCACCATAGTGAGACTCCACCTCTACAAAAAATAGAAAAAATTAGCCCAGTGTGCTGGTGCATGCCTTTAGTTCCAGCTACCCAGGAGGCTGAGGTGGGAGGACCACTTGAGCCAGGGAAGAAGAGACTGCAGTGAGCCATAATAGTGCCACTGCACTTCAGCCTAGGCAACTGAGCAATACCCTGTCTCAAAACAAACAAAAGAAAAAAAAAATTTCTTCCATATCTCTGAAAATTAGCACACTGTCTTGAAATCAGTTATAAGGCTCAGTATAGAATCATCATGAAGAAGCTTTTGAGCTTCATGAGCACAAAAGCATAGAGAGGTGGGTGGCTACCGAAAGACAGCACAGTGTGTCATCGGGGAAGGCACAGAAGTCTTTCCAAGATACAGCACACCATGCAGTTCAAAATGTAACTTCATACATGCCAGCTCTTTTTGCCCTGAGCAAGGTGGGAATTGTGGGTGTCATTTTAAAGATGAGCAAATGAGACTCAGAGAAGGAAAGTGATTTGCCCTGCATGGGAAAGGCAGAAGTCTGAATCCAACTAGGGGTGGGTAGTATGTTTGGCCATGGACATTCCAGATGACTTGGTGACAAGAAAGCATGTGTGGAAGGAAAGGGAAGCCATATTGACTCTGAATCACATGCTGCCCTACACTGCGGCGGCTCCTTCCTCCTTCTCTTCCAAAAGGGAAGCACAAAACACAGCACCAAGAGGAATGCCCACCAAGTGCTCCTGAGAGATGACCTGCACTGTAACACTGTTCCTTGGGCCATCTATTGGGGGAGAGAGCCTTAGAAAGGGACGGGCACCACCTCTTCGGAACCTAAGCCCTTTCCAATGCTGCCCAAGAAGCCTCAGAGTGATGCTCTCTAGCTTCGCTCCACAGCAAATAATGGCACTGTGAAGTTTCACTGTAATAAAGAGATGATTCAGTGATTACTCAGAGAAACCATAGAATTTCAGAGATGCGCTCCTTAACCACAAACGTGTACAGCGATGCCAGCTTCATCTCCCTGCTGCAGCCTTCGCATTTGGGGTCAGATCTGAGTAATAAATGACATCTTAAATGACTGGTGACAGTGTTCACTCTTCCTTCCTCCCCAGCCCCACCACACTCAGAACTCAGCCACTGTGGCAAAATTTTAATACAAAGCCTTCAACAAGAGCAGTGAAACTTGTCTTCTCTCCATTTTCTCACAAGCCTCAAACTGATACTGGAAATTTTTTTCTCTGTCTCCAGTGTAATCGAAAAATATATTTTTATTAAGCAGAAATCCAAAAGTCAAGCCTATTTTTAGAATGGGAAATTACATTACAGAGGATGATTTTTTTTCCAAAAGGTTTATAAGTATCAATTATGTATGAGCCACAGAAGGGTTTTGTTTGTGACAATCACCTTGGGGCTTTGAAGAGAGCTTAGGTGCTAGGATTCTTGGAAATCAAGAATCTGAAGTAGTTTGAAAGAATAAACCAAATTTCCAGCTCAGAAACCATGGACAAGTGACGAGTTTACATCCACAATGATGCCCTCCCACAGCTTCTTAGGAGGGAAACAAAAAACCATCCCATAACTTTTAGTATATAGGTCATGGATACAATGGCTGTGATAGTTAATTGTATAAGTCAACTTGACAGGATCATGAAATGTTCAGCTATCTGGTTAAACATTATTTCTGGGTATGTCTGGAACAGATCAGCCTTTGAATCAGTGGACTAAGTAAACTGGTTTGCCCTCCTCAATGGGGGTGGGCAGCATCCAATCTGTTGGAGGCCTGAACAGAACAAAAAGGCAGAGGAAGGGAGGAGTCAACTTCTCCCTGCCTGACTGCCTTAACTTGGACATCCACCTTCACCTGCCCTCAGCACTTACAGTCCTCAGGCCTTCGGACTCAACGCGGGATTGTACACCATTGGCTTTCCAGCTTGTAGATGATAAGACATACATATAGATGGAGACAGAAAGAGAGAGAGGTCGAGAGAGAGAGACTGAAAGAGGGAGGGAGGGGAGGGAGGGGGAGGGAGAGGGAGGGAGAGAGACGGAGAGAGACAGAGAGAGACGGAGAGAGACAGAGAGAGACAGACAGAGAGAAAGAGAAACAGAGAGAGACAGAGAGACAGAGAAACAGAGAGACAGAGACAGAGAGACAGACAGACAGAGAGACAGAGACACAGACAGACAGAGACACTGAAAGAGAGAGACAGAGAGAGAGAGACACCGAGAGAGAGAGAGACACCGAGAGAGAGACACCGAGAGAGAGACACCAAGAGAGACACGGAGAGAGAGAGAAAGAGAGAGGAAAGCAGGATCCTAGTGGTTCCGTTTTTTGGAGAACCCTAACACAAGGATGTATCTCAAAAGAGGTTTTCTAAACCCCATTTATTCACATATCACTGTGACTCTATTACCTCTACTCTTATTTCCTTAATATTTTTCTTTAAACCATATTATTCTTTTACATTAAAACAAAGGTACATACCACTACCATAAATAGAAAAGATCAACACAAAAATAAACATAACAAAAACAAAACAATGAGCTTAACTTCTAGCCTGATGCCATCACCTGCCAAAGACTCAGAGCCTGCCTGCTGTTCTCTTTTTATTGTGAGGGAGGTCAGCAACTGTTTGGAGGCATTACTGAGGGGGTAGCATCCAGCTAAATTTAGGTAATTGAAAGGACTAAAAAGGGAGTCATTCCTTCATGATGTGAACCAGTGCTATAGAATGTCATGTCCATGTTTGGCCTTAAATTTCCCCACTTCTCATCAGGGGACTGGGCCCCACACTGCAGGAAAATATTTCACTAATGTCTTCACCTAGGAAATGTCCCAAGATCTCTGATTGATTAGAGCTCTTGTTCAAAAACAAAGGTGGAATGAAATAAATTCGTTCAACCATCATGGAAAAGTGTGGTGATTCCTCAAAGAACTAAAAACAGAACTACCATTCAACCCAGCAATCCCATCACTGGGTATATACCCAAAGGAACATAAATCATTCTATCATAAAGACACATGCACATCTATGTTCATTGAAGCACTATTTGCAATAGCAAAAACATGAATCAACCTAAATGTCCATCAGTGGTAGCCTGGATAAAGAAAATGTGATACATATGCATGATGAAATACTATGCAACCATAAAAAAGAATGTGATCGTGTCCTTCGCAGGAATATGGATGGAGCTGGAGATCATTATCCTTAACAAATGAATGCAGCAACAGAAAACCAAATACTGCATGCTCTCACTTATAAGTGGGAGCTAAATAATGAGTGTACATGGACATAAAGAAGGGAACAATAGACACTGGGGCCTACTTGAGTGGAGGGTGGGGAGAAGGAGAGGATCAGAAAAAATACCTATCAGGTATTATGCTTAGCACCTGGGTGATGAAATAATCTGTCCACCAAACCCCCAAGGTGTGAGTTTACCTGTATAACAAACCTGCACACGTACCCCTGAACCTAAAAGTTTTTTAAAAAAGAAGAAAGGGGAGTGAGTGATCTGTCCTCCCTCTCATATGGACAGTACTTCGTAGATATAAAGAGATCTTGTGCCCTGTATCTCACTTATCCACTCTGTGTAACAAACCACCCAAAAATTCAGTGACAACACCCAGTTTTCATCACTTTCTTATCTGTGAGTAGCATGCGGGTCAATGCTGGGCCTAGCTGGGTGCTTGCCTGGAATGACTGATCTATGTTTCTCGTTGTCCTCCAGGGACTAATAGGTTAGGGGGGGCATACTTTTTCTTGACACTGGCAGAAGAGCAAGATCATAATTGGCAGCATAGGGGAACTTTAAGGCATAAGCTCAGAACCCTAATACTATTCTTCTGCCCACAAGCCATTGGCCAAAGCAAGTTACTTAGTCAAATCCAAAATCAAAAGCATGGAAACACATACTGTCCACAATGAGGCCATGGCAAAGGTATAACCATAGGCAGGGATAAAGAATTGGGGACAACAGTTCAATCTATCACACTCAATATCTCCTTTGATCTTTCTGGAAACCTCCATTTGAGTATCCTTTAGAGCCAAATGCAACATGCTCAGAACTAAATTTAAATTCTTACCTTTATGATCAGTTGATTTTCAACAAGAGTACAATGACCATGTAATGGGGGAAAGAATTGTCTTCTCAACAAATGGTGCTGGGACAACTAGTTAGCTCCATGCAAAACAATGAAGTTGGACCCCACCTCACACCATATACAAAAATTAAATGGATGATCCACCTACGTGTAAGAGCTAAAGCTATACAACTCTTAGAATAAGACATAGGAGTAAATTAGGCCAGGTGTGGTGGCTCACGCCTGTAATCCCAGCACTTTGGGAGGCCAAGGCAGGTAGATAACTTGAGGTCGGGAGTTCAAGAAGAGCCTGACCAACATGGTGAAACCTTGTGTCTAATAAAAATACACAAAATTAGCCAGGCATGGTGGTGTGCCCCTGTAATCCCAGCTACTTGGGAGGCTAAGGTGGAAGAATCGCTTGAACCCAGAAGGTGGAGGTTGCAGTGAGCCAAGATCGCGCCACTGCACTCCAGCCTGGGCAATAAAGTGAGACTCCATCTCAAAAAAAAGAAGACAGGAGTAAATAAATCTTTATGACCTTGGGTTCGACAATTGGTTTGTTAGATGTAACACCAAAAGCACAAGCATCAAAAGAAAAAAAAAAGATAAATCTAACATCAAAATTTAAAATTTTTTGCTTCAAAGGACACTATAACTATTAAGCAAATGAAAAGATAACCCACAAAATGCAAGACATATTTGCAATCCATAGATCTGACAAAGGTCTAGTATACAGAATATATTTTTAAAACTCTTAAAACTCAACACTAGAAAGACAAATAACTCAATTTCTTAAAGGGCAAAGGATTTGAATAAACATTTCTCTTAACAGGATATGAAAATGGCCAATACATACATAAAATGATGCTCAACATCATTAGTCATTAAGAAAATACAAATCAAAACCACAATGAGATAATACTTAAAACACACTAGGCTGAAATTTAAAAGACAGACAGTATAAAGTGTCATCAAGGATGTGAAAAGACTGGAACCTTCAAACATTGCTGGCAGCATTGCAGAATGGTGCAGCACCTTTGGAAAAAGTTTGGCAATTCCTCAAAATGTTAAACATAGAATTATCATATGACTTAGCAATTTCACTTCTAGGTATATAGTCCAGAGAAACAAAAATATCCATCCACACAAAAACTTGCACACAAATATTCATAGCAGCATTATTCATAGAGCCAAAATGTGAAAACAACCTAAACATTTGTCAACAGATGAATGAATAAACAAAATGTGATATATCCATACAGTGAAATTTTTTTTTCTTTTTTTTTTTTTTCTTTTGAGACCGTGTCTTGCTCTGTCACCCACACTGGAGTACAGTGGTACGATCATGGCTCAATGCAGGCTCAACCTCCTGGGCTCAAGATATAAGAATGACAAAAGTAAAAAATAGTGGAAAAAAAAAAAAAAAAAAAAAAAAAAACAACCCTGGAGAGGATTCAGAGAAATGTGATTACTCATATATTGTTTATGGAAATGTAAAATGGTACAGTCACTCTGGAAAATAATATGGCAGTTTCTTTTAAAACTAAAAATTGATTGACCATACAATCCAGCAATTGTATAGTAAATTGGGCATTTATCATACAGAAATGAAAACATTTTCACCAGAAACTAGTACACAAATGTTCTCAGTAGCTTTATCTGTAATAGCCAAAAACTGCAAACCATCCAAATATCTTCCGATGGGCGAATGGTCAAAAAATCTTTGGTACATGCATTACTATGGATTACTACTCAGCAATAAAAAGGAGCTAACTACTGATACATGTTCCTCATGTATATGAGGAACAAGGAAGTTGTGCTGAGAAAAGCCAACCTCAGAAATATACATATATACTGCATGTGTCCATTTATGTAATATTCATGAAATGACAATTATAGAATGTAGAACAGGTTAGTGGTTTCCAGGGGTTAGAAATGTTGGGGAGAGGGAGTGGGTGTGGCTATAAAGCGGAAGCAGAAAGGAACCTTGTGGTGATGGCACAGTTAAGTACCGTGATTGTGGTGGTAGTTACACGAAGCTACACATGTAATAAAATTTCATGCAGCTATACACATACACACACAAATGAGTACTTGAATAACGACTGAACTTTGAATAAGCTCTGTAGATTGGGCCAATGTTAATTTCCGATTTTGATCTTGTAATATAGTAAGGCAAGATGTTAACATTGGAGGAGGCTGGGGGATGGGTTCATGGGAACTGTCTGCAGAGAGAAAGTTACAAAGTTACCTCTTTGTTTCTCTCTAAAGAGAGAAAGCTACAAAGTTACCTCTGTAACTCTCTGTGCATTTGTAATTATTTCAAAATAAAGTTTTGGGCCAGACACAGTGGCTCAGCCTATAATCCCACCACTTTGGGAAGCAGAGGTGGGAAGATTGCTTTAGCACAGGAGTTTGAGACTAGCCTAGGCAACATGGCAAGACCCCCTCTCCACAAAATTTAAAAATTAGCCTGGCGTGGTGGTGTGTGCCTGTGGTTCCAGCTACTCGGGAGGCTGAGGTGGGAGGATGGCTTGAGCCCAAGAGGTCAAGACTGCAGTGAGCCGAGTTCATGTCACTGCACTCTAGCCTGGGCAACAGATCGAGACTTTATTTAAAAACAAGGCTGGGCGCGGTGGCTCACGCCTGTAATCCCAGCACTTTAGGAGGCCGAGGCGGGCGGATCGCGAGGTCAGGAGTTCGCGACCATCCTGGCTAACACGGTGAAACCCCGTCTTTACTAAAAAAAATACAAAAAAAAAAAAAGAAAGAAAGAAATTAGCTGGGCGTGATGGCGGGCGCCTGTAGTCCCAGCCACTCGGGAGGCTGAGGCAGGAGAACAGCGTTAACCCAGGAGGCAGAGCTTGCAGTGAGCGGAGATAGAGTCACTGCACTCCAGCCTGGGCGACTGAGCGGGAATCTGTCTCAAATAAATAAATAAATAATAAAAATAAAAATAAACAAAATAAAACTTTTGAAAACCTAAATTGAATTCCCTGATTTCACATCCACAGGTGTGAAAGCTAATCCTTCACTCTCAACACCAGATAATAATAAGGAAAATTTATTGAGTGCTGCCTCTCTAGCAGGCACTACATTTACAGCTTTCCATGGCTGGTCTAATTTACTCCTCACACCAACTCTATTATTATTTCTATTTTAAAGTTAAGGAAACTGAGAATTAGAGGGGTTAATGGCTATGGCCCAGGTCATGCATTAAGTTAGGAAGGCAAGCGTCCCACCCAGGTACTCGGACCCCAGAACTTACCCACTGTGAAATCACCAGAGTAAAAATCCACCCATTTGTCTTAGCCCAGTGCATCAGGTCAAGATTTCATTATTCCCTACCTGAACCAGAAATTAATACAGAAGCCTGTTGGCCCATCTCCCCTCCCAGACCCAAAGAGAAGAAAGTAATCACACCATACATGCTTGAATGGTAAACCACCCCAAACAGAAGGCAGTTTCTTTATGCAAAGATTTTAAGTATTTTCTCCAATTTGAATATATACACATTTAGTGCTATGGGTGAAATAATCAAGCATCAACTTATAAGTAGTCAGTACCTGATATGTGTTTGCCAGAGCATATTATATAAAATACATTAATTTGGAAATACCTGTGTTGCTATCCATATTAGTCTGTTTTTACACTGCTATAAAGAAATACCCACGACCAGGTAATTTATAAAGAAAAGAGGTTTAATTGACTCACAGTTCTGCATGACTTGGGAGGCCTCAGGAAACTTACAATCATGGCAGAAGGGGAAGCAGTCGCATCTTACATGGCAGCAGGTGAAAGAGAAGAGAGCGGGAGCAACTGCCACGTATAAAACCATCAGATCTCGTGAGAACTCACTCACTATCAGGAGAACAGAATGGGGGAAACCACCCCCATGAGTCAATGACCTCCCACAAGGTCCCTCCCCCGACGTGAGGATTACAATTTTGATTACAAATCCAGAGGAGATTTGGGTAGGGACACAGCCAAACTATATCACTATCCTCAATCTTTCATTTTCTGAAACAATTTCATTCAAATGCTTCATACACATCTTTAACCTCATCTAGCACAGGTTTTCAGAATATATTATCTTCATTTCTAAGTTATTTTTTAAATAATGCTTTTGAATCTGTATATAAATAATGCTGTTCCTGAAAAGCTCATCCCAAGCTAAAAAGGATCCATTTGTATCACATCAATGAAATTTATGATTAAAAAAAAACCTCTATAAATCAGTAGTTCTTAATGCTGGCTGCGAATTAAAATCAACTGGGGAGCTGTAAAATCTATCGACACCTGGGCCCTTGCCCCCAAAATAGTGATTTTACTGACTGGGAGCAGGTGCTAGGAGTGGCATTTTCTAAAGCTCCTCCCATGATTCTAATATACAGCCTGATCTGAGAACCACCGCTTACCTGTATATAATGACCTGCACAATGGAATTCAGCAGTTCTTGATTATACTCAAGAATCACCTGGAAATTTTTGTAAACATACTGCTACCCAGTTTCCACACCCTACCAAAATTATAATTTATCTGGGGTTAGGCCCCAGGTATTCTTTGTTTTAAAAACACTTCAAGTGAATCTCACTTGCAGCCAAAATGGAGAACCTTCAATTACCATTTAAGAGTGTGGCTTTAATCATTCTGAGCAAACTATCGCAGGGACAGAAAACCAAACACCGCATGTTCTCACTCATAGGTGAGAATTGAACAATGAGAACACTTGGACACAGGGCGGGCAACATCGGACACAGGGCGGGGAACATCACACACCGGGGCCTGTCGTGGGGTGGGGGGAAGAGGGGAGGGATAGCATTAGGAGATATAACAAATGTAAATGATGAGTTAATGGGTGCAGCACACCTACATGGCACATATATACGTATGTAACAAACCCGCACATTGTGCACATGTACCCTAGAACTTAAAGTATAATTTAAAAAAAAAAAGAATGTGGCTTTACCTGTGAGCTTTCAAAGGCTGTTTAACTCACCATCAAATATTTATTAAAGGAATTCAGCACAGCTGTGGAGTCACATCACCCGCCCCAACCACATGAATGACCCCACAGCTGTGCTGAATTCCTTTGCTTTCTTCTGTTTCTATTGTATCCAGTGACCTCTCTGTGCATCAAATGATAGCACTGATTGAGAACATGTTAATCCAATGTGGCTTCCCCATATATGAATAGTACTTGGTTGTCCTAAATAAAGGAATGGAAAGAGTGCCCCATAAGCTGAGAGATTTTGTCAGGACTCCAATACAAAGTGATTCCTTCTTTTCTGAAAAATAAATAGGGAAGAAAATGTCACTTCATTTTTGCATATGTTATTAATAACTACCCTTTCTTAAAGTGCTTACTACATCTAGATACCATGTTAAATGTTTACCTGATTTCATTTAATACTTAAAAATGCAAACAGGACATATAATTATTATTATTCCTGGCCAGGCGAAGGCCACACCTATAATCCCAGCACTTTGGGAGGTCAAGGTGGTGGGGTGGGGGGGGGGGGGTCACTTGAAGTCAGGAGTTCGAGACCAGCATGGCCAACATGGTGAAACCCTGTCTCTACTAAAAATACAAAAATTAGCCGGACGTGATGGTGCATGCCTGTAGCCCCAGCTATTTGGGAGGCTGAGGCATGAGAATCGCTTGAACCTGGGAAGCGGAGGCTGCAGTGAGCCAAGATTGCACCACTGTGCTCCAGCCTGGGTGACAGAGTGAGATTCTGTCTCAAAAAAGAAAAAAAAATTATTATTATTCCCATATTGCAGAGGGAGAACCTGAGCGTGAAGTCACTTTGCCTAAGGTTACTACCCAGTGGGCGGACAGAGACAGAATGGCACCCAGATCTACAGCATCCAGTGTTGTACTGCCCCCTTCTGGCCATCCTCTAGGTGCTTCCTGAGGCCCCAGGACTTGTGCCCCAGTATACAGTCTGGTGGCCAGCATGGCATCGTGCTCAGCAGAACTTCTCCCTCCTCCTCGCTGTTGTGGTCCAGTCCAAACATCCCAGCCCCAACATTCCCTGGTTCCCCAGCTCTGTGACATCACAGACAGCCTTCTGTCTACTCTGCCAGCTGCAGGTGAGTGGGGCTCACAGTTTAAACCAAAGGGCGGGAGGTGATAATTTTTCTGTACTAAAAGGCACAATGTCCCCACCACTCCTGGACACCTATTCATTTTGCTCCAAGAAGCAATCCCCATCCTTCATTTGCTCTAACCTCACTGTTTCTCTCTCTCTCTGGGTCCCAGTCTCCACCTGTGCTGAATGACCTCCCCCACCCCCGCCCGCAGCGCCAGAAGCCTTCCTGTTTGACCTCATTCATCTTTCTTCTGATCAAAGTGCAATGGGGTCACTAGAGACCTGAAGTTCATACCCACTGGGGACAACCCAAGGGCCCTCTTCTTTGGTTTCTGCTTCCCTCTAGAGGGGGTCACTGGTAGTGCAAGAAGTGCCACACATCCCCTAGGCATCTCCCTACATATTCATCAGCATCAGAACCTTCATCTGTATTTATTAAGCCTTTACGACACACCAGAAAGCTGTGCTAAGCACTTTCCATCATTATTTAATCCTCAGAACTACCTTCTATTGTAGATACTATTATTCTCATCCCCATTTTACAGGTCAGAAAACAGAGATTCAAAGAGGTCATAAATTCTAAATTTCCTAGCTAACAGTAGATCTCCAAGAATTATACCCCCAGAGAATGTGCTTGTAACTGATACACTGCTCTCCCTAAGAGCCTTTTCATTTCTTGAAGAGGGTTCAAAAACTCAAAGCTCTCTGCTGTCAACACTTAGAGGAGAAAGTGGTTCTACTACCCTCTTTCTTGCAAAATTTTCTAGTAAAGATGTGGAGAGAGCATCAGCACGGGGTGTCAACAAACCTGCGCTTCAGATCGCTGCTGATAATACGGACGATCTCCACGGTTTATTTTTAATTGAAAAAAATCAAGGTGCAAAACGTGGTGTATAGTAAGCTATCATTTGCATTAAAAAGAGAGAAAAAGAGAATTTGAATAACTACATTTTCTTGTATATCCATAAGCTGCTTTGGTGGAAGATGCCTGCATTCACTACATGAAACAAAAACTGAATTTATTTCTGGTTAAACAAGGGAGAACTGTGCTTGTATGGCAAAGTCTCTGAACAAAGCTCATGGCTGATGCATAAGGGGCTTTGGGAGGTGTTGAGTTCGTGGACTGGTGGTGTTTCAGAGGCAGCAGTGTTTAGGAATGGTAGACCTTTAGCTATGAAATGTACCTACTGGCATGTGTCTGTTAGAATGGTTACCAAGGGAGTTTCATTAATAGATTAAATGAGTGTCACACAGGTTCTGGGGATTCGTTGTTACCGTGGTTACAGGGCAATCCATCGTCACCTAGGAATGTGGGAGCTTCTCTTTTTAATTCTCATTATCTGCCTTCTGGTCTCCCTCAACTAAAGGTGCAGGAAAGACCCTCCAAGATTGTCCAGATCTTCACCACTGTCATTGGCTTTTCTTGAAAACACAGTTCCATTTTTCCATGTACAGAGATCTGGTTTTCATTTTGAGTATCAGTCTGCCTCATTTCTTCTCATTTTTTCTTTGAATCATTTGTTTCACCATTTGTCAAACCAGAGGCTACATAAAAGCATTCAGCTCTCTGGACAACAGAACCTGAATGATGCAAGACAATGATAATTAAGGCCAGGCACAGTGGCTCACGCCTGTAATCCCAGCACGTTGGGAGGCCAAGGCTGGCAGATCACCTGAGGTCAGGAGTTCGAGACCAGCCTGACCCAACATGGGGAAACCCCATCTCTACTAAAAACTAAAATTAGCCATGCGTGGTGGTGCATGCCTGTAATCCCAGCTACTCGGGAGGCTGAGGCAGGAGAATCGCTTGAACCCAGGAGGCGGAGGTTGCAGTGACCCGAGATCGCACCATTGCACTCCAACCCTGGCAACAAGAGCAAAACTCCATCTCAAAAAAAAAAAAAAAAAAAAAAAGGGACAATGACAATTAAAAGTATTTTCAAAAAGATCTGAAAGCCTCTCTGGAGTCATGCCCCATGATTTCCCTGGCATGACCATCTACCTTAGATAGCCAGGCTGCTTTTTCTTTGGGCTTAGCTATAGATTAACCTCACCTGTGATATTAATCCAGGCACAACGGGAGTGTTAGCAATGGTGCAGACTCCCCTAATTAGCTAAAATAAAACCCGAAGGTTTCTGTGATCCATAATTACTCAAACTAAGGATTTTAAATTGGTCAGGTGTACCCTAGGGTGTGGGCTACATGATTTGCTGTGTCAGTCAAGGTGAGGGGAAAAAAGGCACTTTAAATTGTTCAACTCAGAATCCTCAGAAGTCTGTTTCATCTACTAGTAGTTAAACCCCCAAGAAGGGTTTCATCCCTTCAGACTCTGTGTAAGAAGACATAGTCCACCGTGGGTGCTGGAGAATCATGCACTGGAATGGTCTAAGTATTCATCATGCAGAACAATTAGTCTTAATTATAGTTGGAATAGAAGAGTCTGATCTCCACATAAGAAACAAACCATATCAACAAGCAAGCAGTATAGCTGTTCATTTATATTTATAGACAATGCCCTTTGGGAGTTTAGAGGCAAAATAGGAAAATGTTAAGTGCAAAGTTCTCCTCAGAAAGACTCAGTAGACAGATATGGACAGCTGTCCTTCTGACATGGAACATTAGTTCTTCTAATGGCCTTTCTGCATACAGTAAGTGCAAGTGTTCTCCACAGACTCCAAATTCTTAAAGAACAGAGGAGATTTGGGTCCTGTCTTTATTTCAGGGGCCAGTTGTTTTATCTAGTAGGTCAAAAGATTATCTCGATTTCTAGTTAACATTTTAGGACTCTTGGAAAATGATCAAGATATCTACACTAATGGAATTTCCCATTCCAATTGATTTTTTCTAAATCCTCTATTTTAGATATGAGCTTTTGCATAAAGAAAGGGCTCCTTTTACTTACACTTTTTGTTTGCCCCAGAATGTCCTTTGAAAGTGTCCTGAAGTCTATTAAGTCACCTATTGATTCATCATTTTGTTTGTTATTCTTGAATCTTTGCCCTATCCACCCTTAAGAGAAAATCTTTTAAAATAGTTTCATGTGGCATACTTCCTATTTTTCTTACCCTCTCAAGTCCATGCTTAAAAATATTATGCATAGATAGGTTATTTGAATCTTCTGACCTTTTTCATCCTGCTACTCTTAAACATTTTCCCCATTGTTGAAGGTCAACAATTTTTTTTTTTTTTTTTTTTTGAGTCAGGATCTCCTGTTGCCTGGGCTGGAGTGCAGTGGCATGATTATAGCTCACTGAAGTCTTGATTTCTCAAATTCAAGCAATACTCTCTCCTCAGCCTCTGAGTAACTGGAAGTGCAAGTGCACACCACCATGCCCAGCTAAATTTTAATTTTTAGTAGAGATGAGGTATGTTGTCCAGGCTGGTCTCAAACTCCAAAACTCAAGCAATCTTCCTGTCTCAGCCTCCCAAAGTGCTGGGATTACAGGTGTGAGCCACTGTGCCTGGCCTAAAGGTCAACAACGAAATGAACTAATTGGTACAAATATGATAGTCCAAGACAATAAGTAACGAACAGAATCCTGAATTACACAGGATATACAAAACAAACTTTCTTTTGTTCTGAAATTTGGGAAGATTCTATTTTTACCCAACTCAACTCTTACTCAGAGTTTAAATTCGGCCTCTCTTGATCTACCTTCAGTGCAGAAGTTTTAGGTGGGTGTTGTGCAATGTGATTGTTCTTCTCTAGAAAAATGCTCCCTGAAAAAGTTTATTTGGGCAGCCAGGGGAAGGAGTAAGAGGAGTATACGTGGGTAGTAAAGATCAAGTTGGGTGGAGAGAGAAAGACAGAAGCAAAGAAAACAGGTGTCAGAAGGTTTGAGTAAGAGTAAGGTCTTTTTTATCTTTTTCTTCCTGAGGCCATAGCATTCCAGACAAAGAAGCCTTCTATTTATGTTTGGCATTTTTGTCTTCTCTCTTCTCTAGAGCTCCTCTTAAATCTGATTTTTGACATCAAAACTTTGTCATCATGGCTACAGTAATCCTAAGTCATCTAGTGAACTTTTGCCATTTATTAAGACAAATACATGAGAGTACCTATAGTGAGAGTATATATACGGAGTTTTTCCAGGAAGAGGCAACAACCTTAATGCAGATGAGACCACGACAAGCAGGAAAGAGCACGCTACAATTGATAAACAGTTTCTACTTGTGCAGTGTCTTGAATTTCTTGACCAAGCAGAGCCTAAAAGAGGCCACATGATCAAAAACCTGAAAATTACTGACTCCCGAATATAAGCTAAAAAAAAAAAGTGACCTTCTTTTATGATTTACCAAGACAGAACACATGCTGACAAAGGTTTAGAGGGACCCAAGTCCAGGTTTTAGCAATTTCTTCTAGACAAATCAATTACCACTCCAGTAAAACTCCAGACACTCAGGGCTGACTCATGGTGGGGGCTTGTCAGAGCTATGCTTCCATTCCTTTCTTATGAAGTGCATCCTTCTACATTCAACATACACAAGGCAGTCTGGAACAAAGCCAAACCCCGTGAGGCAAGCATTTTTATAAGTGGATGAAGACAACTGAAACTAAAGCAAGTAGCAGAATACGAAGCAGATTAATGGCAAGGATATTTGCTAAATGGTGTATCTCCAAAACAAAAGATCTAACTGCCTGTATAAATTTCTATTTCTTTATAAATTATAGGAAAATGAAATAAATCCACTAAAGAGAACTCAATGAAATACATCAGAGCTAAAATCATGTTAAAAAAAAAAAATCCCATGACACTGACACTAGGTCTAGGGAAAAACAAAAAAACAAACAAACAAACAAAAACACCTCACCTGGCAGCAGATCCAAAAGACTATTGGAGATTGGAGCTAAATGGACCTAGTGAGTGCCCCCACTTTGACCAAAAAATCCACACAATGGTGACATCTGTATGTGTCTAGCCCGCATCGTATCTAACCACAAGGAACAGCTTATGTGCAGAAAGTTAAAAATCAGTTAGTGGAAGGGAGGAAGGAGATCTGTTTGGCATAGTTTTTTTCCAACAGTCAGAGAAGGTTCATGTGTTTATTCAACAAATATGTATAAAGTACCTATTCTGTGCCCATCCCTGGGCTGAGTGCTGAGGATACAAAAGTGAATAAAGGCCAGGCGCGGTGGCTCACGCCTGGAATCCCAGCACTTTGGGAGGCCGAGATGGGCAGATCACTAGGTCAGGAGATCGAGACCATCCTGGCTAACACAGTGAAACCCCGTCTCTACTAAAAATACAAAAAATTAGCCAGGCGTGGTGGCAGGTGCCTGTAGTCCCAGCTACTCGGGAGGCTGAGGCAGGAGAATGGCGTGAACCCGGGAGGCGGAGCACGAAGTGAGACAAGATTGCGCCACTGTACTCCAGCCTGGGCAACAGAGCGCGACTCCATCTCAAAAAAAAAAAAAAGTGAATAAAATACTGTCCCTGCTTCCATGGACATTTGTCTATCCTGTGTCTTGTTCACTGCTATATCTCCAGCACCTAACAGTACCTGGAACATGGCAGGTTTTCAGTAAATACATGTGAAATAAATGAAGAAAAAAAAAAGAAAAAAGCTTGGCTGGGCTCAGTGTCTCAAGCCTATAACCCAGCACTTTTGGAGGCTGAGGCAGGAGATCTCTTGAGCTAAGGAATTCGAGATAAGCCTGGGCAATACGGCAAAATCCCATCTCTACCAAAACAAAAACAAAAAAACTATAACCGGGCATGGTAGTGCGAGCCTGTAGTCCAAGCTACTCAGGAGGCTGAGGCAGGGAAATCGCTTGCACCTGGGAGGATGAGGCTGGAGTGAGCCCTGATGGTGCCACTACAGTCCAGCACGGGTGTCAGAGTGAGACCCTGTCTCAAAAAATAAAAAAAGAAAAGAAAAAGAAAAAGGAAAAAGCTCATGAACTAGTATCCAGACTGTCAACAAGAGGCAGTTACAAGACAACGTTTCAACAAGTGTTTATTAAGCATTTACCATGAGTTAGGCAGTCACTGTACAATAACAGGCTGTGTACAGGAAAACATGGTGGGCCAGCAGGGGAGTGCTGTGGGAGCACAAGGGAGGGACTCCTAACTTATCCCATGCCTTCCTGTAGCCCCTGAGCTGAATCCTGGAGTTTGATGACTCAAGGATTGAGGTGAGAACATCCCAGGTAGAGGGAACAGGATGTGAACAGGGTCCATTCAGTAAAAGGTGATTGGGGAAGCTGCCTATACAGCATCTCTTATGGCTGTAGGGCGGTGAGTGCAACCCAGAGAAGATGAGGATGAAGAGAATAACAGTGGTGATCACAAAAGGAGTTGGATCTGCAGACTTGGGGACCCCCTTGGTGGGGCAGAGGGTTGTTGGGGCAGAAGAGAGATAGGATTTACATGTCTACCAGATAACTCTAGCTTTAGGTGGAGGCAAACAAACCAATGAGAAAGTTTAAGCAGTGGTCCAGGTGAGAAGTGATGGTGGCTTACACTACGGTGAAGGAAATGGCAAAGGATTGGCTGGGCAGACAGACTGAAGAGATATTTGGAAAGTAAAGTTCAAAGACTGATGAACACGAGCAGATGGCAGGAGGCTGGCAGGCTTCTGACTCTAGAGACAGAGTGAATAATAGGATCATCCCACGAAATAGGGAACATGGGAAGAAGATAGATATGCTTTGCAGTGGACAGGGAAGAAAAATAGTCCCAACCAGTAAACAGAGAGCAGAACTAAAATTGACTCATGAAACCATCAGAGTAAGCTTAGCATGTGAATGAGGTAAGCTGTGTCCTACAGCTTGTGATGTTCCTGGCACAAAAACTACCACCCACCTCTCTACTGCCCCCAGGGCCTGCAAGTGCTTTTACTCAAGACAAGAATAAATGCTAGTTTATTCTACAAACACCCTCAATTTTTATTCTACAAACAATTATTGACTTCCCACACTGCACTAGGTACTGCTCTAGACACTGAGAATAGAGCAGTAAACCAAACAGCTAAAATCCATGACCTCATGTGACTTCTAATTTAGTGGGAAGAAGCAGACCTTCAACACAGTAATTTAGCAAATTATGTAGAGTGTTAGGAAATGAAGCTGGGCACGGTGACTCACACCTGTAACCCCAGCACTTTGGGAGGCCAACATGGGAGGATCACTTGATTTCAAGACCAGCCTGAGCAATACAGTGAGACCCCTTCTCTTAAAAAAAAAAAAAAAAAAGAATTTGCTGGACATGGTGGCATGCACCTGTAGTCCCAGCTACTCAGGAGGCTGAGGCAGGAGGAGCCCAGAAGTTCAAGGCTGCAGTGAACCATGATTGTGCCACTGCACTCCAGCCTGAGCATAGAGCTAGACCCTGTCAAGAAAGAGAGTGAGAGCAAGAGAGAAGGAAAGAAGGAAGGAAGGAAGGAAGGAAGGAAGGAAGGAAGGAAGGAAGGAAGGAAGGAAGGAAGGAAGGAAAGAAAAAGAGAAAAGAGAAAAAAAGAAAGAAAAGAAAAAAAGAAGAAAAAGAGAGAAAGAAAGAAGAAAAAAGAAAGAGAAAATGTTTGAAAAGTAAACAAGGAAGAGATTAGGAAGTGCTGGGGTGCTGGGCAAGGGGGTTATAATGTTAAATACAACAGAGAAAGTCTCACTAGAAAAGGTGAAGCAAAGACTTGAAGGTAATGACAGAATGTTGTTATCTAAGAGAACTGAATTCCAGGCAGAGAGTAAAACAAGCACAAATTGTTGAGTTGGGAGCTTGCTGTGTTTTAAAACTCAGCAGGGGGGGCAAATGGAATTGGGGAATTGGAGGAATTGAAGACAGAGTTGGTGATGAGGGTTGTGGGTGGACAGGAGGGAAGAAGGATGATTAGATTACAGAGTATCTTAAGACCCAGGTGAGAACTTTGGTTTTTCTTCTGAGGAATATGCAAAACCACTGAATTTTGGAGAAAAGAAAGAGAAAAAATCTTTCTGGCCAGGCGCGGTGACTCACTCCTGTAATCCCAGCACCTTTTGAGGCCAATGTGGGAGGATCACTTGAGCCCAGGAGTTCAAGGCCAGCCTGGGCTATATAGGGAGACCACGTCTCTACAAAAAATACAAAAGTTAGCCAGGTGTGGTGGTGCACACCTGTAGTCCCAGCTACTGGGGAGGCTGAAGCAGGAGGATCACTTGAGCCCAGGAGTTTGAGGCTGCAGTGAGCTGTGATCACGCCACTGTACTCCAGCCTGGGTGACAGAGTAAAACTCTGTCTCAAAAAAAAAAAAAAGTTTGCATTTACCCCCACATATTTGCTATTTCTTATCCTATTCATCCCTTTCTGTAAATGTGAATTTCCATCTGGTATCATTTTCCTTCGATCTTAGCATTTTTTACAGCCTGGGCCTTCTAAAGACAAATTCTCTCTATTTTTGTTTATCTTATAATGTCTTCATTTTGCCTTAATTATTGAAGGATATTTTCATGGAATATGAAGTGAAAGGTTTACAGTTTCTTTCTTTCATGTTTATTTATTCCAGTTGTTTTAAGAGCCTGTTCTTTACTTTTTAGCCATTTGACTAAAATGTGCCTAGGTGTGATTTTCTTTTCTTTTCTTTTTTTTTTTTTGAGACAGAGTTTTATTCTTCTTGCCCAGGCTGGAGTGCAATGGCGTGATCTCGGCTCACCACAACCTCCGCCTCCAGGGTTCAAGCGATTCTCCTGCCTCAGCCTCCTGAGTAGCTGGGATTACAGGCATGTGCCACACACCCAGCTAGTTTTGTATTTTTAGCAGAGACGGGGTTTCTCCATGTTGGTCAGGCTGGTCTCGAACTCCTGACCTCAGGTGATCTGCCAGCCTCGGCCTCCCAAAGTGCTGAGATTACAGGCATGAGCCACCGCGCCCGGTCGTTGTGATTTTTTGTTTTTCATGTTTGGTGCTCACTGAATACTTATGTTGATGCTTTCCATCAAATTTAGTAACTTTTCAGCCACTATTGCCAAATATTTTTTCTGCCCTTCGTCCTTCTGAGAGTCCAGTAACGCGCGTATGTTATACAGCTTGGTAGCATCCCGCAAGGTCAGTGGGGTACTCTTCATCCTTTTAAAATCTTTTTTGCTTTCCCTGTTTCAGTTTGGATAATTTCTATTGACCTTTTCGCAAGTTTACTGATCATTGCTTTTGCTTTGTCCAATCTGTTGTTAACCCTACCCAATACATATTTTCTTCAGATACTGGTTTTTATAGAACTAGAATTTCTATTTGATTCTATTTGAGTTTCCATTTCTTCCTTCCATATTATATCGCTCCATCTACTATACCCATTTTTTCCTATCCTTGGAAGTTTTGAGCTGAAGAGTGACATGATATATTTTAACAGAACTACCCCAACTTTTGTATTAATTATGGAGGAAGTTCAGGGTAAGAGAAATAAGGAGACCAGTCAGGAAGCTATCGCAGGAATTCAGGCAAGAGATGATGGTGGCTTAGGCCAGGGTATGGCAGTAGAGAAAATGGGACTCAAGTGCCTATAATGAAGGCAAAACTCACAAAGCGAAGTGAATTAGGTATTGTGAGGGACGCCTAAACAATACCATGATAAGAATTTCCTTTTAAAGAGGGTTTTGCCACAAGAAGGGGAGTGAGAACAGAATGTATCCAGAGATCTAAAAACTTGATACACAAATAAAGGGATCTGGGACTAAAGCAAGGCCTTATAATCCTGGACCTTCAAAACTAGAAAGATCCTTGAGGAGATCATCCAGCCTAACTTCTTACTACTGACGAGGAGCCTGAGACACAGAAAAAAGCATGGACCTACCCAAAGCCCTCCAGCAAATTAGTGGCAAAACCAGAATTTAAACCTACAAGTCCATATGCTTCCTTTCCATAGGACCTGGACCAGCTGGGATCATTGGAAGCCAGTGAGCTACATAAAGAGAAGGGAGGAAAATGGAATGACCATTGATTGAGCACTTACCATATACCTAGCTTCACAGGAGCTACTTTTCATATATATGAGTCTTTACTCCTGCAAAGTAGGCACTGCTATTCTCATTTTTCAAGTGATAAAAGTGAAGTTCAAAAAGGGTAAAGAATCCACCTAAGAACATGCACCTGTTCATGGGGTAGGACACAGAGCTATCTGAAACCTGAGCATGTTTATGTGCATGTCTGCATGAGGTGGGATTTTGCTGTCATTAGATCCTATCTGGAGTGTGAACACAGGTGAAGGACTAGCATTTTTCAGCCACGGTCTTATGTTTACTTAGGAAACAGCCCAGCCCAGTGAACTGGGCTCAAACTCAAGACTGGCTGATTCAACAAGGCACCCCTGCAGACAAAGCTGGCAGAGTAGAAGTTTCAACTCCTTTCCATGGGTAAGAAAACTTTGTACAGAATAGGAAAAAATGGCCTAGGCAGAAGGATCTGCTGGCCATGGGAAGCTACAGAAGATTTGGGAGAGGGGAGGAGTATTATATTAATGCCTTGGGAGAGGCTGACCCAATGATACCCCCACCACAGTCAATTTCCAATAGGCATCTGGAATTCAGATTCCGGAACCCATGCCCCTCATTCCTTTGCCTCCAACAGCAGCCCACCAAAACCTGATCTTGAAGATCTTCTGTTTATGCTGCAGGGACTGTCAGGAGCCCTATGCCATCAATGACTCCAAGGTTCCCAGTCAAACCCAGGAGCACAAGCCATCGACCCAAAGTAGGTATCAGATAAGGACACTCTGCATGGCCTCTCTAAACCTCACTTTGCTCACTCTCTGCCTGCTGGGATACCCCCAAACTGCCTTCATCACTATCACTGAGTGATAATTCCAATTTAAAATGAGGTGGGTGTTGGATGGCTAAGTACTCAAACCAATAAACAAGAGAGCTTAAACTCTTGTGCTTAAAGTGTAGTCTATGGGCCAGCAATATTGGCATCACTTGGGAGCTTGTTAGAAATGCATTTTCAGACCCCGCTCTGGAACTACTGAATCAGAACTGGCACTTTAACAGGATCTCCAGGTAAATTTGAATGTACATGATAGTTTGAGAAGCACTGGATTAAAGACTATAAAAATAGTGGTTAAGATCCCTGTTTTGGGGGCAATACATGTTAGTTCAAACCTCAGCTCTGCCACAGAAATTGGGCAAGTCTCTTGACCTCCCTGAGTCTCACTGTCCTTGCCTCTAAAACAGGGATATTCACAATACATTATTATTGTGAGGCAATATAAATAAGCATCTAGCTCAGGGTCTGGCACAGAGTAGGCACTCAACATGCAGAAAAAATATATAGGTATTGATCAGGATAGAGTATGTTCTGCTGCTGAAACAAATAAGCCTTGAAATCTCAATGGTTTACAAAATAAAAATGTATTTCTTGCTTGCACAAAGTCTAGTACAAACCAGCCACCCCCCTTTAAATCTTTAGCCAGAGCCTCTGGAATATGAGACTTCCTAGGCTACCATGTCAAGGGAAGAGAGAGAGACAGAGAAGTCACCCTGGCCTTCAGTTTGTAATCAAAACCTTCTTGAAGATCCATGAAAAGAGATCAAGCAGAGAAGATCAGGGATCAAAATCAACAATTTCAGACAGAAAAAAAAAAAGAAGCACTATTGTCAAAATCAGCCAAAGTTAGGACTCACACAGGTGGGAGGGGGTGAGCACAGATGGCCAGGAACGTGGCAGAGTCCCACTGAGAGACAGGATAATACAATGATGTATTTTGACAGAAATCCACATGTGAGGGTCTTTAAAATACTTTCCCTGGAAGTAGAGTCACAATAAAAATCAGGAACCTTAAAAATATCAATGCCTTTTCCCAAGGTAAGAATGATGATAATTAATGAAACTCTATAATATGCAAAGCACTGTCTAGACACTGGGGACCCAGCTGTGATCAGATAAATCCCTTACTGTTTCAGAGTGTATATTTCATATTTAACAGTAAAATGATATTATTTAATCCCCATGATAACTCTAAGAAGCAGACATTAGTATTCAAATTGAGCATAGCATTTTGCAGATATGAATGAAGAGGCAGGTGGGGGTTAAGCAATTAGTTAAGGCATGCAGCTAATAAATGACAGAGCTGCCTATCACAGAACACAGCTCAGACTATTGACAAAATTCTTTGTTGTTCTTCTAGAAACCTAGAAGTGTATAAAGACAAAGTCTCATATACAACAATGTTCATCACAACAGTATTTATGGTAGCAAAATCTGGGCCGGGCACAGTGGCTCACACCTATAATCCCAGCACTTTGAGGGGCAGGAGGATAACTTGAGCCCAGGAGTTCAAGACCAGCCTGGGCAACATGGGAAGATCCCACCTCTACAAATAATAAAAAATTAGCCAGACTGGGCATGGTGGTTCATGTCTTTAATCCCAGCACTTTGGGAGGCCAAGGCAGGTGGATCACCTGAGGTTGGGAGTTTGAGACCAGCCTGACCAACATGGAGAAACCCCGTCTCTATTAAAAATACAAAACTAGCCAGGCATGGTGGCACATGTCTGTAATCCCAGCTATTCAGGAGGCTGAGGCAGGAGAATCGCTTGAACCCGAGAGGTGGAGGTTGCGGTGAGCCGAGATCGTGCCATCGCACTCCAGCCTGGGCAACAAGAGCGAAACTCTATCTCAAAAAAAAAAAAATTAGCCAGCCATGGTGGTGCACACCTGTAATTTCAGCTACTAAGGAGGCTGAGGTGGGATGATCACTTGAGCCCAGGAGGTCGAGGCTGCAGTAAGTCATGATTGCACCACTGCACTCCAGCCTAGGTACCAGAGTGAGATTCTCTCAAAAAAATAAATAAATAAATAAATAATACAACATTGGAACTTTGGTTAAATAAATCTTACATTATTCAAAAACTAGAATACTGTACAACCATTTTTTAAATTTAGTGACATGAGAAAAATATTTATGCCATAATGTATATGAATAAAGTCAAATGCAGGGCTGGGTGAGATGGCTCACAACTGTGATCCTAGCACTTCGGGAGGCTGAGGCTAAAGGATTACTTGAGGCCAGGAGTTCAAGACCAGCCTGGCAACATAGTGAGACTCCCGCTCCCTACAAAAAAAAATTTAAAAATTAGCTGGGCGCAGTGACACATGCCTGTAGTCCTAGCTACTCGGGGGGCTGAGGCAGGAGGATTGCTTGAGCCTAGGAGTTTGAGGTTACAGGGAGCTATGATCACACCATTGCACTCCAGCCTGGGCAACAGAGCAGATCCCTGTCTCAAAAAATAAATAAATAGATAAGTAAAATTCATCCATAATACATAGGATATGATGGACTATGTAAAATATGCATAGGAAAAGACTGGAACTGTGATAATAACTTGGGGAAGAGATGTTTGGGGCACTTTTTCCTCCCTTATACTATTCAATATTTCCTAACTTTTCTATAAAGCGTATGCATTACATTTATAAATGGAAAAAAGTTAATGTTTTAAAAAGAATACATACTTTGCCCTGAATTGATCATTACACATTCTATGCATGTAACAAAATTTCATATGTAGCCCATAAATACATACAAATACAATGTATTATTTTAAAATACACACTTTGAATCCAGCACCTGCTTGTGAGGGGAAGCCCTCAGAGGACAGGAGGTGGTAGTTTCAGGTACACCCCCACCCCATAATAACCCCCACTTGCCTGTGTGCGCTGCTTCAGAGCTTGCAAAACATCTTCACTTCCGTGATCTCACCTAAGCCTCCCCCACGTGACCCTGTGGAATTCTCATTGCCAGATTTGCTGCTTCAGAAGGATGAGCTTGACAGACAAAATCCCAAGCGCATTAACGCAGTCTCCCATTTGCCTTCGAGAACACCCCTGATCCAGACAAAAAAGAGCACTTCCTCCAGCAGCAGTGAGTTTGAGGGTGAGTCCCAAATTGGGGTCCTAACACTGACCAGAAACTCCCAGACAGGGAGCCTGGTCCTAATAACCAGACCCCATTGATACTTCAGCTAAGCGAGATGGGGAGATGGAATTGCTCCCATCAAGCAGCCCCAGTCATATTCCAGAGCACACTGGGGAGACCCTAGAGGCTAAGACCTGACTCCACTATCTTCCAAGCTAGGAAGTGCATGAGAAGGAGCAGGTCTGGGGGGAAGGGCAAACATCCATGCTTTCCTTTCAAAGCTTTGTGGCATCATCTTTTTTTTTTTTTTTTTTTTTTGAGATGGAGTCTCCCTCTGTTGTCTAGGCTTGAGTGCAGTGGTGCAGTCTCCAATCTCAGCTCACTGCAACTTCCACCTCCCAGGTTCAAGTGATTCTCCTGTCTCAGCTTCCTGAGTAGCTGAGATTACAGGCGCCCACCAACATGCCTGGTTAATTTTTGTATTCTTAGTAGAAAAAGGGTTTCACCATGTTGGCCAGGCTGGTCACGAACTCCTGACCTCAAGTGATCCACCTACCTTGGCCTCCCAAAGTGCTGGGATTACAGGTGTAACCACCGCACCTGGCGGCATCATCTTACACGTGTATTTTTCATATGCTTACTTGATGTCTACTTTGGCCACTAGACAGTAAGTGCCAGGAGGGCAGGGGCCCACATCAGTTTTATTCCCTGTTATGCCCCCAGATCCAGCCAGGTGCATGGCAAGTAAACAATGCCAGAAAACACTTGTGGATTGAGTGTAGTTCAACTGGGGGTGAAATGCCTCTGGGTCACAGAAGAACAGATGCCCAATCCCAGGACAGTGGCACAGCCCAGGAAGAAGAAATGCAGCCACATTGCTGGGCGCCAGTTCTATCCCCAGGTGGTCTCACATAACTCACAACCACCCCAGGAGTCCTGTTGAGAACTAAGGATTATCCAACCCAGTCATTTTGAATTCCCCTAACAACTAAACCCCCTTGAAAACAGCATTTCACAGAGTCCATTTTCTATAAAAGATCAAAGAGGAACAGCTCTGCTTGAATCAAGCTTGAGAAGGTAGGAACCCCACTAGCTCGCCCACTCCTTCCTTCTGCCCTTCCCACCCCCCCATAGGGGTGAGGCTCACAGAGGGAAAGGGACTTCCCACGAGTGCACTAGGGAATGACGTAAGTGTCAGAGCCAGGATGGGCCCAAGTCTCCTACCTTCCATATCACTGTGCTTTGCAAGACAGCCTACTGTCACTGAAGCCACCAACGTAACACAATGCAAAATACACTGCAAGAAACTCCTCCTATCACAAAAGACTTCCAAGTCCTAGACTAGGGTCTGCCTTGGGTCCCTTGAGATTCAAGAAGCTGAGGAATGATCAGCAATGGATACAAACAACCAAAACAGTTCATCAAAGCCCAATTCAAAGGCCTTCACCCAGCATAATTTTTTCCTTTCTTCTTTCAGATCTGAATGCATATGCTTCCCAAAGAAATTTTTACAAGAGAAACTTAAACCGCTACTGCCAGGAGCACTGGCCATTCCAGCCATGCCTCACTGGGAGGCCCTGAGCATTCTAGCCGGCGGCTGCACAGCTGCTGGGGCATCTCCATGAGGAAGAGGGCGGTGGACAGGAGTCATGAAGACTAATTCGGAAACTCCCCTGAAGGAGGAGAAGACATCTGAGCCATCCTTGTGCCACCAAGCAAGAGTCACTCCAGCTCCTAAAAAGCCACCATGGGAAGAGCTGCCTCCAATTAAAGTTCTTGATTGCACCAGAGGATGTGTCCTTCTCTTTTCCTTTCCCCCTTACCAACTAATGTCTTATTATTTTTAAATATATTGTCACATCTAACTAAGCTTAAAAAATTTAGCCTATTGGCTGGGCGCAGTGGCTCACGCCTGTAATCCCAACACTTTGGGAGACCGAGGCAGGTGGATCACATGAGGTCATAAGTTCAAGACCAGCCTGGCCAATGCGGTGAAACCCCATCTGTGCTAAAAATAAAAAAATCTGCCAGGTGTGGTGGCGTGCTCCTGTAATCTCAGCTACTAGGGAGGCTGAGGCAGGAGAATCACTTGAACCCAGGAGGCAGAGGTTGCAATGAGCTGAGATCTCGCCGCTGCACTCCAGCCTGGGTAACAGAGTGAGACTCCGTGAAAGAAAGAAAGGAAGGGAAGGGGGAAGGGGGAAGGGAAGAAAGAAAAAAGAGAGAGAGAGGAAGGAGAAAACAGCTTTTTGGATACCTTCTGAAATAATTCCAAATTTACAGAAATGTCACAAGAATAATACAGAGAACTCCCATTTACCTTTTACCCAGAGTCACCAATTGTTTAATCTACATTTTCCCCATTTGCACCATTTCAGCTCACTGCAACCTCCGCCTCCTGAGTTCAAGTGATTGAACTCAGTTCAATCCTGCCTCAGCCTCCCGAGTAGCTGGGATTACAAGTGCCTGCCACCAGGCCTGGCTAATTTTTGTATTTTTAGTAGAGATGGGGTTTCACCATGTTGGCCAGGCTGGTCTCGAACTCCTGACCTCAGGTGATCCGCCCTCCTCAACCTCCCAAAGTGCGGGATTACAGGCGTGAGCCACTGTGCCAGGCCAAGGTATATCTTTATTAACAGCATGAGAACGGATTAATACGGTGTATCTTTAGGGTTAATTTTTCAGCATGGACTTTTGAGCCAAATGGAAAAGATATATACAGTTTTGTTAGATGCTGCCAAGTTCTGTTCTGTAAGAGTATATGATATCTGAGATACCTGTTTCCTCATGCCCTCAGCAACTGTTTAGGCTCTCCCAATCCTACAGGTGAGAAACGGTATCTCATTTTGGTTTTAACCTGCATTTCCCTTACCATGAGTGAAGACTAACATCTATTCATATGTTTAAGGGTCATTTTTATATGTTTTTATTAATGATCTGTTTATGTCTTCCACTCTTTTTTCTTTTTCCTGTTTCCTGTTAATTTTTGAGTGCTCTTTATATACTAGAAATACTAGCTCCTCAAAGTCAAGTTTATTAATGTTTCATTGAATCTGGACTTTGGGTTGTCGTTAGCCTTTCCCTACATCCAGTTTATAGAGGAATTCACCCACACTTCTTCGTTTGCTTGTATAGCATTATACATCAGAAATATAACCTATTCCATTTGGCATTTATTATTATGTATTTAGGAAGTATGGATCTAACTTTACACTTTCTCCAAATGATTATATAGTCATTTCAGCATATTTATTAAGGAGAATATCTTTGGTCCAATCATCCATCTGAGATGACACCTTTATTATCATACACTAAATTTTCATATATATTTGTGTCTCTTTCTGAACTTTCTATTCTACTCCACTGGGGAGTCTGCCTGTTTTTTTGTTTGTTTGTTTGTTTGTTTGTTTGTTTGTTTGTTTTTTGAGACGGAGTCTCACTGTCGCCCAATGCCTGTTTTATTCTTGCTTGTTTTTTCATGTAAATGTTAGGATCAATTTGTCTAGCTTCAGAAAAAATCTTGATGTTATTTTCATCATGATTGTGCTAAATTTACAAATTAGGGAAAATTATAAATCAGGAAGAACTGACACATCTATAACATTGATTCTTCCTAACCACCAACCAATGTCTTTTCATTTGTTCAAACCTACTTTGTTGGCTTTCAGGACTATTTTCAAGAGTTCTTTATATTAATTTTGCAAATTTCTTATTAACTTTACTCCTAGGTATTTTATCTTTTGTTGCTATTGTAAATGAAGTTTTCTCTCTCACTATTGTTGTAGTTAGTTATTGCTTGCGTATAATAACACTATTGAGTTCAGTATGCTAATTGTATGCCTTGCTTCCCTTCTGAATTCTTTCATTGTTTGAGTAGTTTTGTTTTTGCTTTCCGATGGTTTACCAGTAATACTATTATGTAATCTGCAAGTAGAAATACTTTAACTTCTTCTTCTTCTAATTTTTATGTCTCCAATTTACCTTTTCTGATTGCAATGGTTAATGCCACCGCTACAATGTTAAAGTCAGTAGATATCTGTGCTTCGTTCCTGATTTTAAATAGCTCCAGTATTTGCAAATTAAGGAAGAAGTTGGGTTTAGGACAAAGGCATAGAGGTAGAGATAAAGAGAGAGAGAGAGAGTGCCATTTTATCATATTAATATAATATCCATCAATTCCCTCTTTTTTCTTTTTTCAGCATCTATAAAAAAAATCACAATTTCTTTACTCATATCGAATCAAACTTCCATTCCACAGATAAATTTCACCTGATCATGATTTATTATCTTCATACTGTGAGGTTGGATTCTGTTCACTAATATTTTATTAAGAATTTTTGTATCAGTATTGGTAGGTAACGTTGCCTTGTAATTTTCTTTTTGATTATCCCTATCACATGCGGTTATCAATATACACTTGCTTCACAAAAAGAATTTGGAAGTTTTATTTTATATGCTCTAGAACAATTTATGTAGTACTGTAACTGGTCTTTAAAAGCTTGGTGAAACTCTCCTTGTGCAACCTTCTGGACCTGTTGCCTGTTTGGGGGAGGGTAGTTTCTTAATAAATTTCTTCTACAGAAATTGATAGTTTCTATCTTTAATGCAGTCAATTTAATAAACTATTTTCCCAGAAAACTATCTACTTCATAGTTTTTCAAACTTTTTTACATAAAAGTATATTATGGACTCTAAAGATTTTTAAAATTTCTTTTGTTTCAACAATTTTTCCCCCTTATTCTTTCTAATTTTATATATTTTTGCTTTCTCCTTTTTTTCCTGATTAAGCTACACAGTATTTCTATTTTGTTAATTTTTTTCAAAAAAAGATTTTGATTAATTAGATCTGCTTTTTAATACTCTAGTAAATTCTGCTTTTAATCTTATACTTTCTTTTCCTTACTTTGTTGCTCTTTTTCCAGCTTTAAGAATTGGGAAATTATTTCATTCTTTTATTTTCTTGATACAAGTGTTTAAACACAGTGGTAGACAGAATAATGACCCCACTGCAAAAGATTAAAGTTGAAGATACAATTAAGGTTGCTAATCAGTGACCTTGAGATAATTCACAATTACCTGGGTGGGCCCCATCTAATCACATTGGGAGAATCTGCAGCCCACTCTGGGGCATGTTTCTGCCACAACAGCACAGAGGCCAGGACAGGAGAGGAGGTGGCAGCAGTCGGGAATTCACCAACATCCCCTTCCTGGGGAGAAGGAACTAAATTGTCATATGACTTGCTTGGCCAATGAAAACATAACAGATAGGACACTAACAGGGGCTTAGAAATGTGTTTTCACAGTGGGGCTTGCTGTGTCTTCCTCTAGCAGCCCCAGAAGAAGAACACACCTGGCTAGCCTACTAACCCAAAAGGGGTAAGAGACATGTGAGGCAGAACCACTCCAGCCGACCTGATAGGCACAGTGGACATTACAGCATGGTGGACAAAGGAATGGACTGCTGGAGAGGGGCTCAGCATATGTCCTCCCTCCTCCCTGCCTTTGTGGTTCAGTCCAAACCCCACTGTCCCCAACATTCCCCGGTTCCCCCACTCTGTGACATCACAGACAGCCTCCTGTCCACTCTGCCAGCTGCAGGTGAATGAGACTCATAGGTTAGACCTAAGGGTAAGAGGGCGTAATTTTTCTGTACTAAAACAGAAAATGTCCCCGCCACTCCTGGACACCTATTCACTTTGCTACAAGAAGCACCCCTTATTTGCCTTGACCCCACTGTTTCTCTGTCTCTGGGTCTCAGTCTCCCCCACTGTGCTGAAAGACTCCTGAGGGCTCCCCTAGCTCCAGACGACTTCCTGTTTGACTTCATTGATCTTTCTTATTCTGATCAAGGTGCTGTGGGGTCCCTAGAGACCTGAAACTCACAGCCCAGTGGGGACAGCCCAAGGGCCCTTTTCTTTGGCTCCTGCTTCCCTCTAGAGGCGGACACTGGTAATGCAAGAAACACCACACCCACCCCTACTCTGTCCCAGCCAGCATCTCAGTGATATTAAACGCCTACTGTGTACCGCATACCCTGCAAAGCACTTGACATCTTTATGTCACCAAATCCTTACAACGGCATTCTGCGGGTAGGTTTCACCATACCACTGCACAGACTGGAAAACTGAGGTTCAAGGAAGCTAAACGGCCCGAAATTACACAGCAAGGTGCAACAGGAATTAAGAACTGAAGTCCATCTAAGTAAAAAAGGAGTGTGCTCTTAACTGTTATGCTGTTCTGCCAGGCTTCAGATGGAGCCTTTCCATTTAAAAACCACTTACCATCAACTCTTGGAGATCAAGGTGGTTCTGAACATCTCATTCTGGAATTGTATAGACGGAATAAAATCTGGCTTCAGATAAAACTACATTAAAATCCCAGCTGTTCCTCTTGGCTGCCACAGCTGAGCAAGTCACCTTTCTTAGGCTCAATTCCCTCCATCTGGAAAATCAGACAAAGTCCTGCCTTGCAAGGTGGAGAGGAAAATGAAATGAGCTCAGCAATGTCAAAGGACCTGCCCAAATGCTCAATGAATGTCAGTGTTCTGTTTCTATTCCCATAACTTTCTGACATTAAAGAAAAAAAAAAGCCTGTTCATGGAAGGGAGAACAGGGTGAAGGATTGAGCGTACCATTGTCCAACAGTCAGACAATGTTCCTGTATTTATTCAATCAGTATGGAGAGCATACGCGTTCTGCACACAGCCCGGTGCTGCATCCTGGGACCCGAAGGTGGGCTGGACCCACCCCTGCCTCCTCGAGAGTGAGGCTCTGTTGCTCTTGTCCACGGCAGTATCCCCAGCACCACAGTCAGTGCTTGGCACCAGTAGGTCCTCAAAAAGTATATGCTGAACAAATTTTTTTAATCACTGATTTTTTGTAGGCAAATAAACAGGCAGTGAAAATACAGTCCATTCAACAAATATTACTGAGCATCCACTGTGGTTTAGGCAGACACTGGAATGACAGTCAGGTCCAGGACACAGGGAAGCCCAGGGGACAAGGGAACCATAAAGGAAATGCCTCAATTCATCCCAGGTTTAAGAGATGGCTTCCTGGCTGGGTATGGTGGCTCACACCTGTAACCCCAGCAACTTGGGAGACAGAGGCGGGCAGATCACTTGAGATCGGGAATTCAAGACCAGCCTGACCAACATGGCACAACTCTGTCTCTACTAAAAATACAAAAATTAGCTGGGTGTGATGGTGTGCACCTATAATCCCAGCTACTCAGGAGGCTGAGGCAAAAGAATCGCTTAAGCCCAAAGGGTGGAGGATGGTTGAAGTGAGCCAAGATCGCACCACTGCACTCCAGCCTGGGTGATACAGTGAGACTCTGTCTCAAAAAAAAAAAAAAAAAAAGGAATGGCTTCTTGAAGGAAGTGACACCTGAGCTGTCTTCAAGTGTGATGAGGAGAGGACATGGAGGGGCAGGTTTCAGCTTGTGCAGAGGCACAGGGATGGAACAGTAAGAAAAAGTCTGGAGCACAGCCAGCAGCTCCTATGGCCGAAGAGTAGTGACTGAGTTGGAATGAACGGAGCTGGCAAAGTCGACAGGGGCAGATCCTCAGACAAGTTCGAGCAGCAGAACAGGGGAGCCACTGAGGGGTTAAGGCAGAGGAGGAGTGACCTAACAGGATTTGCACCAGGGGCAGATCTTCTGGTTGCAGATGAGCCACCAGAGAGGCTAGTGGGAAAGCAGTGGTCAGGATCCAAAGGCAGGAGGCGCTAGTGGTGAGGGCAATGGCAACGGAGGGTGGCTGACAATGGAGATATTTATGGGATAGATTCAAAAGGCCTTGATGAATGTGAGCGGAGGGGAGGTAAGGGGTGCCCCATTTCTAGCTGCAGACACAAAATGAATAGTGGTACCTGTCCCCAAAATAGGAAACATGAGAGGAGGAAAAGCAAGTTTGGGATGGAGAGGGTGGAGAAGAGAGGTGGTCCCATCAGAAGGCAGCCAAAAGCAACCCTATAAGTCATCCATAAAGCCATCCATCAGCTTGGCAGGTGGATGAGGCAGGTGGTGTCTTACTTGTTGTGACATTCCTTGCTGCTCCCCGGTGACAGCACCTGCTTGGACCCTAGACCAAAGTGAGATACATACAGGTTCATCCAACCATGCCATAAATGCTGTTAACCACCTGTCCTACACCCTGCACTGGGGACCCAGCAGTGAACACAGGAGACTCCCTGCCTTCCTGGGTTTACTAATGGGAAAGTGAGTACGTGCTCATAAATAAATTCTAGGCTACTTCTGAACATGACAAGGGCTGCAGAGAAGCATGAGGTGGGGAAGGGAAATAGAGAGTGCTGGGAGCAGGGAGGAGGCTTAAACAGAGGGAATAAACAGAGAGAATTAAATAGAGTAAATAGGCCAGAGAAGGCCTCACTAGAAAAAGTGTTCATGGCCAGGCATGGTGGCTCACGCCTGTAATCCTTGCAACTTGGGAGGCCGAGGCAGGCAGATTTCCTGAGGTCAGGAGTTTGAGACCAGCCTGGCCAACATGGTGAAACCCCGTCTCTACTAAAAACACAAAAATTAGCCGGGCATGGTGGTGCGCACCTGTAATCCCAGCTACTCAGGAGGCTAAGGAATAAGAATCGCCTGAACCCCAAAGGCAGAGGTTAGTGAGCTGAGATCGCCCCACTGCCCTCCAGCCTGGGCAATAGAGTGATACTCCATTCAAAAAAAAAAAAAAAAAGATGAAGTGTTCTTTAAGCAAAGGCTTGAAACAAGTGAGAGAATGAGTCTTGTGGATTTCTAGGGGAAGAGCGTTCCAGCAGAAATGCAAACAGTGGTGTGTTTGGTGTGGCGGGAAAGGGGTGAAGGGTAAAGTAGCAGGAGACAGTGAGGGACAAGTGGATAAATGGTTAGATTATGAGTTTTTTCAAGACAGGCCCAGGGAAAGACTTTTCTTTTATTCAACATGATACTGGAAGCCACTGGGAGGTCTGGGCAGAGGTGTGACATGATCTAATGTCTGTAGGAGGAGGATTCATCTGTGTTGGTGCTTAATGCTGATGCTTAGGAGCCGTTGCAATAATCCAAGTAGGAGATGCTGGTGACTGAGGCTGGAGAGGAGCACTGGACGGGTGGGAACTCACTACCCAAGGATGAGGCCATGGAGTGAACCCAGTGTGCTGTGATCGACACACGACCACCGATGATGGAAATTTCCAGAGTGGGGCTTTGGCCACAGAGAAAGGGGAGCAACAGCAGATGGCCAGAGCCTGGAAAAGAGAAAGGAGGTTGGGAATAACATAGACTTACAACCTTCGGTCATCAGAGCTGGGAGAATCCTTGGAAAGATAGATGACGCAGCCCACTGACTTCCTGTTGCAGATGCGGGGGGCCTCAGTATGGGCTAGCCCAAAGCCACACAGCAAGTTAGTGGCAGTGCCAGGACTGGGACCAGCAAAGCTGGGCTTCATCATCATGCTCCTGTGGGACCTGGGCCCAGCTGGAATAATGGAGCCAACAAACCATATGGGAAGACAATGAGCACAGAAAGTACTTTGGGGTACCTCCCATCAGAGCGGCCAGTTTACAGACAATTAAACACTCATTACTCCAAGGTGGTATTACTGTTCCCATTTTCCAGATAAGAAAGGGAGGCCAGTGGCTGGGCAAAGTGACTCATGCCTGTAATTCCAGCACTTTGGGAGGCTGAGGCAGAAGGATCTCTTGAGGCGAAGAGTTTAAGACCAGCCTGGGCAGAATAGCAAGATCCGGTCTCTACAAAAAGTTTAAAAAAAAAAAAATTAGCCAGATACGGTGTCACACACCTGTAGTCCCAGCTACTCAGGAAGCTGAGGCAAGAGGATCACTTGAGCCTAGGAGTTCGAGGCTGCAGTGAGCTATGATTTTGCCACTTCACTCCTGCCTGGGCTACAAAGCAAGACCCTGTCTCAAAAAATAAATAAATAAAATAAAATAAAGTGAGGCACAAAGAGATTACAGAACCAACCCAAGAGCACACATACACCTAGAGAGAAGGCAAATCTGACCCTTAAACACAAGCTTGTCTGTGTGGGCTGCCGCATCTCCTGGGGTTCTGCTGCCATAGGACCTGGCAAAGCAGAGATTCACGTTTTCCAGCTACAGTCTTAAGTTCATCTAGAAAACAACCCTGCCCAGAGAACTGTGCTGGACCTCCAACATCTGTGGTTCAAGAAGGCAACGCTACAGGGAAAGACTGGCAGAGTGGAGGCTCCATGTCCTTTCCACAGGTAGGAGAAATGTGCACAGTTGAGGAAAGACTGACCCTCAGAGTGGTGGGCCCAGGCAGGTGGGCCTGGAACTGCTGGCCACAGGGAGCTACAGCAGGTCAGAGAGAGGGGAAGGGCCCACTATGACCCAGCGCTTAAATAACAATGGGTTTCTGGGATTGGAGCTGCAGAGCCAGGAGCCCCAGTGCCCTTTCCTCCTCCCACCGCGCACCAAAACATGGGGTCCAAGATCTTCTGTTGTTGCCGCAAGACCAGCGAGGGGTCTTCCACCACTGTTGGCTTCCACAATCCAAGAATGTTCGAACAGCATCATCCACGGTCCTTCAGTAGGTTCCAGACGTGGGTGTGTGATAGTGTCAGGAACACCTGAATGATTCTCTGCGCCTCGGCCTCCCCGGCCACCTCCTGCTGGGACATAGTCAGACTTCTTTCAGCCTTCTGGGAGTGTGGAAAGGGCGTAGTTACTCAAGCCTGGAACAACACAGTCTAAAGACTCTATCAGTTATTAGAGATTAGTTATTAGGTGGTAGATATTCGTTGAAATCACTGGCTTTAGTCCTCCATGGCCATTTGTTGATTTATTTAATTTCTCACTGAGTTTGTGGTACTTTATTAGATGGTAGTTTAAACTCTGCCTCTGCTGCTTACTGAGTTTGGGCATGTCGCCGACCCTCCCTCTCTAAGCCTCAGCATCCTTCTCTCCAAAATGAGGATAACGATAATATATTGCCCACTGTGCAGGCTGTTAGGAGGATGAAGGCAGGCACCGTGTGTAAGTGAATGCATATGGCCCCACACAAAGAAGACATTCAACAAGGCCGGGCACGGTGGCTCACGCCTGTAATCCCAGCACTTTGGGAGACTGAGGCGGGCAGATCACGAGGTCAGGAGATCGAGACCATCCTGGCTAACACGGTGAAACCCCGTCTCTACTAAAAATACAAAAAATTAGCGGGGCATGGTGGTGGGCGCCTGTAGTCCCAGCTACTCAGGAGGCTGAGGCAGGAGAATGGAGTGAACCGAGGAGGCGGAGCTTGCAGTGAGCCGAGATCGCGCCACTGCACTCCAGCCTGAGCGACAGAGCGAGACTCCACCTCAAAACAAAAAAAAAGACATTCAACAAATGATATCTGTGGATGTGTATAAGGATCAGCTGGGCCACGCTGAGGTAATGAGTAAACTCTAAAATCTCCATTGCTTCACCCAGCTCGAGATCATTCTTAGCTCATACAAGCAAACTTTTATTTTTAAAGAGATTAATGATTTGAGGAGTCTCTGAGTGGAGTATGGCCAAGATAGGTTATACGCGCATCACTCAAAGCCTTTACCCAGGATAAGTTTATTCCTCTGTTCTTTCAGATCTGAACACAAATTCTCTCCACAGTGCTGTACCAAAAAGACATCCACGCCTCCCCTATGACAACCGCATGATGCTCAAGGCGTGCATCCTTAGGAGGCCATGAGCATTCTAGCCGGCGGCACCCACGTGGTCCCTGCGGCTGCACAGCTGCTGGGCTTCCATGAGGAAGAGGGCAGTGGACAAGAGTCATGAAGACTGATTCAGAAACTCCCCTGCAGGAGGAGAAGACGTCTGAGCCATCCCTGTGCCACCACCAAGAGTCACTCCAGCTTCTGAAAAAGCCACCGTGGGGGGGAGCCGCCTCCAATTAAAGTCCTTGGTCACATCAGAGGAAGTGTCTCTCCTCCTTCCCCCTTTGCCAGCCCTACCTCTGAGATTCCCAAAAACATGGAGCAATTAGACCCTGGCACCTCTTGGAAAGAAATGTGGTTTTGTCATTTTAACGCATTAACACATTTGTTTCAGTCACTCCTAACCAACCTAACAGGGAAGTGCTATATTAGGAGAGGCCAGTTTGTATAACAGGCCACTGTCATAAACGTCCAGAGCTTCAGGGCACAATTCTGCTTGCCTACTGTGCGACTCCATTTGACGCTCAGGGCCATAGGGAACAGCAGGGCATGTTGTGAAAAACTCTACAAACAGCAGCCCTAGAGTTATGCAATGCGTAGCCAGTGCTGATACGCAGCACCGCTTGTGCTGAAACACGGAGTATGCAACTGTGAGTAATATGCAGAAGACCCCACATGGTTTCCACATTAGCCAGGGAGCCAGGCATGGAAGTGTATCACTCTGACATAATAGGGCAAAAACTTGGAAAGCAAAATGACAAAGGAGCATTTTGCAACTGACTCGGGGATTAATGGAAGGCTTCCTGGAGGCGATGGTGCTTGAAGGGAAGTTAGCTAAAAGGAGAAGGGATGATATTCCAGAAGGAGGGAATACAATCAGCAAAGTTGGAAAATAGGGGCACGACCTGGGAGGGCATGAGGGTAGCAAAGTACCAAGTCTAGAATGACTCAAGTGAAAACCTGAGCCAGGGTTTGGTGGGAGGTGAAGTGGGCAGAGCATCAAGAGCTTTGTATCCAGGGAAAAGGAGCTGAACTCTATCTTGAAAATAATGGGAAGCCACAGGTGAGTTTTAAGCAACAAAGTGACACAGCCTGATTTCCAACTTTTGTACTATGAACAGTGCCTTAGTCTGTTCAGACTACTAAAATAAGATACCATAACCGGGTGACTTACAAACAACAGAAGTTTATTTCTCACAGTTTTGGAGGCTGGGAAGTCCAAGATCAAAACTCCAGCAGCATCAGTGTCTGGTGAGGGCCTGTTCCTCATAGAGGGCGCTTCTTGCTGTGTTCTCACATAGCAGAAGGGGCAAGGGGTCTCTCTCAGGCTCTTTCATAAGGGCACTAATCTCAATCGTGAGGGCTCTGCTCTCATGACCTAATCCTCCTAAACCTCCCAAAGACCACAATTCTTATACCATCACCTTGGGAGTTAAGATTTCAACACATGAATTTGGGGGAACATTAACATTCAGACCATAACAAACAAGGCGAGTTGGAAGACAACACTTTTTTTGTTTGTTTGTCTGTTTGTCTGAGACGGAGTCTTGCTCTGTCACCCAGCCTGGAGGGCAGTGGCATGATCTTGGCTGGCTGCAACCTCCACCTCCCAGGTTCAAGGATTCTCCTGCCTCAGCCTCCCAAGTAGCTACAGGAAAGTGCCACCACACCCAGCTAATTTTTTTTTTTAATTTTTTTTTTGAGACGGAGTTTCTCTTTCGTTGCCCAGGCTGGAGTGCAATGGCACACTTTCGGCTCACAGCAACCTCTGCCTCCCGGGTTCAAGCGATTCTCCTGCCTCAGCCTCCTGAGTAGCTGGGATTACAGGCACCCTCCACCATGCCTGGCTAATTTTGTATTTTTAGTAGAGACAGGGTTTCTCCATGTTGATCAGGCTGGTCTCCAACTCCTGACCTCAGGTGATCCGCCCGCCTCAGCCTCCCAAAACGCTGGGATTACAGGCGTGAGCTACCGCGCCCGGCCTAATTTTTGTATTTTTAGTAGAGACGGGGTTTTGCCATTTTGTTCAGGCTGGTCTTAAACTCCTGACCTCAGGTGATCCGCCCATCTCAACCTCCCAAAGTCCTGGGATTACAGGCGTGAGCCACTACACCCGGCCAGAAGACAATTTATTAATTAGCACTCCTTATGCCTTCCCCACCTCAGAAAAGAGAAGAATAAAGGAATATGATGTCTATGCCATGGCAATGTGGAGTAAAATTCATACCTTCAATGAAAAGCCCATCCTGGCTATAATGTGAAGGATGGATTTTGTTTTGTTTTGTTTTGTTTTTTGAGACGGAGTCTCGCTCTGTCATCCAGGCTGGAGTGCAGTGGTGCGATCTCAGCTCACTGCAACCTCCACCTCTCGGGTTCAAGCGATTCTCCTGCCTCAGCCTCCCAAGTAGCTAGGACTACAGGCGCATGCCACCACGATTTGAGTGTAATAGTAATCACAATAGACAGCCTGGTTCCTTGCTTACTCTGTGCCAGATCCTCTTCCAAGTGCTTCATAAATATCAACCCAATCAGCACAATAACCCAACAAGGTTAGAACTGTTACTACCTGATTTTACAGATTAGGGAAGTGAGACACAGGTTAAATAAATCTTTTAAGGTTTACACTAACTCACATTAAGTGCCAGAGCTAAGACTTTAACTCAAGAAACCCAACTGCAGAGTCCACACTCTTAACAACTTGGTTATGCGGCCCCTCGATAATGGTAGAATGACATTCAGTTATTACTCTGGACCCCAAATTTACTGTTCATCGCCTGCTCTTCAAAAATGGAGCTGGCCCTTTAAATATTTTTCTTTTGGTAGTTGGTGCAATGCTAGGCTCTGTCAGGAGGGGGAGCTAGAGACATTGGAGGAGGAAGAGGCCTTCCTTTCTGGTTGTGCTGGGCTCATCTTAACAGCACAGAGCTCACAGCTTCTCCAACATCACCCTCCCGCAGTGCAGGCAACTTTTCCAGAACAGGAATCCTGCAGAGGATGGTGGTCAGTAGCACTTGGCAACTAGCAGCTTCTCCTAGTGCCCCCACAAATAGGTGTGCCTCTAATCAGACACTGTTCCATGACAGCTTTCCCTGGCACCCAAGGGCAGACTTCTAGAACATTCTCCCAGACTTCTCTGCCATTGTGAGGCACAGCCATGCCCTTCCCAGCAACATCTGGATCTCAGCTGGGGATAGAGCCTGGGGGTGTTCTTTCTTAGTTCTAGGGGTGCTGGCTGCTCCTTATGTCCATTATTCCTATATTCTTTAAAGCTCTCCTGACTTCTTACCACTCCTTCATTACTCCAATCCCCTGTTCTAGTTAGTACTTATATTAATCTTCTCATATTCAAATTGTTATGTGGTTTCTGTCTCCCAAGTGGATCATGACTAATGCAGAAATCAAATTAAGAGGCTGGGCTTATGTCTGTGGCCCCAGAAATACAGGAGGCAGAGGCAGGAGTATCACTTGAGGCCAGGAGTTTGAGATCAGCCTGGGCAACACAGCAAGACCCGATCTCTACCAAAACAAAACAAAACAAATTAAGCGACTGCCTAGGCAATCAGGACAGACAGTGATACAGGCCTAAAGTAGGGCAGCAGCAGTCAGGATGAATAAGAGGACCTTGAGTCATATTTCTCAGGCAAAGCTGGCCAATTCTAACTCAGAACCATACAGGAAAGAAGATTCTAGGGAATGAGGTCCTTGTGGTATTGAGGCCAAGTTGACAACAACAGCAGATCACTTAATTTTGGGCTATTCCAAGCTGGAGGGGCCTATGGGACATCCAGATGACCATATTAAGAAGGTTGGCAATATTTAGCAGGAAAAGGTAAAAGAACTATAGCTGGAAGGAAGCAGAGAGGCCTACAACATGTGTGTGGAGTTGTCAGCTCACTGCATCGTGGCACCTCTTCCCCATGGGATGAGACCCCACTGGCATCTGTTGGGTGAAGATACAGTTCACTTTCCCGGACCTCATGTCCAGAGTCCTCTTCCACTGCCCATTCTCATACTGTATCCCCTGGACCCACCCTCTTACCCAGATTCCCCTTGTCCTATGCATTCCTCACCTCCTCTCATGCGAAGGTCCCACTTTCCTTCCCCAGCAAACCCCATATTCCTTATTTCTTGGACTGCTTTCTGCAACAACTGTAGCAGGTGCTTTACACAAAAAAGATGCTCCTTAAATGTCACTTCCTGCTTTGATAATTTAGAAACTCCTTCACAGAAGGGATGCAAAGAAGCCTCCATCCTGTGACTTTTTTAAAGGGCTCTCAGCCACAGGGTGACATCTTTCTTTGAAGGATTTTCAAATAGTAACAATAAAAATAATCATGGAAACCACAGCTGGATTTACTTCTGATCATGGTAAACTAGCTTGTATCAGACCAACCCTCCTGCTGACAGCAGTTTAAAAGCAATTGTTCTTTTTTCTTAAATGTGTTTGAATGCATCAGAGAGATATCAACATAGTCAGGACACGAGGGGCCAAGATGCTGAAGAGAAAAGTAGAGAGAGGAGATGAGCACCGAAGCCTTCTTATCCCCTTGAGGCACCTGCCGAGTCCTAAGCAGAGTCCAAGTAGCTGAAAAGTTGAGTAGAGCTTTCAGAAGTCTCACAGCGGCCAGGCGTGGGGGCTCACGCCTGTAATCCCAGCACTTTGGGAGGCCGAGACAGGTGGATCACAAGGTCAGGAGATCAAGACCATCCTGGCTAACACAGTGAAACCCCGTCTCTACTAAAAATACAAAAAATTAGCCGCGTGTGGTGGTGGGCGCCTGTAGTCCCAGCTACTGGGGAGGCTGAGGCAGGAGAATGGCGTGGACCTGGGAGGCGGAGCTTGCAGTGAGCCAAGATCATGCCACTGCACTCCAGCCTGGGAGACAGAGCGAGTCTCTGTCTCAAAAAAAAAAAAAAAAAAAAAAAATGTCTCACAGCTTGGGGTAACAAAAATTGGAGGTTTAGGACTCACCATGAAAGAGGAGTCCTGGTTTTATAAACACACACACACACGTTTTCAGCTAAAACCCCTGTAGGGCTACAACCTGAGAGTAAGGTTTAATCACACCTAGACTAGCTCTCACAAAGCCCAGGGTCAAGTTTATCTCAAGCCTACTTTTCCCAGAAGCAAAAGTAAATCCTGCCTGAGGGAAGATCCAGAGCCTTGTATATCTCTTCAATTTTTCAAAATTTTCATTTTTCAAAATGTCTAGCATTTAATGAAAAATTACCATGAATATCAAAAAATAAGACCAACTGACTGAAAAGCAAAAGGAAAAAAAAAAGAACCAGATATTAGAGTTTGCAGACATAAACTTTAAAAGCAGTACAATTAAATATTGAGGAGAATAGATGACAAGATTGGTAATTTCATTTGAGAACTGGAAACTATTTCTAAAAAAACAAAATTATAGAACTGAACATTATGATGGATGAAATTAAAAACTCAGGCTGGGCATGGTGGCTCACAGCTGTAATCCCAGTGCTTCAGGAGGCAGAGGCAGGAGGATTACTTGAGGCCAGAAGTTCAAGACCAGCCTGGGCAACACAGCAAAACCCCGTCTCTACAAAACATTTAAAAATTGGCCAGGCATGGTGGCACCTGCCTATAGTCCTAGCTACTTGGGAGTCTTAGGTCCCAGGAGTTTAAGGTTGCAGTGAGCTGTGATTGTGCTACTGCACTCCAGCCTGGGCAACAGAGCAAGACCCTGCCTCTTAAAAAAAAAAAAAAAGATAAAAAAATTAGAAACTGGATTGATTTTTAAATGAAACATAGGGTTAACAAAAAAACTCCATTGATAGAATTAAACACAAATGAGGGCAAGATTAATGGAGAAGACGAGTCAGTAGAAAATATCCAGGCTGAATCACAAAGAACCAAAAGAATGGAAAAATACCAAGAAGGGTCTTAGAGATATAGTGAAAAGGTCTAACACTTATCATTAGAGTCCTGAACAAGATGAGAGAGAAGAGGGTGAATGCTGTGATGAAAGATATCATGTCACAGTTTCAAGATGTGCTATGAACAAGCACAAGCAGGAAAAATACTTTAAAAGCTACAGCTAGGCACATCAGAATATAACTGCTAAAACTCAATGCAAAGAGAAAATGTTGAGAGCAGCAATGGGGCTGACAGATGACTTCTCAACAGAAGCAACAGAAACCAATGACATCTTCAAAAGGTTGAAAGAAAATAACTGCACTAACCTAGAATTCCTTACTTACCAAAAATATCTTTCAAAAATAAAAACAAAATACAGACTTCTCAGCAAACAAAAATTGAATTTGTCACCATAAGATCTGTACTGAAAGGAAAATACTAAAGGTATTTCTAAATATACTATACTAAATATGATACTATATTGAAGAAAAATTCTAAAGTTAGTTCCAGAAGCAGGATCCAAAATAGATGTATGGAAATACAGAAAGGAACAAAGGGCAATAAAATTGAAGTAACAAAGAGCAATAAAAAGTAACATGTGAATAAATCTAAATGAATATTGACTATAGAAAGCATTAATAAGAATGTCTGTTGTGGCTTAAAATACATAGAAAATTGAAATCCATGACAAGACTACCGTAACAGGTAGAAAGGTGAAAGAATTGTATAGTTGTTGGAGCCAGGCACGGTGGCTCTCACCTGTAATCCCAGCACTTTGGGAGGCTGAGGCAGGTGGATCACTTAAGGTCAGGAGATCGAGACGAGCCTGGACAACATAGTGAAACTCTGTCTCTACTAAAAATACAAAAATCATCAGGGTGTGGTGGTGCACACTTGCAATTCCAGCTACTCGGGAGGCTGAGGCGGGAGAATCACTTGAACCTGGGAGGCGGAGGTTGCAGTGAGCCAAGATCGTACCACTGCACTCTAGCCCAGGCCACAGAGGGAGACTCCGTCTCCAAAAAAAAAAAAAAAAAAAATTGTGTAGTCGCTGGGTTATCCAGGAAATGATAGAAGTGATCATGTATAATACACTTCAGTAAGTCAAGGATGCTTGTTAAATCTAGGGTAAGAACTGAAAGAAAAGTATACTTCATATGCTAATAAAGGAGAAATTACCCAAAACAAACAACCTTAATCCAAAACAAGGAAAAAAGACAGAAAAAAGAAAAGAACACAGTAACAGAAAAACCGATAGAAAGAATTATTAGTAAGATGGTACATTCAAACCTAAGTCTATCAGTAAACACATTAGATATAGTGTAGTAAATACTTTGAATTAGAAAAAAACTTAATTTCAAAAAAGCAAATCTTACATGCCTACAAGGGTGAAACCTTAAATATAAGAATGTGAAAAGGTCAAAAGTAAAAGGATGAACAAAGATATACTACGCAATGACTAATCAAAAGAAAGCTAATTTCCTCTCAGTAAGCAAGGAATAGAGAAGAAACTTTCTCAACTTGTTAAAGAATATCTCATCTAGGCATGGTGGCTCAGGCCTGAAATCTCAACACTCTGGAAGGCTGAGGTGGGAGGATCAACTCCAGGAGTTCAAGATCAGCCTGGGCAACATAGTGAGACCCCATCTCTACAAAAAACTAAAAAATTATGGCTGGATGTGGTGGCCCAGGCCAGGCACAGTGGCTCACGCCTGTAATCTCAGCACTTTGGGAAGCCAAGGTGGGTGGATCACCTGAACTCAGGAGTTCAAGACCAAACTGAGCAACATCAACATGACAGAACCCTGTCTCTACCTTTTGGTAGCCAAGCATGGTGGTGCATGCCTGTGGTCCCAGCTACTCAGGAGGCTGAGGTGAGAGGATCACTTGAGCCTGGGAGGCAGAGGTTGCAGTGAGCCAAGATCCCACTACTCCACTCCAACCTGGGTGACAGAGTGAGATCCCATTTCAAAAAAAAAAATAAATGGCATATAGACCCAGCTACTCAGAAGGATTGCTTGAGCTCGGGAGATCAAGGCTGCAGTAAGCTATGATTGTGCCACTGCACTCCAGCCTCCAGCCTGGATAACAGAGTGAGACCCTGTCTCAAAACAAAACAAAAAACCTACTAGGGCCGGGAATGGTGGCTCACACCTGTAATCCCTAGCACTTTGGGAGGCTGAGGCGGGCGGATCACAAGGTCAAGTGATCAAGACCATCCTGGCCAACATGGTGAAACCCGATCTCTACTAAAAACACAAAAAAATTAGCTGGGCGTGGTGGCACACGCCTATAGTCCTAGCTACTCCAGAGGCTGAGGCAGGAGAATTGCTTGAACTCAGGAAGTAGAGGTTGCAGTGAGGTGAGATCGGGCCACTGCACTCCAGCCTGGTGATGGAGCAAGACACTGTCTCAAAATAAAACAAAATAAAACAAAAAAAACCTACCAGAAAGTCCGGAGCTAACATTATATTTAATAGTGAATGCCAGGCATGGTGGCTCACGCCTGTAATCCCAGCACTTTGGGAGGCCAAGGAGGGCAGATCACCTAAGGTCAGGAGTTTGAGACCAGGCTGGCCAACATGGAGAAACCCCATCTCTACTAAAGAAAAATAAAAATAAAAAAATAAAAAAATAAAACATATAAAAATTAGTCAGGTATGGTTGTGCAGGCCTGTAATCCCAGCTATTCGGGAGGCTGAGGTAGGAAAATTGCTTGAACCCAGGAGGTGGAGGTTCCAGTGAGCTGAGATTGTACCACTATACTCCAGCCTGGGCAACAGAGCAAGACTCTGTCTCAAACAAACAAACAAAAAATAGTGAGACACTAGAAACTCCCACTACAATCATAAACAAGGCAAGAATGTTCCCTCTTACCACTACTCTTCAACATCATACTGGAAGTCCAAGCCAATGAAATAGGACAAGAAAAGGAAATAAAAAGTATACAGATATACAGATGAGGAAGGAAGAAATAAAACTGTCTTTGTTTACAGGTGAGATGATTATCTCATCAACAAAAGAATCAACAAAGAAACTCCTAAAACTAATAAGAGATTATAGCAAGGTTGCAGGATACAATGTGAGTAGATAAAATTCAATCACTTTCCCATAACTAGCAATGAACAAATGAAATTTGAAACTAAATACACAATACTATTTTTATTAGCACCCCCAAAAATAAGATATTTAGGTATAAATCTTATAAATCTAACAAAATATGTACAAGATCTATAAGAAAAATTACCAAAAAAAAAAAAACTGTAGGAAAAGGGAAAAACCCCTACAAAACTGATAAAAGAAATCAAAGAACAACTAAATAAATGAAGACAGATTCTATGTTTGTGGATAGAAATCAATATTGTGAAAATGTCAGTTCTTGCAACTTGATCTATGGATTTGATGCAATCCCAATCAAAATAAACAGTGAGTTAGTTTGTGGATATTGACAAACTGATTCTAAAGTTTACATGGAAAGGCATAAGACACACAATAGCCAAATCAACATTGGGAGAGAAGAACTAAGTTGGAGGACTCACACTACCCAATTTCAAGACTTACTATAAAGCTACAGTAATCAAGACAGTGTGTTATTGGGAAAGAACAGACACATAGATCAATGGAACAAATAGAGAGCCCAGAAATAGACCCACATAAGTATAGTCAACTGATCCTTGAAAAAAAAAAAAAAAAAGCAAAGGCAATACAATGGAGCAAAGAGAGTCTTTTCAACAGATGGTGCTGGAACAATATGCAAAAAATTAATCCAGATGGAGACCTTACAACCTTCAGAAAAACTAACTCAAAATGAATCACAGACCTAAGTGTAAAAACACTCAACTATAAGATAACATAGGATAACATAAACTAGGAGCCAACAGCAGCCAGCAGCTGCAGAAGAAACGCCCCCACTGACTGAGCCCTTACTGTGGACCAGGCTTTGTGCTTCACATCAATCACTCCCGTTAATCCCCCTTATTATCACACTCCCCCCTTAATACATGAGGAAATTAGGTACAGAAAGTACAGTAAGAGTGAGTATCTGGCCCAAAGTCACCAGCTTGCTCTTTATCTCCTTGCTATATTATCTCTGGATGCTGAATTCCAGAGATTTGACTAAAATCTTTATTGACATAAATATACCCCATGGCACTGAAATAGCTGAGGTCTGAGGCAGACTGAATAACCTTAACGGTTAATGACCTGCTAGATCAACAAAAATATACATCAGGTATCTACAATATGCGAGACAAAAAATTTTTTAAGTAACAATTTATTGAGCTTTCACTCAAGTTTGGTATTCAAAGTTGCAAGCACTTGACATTTTTTTACACCATTTAATCCTTACAACAACCTGCCAGGTACATGCTCTTATTCCCATCCTATAGATGAGGAATGAGACTCAATGAGAGGAAGAACATTGTTTTTAAGTGGAAGAACTTGGATTAGAATAAACAGAACTCTAGAATCCATGCAATGAGTTACCACCTTCACTCTCACTCGAAGACATTGCACTGCCTACACCATGGCCACATCTATCACTAACACAGAGCCTTAAGACTTAGGAGCTGGCTGGGCATGGTAGTTCACACCTGTAATCCCAGCAGCATGGGAGGCCAAGGCAGGAGGATCACTTGAGGCCAGGAGTTCAAGACTAGGCTGGGTAACATAGCAAGACCTTATCTCTCTGAAAAAATTACATTTAAAAAAAAATAAATAAAAATTAAATAAAATTTAAAAACTGATGAGCATTCCTGTGTGTAGTATGCGATCTTCACAGCAACCCTGTAAAGTAGGTGAGACAGAGATCATAGGGATTTTATAAATGAGGAAACTGAGGCACAGATGCCGAGAAATGTACATTGTGGGCATACCCTGAAAGCCCCACCCACCAGGTGAGACCATCAAAAATTCTAAAGAAAGGAAAAGTCAGGAAAAGAAACACACATCAAAGGCTCTCAAGCAGACCTTACAATTGAAAAACTGCTGCTTTGTCATTTAACAAACACATTTTTATTCTCTGTTAATTACTTACCGGGGTTCTAGGACTGACTGAGAAATACGGGCTTCTTTCTATTGGTCACATTCACAGCCAACATTTCCTCTGTGCCAGGTCAGAAAGACAGTGGTCACCTTCGTGAATAATTTCCTTGAGCAAAGCTGCTCTCAGCCTTGACCAAAGCAGCCTTTCCAGGGGCTGGTCTATACCCATGATCTCTCTTCTCTGGCACACAGAAAGTGAATGGTCAGACTCATCTCTTGAATGGCAAGCCACGTGTTTATTACATTTCTTGTTCACCAGACCCACTTTATTAAAAAGCGAAATGACAATCAGAAAGGTTAAGTGACTTAGCCAAGGTCACACAACTTGGAAGCAGCAGATCAGGAAGAAAAATCCAGGTCTGCTAGGTAGGCCAGTCTTCTGTCCAAGGGTGTCCTAGGACCAGGTCATCTCAGCCATGTGGGGTTGCCAGATGTTTCTGCATGTGGATAAAGATAGATAGGCCAAGGGCTATGAGGGGGCAGAATAAGCTAGAAATTCCCAGAACTTTGGTCCTAGAAGGGCCCTTAAGAATCATCCAGGCTGGTTGTGGTGCCTCACGTCTGTAATCCCAGCACTTTGGGAGCCCGAGGCGGGTGGATCACCTGAGGTCAGGAGTTCAAGACCAGCTTGGCCAACATGGCGAAACCCCATCTCTACTAAAAACACAAAAAAATATCCAGGAGTAGTGGTGCACACCTGTAGTCCCAGCTACTTGGGAGGCTGAGGCATGAGAATCACTTGAACCTAGGTGGCGGGGGTTGCAGTGAGCCAAGATCGCGCCACTGCACTCCAGCCTGGGTGACAGTGCAAGACTCCATCTCAATTAAAAAAAAAAAAATCATCCAATCCACCCATTATATTGATGGGCAAACTGAGGACCAGGCAAAGAAAGCAACTTGCCAAAAATTACACAGCTTGAAGTGGCAGATCAGGTCCAGAACCCAGGTCCACAGCAATGTCATCATTCAAGTGAGTTTGGAAAGCAATTTGCAAAAGCTGCTGTGGGGATGGCAAAGCAATCAATCCACAAGATTTTTTTTTCCTTAGCAGGTCCAGGTCATGCACAAAAAGTACAAGGTGTAGTCTCTGTCCTTAAGGAGTTTACAGTCTAGCTAGAAAAACTGGCATATACACAGGAAAACAGAATCAATACCATAAAACATCAGAACAAGCAGCAGCTGTATCAAGAATTTAAAGGAGGCAGAGAGCAGCAGGGTTGGCTGTGTGGGAAGGCTTCCTAAAGAAGGGCTTAAGAAAGCTGGACTTTGAAGCATGAATAGGAGTCCAACAAATGGAAAGGAATAGGTATGTCAGTCCAGGAAAGAGCGTGAACTCATAAAGGGGTTTTGTGGGAGATGAAGCCAAAATCGCAGACAAAGGCTAGGTCTTGGGGGCTGGGGATCCTTTAGATGCGTTTGGTCTTGGGTCTATGAAACAATAGGTCTTCAAACTTGTTCAGGAGCAGATCACTTGGAAGCCTCTGAGCTCTTCAAAGAATTCCACAAGTGGCTGATCACACTTCATTCCAGGACAATGTTCATGTCGGGAAACATAACCATTGTTCTACATCTGTAATATAAAACCACAACCACAAGCGTGCATGCCTGTGAACAAAATAAGTCCTCAAGTCAAACAGGATCAATCTTTCTCAAATATTCCTATCAACAGTTATCTGCCCTTGATCTCTTTCTTCTGTCTCTGTCTTCTGCAGCCTGTGTACTGGTAGACAACACGTACACATACCACTGCTTTTCACAAAATATGGGGGAGAAAAACTTAAAAATTGAGAGAATTCTGAAAACTTACTTTTTTTCTTTATATTGGAAAAAGGAAGTCTGATAATTTTAGGGGTTCAAGGCAATGCCACATAGAGCAGTATCCTCTCTGAGCCTCAGTTTCCCCATCTGGCATGAAGGGGTTGGAGATGGAAACATCATCTGAGGCCAAGTTTTGGACACATAATTTGCCCAGTCTGGTCATCTTCATGTCTCCTGGGTTCTCTGAACAATGAAAGCAATGGGGGTCCAGTCTTTCCATACGTGTCCACAGTTCTAAGCAGCAGAGAGAGTAGCTTTGGTGGGACTAGCTCTGTAACCATCAGCTTCTGCAAAGGCCAGGGGGTCAGCATGAGATGTCAAACAAGGATTTTTGTGCTGGGCCCTGAAGTGAGCACAACACCCCAGTGGCTGACATCACAGGCCCCTTTTGGAGTGCCCCCAGATGCTTCTCTCCTCACCTGGGGCTCCCCATTGGCCATCTTGGGCTCCTGAAGCCTTCCTGACTGCTCAGTCTTGAAGGAAGATGAGTACCTTCATCCCTAGGTCACCTCGCCAGGAACGGGCAGCACCCTGTGCCTAGGATGTAGGCTTCTATGAGCTGGCAGGGGCATGGAATTCTCGGAGAGTTCGTGTGTCGTGTCCCCATTGCCTGAGGGAGCTGGGAGGTCACTAGAAGCCGGATGTAGTAGCCGCCAAACACTGCCAGCAGCTGGCGGGCCATTTCCTAGAAGAGGCAGGGAAGCAGATTGAATACCACAGGGGAGCCCCTTGAGGAAAAAGGGCTTAGGCACCAGGGGAAGGACATGCTGCTTTCTTGCCCCTGGACCCAGCAGTGATGCTCTCTAGGAAGAACCAGGCCAGGTCAGCACCTAGGACTCTCAGAAGATGCCAGCCTGGTCCAGAAGCCCAGTTCTGCAACTCATGGCCTGTGGGGCTCCTGCAGCCTCAATGTCCTCGTTGCCAAGGTGAGTAACTAACTGCTGAATGGCAATAATAATACGCACAAAAAAAATATGCAACCTCGAAGCCCTAGAGAAATTACCAAATTTCTAATTATCTAATTTTTTAAGCCTAGCTGGCCAGGCATGGTTGTTCAAACCTGTAATCCCAGCACTTTGGGAGGCCGAGGTAGGAAGATCACTTGAGGTCAGGAGTTTGAGACCAGCCTGGGCAACAGAGCGAGACTCTGTCTCTACAAAAATAAAATTAAAATTAAAAATATATTTTAAAAATATAAAAAGAAAGTAAACCTAGCCAGCCACAAATACATTTTTTCCACTTTCAAATGTCTATGAGTCTGTAAAGTACATGAGATCAAAGTGACTCACTTGAAGAAAATTACTAGTTAAATGTGGAGGTGGGGAGAGGAATATTCCCATTATAGCAGAATTAGTTAATTCATACAAGGTACCTGGTAGATTTCTTTACACAAGTACTCCTAACATATTAAAAGAAACTGCTTACATTTAAATATGATCACTGACAGTAAAAAAAAAGAAAGAAAAACATAAAAAAGGGAAAAAAGAGATTGCTTATAAAAATTAGGTTTATCACAAAAGGACATGTACTGTATGATTCCACTAATAGGAGGCACCTAGAGTAATCAGTTCACAGGGAGAGAAAGTAAAATGGTGGTTTCTAGGGGTTGAGGGTGGGGAGGAAGGAGGGAAGGGGAAGTTAGTGTTTAATGAGCACAGAGCTTCAATTTGGGAAGAGGAAAACATTCTGCAGATGGCTGATGGTGATGGTTGCATAACGATGTGAATGTACCTCATGCTGCTGAACTATATACTTAAAATGGTTAAGATGGTACATTTTATATTATGTATATTTGCCACAATAAAACAATTTTAAGTAAAAAAGGATTAAAAAATTGAATGTAATGTACTTTTTTTTTTCTTTTTTAAAGACACAGTACAGCCGGGTACAGTGGCTCATGCCTGTAATCCCAGCACTTTGAGAGGCCAAGGCAGGAGAGATTACTTGAGGTCAGGAGTTCAAGACCAGCCTGTCAACATGGTGAAACCCCGTCTCTACTAAAAACACAAAAAAAATTTAGCCAGGTGTGGTGGCACATGCCTGTAATCCCAGCTATTTGGGAGGTTGAGGCAGGAGAATCACTTGAACCCGGAGGCAGAGGTTGCAGTGAGCCAAGATGGCGCCATTGCACTCCAGCCTGGGCAAAAAGAGCAAAACTCCGTTTCAAAAAAAAAAGACATGTGATCTTACTATGTTGCTCAGGCTGGTCTTGAACTCCTGGGCTCCTGCCTTGGCCTCCCTACAGTGTTGGGATTACAGGCGTGAGCCACGGCGCTAGGCCTTAATGCACATTCTTATTAACACAGTTGGTCTGTAAAGATCCATTCACTGGTCTAGAAGATGGGATCTCAGGGGAAATGCTTAACTTCCTTAAGCATGGGGTTGAAGCTCTTTTGCAATACTTGTGTCCACTCTGAATGTAATGAAATGAAGTGTGGGTTACGCTAGGTATGTCTGTAGAGTTAGTAATTAAGGATAGGCTTTAAAGTCAAAAAGGCCAAGAGGGAGTTTCAACTCAGCCACTCTATGACTAACCCAGAGCAGTCACTTCACATTACTGAGCCCATTTCTTCATTGGTAGAATAAGGAAAATAGTGGCACTGACCCCTCTAAGTTACAGTGAGGATTAAAGAGACTAATAGAGGCCGGGCGCGGTGGCTCACACCTGTAATCCTAGCACTTTGGGAGGCCGAGGCAGGTGGATCATCTGAGGTCAAGAGTTCAAGACCAGCCTGGCCAACATGGTGAAAACCCATCTCTACTAAAAATACAAAAATTAGCCAGCCATCATGGCAGACGCCTGTAATCCTAGCTACTTGGGAGGCTGAGGCAGGAGGATTGCTTGAACCTGGGAGATGGAGTTTGCAGTGAGCGGAGATCACACCACTTCACTCTAGCCTGGGCAAAAGAGCAAAACTCCCTCTCGAAAAAAAAAAAGAGAGAGAGAGAGACTAATAGACAGAAAGCATTGAGCCCAGTGCCTAGTGCTCCACAAATGGCATCAATATCTTTCCATCATTATCACTCAAAAAAGCAGAAACCCCACATGGTTCATAAGATTAGCTTTTGTTTCAAGTTATCCTTTGTGCTAGAAAATATAAAACACTTCAAATAGTTTACCACTCACTAACTCAGATTGGTCTTCTCGCCAGTTTACTCTAAAATCAATAATGTAAGAAGCAAGGAACTGTAGCAAGAACACTGGCCTACTTAGAATCAGCAGGGCTGGCTTCTGCCATGGGCTTACTGCACTCTCCCTTTCTGGCAACCTTGGGCCAGTCAGCTGACCTCTTGGAACCTTATTTCACCCACCAAGGAAAAAGGGAAAATAATTCATACCTCGAAGAGTATGCTAATGAATTTTATGCATGAGAAAAATCTGTAAAAATGTAAGAGGTCATTATCGCTATCTTTCCATCTTTTACAGACACTAGGTTCCTACTGAAATGTGACCATCTGGCCCAGGTTGAGACTTGGGCATCGATTATATTTTCATTAACTAAATTATAAGGGCAGCTACTTTAAAAACATGTGCACACACTTGATACTCATGATAGGAAATTATATTACTATTGGTTTGAGTAAATCTAAAAATAATCACTTAAAAGACCCATATTTAAAGGGCTATTGCACAAAAACCCACACACGCATGTCACAAGAAAGTACACAACCTTATCAATCTCTTCTCTTTAAAAAAAAAAAAAGTCAATAGGATAAAGTGAAGAGGTTAATACAGTTATCATTTCTCTCTTTTTTTTTTTTAATATTTTGGCAGGGCACAGTGCTCACACCTGTGATCCTAACACTTTGGGAGGATGAAGCGGGTGGATCGCTTGAGCTCAGGAGTTCAAGACAAGCCTTGGCAACATGGTAAAACCCCGTCTCTAAATAAAAATTTAAAAATTAATATAAAAAGATAAAAGATTTTAATAGAGGCCGGGCATGGTGGCTCATGCCTGTAATCCTAGGACTTTGGGAGGCTGAGGCGGAAGGATCAACTTGAACTCCTGGACTCAAATGATCCTCGCGCCTCAGCCTCCCAAAGTGCTGGGATTACAGGCACGAGCCACCGCATGTTCCTGTCATTTTCTCTTTTAAATAGTACTACTTGCAGGCTTCCTACTGCCCACCAGCACAAAAGAGTAAGCCTGGACTGGTTTGGACCTTGAATCCCCAAATCTCTTGGCTGAAAAGATATAAGTGCTCTTCTGAAGTTTCAAATGTCACCTGAGGTCACCATCACTGCTTGTCTCCCTGACAGTGGGTCTGTCCTCATCATGAGAAGAAGGTAAGCACAAGCTGCACATTTTCAGAATTCTGGTCTGCCAGTGCTTAGCCATAGCCAAGAGACAGTGTGGATGGCAGGACCCAACAGAACTCTGGGGCTGCAGGAACTGAAATTCAACAGAAATGCAAAGAAGTGGGAGGTTGAGGTGGGTAGATCTCTTGAGCCCAGGAGTTGGAGACCAGCCTGGGCAACATGGCAAAACCCTGCCTCTAATAAAAATACAAAAAATTAGCCAGGTGTGGTGGCACATGCCTACAGTCCCAACTACTCAGGAGACTAAGGTGGGAGGATTGCTTGAACCTGGGAAGTTGAGGCCATAATGAGCAGTGATCACACCACTGCACCCCAGCCTGGGTGACGGGAGTGAGACCCTGTTCTAAACAAAAAAAAATTCAAAGAAGAGTCAACTGTCTAACTGCAATTAAAGTAGATGGATGAATGGTTGGATAGATGAATAAATAATTGATTGACTGAGACCCAAATGTTCATCAGTATGTTCATGGTTAAGTAAGCTATAATCTATCAACATGCAACTACCCATCCAATGCAACCATCAAAAAGAATATCCAAGATATTAAATAATGCAACAAAAAGTCCCAATAAATATAAAATGCTTCCTGTTAACTATCTTTTTAAGTGCTAGGGTGAAGAATGAAAAGATTGAAAACTCCTGAGCTAGATTTGTGTGGTGTCTACTAACTGAGAGAAGCATGTCTTGGGGAATCTAAGAAGCCCCCACATAGGCTTTCTCTATGCAAATTCCCCCGAGGGAAGATGGCCCCAACAAGCCCCAGTGCCTGTTACCTCCGGCTCAGCCTCAGGAACAAGCTGATGAAGCTCAGTCTGCATGAGTGGCCTCTCGTTAGGACAAGAATTGCCGGGCAGGAGAGGAGCATCCTCCAAGTTCTCAGGCCCCTCCGCTGTTGCAGGGCTCACCCCAGTCTCCATGACAACACACAACTGGCTCAATCTGCTTCTCAGCAAGGACTGCAAAGGAAACAGAGAAGGGGCTCAGGAGTGCCTAAATCAGGTGGTATCTGCGAGGCTGAGTCCCTCCCCAAGCTGCAGACCGAGCAGAAGATGAGGTCTCAGACTCAGATGATGACCTCAGAAAAAGCTGGTCGCATTCGGGATATTACATAATTCCCTACAGATGGTCATTAATAGCTCTAAATATTTTTCCTTTTATAACCAGGCATGGTGGCTCATGCCTGTAATCCCAGCACTTTGGGAGGCCAAGGCAGAGGGATCACTTGAGACTAGGAGTTCAAGACCGGCCTGGCCAATATGGTGAAACCCAGTCACCACTAAAAATACAAAAATTAGCCTGGTGTGGTGGCACGCACCTGTAGTCCCAGCTACTCAGGAGGCTGAGGCATGAGAATCGCTTGAACCTGGGAGGCAGAGGTTGCAGTGTGTCAAGATGGCGCCACTGCACTCCAGCCTGGGTGACACAGCAAGACTCTGCCTCAAAACAAACAAACAAATATTTTTCCTCTCATGCTCTCACTTGCTCAAAGCAGCCTGGGATGTGGGTATCTTTATCCATATGTTGCAAATGAATAAACTGAGACTCAAAGGCCCTGCCTGAGGCCACACAGGAACTAATGAGCCAAATTCAGGGCTAAGTCACAACTCTGACTTCAAGACTCACTGCAGCCGGGGCTCAGAAAAGGCTAATCCTAGAGAAGGAGCCCAGGGCTTGGAGACAGGAGGCCTGGCCTCCAAACCTGGGCATCACCAGCCAGCTCCATGACCACAGGCCGGTAACAGGTCATCCCGGAGCCTGTTTCCTCCTCTGTAGAAGCAGAGCAAGATCCCTCTGATTTTCTTAATAAACGGTAGAAAGGCACTGTGAACAAGTAAAAGTTGCCTCAATGCATGATACTTTGGAATCCACCAAAATTTATTAATATTATAATTATAAAGAAATATATGGCCGGGCGTGGTGGCTCACACCTGTAATCCCAGCACTTTGGGAGGCCAAGGCAGACGGATCACCTGAGGTCAGGAGTTTAAGACTAGCCTGGCCAACATGGTGAAACCCCGTCTCTACTAAAAATACAACAAATTAGCCAGGTGTGATGGCAGGCACCTGTAATTCCAGCTACTCCGGAGGCTGAGGCAGGAGAATCGCTTGAACCCACGAAGCGAAGGCTGCAGTGAGCAGAGATCACTCTACTGCACTCCAGTCTGGGCAACTGAGTGAAACTCTGTCTCAGGAAAAAAAAAAAAAAAAAAAGAAGAAATATATGCTCACCATAGGAAATGTAGAAGAAGCGAGGCATTAAAAAGAAGCAGAAAAGCAGCCATAATTCCCTAGGCAAAACAACCACTGATTGCTCGTAGGTATTCTTCCAAGTAACTTTTTCTCAGACATTTTCCCACCCTTAAGATAATGAAATCGATACAACTTGGCCTCCTGGTTTTTGTTTTGTTTTTTCACTGAAGATATCTTACCTCTTGGCTAGTCTTCATTTCTTGAACATGATCAGACAAAAACTGCACACAGTTCTCCAGGTCGAAGTAGACAAACCAAAGCTGTGGGGAGAAGCAGCAGTGACCACCGTGGCTCAAGGGCAGCCCAACCCTGAACTCTTCCTCCCTGAGACAGTCCTATTTAGCCTGCTGTCTGGCAGGAAGGTGCCATTTGGCACCATGACAATGTCTCATTTGTATGGTTGGTAGAAAAATGGCTTTGTGTGCACGTTTAGAAAAGGTCAAACCCTAGGCCAGATGCAGTGGCTCACACCTGTAATCCCAGCACTGTGGGAGGCCGAGGCAGGCAGATCACTTGAGGCCAGGAGTTCAAGACCAGCCTGGCCAACATGGTGAAACCCATCTCTACAAAAAATACAAAAAATTAGCTGGGTGTGGTGGTGGACACCTGTAATCCCAGCTACTCAGGAGCCTGAGGCACAAGAATCACTTGAACCTGGGAGGTGAAGGTTGCAGTAAGCCAAGATCACACCACTGCACTCCAGCCTGGGTGACAGAGAAAGACTCTGTCTGAAAAGAAAAGAAAGAAAAGAAAAGAAAAGAAAAAGTTAAACCCTGTTCAAAATGGCTGCGGCCCCATTTCCCACAAGCTGCTGAGCATCCCAGACAGACTCCGAACCCTCCTGGACATCACCTGTCCACCTGAGGCTACCTTCATCCTCAATGGGCGGGGCGTGAACATGCAAATGAGTGAAACCCTTCAGAGCTGACACCTGTGGCCCACAACCAGGTCTGAGGTAATCAACCTGGTTGCCTGTGGGGACAGAAGCAGGGTGAGAAGTCCGTACCCCACCTGTGCCTCCCCTTCCACCCCAGGGGCCGGCCAAGCTAAATTTAACCAGGCTGAAATCTTCCACATTCACATTACGACAACCTGTCAAGACCACAGCTGCCACACATCCTAATTGAAGTTCTTGGAGAAACTGGTGGCCCTTGCCCCAAACTCCCATCCACTGGCCACCTCCTCTGGTTCCCAGACCTCCTTCCTCCCACTGACTGACCCATGAGACCCAAAGTCACAGCCTTCTTGCCAACTAGTCTCCCAATGTCATACCCACAAGGGAGGATTTCTCAAATGGTTCCTTTAAAGCTTTTTACTATGAAAATTTCCTAGCATATTCAGAAGTAGATGACAGCAACCCATCCTCCCGCTGCAACTGTTAGGTCACCTCATGGCCACTCTTGGTTCATCTCCATCCTCACTCGGTACCCGTCCCCAACACCCCAACCTCCACTGCACCCCCCAGTGAATCTGAAGGACATGCCAGATAGTGTATCACCTCATCCCAAGATACTATTTAGAAACTGAAAGACTCAAGTTGTCTAAAAAGATGTGTCCATTCTTTTTTTTTTGAGACAGGGTCTCACTCTGGCACCCAGGCTGGAGCGCAGTGGCGCGATCACAGCTCACTGCAGCCTTGACATCCCGCGCTCAGGTGATCCTCCCACCTCAGCCTTCCAAGTAGCTGGGACTACAGGCATGCGACACCATGCCCAGCTAGTTTTTGTACTCTTTGTAGAAACAGAGTTTGCCATGTTGCCCAGGCTGCTGGTGTTGAACTCTTAGATTCAAGCAATCCACCTGCCTCAGCCTCCCAAAGTGCTAGGATTATAGGGGTGAGCCACTGAGCCCACCTGATGTGTCTCTTTTTTGTTTTGTTTTGTTTTTATTTTTTTTTTTTGAGATGGAGTCTCGCTCTGTTGCCCAGGCTGGAGTGTGGAGTGCAATGGCACAATCTCAGCTCACTGCAACCTCTGCCTCCCGGGTTCAAGTGATTCTCCTGCCTCAGCCTCCCAAGTAGCTGGGACTACAGGCGCACACTGCCACGCCCTGCTAATTTTTTTATATTTTTAGTAGAGACGGGGTTTCACCACGTTGCCCAGGCTGGTTTCGAACTCCTGAGCTCAGGCAATCCATCCGCCTCAGCCTCCCAAAGTGCTGGGATTACAGATGTGAGCCACCACGCCCAGCCCATTCTTTAGTCATCTATCCATCCGTGCATTCATCTAACACATGTCAAGCCACTCCTACGTGCCAACGGATAAAGGAGATTCAAAGATAAACGAGGCTAAAAAGGACCCCCACATTCCAGGAGCTCCCAGTCTACAATGTCACACTTGAACTGCCGAGAATCTTGTGATGTCATCTGCTTCACTCCAATGATAGGCAAGATCATCTTATACCTACACCATCTTGGGTGTGATAGGCTCCACAAACATAGGGACCTGCATGTGTTCTCTGCTGCAGCCTCAATCCCTGGGACAGTGCCTGGTACACAATAGGCTCTCAATAAACATTCGTGGAGGAACTGAGGCAGGTGCATGAGGAGCCTCTTCCCAGGTCCCCCGTGCACACCTACCTCTGGGCTCCCACCAGGCAAGGGGCCATGACTGGTGAGAATGCAGATGTGGTGCCAAGGAGGTTTTGCAATTCCACTGGGCAGATCAGGCATGGATGGAGGAACAGGAGAGTTCAGCCAGGATCAGGAGATCTGGCCTAACTGTGTTCTGACCCACCCTGCCACGCCATACTAGTCACTTTCAGATCTCCCCCCAACCTTCGGGGCAAAGAGAATGACCAAGCCAGGCAAACAAGGCCTTCAGCATCTGACCTGCCTCTCCGGCCTCATCTCTCCCCGCTGTGTCACTCTGGTATAGCCCCAGCCATGGTGAGCTCCATGCAGCCCTTCAAAGGGACCCTGTGTACCTTGCCTCTCAGCCTTGTTGGGGGCTGTCCGTTTGCTATAAGGCCAGAGAGGCTACTGTTGACTGTCTCACTGTATGCCTGTCATCCTCTGCCAGGACAGGGACCTTGCATGGGCCCCTCAATGTCGCCAGTGTCCAACCGAGGGCACAGCACAGAGGAGGCTCCGTCTGCTGAATAAATGCCAGGTGAGCAGCAAGGTGTGGACATTATCTGTGCTTCCCTTCCAGCCCTGCCACGTGGAGGTTCCAGGCCACTGGTTACTGCACAGAGAAGGTGTCTTGAGGAAGAAACACCAGGGCAGGGAGGAAGGAAAGGGCTGCCAACAGCCATCTCATTAGCAGACTACTGCAAACACTGTGTAGGCTGGGAGAACATGAGGCCACTGCTCTCCATTAGCCCAACATAAAACTGGGCCATCAGGAAGAGGTAACTATGAGACACAGCACCTGAATCACACTCTGGCATCCTTCCACTGTGTCTGTCACCCCCAGCAGCACCCGGTGTCTCAGGAGGGCTCCATTGGCAGCTGCCAGCCTCAGGTCCGTGTTGGTGTTGGCCTGTAAGACAAACGCCAGGCCCATCACCAGACCTCCATGCTACTGGGGAGCTCCCAGGCTCTGGGCAGTAGAAACACACCATCCCACCCCCAGATGCCAAGGGACAATCCCCACCCTCAGGACTGTCCCATTTCCTCCCCTATTAAATGGTCGGGGGTGGAGGCAGTCACAGTGACTCATGCCTGTAATCCCAGTGTTTTGAGAGACTAAGGCAGGAGAATTTCTTGAAGCCAGGGGTTTGAGGCCAGCCTGGACAATGTAGCGAGATGCCGTCTCTATAAAAAATTGTTTAAAAATTAACTACGTGGGGCCAGGCGCGGTGGTTCACGCCTGTAATCCCAGCACTTTGGGAGGCCGAGGCAGGTGGATCACAAGGTCAGGAGTTCGAGACCAGCCTGGCCAACATGGTGAAACCCCTTCTCTACTAATAATACAAAAATTAGCTGGGCGTGGTGACACACACCTGTAGTCCCAGCTACTCGGGAGGCTGAGACAGGAGAATTGCTTGAACCCAGGAGGCAGAGGTTGCAGTGCACAGAGATCACGCCACTGCACTCCAGCCTGGGCAACAGAGTGAGACTCTGTCTCAAAAAAAAAAAAAAAAATTAACTAGGCATGTTAGCATCCACCTGTAGTCCCAACTACTTGGGAGGGTGAGGCGAGAGGATCACTTGAGCCCAGGAGTGTGAGGTTATAGTAAGCTATGATTGTGCCACTGCACTCCAGCCTAGGTGACAGAGTGAGACTCTATCTCTTAAAAATAAGGGAAGAAAAATAAAATGAGATGGGGGATAGTTGGAACAGTAAATTCAATAGTGTCAGACAGCCCTGGGATAAAGCCCAGCTCTGCTGCTTCCTAGCTATATGGCCCTGGACAAGGTATGTCCCTTCCCTGAACCTTATTTTCTTCAGTTGTAGAATAAAAGAATGTGTCTGCCTCCTAGGAATGGAGTGAGATTTCACTGAGATTGTGTGTAAAGTACTTAACCCAGGGCCTGGGACTCTGTCAAGGTTCATAAGATATTTGCGGAAGATGGGAGATCAAATGGGTTTGATCTGTTTGAGCTGACACATCAAATCTGTTGTGTAAGTGAAGCACTCACTCCATCTAGAAAGCACCTACTTTAAAGTACCTAACACAGCGCCTGGCCCTCAGGTGGGGCTCTGGGAATCAGCCTCCTGCTCTCCTACCCAAACCAATGGACGCCACGCATTCAGCTGGGAGAGTGGATGCTAAACAGGTGGGGGAGAAGAGGAGGGACAAGAGGACCCCAAATGCTGGTTTGGGGAAGTAAGCACAAGAGGACTTTCAGACTCAGTTAGAAGAGAGCAGCCTGATCAAGAATAATAGTTCTCAAAAGGGGCAGCACCCTGTAAGGGAGATTTTGGAAATGCAAGGAGGACCCTTTGGTTGTCACAGGGATGGGATGGACAGTGCTGGCACTTAGTGGATGAGGGCCAGGGGTTCTGAACCCATGCCTTCCACTGAAAGACATGTCCTATTAGAAACCATTCTGCATGTTCAAGACTGTCCCCTGGGCTGCCTGGATTCCAAATGTCCCACTGAGCATACATGCAGATAAAAAAAAATCTACTTAGAATTCTCTGGTCAGCCAACCTAACTCCAGTTTACATTTATACCTAAAGTGATTTTTTTTTTTTTTTTTTTGGAGACCTAGTCTCGCTCTGTCACCCAGGTTGGAATGCAGTGGTACGATCACAGCTCACTGCAGGCTTGACCTCCTGAGCTCAGATCTTCCTACCTCAGCCTCCCAAGCAGCTGGGACCACACATGCATGCCACCACACTCAGCTAACTTTTAAATTTTTTGTAGAGATCGAGTCTCACTATGTTGCCCAGGCTGGTCTCAAACTCCTAGGTTCAAGCAATTCTCCCACCTCAGCCTCCCAAAGTGCTGGGATTACAGACATGAGCCATCACGCCCAGCCACTTAACGTGATTGTTTGCATGAGTTTAATGTACACTGAATTTTCCAGGAATGCCTCTACTATGAAAATTGAGGAATAATTATATTTTGTTTTGCCTAGATCTGTAGTAAGAAGATTTGGATGTGGATTTGGATTTGATGTGGATTTCTTCCTTCTAGAAATCTGTATCACCAATAGTTCAATTCCTAACGTACCTCTCACTGCCCATATAACCTTGGGCAAATTACTAAACATCTCTGTGCCTCCATCTCCTTACCCCCAAATGGAGATAATAATGCCCCTACCTCAGAGGAGTATAATAAGGATGAAATGAGTTAATCCATGTAGAATAATTGAAAGAATTGAACACTTAACACATGTCAGCTGATAATATCACAGTGAGGATGACAGTGAACTTAAATCATTGTGTTTTCACTGTGCCATATTAGCCGCAAATATTTGTAGGAACTTGGAACTTCTCATGTGTCCTAGCAATGTGCCAGGACTTGCCTGCCTTTACAAACCAGCCAATCTTTTTTTTTTTTTTTTTTTTTTTTGAGGCAGGCTGGAGTATAATGTTGCCATCAGAGCTCACTGCAGCCTTGAACTCCTAGGCTCAAGCAATCCTCCCACCTCAGCCTCCCAGGACTATGGGCATGTGCCACCACACCCCGCTGATTTTATTTTTTGTAGAGACAGAGTCTCACAATGTTGCCTAGCCTGGTCTCAAACTCCTGGGCCCAAGTGATCCTCCCACCTGAGCCTCCCAAAGTACTGGGATTATAAGTGTGAGCCACCATGCCCGGCCCAAATCTTCCAATCCTGAGAAAGGCTAACAGTGAGCCAAAGGGAAAACAAGACAGTTATGCCAGACATTGATGCTCTCAAAGACATCAAGTAACAACAGAGAGGATGCTAACAGTAAGAGTGACAATGGTCAGGAAGAGGGGATCTGCATAGTCCTGAGTGACAAGGGATCCAGGGAGGAGGAGGTCCTGGAGCTGAGACCCAAAAGAAGACCTGAGAAGGGCTGTGTGGCCATGGACTGGTTACTTAACCTCTCTGAACTTCCGTTTCCTCACTGGCAAACAGAGTTAATAACAGTTAATACTTACAAAGCATTTACTTTACACCAGGTACTATTATAAACACTTTGTGTGTCTAAGTCATTTAATTCTCACAATAACCCTATGAGGGAGCTACAATTATTATCTCATGTTTTAGATGAGGAAACTGAGGCCCTGATAGATTAAGTAACTCACCCCAAGTTGCAGAGCTAGCAAATGGCGGCGGTATCCTGCCTCCTTATAAGGTTGTTGTTGGGCATAGACGTGAAGCCCCAAGCATACAGCATACAATAGGTGCTCATGAAATGATGGACATTATTAGGAAGAAAATAAGGAGTCTCCTAAATGAGCAGACAGTGATGATGGCATTGCCAGGATGCACCTGAGACCTCCATGCTGCACACAAGCCTTGCGCATTTTCTGGGATCTGTGCCTGGCACAGAGTAAGACCTGTCTTGGATGGATGGATGGATGGATGGATGGATGGATGGATAGATATATATTGTTGGAACAGTAAATTCAATAGTGTCAGTCCTGGGCCAGAGCCCAGCTCTGCTGTTTCCTGGCTGTGCGGCCCTGACAAGGTATGTCCTGGTACTATCAAGGGCTTCATAAATACCAGCTGAATAAAAGGAGGAAAGAAGAGACAGAGGCAGAGAGCCAAAGCAGGCATTCCCTCCACCATGTGAATTACATCCACATCCTCGAAGCACCTGTCAGGTGCCAATCTTTTTTGCTTGCTCCTGCTAACTAAAACAAAACACTTTGCTTCTTCCCCTCCCCAAGACAAAGTTCTTGCTGCAGGAGTAGCCAGCTCGATTTGTTTTATAGGCCAAACACAAGGGCCATGAAAGCTTCAACAGACCCCAAGGGCAGCATTATTTTGTCAGTCTTGTGGCAAAGCCCAACAAAGATCCTTACAGAATGAGTACACCATATAGTTCCCGTTTGTCTCGTGAACACACGCACTAAGTGGAATTCACACCCCAAATGCTGATTTACATTTCCCAACATCCTGCCCCCTCTTTCTGAGTCAGGCAAGATCAGAGTCCAGCACTGTGCCAGGGATCGGGGGATGGAGGAACAAGAGCTTCCCAAGTAGGTGGAAAGACAACATAGGTGTGGTAGCAGAGAAATGGTCCCCAAAGATGTCTAAATCCTATTCGCCAAAACCAGTGCAAATGTTGTTACACAGCAAAGGGGAGTTAAAGCCACCGATGAAATTTATGTTGTTAATCAGCTGACCTTAAAATTAGGAGATTATCTCAGATTATCCAGCTGGCCCAATGTAATCACAAGGGTCCTTAAAAGTAGAAGAGGGAGGCAAAAGAGCCAGAGAAGGAGATGTGAAAAAGATTGGATCTGCCATTGCTGGCTTTGAAGATGAAGAAAAGGATCACGAGCCAAGGAATGCAGAGGACCACTAGGAGCTAAACAGGCAAGAAAACAGATTCTCCCCCAGAGCCTTCAGAAGGAAGCAGCCCTGCCTGTACCTAGATTTTAGTCCAGTGAGACCTATGTCAAATATCTAACCTACAGAACTGGAAGATAATAAATTGGTGTTGTTTTAATCCAATAAGTTCATGGTAATTTGTTACAGCAGCTTTGGAAAACCAACAGTTTTCTCTAGCGTTGTGGCTAAGAACATGGCTTGGAATCTGAGGCCCTGGCCTTGATTTCCAACTCTGGCATTTATTAGCAGCATGGCCAGGGCTACTCTATGAGCCTGAGTCTAGGGTTCCTCGACTGCAAAGTGAGTGTAACAGCCTCTACCCAGATTTAATGTCGAAGGATTTAATGAGTTAATGTGTAAGCATTTAACAGAGGACCTACTACATATGATGTGCTCAGTACATATCAAAAGACAGACACTGAAGAGACAGAAAACAATTAAAATCATACATCAAGCTGGGAGGTATCCACCTCCTTTCGGAACATGATCAGGAACCAGAGGGCTCAGGGTTTGAACCCTGGCTCTGTCACTAACAGTGGGATCCAGGACAAGTTACCTAAACTCTCGGACCACCCACCTTGCCTCAAAGGTCATTGCTGGGATTAGAGACATGACTGTCAATAGAGCACCAGGTCGGCATCTGCCCGTCACAGGAGGGAATAATGTAAATTACCTCTCCCCAGACGTCAACTTTAGGCACCCTGTGCTGCAGGGTGGGTTCAGTAATCCTCCCTTGTTCATAGGGCTGTTGTGAGCACCCAGGGAGAGGAAGTGCATGAGAGGGCTCAGTTAACTAAAGTACTGTCAGGATACGGGCAATTACTGCTCTCCTCTCACATTCCCAAAACACAGCTTGCTTCCAGAAAAACAATCCACAGGGATTAGACAGGAAAAGCAGAGAGAACAATCACATACACAATTTGATTTCTTTTAGTCACTGGGCTTACGGGCTAGTGTGAATTTTCATGGCCAGGGAAATTCTTTGAGGGAGGCAAAAGGGAAAAATCTGATTCTCACGCCTGCACCGCTCTTCTGGAGAGAGTGTGGCAGGGATCTCCAGACATCTCACCTTCTTCTGGTGTCTTTCAAAGACCAGCACAAGAGTCAAGGTCAGGCTCACCGCGGCCAGGGTCACGAGCAGCATGCCAGCCCAGTGGTTCCCCAAGGCAAACATCTGACTGGTAGAGTAGATATTGGCCCACACCACCACATAGAAAACCTGCAAGATGCCAGACAGAGAGCATGGTCAGGAACTTCAGTCCTTGCATAAAGCAGCTCCATTCAAAGGGACACCTTTCAGACACTACTGATACCCTCCTTGGATTCAGACAGCTCACAGCACCAGTAAGAGATTGATGCAGTCACCTGGATCTGTGAGAATGAGCTAATGTTCCTTGTTTATAAGCAAAAGTAGACAAAAAGGGTTAGTAGCTACTCCTAATCCTTGTTTACCTTAATTTTAAATAAAACAGAAAAAGGCAGGTGGATCTGAAGTGAGACAAATATCAGTTCAAAGACCATAATGATCCTTCAAGCACTATATGGCTTTGGACAATTTATAACTCCCCTAAGTCTCAGTTTCCTCATCTGTAAAATGGGGATAATAACACCTATTTCACGGCATTGTAATAAGGGTTAACAAGGCAACATAAGTAACAGCCCAGCACTCACCAGGGAATGAATCAATGCTGGTTCCCACCCTTTTCCCTTCTCCCTAGAAGTGGGACCTGGGAGTCAGGTGTGCTATTTGACCATTTATACATACAAAACAGCAGCAAATCACAGTGGTTCCAAGCACAGACGCTGAAACCAGACTGCCTGGGTTCAAATCCTGGCTCTGTCATTTATGTATGTAAGTGTTTATATGTATCAATATGAAGATGTATACATATATTTTATATATATATACATATGTGTATACACACATATATATGTACATGTATATATGAATAGAGCTGAAATAACCCATCTGTTGAGCAGATGGGGAAACCAAGTTCCGGAGAGGAGGAAAGTCTTGGCCAAGGCCAGATATTGAGCCCAGAGCCTGGGTGGATCTGCAGACTCCCAATCCCAAGCTCTGCCCACAGTAAACCCTGACTCCCATCCTTTATGCAACGACCTGGTTACAACTCTCTCCCATAAATTTCCTCTGATCCCAAATCAATGTCCATATGTACTGCTCGTTTCCAGGCACCTGGGCCAACAGCCCCCAAGCCCCTGACCCACACCAACAGGCTCCAAGACACGGTGCTGAATTTGGTGGTGCCATAAGCTGTCAGGGCAGGGTCAGTGTGCGGGCCACCTCCCCCTTACCACAGCAAAGGCCAGCCGCATAGGCCTCGAGTTGTAGATGATATATCTTCTCACTTGGGGCTCCAAGAGGGCACTCTCAGCCAAGCTCCTGTACTGGTCAGCCGGGACCTGCTTGGAACCCAGGGAAAGAGATCAATCAGCCGCAGGACAGCCAGTTTCCAGTGCATGTGACTATCATGTGGAAGGGGGATTAGGCACATTCTGGGCTGTCCCAAAGGCAGAATGAGGAGCTTGGAGCACTGGGTGGAAGTCACATGGTGCAGCTCTCAGCTCAGGGAAGAACAGGCATCATGACATCTGGAGAAGGATCCACACAGCCTCAGACTCAGTACCTTGCAGCAGACACAGGGCAGCCTGATGGTTAAGGCATAGGCCCTGGAGTCAGACAGCCCTGGGCCCAAACTCTGGCCCTGCCACTCATGTGCTGTGTGACCTGGAGCAAGTAACCCCACTCCTCTGAGCCTGTTTTTTCCTCTGTAAAATAAGGATAATAAAAGTACCCACTTTGTAGAACTAAGGTACATATTAAATAATACATGTACAGTGCTGAGCAAAGGGCCAGTCCCTCAGTGAGCACTCAATATAGAGTTGCCACTATCAATACTGCAATATCAATATCTATTAATGCTGTCCAAAAGACTGAACACTCACATCTTCCTGCCCAAACAAAAGCGTCTATAGAATATAAAGGCCCCGTGAGAGTAGAACTAAGAAAACAGAACTTAACCATTAAAATGATATTTAGGCCAGGTGCAGTGTCTCACACCTGTAATCCCAGCACTTTGGGAGACCAAGGCAGGTGGACTGCTTGAGCCTAGGAGTTCAAGACCAGGCTGGGCAACATAGCAAGACCCTGTCTCTTTTTATAAAAATAAAAAAGAATGCCAGGCACGGTGGCTCACACCTGTAATCCCCGCACTTTGGGAGGTCAAGGCGGGCGGATCACGAGATCAGGAGTTTGAGACCAGCCTGGCCAACATGGTGAAACCCTGTTCCTGCTAAAAATACAAAAATTAGCTGGGCATGGTGGCACGTGCCTGTAATCCCAGCTACTCGGGAGGCTGAGGCAGGAGAATTGCTTGAAGCCGGGAGGCAGAGGTTGCAGTGAGCCGAGATCACACCACTGTACTCCAGCCTGGGCCACAGAGCAAGACTCTGTCTCAAAAAATTAATTAATTAATTAATTGAATTGAATTGAAAAAAATTATATTTAGGAACACGGTAGAACAATACGTAAACTGTTCACCCATAAGAAAACCCAATCTGCCAGGCGTGGTGGCTCATACCTATAATCCCAGCACTTTGGGAGGCCGAGGCGGGTGGATCACTTGAAGTCAGGAGTTCGAGACCAGCCTGGCCAACATGGTGAAACCCCGTCTCTACTAAAAAATACAAAAATTAGCCAGCCGTGGTGCATGCTTGTAGTTCCAGCTACTTGGGAGGCTGAGGCATCAGAATCACTTGAACCCAGGAAGCACAGGTTGCAGTGAGCCCAGATTGCGCCACTGCACTCCAGCCTGGGCAACAGAGCAACACTCTATCTTGAAAAAAAAAAAAAAAAAAGAAGAAGAAGTAAATTCTAAAATCTTCAGGCTAAAATTAGCAGTATATCTACCCTATTCATAATTAATCCTTAATCCTCCTTGGCCTTGGCTAGCACAGGAAAGGCCTGATCATGTTGGGGGCTTTGGGAAGAGAGTAAAACCCATACATATAGGTACTTCATAACAATAATAGCTACAATGTATTGAGCATTTACTATATACTAGAGACAATGCCAGGGTTCCTCAAGCATTATTGCATTTAATCTTAACAAAAACCCCTTGTAATAGGGATCAATATTATCCACATTTACAGATGATAAAACTGAGGCTCAGAAAGGTTAAATCACCTTCCTAAAGTCACACAGGTAGTGAGCATCGGAGCTAGATCTGCATCCAGTTCCACAGGTCTGTGAAGCCTGGCCTCAAATCACTATGCTTGAAGGTACTGCATCATTATCTAATGAATTCATATGGACTTTCCCTTGTATATGCAGTCCCCTCTCCTAAAATGCCCTTCCTCCTCTCCACCCAGCATATTCCTATTTATTCAAGATCCCAGATCAAGCATCTGCTCCTCTGCAAAGCTTTCACAACCACTGCCCTCTTCCCCCAGGCAAGTTTCTCATTTTCTCCTGTGAATGTCTTCACTGCCTGTGCATTCCTCTTCTGTGGCATTTATATGATACTGTCCCAATTTCTCCCACACACGTCCATCTTCCCCGCTGGGATCTGTGGACATAGGTACTGTGTCCTGTCCACCCCTATTATGTTTAGCCAGTTAAGTGCCTGGCACAGAGTGGGCACCCAAAAAAATACACATTTGTTAAGTGAGTTAACCGGGAAGAGAGGAAAGAGAGGGCACTTCTAATATACCTTCCTTATATACCCTACGACAGCTGGTACAGACTGTTTCATAAAGATTTTGTGAAAAACTGGATGAAAAGATAGAGGGATGAATGGATGAAAGAGAAAATGGTAGGGATTCAAGGAAATCAGCACTCACCTGGATGCCCCAAGTTTGCAGTTGCTCTTCTGCGGCTCCCAGGTCGAAGGAGATGGGTGCACAGGTATTGTCAATCCGGAGAACAGTGAGGACCTGGCCATTGTGGAGCTCTGGAAGCAGACCAGAAGCTTCATCTGGCTGAGTGATAACCATACCAGGCTCGTGGGGTGAGCCCGAAGCCTGGCGGCATCACACCTCTGGCCATGAGAACCTCCTCGCAACAAGGAGGGACACGGTGGCCATCCTCAAATCCTCTTGAGAGAAGGACTGGATTTGACTGGGAAGCCCCCAGGAGGCAGAATTAAGGCCAGAGGGAGGAGGCTCCTAGGACCACAATGTGAGACCATATAAGGAAGAATTTTCCAAGAGCAAAAGCTGTCCCCATAAAAAATAGGCATTTTTTGTCCCCACAAAAAAATGTTCCCCAACACAAGGAATATTTAAACAGAGACTGAAAAACTACATTGAGGGGGGTGATGCAGTGGACCTTTATTTAAGCATTGCAAAGAATGCTCAGCTGAATAAGTTAAATTCCCAGTAGGCTCAGAGAGTCTAAGTAAGAAATAACTGGTCACAGTAGGCAGAACAATGGCCCCAAAGATGTCCACACCCTAATCCCCAGAGCCTGCAAATATACTGCCTTCCATGGCAAAGGGTGGAAGTAAGGGGGCTCATTAGCTGGCCTTTAATAGGGAGACTATCCTGAATCATCCGGGTGGGCCCCATGAAATCACAAGGAACCTTAAACGTGGAAAAGCGGGACAGAAGTAGAGTCAGAGGGAGATTTGACTATGGATGAAAGGCAAGGAGGGATGTGGCATCGATCGCTTTGACCATGGAGGGAGAGGGCCATGAGCCAGGGAATGTGGGTGGCCCCAAGGGGCTGGACAAGGAAAGGAAATGGATTCTCCCCAGAGCCTCCAGAAAGAAAAACAGTCCTGCCACCAAGGGGATTTCGGCTCAGTGAGATCAGTGTCAGACATCTAACTTACAGAACTATGAAATAACAAATCCAGCTGGGTGCAATGGCTCACACCTATAATCCCAGCACTTTAGGAGGCCGAGGCAGATGGATCGCCTGAGGTCAGGAGTTCGAGACCAGCCTGGCCAACATGGTGAAACCCTGTCTCTACTAAAAACAAAAATTAGCCGGGCGTGGTGGCACGTGCCTGTAATCCCAGCTACTGGGGAGGCTGAGGCAGAATTGCTTGAACCTGGGAGGTGGAGGTTGCAGTGAACCGAGATCACGCCATTACACTCCAGCCTGGGCAACAAGAATGAAACTCCATCTCAAAATAAATAAATAAATAAATAACAAATCTGTGGTTGGTTTGGCTTGTTGTTGTTGTTGTTGTTGTTGTTGTTTTTTGGAGACAGAGTCTCTCTCTGTCACTCAGGCTGGAGTGCAGTGGCACGATCTCAGCTTACTACAATCTCCACCTCCCAGGTTCAAGTGATTCTTGTGCCTCAGCCTTTCAAGTAGCTGGGATTACAGGCATGCACCACCATGCCTGGCTAATTTTTGTATTTCAGTAGAGACACAGTTTCGCCATGTTGGCCAGGCTGGTCTCAAACTCCCAGCTTCATGTTATCTGCCCGCCTCGGCCTCCCAAAGTACTGGGATTACAGGCATGAGCCACTGCACCTGGCCCAAATCCGTGGTTTTAAGCCAGTATGTTAGTGGTAACTTGTTATAGCAGCAATAGAAAACTAATACACTGATTTACTGTAATCCCTCCTACGTATGGCTGCAACACACTCCGCATTTCAAAAGCATAAAATACGTGTTTATTCCCTCAAAAAACACGCATCAACCCAGGCTGCTCACAACTGCTACCAAAGCCCCCGCCCTCCAAGGGTAGGATGAAGCCAGACCATGAGACCAGCTGGAGAGAAAAGTCTGGACTGAAATCCCCTCAAGACCAGGGAGGAATGGCAGCAGCACAAAGCCAAACCTACCTGCCTGCAGTTCCAAGTAGAGAAACTGGACAAAAGGATCGAGATCTCCTTGCACCACAGTACAAGGCCCTGTGAGCCACTGGTCAGCAGCCAGGAGGTCTGGGGGGTGGGAGAGATTCCAGCCCTGGGATTCTAGGATCCCAGGTTTCAGCCATGCACTGCTGAGGACTGGATATTTTGGCATATTCTCTATGGCGGCTGCTTAGACAATGAGGCAGGACAGAAGAGATTAAAGCATAAGTGTGTTGTCTGCTGATCCAAAACTCCTGTCACCCCAGTCTAGCTCTGAACAGTACTTGAGTCTTCAAAGCCAAATGACTCACTCCACTTTCCAGGAAATTCCTGGCCTATCCAAACCCTCTCTCTCCCTGCTCCCCCAATGTATCACCAAGCCCTGCCAACTAGGCAAACAAAACATCTGTCCACTCTGTGCCCTCCTGGCATCCTCACCTCTCCCTTGGCCCTCTGCAGTAGCCTCCTAAGTGGCTTCTGCTGCAAACCTACCTTTACTTCTACAATGCATCTTCCACACAGTGGCCAGGGTGCAGATCAGATGACACCAATGCCTTGAGAAAACTTTCAATCGCTTCCTGTTGCTTTGCAAAAGCCAACCTTGTTACCACGTTCTTCCAGCCCTTAGGAAAACTAGCCTCCTGCCAGACTCAGCTTGAGCCCCTCAGCCTCGTTCTATGTCTCACCACACCCGCCTCCTTCAGTCCCTGAACATGATGTTCTCCCCCACCCCAGGGCCTTTGCATATACTGTTCCTCTCTCTAGGACACGTCTACCTAGCTTCACCCAGTTACAGCCCATGCATCATTTGTATCCCAGCTCATGATTCACTTTCCCCAGAGAGGCCTCCTTGACACTCTAAACTCCTAACTGATCAAATCCTCTGCTAAACCTACCATAACTGACGCTCTTCTCCTTAATACTCGCCCAAGCTAAATACCTATGTATGCAATTATTTGATTACATATGCATGAAATTACTTGAATAAAATCTATCTTTTCCACCAGACTATACACTCTCACACTGGTTTGTTCATCACTGAATCCCCTGATCTGATACAAACAGGAGGCACATTAAATACACGTTTGGTGTATAAACAAATTAATAAGATAGGAAAAGGTTCTTTTTCTTTTTTTTTTTTTTGAGACAGCATCTCACTCTGTCACCCAGGCTGGAGTGCAGTGACACTAACATGGCTCACTGCAACCTCCACCTCCCAAGGCTCAAGCAATCCTCCCACGTCAGCCTCCCAAGTAACTGGGATCATAGGCATGCACCACCACACTCAGCTAATTTTTTTTTTAATTTTTTATTTTGTAGAGATGAGGTCACTATGTTGCCCAGCCTGGTCTCAAATTCCTGGGCTCAAGGAATGCTTCCATGTCAGCCTCCCAAAGTGCTGGGATTACAGGCCTGAGCCACTGCACCCAGAGAGGAAAAGGTTCTTTTTTCATACCCTGGGATATCATCTCTGATCTCAAGGGTTCCACAGAATTCTAAATTCCACCTCCTGCCAAAAAGAAATTTATTTTGCTTTTTTTCTCTCTCTCCTGTTTTTTTTTGGAAGTGGTGGGGGACAAGGAGGCGAGGTGGTGAGTGGTGAAAACACAAGCTAGATAGCTTTGGAGTTCAAATTGGAGCTCGGCCTCTCACTAACATGGTAAAGTTGAGGAGGAAACTTAAACCCATGGGCCTGTTTCCTTGCTTAGAGGACGTACACATCCACTGCAAAGGACTTTACAAATAATTAACGTGATAAAAATAAAGTGCTCAGCACAAGATGGGTACAAAATAACTGGCTGCTATTTTCATAATTTAAAAGCAAGCTTGTCACAACTCAAAAGTTACAATCAAGCAACATTGATTTATTTGTGTTTTTACCCTCCCACACCTTGTTCCATATTTTATTTCATAAAAATAAAATATGAAAAGATAAAACTGGCCAGGCATGGTGGCTCACGCCTGCAGTCCCAGCACTTTGGGAGGCTGAGGCAAGTGGATTACTTGAGCCCAGGAGGTTGAGATCAACCCGGGCAACATGGTGAAAAACCCCGTCTCTACAAAAAAATACAAAAAATTAGCCAGACGTGGTGGCACGTGCCTGTCGTCCCAGCTACTCGGGAGACTAGGGTAGGAGGATCACCTGAGCCTGGGAGGTCAAGGCTGCAGTGAGCCAAAATCACGCCACTGTATTCCAGCCTGGGCAACAGAGTGAGATCCTGTCTCAAAAAAAATAAGTAAGTAACTAAAACTATAAAAATAATTTTTTTTTTGAGATGGAGTTTCGCTCTTGTCACCAAGGCTGGAGTGCAATGGTGCGATCTCAGCTCACTGCAACCTCCGCCTCCCAGGTTCAAGCAATTCTCCTGCCTCAGCCTCCCGGGTAGCTGGGATTACAGGTGTGCGCCACCACACCCGGCTAATTTTTTGTATTTTTCATAGAGATGGGGTTTCACCATGTTGGCCGGGATGGTCTCAAACTCCTGACCTCAGGTGATCCGATCCACCCACCTAGGCCTCCCAAAGTGCTGGGATTACAGGCATGAGCCACCATGCCCAGCCTAAAAATAAATTTTAAAATAAGCAAATGAGGAAAACCAGAAAAAACAACAAAAAAAAAGGCAGACAATAAGAACAGGTTCTGGATGTGGAGCCATTTACTAAGCACCAGGCACTATGCTTGGGCTTCATTCATGATTTCATTTCATCCTCCAAGAGCCCCCGAAGCTTGGTACCATCAGCATGGAAAAGAAAACTGAGCCTTTGAAAAGTGAAGAAACTCCCTTGTAAACAGGGAAAATGAAAGTGAGAACAAGAAGCAAGAAGGGAAGGTAGTGCAAAAATGCAGGCAGTCAAGCAGATCCGGTCTCAGACCAGCTCTCCAGTCCACAGCAAGAATGAAAACTCCACGTTGATTTGGACTCCACGCATGGAGACTCAGAACCATTCCCAGGTCTAGGTCGTTGTACACTGAATTACGTGTTTGCCCAAGCAATGCAAAGATCCTTCAGGATGTCTTTGTTTGCCTTTCGAACCAAGAGTTCCTGGATTCTTGGCAATACCAGCTCTCATCTGTTCCTTAAAGTGAGAACAGCAAGTCCTCCGCTTAAAAATACTTGTTTTTACACCTAGGCTAAGTAAAGCTACCAAAGAAAAATGTGTGTGTCTGTGTGTGTGTGTGTGTGTGTGTGTGTGCACGCGTGCACGCACGCGCAGAGGGGGAAGCAGTTTCCTACAAAGGAACAAGAACTGACGTGCCAAAAATCAGTGAAGCAATGTCTTCAAAGTTCTGATAGAAAAATTATTTCATTCCATCTTGTTCTACTTTTGTGTGTGTGTACACACTGCTTTCCTTACATATATACACACACATTGCTTTCCTAACAACACTAGTAACAAAAGAAGCCTTTGTTTTTAAGCAGTCAAATTTCAAAGCCTCTAAAAAACCCTCCACATTCCCGTGGGCCCCCACAATTCTGGATGCTGTTTCCCCTTGCCCATATCCAGCTACTCATTAATTCTTTCATTCAACAAAATATTGATTGAGCATCTACTATGGGCCAAGGTCTGTGCTAGGTACTATAGATACAGGGATGAAAAAGACAGAAGCCCCTTCCTTCAGGGAGCTTACACTCTAGTGAAGAAGCCAGACTTCAACACTTTATACATAATTATTTACAGACTATGATAAATGCTAGAGGGAGAAACAGGAATATATCAGAGGGTCCTGACTTAGGCTGAGCCACCAGGAAGATTCTTCAAGGAAGGGATATTGAACTAAGTTCTGAAGAATGAATGGAAATTCTTTTTCTTTCTTTTTTTTTTTGAGATGGAGTCTCACTCTGTCACCCAAACTGGAGTCCAGTGGTGTGATCTCGGCTCACCGCAACCTCTGCCTCTCTGGTTCAAGTGATTATCCTGCCTCAGCCTCCCTAGTAGCTGGCATTACAGGCGCCCGCCACCACATCCAGCTGATTTTTAGTAGAGAAAGGGTTTTACCATGTTGGCCAGGTAAACATGTACTCAAGTACTGTTTGAACTCCTGACCTCAAGTGATCTGCCCACCCTGGCCTCCCAAAGTGCTGGGATTACAGGTGTGAGCCACCATGTCTGATGGATGAATAGAAATTCATCAGGAGAAAGGAGGCAAGGGAAAAGCACAACAGGCAGAAGGGAATGCAGGTGCAAAGGTCCTGAGGCAAAACAGCACAGCAAAGAATATGAAGGCAGGCCTTCACACTAAGCCCCATGGAAAACACTGAGCAGAAACTGACATGGTTGGACTAAATGTGTATTTTAAAAAGATATCTGGGGCCAGGTGTGGTGGCTCACGCCTGTAATCCCAGCACTTTGGGAGCCCAAGGTGGGCGGATCACCTGAGGTCAGAAATTCGAGACCAGCCTGGCCAAGATGGTGAAACCCCATCTCTACTAAAAATACGAAAATTAGCTGGGCGTGGTGGTGGGTACCTGTAATCCCAGCTACTCGGGAAGCCGAGGCAGGAGAACTGCTTGAACTTGGGAGGTGAAGACTACAGTGAACCGAGATCATGCCACTGCATTCCAACCTGGGCAACAGAGTGGGACTCCATCTCAAAAAATAAAAAAAATAAAAAATTAAAAACCTCTGGGCCCCATTCCTGTAACCCCAGCACTTTGGGAAGGCAAAGCCAGAGGACTGCTTGAGGCCAGGAGTCTGAGACCAGCCTGGGCAACAAAGTAAGGCCCCAACTCTACAAAAAACATTTTTAATTAGCAGGATGTAGCGGTGGATGCCTGTAATCCCAGCTGTTCAGGGGGCTGAGGTGGGAGGATTACTTGAGCCCAGGAGTTCCAGGCTCCAGTGAGCTACAATCACGCCACTGCACTCCAGCCAGGATAACAGAGCAAGACCCTGTCTCTAAATAAGTAAAAATAAATCAGAAATATAAATAAATAATAAAGAGCTCTCTGGCTGCCATGTAAAGAATAAATGGAAAAGAGAAGACCAACAAGCAAGCTACAGCAGGGGCTCAGCAGAGAGTGATGGTGGCTTGGTCTAAGGCCAAGAGACAGAACTGGTAAAAATGACAGAATATGGCCTCAAAGACACCTCCCCCTGACCTTATCTAAAGGAACTTCTGTGCCCTGTGAGTCCAGTTCAGCATGAGGTAGAAAGAAGGTGGAAAATGAAAGGTCATGATCTTACCTTGCCCCCAGCCAGGAGGGCTCCCTCCAGGCAGGGCACTCCAGCCAGGGGAGGAGGGGGGCAATGGGCCAGTGGCCCCCGGGTCCACCTGTGGTTCACAGGCCATGGCAGGGCGCCAGCTGTTTCTACTTCCCCTTCTCAGAGCTGTGGTTCATTCTGGAGCAGCCAGCTCAGCATCATATGCCTTCAGAAAACAGCACAAAAAAGAACTTCAGGCCTGAGCCTGGGCAAGCCGGGGTTCCTAGGGGCTGTCTCCAGGGCCAAAGTCACCAAAGGCCAGGGAGAGTTACCCGGACTCTTTTTGCCAACTTTGGCCTTTTTGAACATGCTGAGAAAAATTCCCAGGAGGAGAAGGAGGAGGAAGAGAAACTAAAACCTTCCAAGGCCCAAACTGAGAACTTCCCTTCTGGTCTTGGGTCTTCTCCAGCTCAGGCACAGCCAGGGGCCCACAGGGAACTCAAGAGCTGACCAGGCCCCACTGCCAGGCAGTTGGGATTTCTGTTCCCTTACAGAGGATGCCCCAGGCAACCAGGCACAGGACAGGTATATTCATTACAGGGAGTCTTGTTTACACACAGGATTTCAAGTAGCTTCCTGTAAGACACTGCAAAATACACATTAAAAAAAAAAAAAATCAGCCAGGCACGGTGGCTCACGCCTGTAATCCCAGCACTTTGGGAGGCTGAGGTGGGTGGATCACCTGAGGTCAGGAGTTTGAGACCAGCCTGGCCAACATGGTGAAACCCCACCTCTACCAAAAACACAAAAATCAGCCGGGTGTGGTGGTGCACACTTGTAATCCCAGCTACTCAGGAGGCTGAGGCAGCAGAACAGCTTGAACCCAGAAGGCAGAGGTTGCAGTGAGCTGAGATTGCACCACTGCACTCCAGCCTGGGTGACAGAGAGAGACCCTGTCTCAAAACAAAAACAAAAACAAAAACAAACAAACAAACAAAATCAGATGGTAGGAAATATAAATGAAAAAGAAGCCAGGCGCGGTGGCTCACACCTGTAATCCCAGCACTTTGGGAGGCCGAGGCTGGCACATCACGAGGTCAGGAGATCGAGACCATCCTGGCTAACATGGGGAAACCCCGTCTCTACTAAAAATACAAAAAATTAGCCAGGCGTGGTGGTGGGAGCCTGTAGTCCCAGCTACTTGGGAGGCTGAGGCAGGAGAATGGCGTGAACCCGGGGGGTGGAGCTTGCAGTGAGCAGAGATCGCGCCACTGCACTCCAGCCTGGACGACAGAGCAAGACTCCGTCTCAAAAAAAAAAAAAAAAGAAAAGAAAAAAGAAAAAGAAAAGTAGGCCGAGCACGGTGGCTCATGCCTGTAATCCCAGCACTTTGGGAGGCCAAAGTGGGCGAATCACCTGAGGTCAGGAGTTTGAGACCAGCCTGGCCAACATGGCAAAACCCCGTCTCTCCTAAAAAATACAAAAATTAGGCCAGGCATGGTGGTGGGCACCTGTAATCCCAGCTGCTTGGGAGGCTGAGGCAGGAGAATCACTTGAACCTGGGAGGCGGAGGTTGCAGTGAGCTGAGATCGTGCCACTGCACTCCAGCCTGAGAGAGCAAGACACTGTCTCAAAAAAAAGAAAAAAGTAGCAGCCACAGAGAACAAAAATACCCAGATATTCAAGCAATCAGGCTCCCTAGCAGAGACAGTGGTGGTTTGTTTTGAAGAACATGGTCTCCAAAGTCAGACTAACCAGTTTAAACGCCAGTTCTAGGCTGCTCTGAAAGTAGTGCATTATCTCAATTGTGTGTTCACAGTCAGTTACAGACCAAACTCCTTGTTCTACTCTTTTCTCCCCTTCTCACTACTGCACTTGACTAGCCTCAAAAAAGAAATGTTTTTAAGCCAGCTCTACCACCTCTTAGTTATGTCAACTTGGGCAAGTGGTTTAATCTTAGACAGCTTCAGCTCTCCAAATCTGGGTACCCTCCCCACAGGGTTGCCGCAAAGGATCAATGGATGACACATATAAAGGACATACAACAGCATCTGAACAAAGGACACTCTCCAAAGCCCCTACAGCCAGGTCATTGAGAGGCGTAGCAGGAACCACTCAGTCACGTTCATCAGCAAAAGCAGTGACACCACCCAGCACGGTGGCTCACGCCTGTAATCCCAGCACTTTGGGAGGCTGAGGCGGGCGGATCACTTGAGGTCAGGAGTTTGAGACCAGCCTGGCAAACATGGTGAAACCCCGTCTCTACTAAAAATACAAAAATTAGCCGGGCATGGTGGCAGGCGCCTGTAATCCCAGCTACTCAGGAGGCTGAGGCAGGAGAATCACTTGAACCCGGGAGGCAGAGACTGCAGTGAGCCGAGATCACGCCACTGCCCTCCAGCCTGGGCGACAGAGAGAGACTCCATCTTAAAAAAAAAAAAAAAAAAAAAAGGCAGTGACACCTGTCATGGGTGTTTCCTTAATGAGAAACTGAGTTTCCAGTGCCACTCCCTCCAGCAGCAACCTGCACATTTACCTCTGTTATGTGTCCTCCAGCAGGCCTGAAAATCACCCCTCACCAAGGAAAATCAGGCTTATGTCCCCTGGGATGACACACCAGCCCTGCTAACTAACCATCTTGGTGAAAGGTCTACTAGAATCGTCTTTTGCTGCCATGGTTCTAGATGTTTGTGAAGATATGAAGTGGCCAGTCAGCACACATCTTCATGATTCCAAGCTGGCCCAAGGGCTGATGGCCACTGATCAGGCCCCCTAGAGGGGGAACAGGGCTCTCATGCCCTCACCATTTTTCACTTCTCTCAATACTTTAAACAGCAGCAGCTACAGAATGGGCCCAATGCGAAATGAAAATGTGGGGCCTCTTCTACAAAAATAATGAAGAATTTCAAGATGGCGACAGCACAGCATTAAACCAAATGGGAGGGGCTTCCTAAGTGGGGGACCCTGTGTGACTGCACAGATTGCATGCACCTGAAGCTGGCCCCGATTTTCAGCTCTGGAAGATCACTTAGGAGCCCCCTCTCCCAACCAAGACTATGTAAAAGACAAGCCTTTAACAATTATCATGTATCTGCCCTGCACTGGGCTCTAAGGCTACAAAGCAGCAAACTATGAAAACATTGAAGACTTTAGAGCCAGAAAACCTGGACTTAAATTCCCACTCTGCCACATACATGCTCTTTGACATTAGCTGTCAAGGTACTTAACAACCCGAACCTTGCTGTTCTCATCTGTAAAATGGGGATAGAGAGGTCTACCTCCTATAGCTGCTGTGGGGATGTAACAGAAGGAAATGCAAGCATAATATCCAGTACTCGGCTCACCAGACAGGCCCCTTTCCTCAACATGATTTTCCTATTTTACAGGAGAAAAAACCGCAGGTCAAAGATGTAAAGTGACTTGCCCAAGGTTGGGAGGCTATGCTACCAGCCATGGAGCCAGGAGATAAACCCAAGCCATCTGGCTCCAGGGTCCAAGCCCATAATTTCCATGCCCTTGCCCCTCTGCACTCTAGTGTGACTGTCTCTGAGAATGTTCATGAAATCACCCTTACAAAACAAAACAAAACAAAACAAAAAAGAGTGAGTCAAGGGAGACTGCATTTCCCAGGCAAGATCAAGCAACAAATGCAAGTCAGCCCTGAGATGCTACTCTGGGGATGGCAGGGGCCTTCTCCTCCTCACCTGGCCCACAGCAGGAGACTCTCCTAAATATGCTAAGTGTTTCTCACTCTCATCACGCCTTACTTTCTTCCTGTACCAACAAAAATAGCCACAAGGATCTCTGCCCTGCACTTGATAATCACTGAAGCCCTTCCCTCCTTCATTTGATCATCTCTTAGGCCCCTGAGGCAGATATAATTCTGAGATCCATGTTCCAGACAAGAAACGAAGGGACATCGTAGCTAGGGGCCTACAGCCCAGAGAAGCTGTACTAGAGTCTCAAAAAGGCCTGGGGGACCGAGCAGCCACGAGGGACCATGCCCAGGCTGGAGTTGCACAGGTAGCCTTTCAGACTGCGTGGAAGGTTCCATTTGTTGCAAAATCCCCCCATGAGGCAATGTCTTTCAGAAGAAACCACAGCACTCTACTTGGCCCCATCAGCCTCTCACAAAGTACTAATCAGCAGGCTTTATTCCATTCACCTGGAGGCTGTTTCCTGTAATAGCTAAAAGTAACCGGCCCTGTCCTGCCGCTTCTCACCTGTGTAACCTTGAGTAAGTTACTTCTCTGCCTCAGTTTCCTTACATGTAAGTGGGGATAACGACAGTAACTTCAGGTGGTTGTGAGGTTTAAAGAGTTCACACATGTAAATCACTCAAAATAGCACTGGGCAAGTAGGAATCATTGAAGAAATATAGCTGCCATCATTTTTACTCCACAGACATTTCCTAAGCACCTTCTCAGGCCAGGCCCTGTGCTATCTTGAGCACGAAACTGGAAATAAAATCTGAAGTTCCTACTCAGCCCTCCCTGCTAGGGATCACCATCTGGTAGGAAAGACAAACTCAGGGAAAGACAATTACAAAACAAACAATTGCAACAAGGCAGTGAGAGGGAGCACCTTGGTTGGGGTGGGGGAAGGGTTCTCCGGAAGGCTTCCTGGAGGAAGGAGGCTCCTGGGCTTGGCAAAGGTGGAGGTGAGAGCCAAGAGAGGCCAGTGCCAAGCAGAAAGGGATATGGACCAGAGGCCAGGACATGCCCATCAGGGCAGCCTGTGTGGTCACCTTGCAGCCCCTCATTCAACCAGGAAGCTGCAGAGGGCAGGAGGGGTGCTGGCAAGACCTCAAGGGCAGATGCCTATCATATGTCCTGAACCCCATTTCCCCATCCAGCTCAGCCCTGCACCAGCCCGAGGATAACACAGAAGGTCAGACAGACAGCAGGGTGGAGGCAGAGCAGGGGGAGTGAGCACAGCCTTGAGGCCCCTGCAACTAAGCAGGAAAACTAGAGCTTCTCTGGGTCTCCTCTGCTGATTCTGCATTTTAACCAGAACTTCCAGATATCCATCTTGCACAAGGTCAACTCCCCTCTTTTTCAGCCCGTAGAGAGCATCTGCAAAGGAACATACTCTTAAGTCCTATTGCGCAAAGGCCCCCAGCTCTGCAGACACCGAGTGCCCAGCCTCCCCGGGAACTATGTGCAGCACTGAGATTCGTCAGTTTCCTAAGTCAGGTTTTGTTTTGTTTGTGAAAAACACAACACGAGACCCTAAGAGGGCCTGTTACAGAAGTTTCGGGGCGGAAAAACCTTGAGACACAATGAGTCCGAGCTCTCCATTTTACAGGTGAGGACGTTAAGACCCAGAAAAGAAAGTGTACCATCCAAGGTCAAGGAGCCAGTCCTGGACTGGGCCAGAATTGAAACCCAGGCTCCTTCACGCCAGCTGGAGCTGTCTCGCCATACACGGCCTTGGCCTTGGGCAGCTGTCTCGTCCCAGTCTCAGTCTCCGCCCTCTGGAACTGTCCAGGTCGGCTGAGGATGGGGGATCTCCTTCTCCCCATAAATCAGTCTGGCCCTCCCCAACCGCGGGCCCCCAGGAGGCTTGTCAGAGCCGCTCCCACGGCCGGCACGCGGGGGAGGGGCCCCAGGGCGCACGAAGGACCCCCCGCAGGCTGCCCGCCGCGCCGAACCCAGGCCGTCTGGCCCGAACGCAGGCCAAGGCGGAGGCGCCCAGGCTGCTTCCCGGCCCCGGAGCCCCACAGCACCAAGCCCGGATCGCAGGACACGGGCGCGCGCCCGGGCCCGCGCACACTCACCGCCCGCGCCGCCGCCGCCGCCGCCGCCGCCACCCCGGGACGCGGAAGGTCGGGGGCGCCGAGCCCCTAATGCCGCAGCCTCTGGGCACCGCAGCCCCGCGCCCAGCACGCCTCCCGCGCCGCGCTGCGCCGCCTTCACGGGCCCGCCCCCCGCCCGGCCGGCCCCGCTCGGTCGCCCAACCCCGAGGAGCCGCCCGCCGGACTCGCTTTGGGGCCAAGAGGGAACGCGCCTCCCGGGCCCGCGGCGGAGCGGAGCTGGAGGCCGCGTTTCATCAGCCGAGCGCCCCCCCGGGACGCCGGAAGGAGCCTCCGCGCGGAGCCGACCACGTGCACGGCATCTTGGGGCACGGGTTCCCGCCGTCTCCCCACTGTAAAGGAGCGGCTTACTCCAGAGGTCCAGCCCCCTCACACACAATCACGGAACCCGTGGATGAGGCAGTATTTGAGACCAGAAGTTTATTGGGGACTTGGGTTTGGTTTTTGTTTGGTTGGTTTTGTCGTTGTTTTTAGAGTCGGGGGTTTCGCTGTGTTGCCCAGGCTGCTATCGGACTCCTGACCTCAAGCGATCCTCTTGCTTGGCCTCCCAAAGTGTTGGGATTACAGGCGTGAGCCACCGCACCTGGCCGGGGACTTGTTTCTAATGGAAAATTGTGTATGTGCTGTATTGTTAAGAGCATTGGTTTGGGGTCAGACTAGGCTGTGATTCGGGTCTCTCCACTTCTTATTATCGTCTTTGGTAAATTATTTAACCTCTTTGTGCCTTCGTTTTCTGTAAAAAGCAGATAATTATAGCTACTTCATGAGGTCGTGTGAAGATTTAATGAGATAGTGTGTGTGAAATGTTCACAGCTACCAGACACATACTCACTCGTGTTCCCAATTGCTATACTCACAAGGGCTCACTCCCATCGCCATCCTTCGTAATTTCAAAGGGTCTACGGTTAAAAGTAAGTAACCTTTCCCCTGAGGAAAACACTAACCTTGTGCTTTCCTTGTATTTTTCCTTAGAGCACATATGTACCTGTGCGTGTGTGCGTTTACACAAAGGAAGGCCTTTTCTATTCTGTTGGGCACTCTGCTTTTTCATTCGACAAAGTACCTTGGCGCTCATCGGCCAGAACGCGCCACACTGCCTCATTTCCTTTTAAGGGGCACATAAACGTCCCTATATTAATATTAGGTTTGCGCAAAAGTTATTGCGTTTTTTTGCCATTAAAAACATTACAGGCTGGGCGCGGTGGCTCACGCCTGTAATCCCAGCACTTTGGGAGGCCGAGGCGGGAGGATTACCTGAGGTCGGGAGTTCGAGACCAGCCTGATCAACATGGGGAAACCCCGTCTCTACTAAAAATACAAAATTAGCCGGGCCTGGTGGCGCATGCCTGTAATCCCAGCTACTCGGGAGACTGAGGCAGGAGAATCGCTTGAACCCGGGAGGTGGAGGTTGCGGTGAGCCGAGATTGCGCCATTGCACTCCAGCCTGGGCAACAAGAGCAAAACTCCATCTCAAAAAAAAAAAAAATTGCAAAAACCGCGATTATTTTTGCACCAACCTAATAGAAAGGGTCTTTGTTTTCTTAACCCTTCTTTCTTAGTGGACATGAAGGTGATTTCCAGCCTTGCTGACAGGCCTTGCCCTGATACACATAGCAGCATTGTTGCATACACGCAAACATGCCACAGCCTGCATTTCTTTCTTTCTCTTTCTCTTTCTTTCTTTCTTTCTTTCTCTCTTTCTTTCTTTGTTTCTTTTTCTTTCCTTCTTTCATTTCTTTCTCTCTTTGTTTCTTTTTCTTTCCTTCTTTCTTTCTTTCTTTCTTTCCTTCCTTCCTTCTTTTTCTTTTTCTTTTTCTTTTTCTTTTTCTTTTTCTTTTTCTGAGACAGGGTCACTCTCTTGCCCAGGCTGGAGTGCAGTGGTGCAGTCACAGCTCACTGCAGCCTCGGCCTCTCCTCTCAGGCTCAAGGGATCCTCCCACCTCAGCCTCTCTGGTAGATGGGTCTAAAAGTGCATGCCACCACTCCCGGCTAATGTTTTTGTTTTTGTTTTTGTTTTTGTTTTGTAGATGCAGGGTCTTACTATGTTTCCCCAGCTAGTCTCAAACTCCTACACTCAAGTGATCCTCCCACTTCAGCCTCCCAAAGTGCTGGGATTACACGTGCAAGCCACCATGCCTGGCCCATTTCTATAAGTAGATGTGCTGAGTCAGAATGTACATGCTTGTTTGTTTGTTTGTTTGTTTGTTTGTTTGTTTTTGAGATGGGGTCTCGCTCTGTCACCCAGGCTGGAGTGCAGTGGTGTGATCTTGGCTCACTGCAGCCTCCACCTCCCGGGTTCAAGCGATTCTCCCACCTCAGCCTCCCGAGTAGCTGGGATTACAGGGGTGTGCCACCACGCCTGGCTAATTTTTGCATTTTTAGTAGAGACAGGGGTTTCACCATGTTGCCCAGGCTGGTCTCGAACTCCCGACCTCAGGTGATCCACCCGCCTTGGCCTCCCAAAGTACTGGGATTACAGGGGTAAGCCACCGCACCTGGCCTATGCATGCATTTTTTTATTTTAACAGATATTCCAAATTGTTGGGAAACTCTCAGACCCCAGAACTTAGCTGGCTGCATGCTCGGCCAGCCCTCAGAGACAGCATGATTGGAGGCAGGAGCAGGAATTGGCAACCTGAGAAGTAGATACCACCCAGGCACCCTCATTCACAAGGATCCAGGTAGTGGGCTACTAAAAATGAAGTTCATTCATTTATTTATCCACAAATGGACATTCAGTACCTGCTAAGGGACAGGCATTGTACTGAGCAAGAGTGAACAATACACACCAGGTCCCTATTTAGTGTGCCTGATTTCCAAACAAAACAAAAACAAAAAACAATTTAGACGCGTGGGAGCAAGAGCCTCAAGAGATATTGAAGCTTTACTCACTGATGATAGGATATTAAAAGGGATCCTGCAACAGGTGTGTGGCCTGATCACCATCTATCTAAACCCTACCTCTCCAACAAGGTTGCCCTCCTCCATGAAGCCAGATGTGGTCCCCCTGCCCTTTCTGCCAGGCTGCCTTTACTCTTCATTCTCACTGCTGGTCACTCCAGCGTGAACTTAGTGCTGACACATCAATCTCCTATACCAGGGAGGCACAGAAGACAGGGGCCTTTGGAGCTGGCCCACCAGGCTCTACCACTTACTGGCATGTGGCATTGGCAGGCAGCTCAGCTCACTCTCTGAGTTTCAATACCCTCATTTATGAAAGGCAGATAACTGCTAATCTGGGAGATTGCAAGAATTAATTGAAGTGATGAAATGCTTAGAAGAAAATGCTCAGTAAAAGTGTGGTGCATTCTTGGACAACGAGGTATCATGTGTTTGCATCTCTGAAATGTCACCAGTGTTCAGTCCTGGCATAGCAAGGAGGAGTGGGTGCTCATGTAGAATGGAGAAAGGACAATAGAATCCAGTGAAAGTAGGGTGAAATCCAGTCAGGTGTGCTGGAAAGCAGACTTCAGTAGTGATCATCTTGAATCCACAAGGTCCTTGTGGTGGGCCCAAGCCTCTCCCCACCCACAGCCTACCCTGGACTAATCTTTACTCACTCTCTCCCAACACGTAAAAACCCTATGCTCCAAAAATACAGAGCATCTCTCATTTCCTCCTATAACCCTCTCCCCCTGTTCTCTCACTTCTAGTTCTCAGTGGTTGCCATTCTCTCCCATCTGGAAAGTTGTCTCCAAACCCCAGCCCCATCGTTCTACCTGACGAACCAACTCATTCTCGGGTTTCAGCTGAAAGGGCCCTTCTTCTGGGAGCCCTGCCCTGTCCTGGGCCTAGGCCAGTTCCCCATTCTCATAGTTCATTCTCATAGTTACTCTTGTTTGTTTGTTTCTGGCTTTGTGTGTTTTTATTTTTTGAGACAGGGTCTCACTCTGTCACCCAGGCTGGAGTACAGCAGCGCGATCTTGGCTCACTGCAGCCCCGACCTCCTAGGCTCAAGTGATCCTCCCACCTCAGCCTCCCAAGTATCTGGGACTACAGGCATGCACCACCATTCCCGGCTAATTTTTTATTTTTAGTAGAGACAGGGTTTTACCATGTTGCCCAAGCTGGTCTCGAACTCTTGAGCTCAAGCAATACACCTGCCTCGGCCTCCCAAAGTGCTGGGATTACAGGTGTAAGCCACTGCGTCCAGCCCTACTCTTGCTTAACCTACACTCATCCCATACCCATCACATGGTATTGTCATTGTTCAGTGTCCCCTTTCCCAAAAAGAGAGTAAGCCTTTTGGGCATAGGGCTGTTTCTACCCATGTTCATAGCTATCCCCCTGCCCCTAACCCTGTCCTCAGTAATTGTTAAATGCATATGAAGTAGTGAATGAATAAATATGAATGAAATCATCAGGGCCTCAACTATAGATAAATCCAAATAACCACAAACCCCAGCCAAAGCCACCCTTACTCAGCAGTTGCTCCATCTGTCCTGTTGTGTCTGTAAGGGTTACAGACCCAGGGCTGAGGGCTAGCTGCCAACACTGTTTGATAACTTGGATGAAGTAAGAGAATGAACTTTTTTCCAGCCTGGCAGAACCTTAGTGTTGCAGCAGATGGTACTGAGAGAACCTCAGAACTGCTGGATGAGTAAGTGAAAAGGCAAAGATCAAAAGATCAAAACTTACATCTTGGTGTTTTTTGGTTTTTTTTTTTTTCTTTTGGAGCTCATGTGCCAGTTATAGATTCACTAACTTCCTAAACTTTTCATGGAGACATACTACTTGGAACATTGCCATGGCCTGAACAAATTGAACCAAAGAATGCAGTATTAGTAATTCAGGCTGGGAACTCAGACAGACCTGGGTTTAAATCCAGACTTCACCACAAATTGGCTCTGTGACCCTGTAGCCTCAGTTTCCTAATCTGCAAAATAGAAATGATAATACCTACCTCATAGAGATGGTAGGAAAATTAGATTATGTATATAGAGTACCTTGAATGCCACCTGGTATAAAGTTGATGTTAATAAATGTGAGCTATTTTAGAAATTATTTCCGAAAGTGTGTCCCACAGAATGTTCCGTTGCTAGTGGCTCCATTACATTGATTTCAGCTCCCGGAAGTCACATCCTCAAATGACGGACTCCACTATGGGAGAGGTAGACTAACTGTACGTGAGAGCTTGGGACTAAATACATAGCTGTGCTTGGCAGGAGGTGTGCTGGAAGTCAGACAGATCACATGCTGTTTGTCAGGAAACCGGGCCTAAGTCAGAAGAAAAAATCCTCTGAATTCCTATCAGGAAGGCCAGCAATCCCCCCGGGGCAGATAGGGGTCAGGGATCTGTTTCTACACTATGAACAGAAAGACAAGTGCCAGGGTCAGAAGAGTCAGAAGAGGGAGAACTCCCCTCTAGCGGCTGTGGAGAAGAGGCAAGGGCAGTTGAAGGCAATTGGGCTTTTTTAACTAGGTAACTAGACTATCGGTCTTTTCATCTTTAAAAACCACCTAAGATAATTGTAGACAACCCAGTCATGCTCTCTGAACAACCAGCCTTGTTTCTCTCCTAAACTTATCATCAACAGTAGCATCTAGAATGCTGCCATCCTGCTTTGTAAGTTATTTTCTTTTCTTTTTTGTTTTTTGATACAGGATCTCAACTTTGTTACCCAGGCAGGAGTGCAGTGGCACAATCTTGGCTCACTGCAACCTCTGCATCCCAGGTTCAAGCGATCCTCCTGCTTTAGCCCCCACAAGTAGCTGAGACTATAGGCAGCGCCACCACCATATCCAACTAATTTTTTTCTTTTGTATTTTTTGTAGAGACAGGGTTTCCCCCTGTTGCCCAGTCTGGCATCGATCACCTAAGCTCAAGCGATCCACCCATCTTGGCCTCCCAAAATGCTAGGATTATAGGTGTCAGCCACTGCACCCGGCCGTAAGTTATTTTCAAGTAGGAAAAAAAGGAGGCTGCCTGCTCCTTAACTCTTCAAGCCTACCCATCCCTATCAATCATCCCTTCAAACACAGTAAACTATGGCTTTAAATTCACAGCTGACCCAGGAGCCAGTGGCATCTGAAATTTTTTTAAAAGCCAGAGAAGATCTATGTTGACCTGATGATCTTTCACCTTCTAGATCTCCCTGAACCACTGGCCAAATCTTTCAATAAAGAATGTGCTTAACCTGCCTCTTAAGACCCATGTATTTGCACAAGAAGGAAAAAAAAAACCAGAAAAAAAAGCAAAACTAGAGCTGCCTGCCTGTGCTGAAGCTTTTTCAGTAATTTCAGAGCCACTGAAGTGATGTGAGATCAGTTGACAAGAGAAAAACACTCTGAGATCTGCCAGAATGACCCTCAAGGGGAGAAAAATAATTAAACAGGTGGAAAAACAAGGAACACGCAAGACTGATCAAAGCGTTTCTTTTCTGTTGAACAGCTTTTGCTGACTTCTGGTACCATCAGTTTTCTTGAGTACAATAAAGACCAACAAATGCAGAATGTTAGTTACGGGCCTTACTCAATCAGGCTCAAAGGCTTTACTGGGGTTACAGGAAGCCAAGTACCCAGTCCACTAATGTCCTGGGAGAAAAGCCTGAAGGCAGAGCATGGTAGGTTTTCTCTTGCAGCCTGCAGGCTGATCTGATGGGACTTCAATTCTGTCACTTCCTTGCTCTGTGACATTGAACATTCTGTAAGCCTCTGGGCCTCAGCTTTCTCATCCATGGAAGTGGGATTACAGTGTCTAACCTGCAGGGCTGCTGTGTGTTTATATATGTGCATAGAACATAATGGCCTTCCCTTGATAGAAGCAGAGATTGGACATGTGGCCTCTGACAAGTTACTTTTTTTTTTCTACAAGTTTCCCTCTCCTCTCCCCCATTCAGAAAGTGGAAGGGGTAATTCTTCAGGGAATTTGTGAGATGTTACCACAAGGTTACACAATGGCTTGCTGTAAACTATTTTATGTCTTTTTTTTTTTTTTTTTTTTGAGACGGAGTCTTGCTCTGTCACTCAGGCTGGAGTGCAGTGGTGCGATCTCGATCTCAGCTCACTGCAACCTCCAACTCCCAGGCTCAAGCGATTCTCATGCCTCAGCATCCTGAGTAGCTGGGACTACAGGTGCACACCACCACGCCCCAGTAAATTTTTTGTATTTTCAGTAGAGACAGGGTTTCGCTATGTTGGCCAGGCTCGTCTCGAACTCCTGGCCTCAAATGATCCACCAGCCTCGGCCTCCCAAAGTGCTGGGATTACAGGTGTGAGCCATATTTTATGCCTTTTATCAGGGCATCCTCTGTAGGTTTACATGACATAAAATTGCCCAGAGGGCAACTGAAGAGCATCACTCTACAATTTGGGAGAGGTAAAGGGAAAAGAATCAGATGGGTAAGATACATAAAAGGTATATAGCTATGAAGTTGTTCAATACTCAGTACACACCGTGGTTAAACACAGATGCAAAAGCCGGATTGCAAGTTTGAATCTTGGCTCCATCACTGCACATCCTTGGGCTGGTTCCTTAACCTCTCTCAGTCTCATATCCCATAAAAAAAAAAAAAGAATTAAATTAGTCAATATAAATGTAAAAGTTCTTACAACTAGCTGGCACATAGAAAGCTGTTAGCAGGCAGGGCATGGTGGCTCACATCCATAATCCCAGCACTTTGGGAGGCCAAGGCAGGCAGATCACTTGAGGTCAGCAGTTCGAGACCAGCCTGGCCAACATGGTGAAACCGCATCTCTACTAAAAATACAAAAATTAGCCAGGCGTGGTGGTGGGCGCCTGTAGTCCCAGCTACTCAGGAGGCTGAGGTGGGAGAATCACTTGAACCTGGGAGCGGGAGGTTGCAGTGAGCCGAAATCATGCCACTACACCCCAGCCTGGGCAATAGAGTAAGGCTCTGTCTCAAAAAAAAAAAAAAAAAGCTGTTAGCAGTTGTAGCAGAAACATGGTTTTACCCATGGAATATCCATGGGCTTCCCCTTATTTCTTAGCCTCCCTTGTGTTGGGTCGGGACACGTGACCTACACCAATATGCTGAGAACAAGTGTCATTTGAGGACTGAAGCAGGTGAGAGCTGATGCATGCTTGCCAACTTTTTCTTCCCATCACTGAAATTTCATGGAAACCATGTGGTGAGATGGTAGAGACACAAACTGGAAGTAATCCAAATCACTGAGCGGCCACATGGAGAACAGTCACCCTGAAGTCACCCAACTTGTATCAGATTTTGTAAGAAATAAACCTTTGTTACATTAAGCCACAGAGATTTCAGAACCTGTCCTGTCCTGACCGATGCAGCTATTATTAAACTTGTAATCAAGAATGATTAGTCTGAGAAAAGGACAGCAAATTTTAGAAAATTAGGAAACATTTGCTGAGTACCTAGAATGTTCCAGACATCTTGTATAGTGCCTTATCTTCTCTAATCTGGGGGTGGTTTTTGGCACCCAGGGGACATTTGACAATATCTGGAGATATTTTTTGTTTCACAACTGAAGGGGTTCTGCTGGCATCTAGTGGGTAGAGGCCAGGGACACTGCTACAAAGCCCTATAATGTATTAAGTGTACAAAAGGAAACCCTCCCGGCCAGGCATGGTGGTTCATACCTGTAATCTCTGCACTCTGGAGTCTGAGGCAGGCAGATGGCTTGAGCCCAAGAGGTTGAAGCTGCAGTGAGCCCTGATCGTTATGCCACTGCACTCCAGCCTGGGCGAAAGAGCGTCTCAAAAAAATAAAACCTCTCTGCTGTTGGTTTCTGTGACTGGCAACGTTGGGTTGCTTGGCTCAGTATTAATAGTCAAGCAGTTAAGTAAATAAGCACAACTCCATTAATCCAGAATAAAAATACTGTTGGCAACCCATTTAAACATTGAGTCTAAGCACTTGAACATGAGTGTTGCTTCATGTTTCTCCAGTTTGGGAAATCTGTATTTGCAGTTGGCAGAGATTAGGAGTTGCTACACTTAGCAATAAGGAGAGTAAAGCCTTAACAAAACTGGATACAGTTTGTTAAGCCCTCCAAACTGACATGTTAAGATGGAGATGTTTACCAGACATCCAAGTCAAAATATCAAATAAGCAATTTAATGACTACAGCTCAAGAGAAATGGGTTTGAGATAGAAATTTGGGTCTTCAGTATAGGTAATAAAGCCTGGAAATGAATGTGGTCTCACCAATAGAATGTTAGAGAAGTCCAAGAACAAAACCTTGGTGATATGGTTTGGCTGTGTCCCCACCCAAGCCTCAACTTCAATTGCATCTCCCAGAATTCCCACGTGTTGTGGGAGGGACCAAGGGGGAGGTAATTGAATCATGGGGGTCAGTCTTTCCTGTGCTGTTCTCATGATAGTGAATAAGTCTCACGAGATCTGATAGATTTATCAGGCTGCTTTTGCTTCTTCCTCATTTTCTCTTGCCTCCACCATGTAAGAAGTGCCTTTCACCTCCTGCCATGATTCTGAGACCTCCTCAGCCATGTGGAACTGTTAAGTCCAATTAAACCTCTTTTTCTTCCCAGTATCAGGTATGTCTTTATCAGCCGCATGAAAACGGACTGATACAGTATATTGGTACCAGGAGTGGGGTGCTGCTAAAAAGATAACCAAAAATGTGGAAGCAACTTTGGAACTGGGTAACAGGTAGAGGTTGGAACAGTTTGGAGGGCTCAGAGGAAGACAGGAAAATGTGGGGAAGTTTGGAATTTCCCAGAGACTTGTTGAATGGCTTTGCCCAAAATGCTGATACCAATATGAACAATAAGGTCCAGGCTGAGGTGGTCTCAGATGGAGATGAGGAACTTGTTGGGAACTGGAGCAAAGGTGACTCTTGCTATGTTTTAGCAAAGAGACTGGCAGCATTTTACCCCTGCCCTAGTGACTTATGGAACTTTGAACTTGAGAGAAATGATTTAGGGTATCTGGTAGAAATTTCTAAGCAGCAAAACATTCAAGAGGTGACTTGGGTGCTGTTAAAGGCATTCAGTTTTATAAGGGAAGCAGAGCATAAAAGTTTGGAAAATTTGCAGCCTATGTGATAGAAAATTAAAATGCATTTTCTGGGGAGAAATTCAAGCTGGCTGCGGAAATTTGCGTAAGTAGCAAGGAGGCTAATGTTAATCCTCAAGACCATAGGGAAAATGTCTCCAGGCCATGTCAGAGACCTTCATGGTCTGGACATGGAATATCTACGTCAGAGCCCATGGATATTCCACGGGTAAAACCATGTTTCTGCTACAACTGCTAACAGCTTTTCTTTTTTGAGGCAGAGCATTACTCTGTTGCCCAGGCTGGGGTGTCGTGGTGTGATCTCAGCTCACTGCAACCTCTGCCTCCCAGGTTCAAGTGATTCTCCCATCTCAGCCTCCTGAGTAGCTGAAACTACGGGCACCCACCACCACGCCTGGCTAATTTTTGTATTTTTATTAGAGAGCCCTTCCCATCACAGGCCTGGAGGCTCAGGAAGAAAAAGTGGTTGCGTGAGCCAGGCCCAGGGTCCCTGTGCTGTGTGCAGCCTAGGGACTTGGCACCATGTCCCAGCCCCTCTGGCCATGGCTGGCTGAAAGGGGCCAATGTACAGCTTAGTCTGTGGCTTCAAAGGGTGGAAGCCCCAAGCTTTGGCAGCTTCCACGTGGTGTTGAGCCCGCAGGTGCACAGAAGTCAAGAATTGAGGTCTGGGAACCTCCGCCTAGATTTCAGAAGATGTATGGAAACACCTAGATACCCAGGCAAAAGTTTGCTGAAGGGGCGGGGCCCTCATGAAGAACCTCTGCTAGGGCAGTATGGAAGGGAAATGGGGGGTCAGAGCCCCACACAGAGTCCCTACTGGGGCACTGCCTAGTGGAGCTGTGAGGAGACAGCCACCGTCCTCCAGACCCCAGAATGGGATCCACTGATAGCTTGCACCATGCACCTGGAAAAGCCACAGACACTCAACACCAGCCCATGAAAGCAGCCAGGAAGGAGGCTGTACCCTGCAAAGCCACAGGGACAGAGCTGCCCAAGACCACTGCAGGCTGTACCCTGCAAAGCCACAGGGGCAGAACCCACCTCTTGCATCAGCGTGACCTGGATGTGAGACCTGAAGTCAAAGATCACTTCGGAGCTTTACAATTTGACTGCCCTGCTGGATTTCAGACTTGCATGGGCCCTGTAACTGCTTTGTTTTGGCCAATTTCTCCCATTTGGAACAGCTGTGTTTACCCAATATCTGTACCCCCGTTGTATCTAGGAAGTAACTAGCTTGCTTTTGATTTTATAGGCTCATAGGCAAAGGGACTTGCCTTGTCTCAGATGAGACTTTGTACTGTGGACTTTTGGGTTAATACTGAAGTAAGTCTTTGGTGGACTATTGGGAAGGTATGATTGGTTTTGAAATGTGAGGACATGAGATTTGGAGGGGCCAGAGGCAGAATGATATGGTTTGGCTGCATCCCTACCCAAATCTCAACTTGAATTGTATCTCCCAGAATTCCCACGTGTTGTGGGAGGGACCCAGGGGGAGGTAATTGAATCATAGGGGTGTCTTTCTATGCTATTCTCTAAGTCTCATGAGCTCTTATGGGTTTATGAGGGGTTTCCTCATTTTCTCTTGCCGTCACCATATAAGAAGTGTCTTTTGCCTCCCGCCATGATTCTCAGGCCTCCCTAGCCATGTGGAACTTTAAGTCCAATTAAACCTTTTTCTTCCCTGTCTCGGGTATATCTTTATCAGCAGCGTGAAAAGACTAATAAATTAAGCTGAAGGAGGCCGGGTGCAGTGGCTCACACCTGTAATCCCAGCACTTTGGGAGGCCGAGGTGGGCAGATCATGAGGTCAAGAGATTGAGACCATCCTGGCCAACATGGTGAAACCCTGTCTCTACTAAAAACACAAAAATTAGCTGGCCATGGTGGCGCACACCTGTAGTCCCAGCTACTAGGGAGGCTGAGGCAGTATAATCACCTGAACCCCGGGAGGCAGAGGCTGCAGTGAGCCGAGATCATGCCACCACACTCCAGCCTGGGCAACAGAACAAAACTCCATCTCAAAAAAAAAAAAAAAAAAAAAGTTGAAGGAAGAATGAGGGAGAGAATGAGAAGCAAGGAAGCACAATACTGCACGATGGAAGCTAAGTAAAGTGGGCTGGGTGCAGTGGCTCACACCTGTAATCCCAGCACTTTGGGAAGCCAAGGCAGGAGGATCGCTTGAGCCCAGAAGTTTGAGACCAGCCCAGGGAACATGGAGAAACCCTGTCTCTACTAAAAACAGAAAAAGTAGCCAGGTGCGGTGGTGTGTGCCTGTAGTCCTAGGTACTTGAGAGACTGAGGTGGGCCGACTGAACACGGGACACGGAGGTTGCAGTGAGCTGAGATCACACCAGGCCACTGCACTCCAACCTGGGCCACAGAATGAGACCCTGTCTCAAAAAAAGTGCTTCAAGGAAGGAATGGTCAACCCTGTCAGAGTACTGAAGGTCAAGGAGGAAGAGGATGAGCTTTCTCAACCTGGACCACATTGCTGATCTTGACATACAGCTTCAGTGGCACAGCAAGCCTTGAGGGTTTTAACAGTTTAAAAAAAAAAAAAAAAAAAAAAAAAACAGGAAAAGCTCATCCAGTCACTCTTTTGAGGAATTCTATTAAAAAGGAACAGAGAAATGAAACAGTAACTAGAGACAGTAGTGGTCTGAAAAATAAAATCCTGAGTCATATTAAATATGAGGGTTTTTAAGGTCATCTAGTTGTATTGTATCAGAACAAGCAAGGAAATCCCATAATGTTCTTTCAACTGTTTTTACCTATAAGATTTTGCAACCAAAGACTTTCGGCTAAGATGGCCACAGGACATTTAACTTGTAAGGGCTAGTATGAAGGTACTACAGGTATAATGCACATCATCTAGCCCACCAGGAAGGAAATATGCTTAATAACTTGCCCCAGGCTGTCCCAGGACAAGGATCTCTAGAGAAAAGACAACCTACAGACTAGTTGCTTGCTGTTTTCCAAAACATTTGTTGGAAGAAATCACATGACACATGTATCAGGAACATTTTCTAATTATGTATATAAATGGGTATGTGATATGTGTGCTATTTGTGTGCTAATGTCCTAAGTGAAGTTCTGCAGACCATCTGGGTCAAAATGCATTTCGCATGATCAAAAATGAAGAACCACTGGTTGTCACGGAGACAGGGAAAAAAAAAAGAATGGGGAAAAATGCATGACAGAGTCTTTACTTTTAAATGATTATCGATACACCAAGTAATACATGTAACAAGTTCTTGAATTCTATCATCTAGTAATTTTGATTAAGAGAAACTAAAAGCAGCCCAAACAATTCCACTAGTATTCACTGTTCTAACCATTAGCAAGAATGGACTACTTTAAGGCTGGCTGCTGCTTCACACAGGTTACAAAGAACTATTTACTACTTTTTCATAGATAAAGCCCCTGACCTTCAAGAAAGTGTTAGGGAAAAAAATTATTTAATCCCTTCCTTTCTTCAAAGAATTGTTATGTGGTTTTTTTTTTTTTTAAACTAGATCTAAGAAAGAAAAAGTCAACACTGATATACATGTTGCTTGAGCCAAAAGACATAGGAAAAAAAGACAACATATAACCATTAAATTCCTAAGAAATATGAGGTAAAAAGATGAAATCTTTAGATAATTTCTAAGTCTGTACAAAAAAGCTAGATTTGCTACTCTCCAAAAAGTGGAAGGACCTATTATATAATATATGGAAATAATTTAATGCCATATCATAAGAATGTAACTAGAGCTGTGCTAAGCTTCATATTCGTGAGGGCATCTAAAATGCCACTCCACAGCACAGGTGCTTCTCTCTTCTATCCATTTATGCGGTAGTTTTCATGGATTTCTGGCCGAATGTCACAGACAAAAGCCAAGAGGTTGTCCAAGACTTCATCCCTGTTCTGCCGGAAGTATGTCTGGAGGATGGTCATCTTCTCCTGGGTCTCCTTCTCCACTTCAGTGCTGCAACTGCCACGGGATCCCAATGCCTGGAGATGGGGAGTGATGTCACGGAGGGATTATCAGAACAATGCTCTGGTTGGTCAGGTACATTTCGTAAGCTACTTGTTGACTTTTGGAGAAACCCAGGCTCACCTATCAGTATACTCAGAAGCTGGCAATATGACCTCATGGCTGGAGCACATGTGAGGTATTCTCAGAGTTAACAGGAGCCACATCTACCAAAAGTAAACTACACAGTATTCCCACTGCTAGGAAATTATTCCAAAGACATGTATTCGCATCTCTCCTCTAAGAATCTGCTATATAGGCCGGGCGCGGTGGCTCACGCCTGTAATCCCAGCACTTTGGGAGGCCGAGGCGGGCGGATCACGAGGTCAGGAGATCGAGACCATCCTGGCTAACACGGTGAAACCCCGTCTCTACTAAAAATACAAAAAATTAGCCGGGCGTGGTAGCGGGCGCCTGTAGTCCCAGCTACTCGGGAGGCTGAGGCAGGAGAATGGCGTGAACCCGGGAGGCGGAGCTTGCAGTGAGCCAAGATCGCGCCACTGCACTCCAGCCTGGGCGACAGAGCGAGACTCCGTCTCAAAAAAAAAAAAAAAAAAAAAAGAATCTGCTATATAGCCTTAACCAAAGATAGGAATCAACCTAAAAACTCAACTTGCTTCTGTGCAAGAGAACTATTCAGGAATTGCAGTGAACTGTAAAATACAGCTTAAGGAGGGGGAAAAGCAAGATATACAACAGTATCAATGTGGTTAGTATGTTTTTGTACCTGTGGTTTTAAATGTGGGGAGATACAAGGTTTTTAAAAACTCCTAAATAATAATAAACACAAGCCAGTCGTGGTGGTGCATGCCTGTAGTCTCAGCTATTCGAGAGACTGAAGCAGGAGGATCATGACTTGGAGCCCTACCTGAGCAAAACTGCAAGAAGACCCCATCTCCAAACAAGAATAACAAACACAAGGAAGATACAATTTAGGAGGAATATACAAGGAGTTTCACCATTATTGGTTAGTGTTTTAGTTCTTAAGTTCAACAGTGGATTCACCAGTGTGTCACATCTATTCTTGCAAATATAAATATTCTAGAAGAATAAAAAAAGAAACCTGTTAACAGTGACTGGCTCTGAGGAGGACTGCAGGTCTGAGAGAGAGGAAAACTAATTTCTCATTGCTGCCCCCACACTTTTTTTTTTTTTTTTTTGAGTTGGAGTCTCGCTCTGTCGTCCAGGCTGGAGTGCAGTGGCGCGATCTCCGTTCACTGCAAGCTCCGCCTCCCGGGTTCACGCCATTCTCCTGCCTCAGCCTCCTGAGTAGCTGGGACTACAGGCGCCAGCCACCACGCCCGGCTAATTTTTTTTTCTGTGTTTTTAGTAGAGACAGGGTTTCACCATATTAGCCAGGATGGTCTCGATCTCCTGACCTCATGATCCATCTGCCTCAGCCTGCCCCTTTTTATTACCTGAATTTTTAGCGTAAACATTTTACCTCTTCAGTTTCTCTTAGCAATTTCACACACACTGACATGAATTTTCTTTTACTTTCTATGATCTTCACAATACAGCCAGCTTTTTGTTAACTGCTGTGCCTTCTTTATTAGAACTTAACCTATAACGTTCTGGAAGACGTAACTTTTTTGTCTGACCCTTTTTATTCACCTAACCTGTTCTTGCCTCACTATATATACATATATATATATGCTAATAACATCCCTTCATATTTGCATAATATATTAATTTGCAAAGGAGTCTCTCCATTACCTATTCCTCACAACGACCTATAAGGAGGCTATCACTCCATTTTTTTTTCCCGAAGAGATGGGATCTCACTATGTTGCCCAGGATGGCCTCAGACTCCAAGCTCAAGAGATCCTCCTGCAGAGCTGGGACCACAGGTGTGCACCACTGTGCCTGACTTTATCACTCCATTTTCTCTTAAGAGATGGAGTCTCACTCTGTTGCCTAGGCTGGAGTGCAGTGGTACGATCTCGGCTCACTGCAATCTCCACCTCCTGGGCTCAAGCCATCCTCCAACCTGAGCCTCCCAAGTAGCTGGAACTACACGTATACACCACCATGCCCGGCTAATTTCTGTATTTTTTTTGTAGAGTCAGAGTTTCACCATGTTGCCCAGGCAGGTCTTGAACTCCTGGGCTCAAACGATCCACCCACCTTGGCCTCCCAAAATGCTAGCATTACAGGCATGAGCCACTGTGCCCTTAGGGCTCTTCATACTATACTATAACTGTTCATATTACAGGAATCTCCTGGGGCATTTCATTAACAGCTCAGTTGCTAACTCATTCTTTTATGTTCAGAACCCCATTACCTGTTTCTTGAATATAAACCATACGCCAAGCTCCGCTAAGTTGTCTCAAAAACTAAAGAGGTTACAATGGAACACTGCTAGAAAGATTCAGAGCTTGGCTGAGCATGGTAGCTCACACCTCTAATCCCTGCACTTTGGGAGGCTGAGGCAGGTGGATCACCTGAGGTCAGGAGTTCAAGACCAGCCTGGCCAACATGGTGAAACCCTGTCTCTACTAAAAAGACAAAAAAAAAAAAAACTGCCAGGCGTGGTGGTGGGCACCTGTAATCCCAGCTACTTGGGAGGCTGAGGCAGGAGAATCACTTGAACCTGGGAGGTGGGGGATGCAGTGAGCCAAGATCGCGCCATTGCACTCCAGCCTGGGCAACAAGAGTGAAACTGTCTCAAAAAAAAAAAAAAAAAGAAAAAAAGAAAAGAAAAGAAAGAAAAAAGGAATCAGAGCTTGTGCTTTACAGTGCAATACCAGTACCATCTCTATAATCAACTACAGCACAGAATGTAAGAATATGAGGGCACATGTCATTGGGACCTCCTAGGCCTGTGCCACGAAAAAGAAAAAAGAATGTAAAAATATGAAGATGGGCCAGGCGTGGTGGCTCACGCCTGTAATCCCAGCATTTTGGGAGGCCAAGGTAGGCAGATCACAAGGTCAGGAGTTCAAGACCAGCCTGGCCAACACAGTGAAACCCCCGTCTCTTCTAAAAATACAAAAATTAGCCGGGCATGGTGGCGCACACCTGCAGTCTCAGCTACTTGGGAGGCTGAGGCAGGAGAATCATTTGAACCTGGGAGGTGGAGGTCGTAGTGAACTGAGATGACGCCACTGCGCTCCAGCCTGGGTGACAGAGCAAGACTACATCTCGGACAGGAAAAAAAAAAAAAAAGGGGCGGGGGGCGCTGGGCGCGGTGGCTCACACCTGTCATCCTAGCACTCTGGGAGGCCGGGGCAGGCAGATCACCTGCGGTCGGGAGTTCAAGACAAGCCTGACCAACAAGGAGAAACCCCATCTCTACTAAAAATACAAATTTAGCCGGATGTGGTGGCGCATGCCTGCAATTTCAGCTACTCGGGAGGTTGAGGTGGAAGAATCGCTAGAACCTGGGAGGCAGAGGTTGCAGTGAGCCGAGATCATGCCATTGCACTCCAGCCTGGGCAACAAGAGCAAAACTCCCCGTCTCAGAAAAAAAAAAAAAAAAATGAAGATGATGGCTGCCCTGACACAAGGGTATTTCTACATTGTTTTATGAGCAGCCTGACAACTTACAGCACCTATCAGCCCCAGTTCAAGAATCAAAGAAACATGTTAAGTTTTATTTGTATTTGTCTTATTTTTTTGTAGAGACAGGGTCTTGGTTTATTGCCCAGGCTGGTTTTGAACTTGTGGCTTCAAGCAATCCTCCCACCTCAGCCTCCCAAAGTATTGGGATTACAGGTGTGAGTCACTATGCCCAGCCACGTTTTAATGGCACTGTAATTGCCAAGAACAAAGATGATCCAGCACTTTGGGAGGTTGAGATGTGAGGATCACTTGAGGCCAGGAGTTCGAGACCAGCCAAGGCAACACAGCAAGACCCTATCTCTACAAAAACAAAAAAAAAATTAGCTGAGCATGATGGATCATGCCTACAGTCCTAGCTACTCAGAAGGCTGGGCAGGGGAGGATCGCTTAAGCCTAGAAGCTCCAGGTCACCGTGAGCTATGATCACACCACTGCACTAAAGCCTGAATGATAGAGTGTGACTCTGTCTCTTAAAAAGAAAAAATAAAAAATTGATCAAAATTTTTGCTACTTAATGCAAGGAGGGAGGTATGTGCCTTTACTCACTGGACTTGGGCCTGGAAGTGTGTATGCTGGAACTACTAGAGGCCACAGTGTAGAACTTGAGAATGATACAAAGCCAAACACAGAGGTGAGAGAAAGTCCTGAGCATATTATTTAAGCTCTTGGGTTTTTAATTATATAGGCCAATACATCCCATTTAGAATCAGTTTTAATTATATTTTGTTACCTGCACCCAAGAGTCCTGATAGTTTCTTTTCTCTGTGAGGCCCTTATCCATCCTTTCCCCTTTCCACAATTGTCCCTGCCTCCTCTATGCTTTCTGTGATCTGTTTTTGTACTATTATTGTATGCACCATAGTATAGCCTACATCACTGGTAAATGTCTGTACTATATACAATATACTAAAGTGGGGCTCCATTTGATTTATGTTTATGACCGTCACAGCATTTTTCAGTAGTAGCTCTGCATGATTTGCACTGTATTACTGAGTCTCCCTGACCACTGGATGGTAAGCTACACTCCATGAGGGAAGGGACCATGTCTATTCCTGGTCACAACTGATCCCTAGCATCTAGCACAGTACCTGGCGCATGTTAACTGCTTAACAGATACGTGTTAAATGAGTGAATAAATGAAAATTAGAAATCAATATGAATGGAAAAACTGATCATCCTAAAAGACAGATGCCTGAGCAGCCAATAAAACACACAGCTACCACATTTTCAAACTTCGACCAGGATCTCTGAGCTATGCTGGATATTCTGAAAGCCTTGGCGGGACAGGGGATCAGAAACTAAAGCAGTAACAAAAACAAATGGTGCCCCACCGCAGCTTCCTTGGCCTTGAATTCTTTCTCCCTCTGCAGGCGGTACTGTTCAATTTCAGCCTGAGCTTCTTCTTTGGCCTGCTTCAGCCTCCGGTTCTTTCCTGTTTTCAAAGGAGAGAGCTATATCAGGAAGTGGTTAAAAGTAGAAAAGCAAGCAGAGACAAGATGGTATATTATAACAATAAGCCAAGAATAAATTATGACACAGTCCGAAGAGATGTGCATGGGAAAGAGGGAATTCAGAGCTAACAAACAGTACAGGTTCCTCCCTCCTATAGGCTGTACTTAACTAGGAAGTGACAAGACAAAAATGAATACCTTCTGTAACTACAGCCCATTAAAAAGATGGAAAAAAATTGTAGAATGTGTCAGAATATTCTCTCAATCTCAACTATTAAGAACCAACATAAAATGAGTAACATTAACCATCTAGGGAACTCTTCTCCAGAAGTAAACACCTTAAGTATGCTGCTGATTAAAGGTGCAACCCTACTCAGATGCTTAGCAAGAAGGCTAATAAGCTCGCAAGGGACAGCAACATATAATGTAACTAATGAACCAACTATATAATGTAACACTGGAAACTAAAAGCAGTCCCTGTCACAAGGAAGTAAGGACAGTGGTGACTGAGAAGGAATGCTGAATGAGGAGTACTGGACAGTAAGACTGCACAAGTGGCTGAGAGAAGAGGAGACACAGGTATTTTGGTTTCTAGAAGTGAGTGGCTTAACATACAGCTGGAAAAAATCTCTAGGTTTGGTCAGAGTCTACATGAAAACAGACCACAAGGACAGCCAACATATAATCTCTGCTTTGAGTCTCCGCTCACCAATAAAAAAAAAAAAAGAGAGGTTCTAGACCATCAACCTATTTATTTGAGAGCAAAAGACATCCTGCATCTAAAATTAAGCTTTGTTATACAACACTGTACATCATTGTATACCAACTGTCTAGAGTCCACGCGAATGAGTGAAAATGAACTTAACCTTCCACATCCTGATTCAGAACAGAACTTTGGACCTGTAATGAAATGACCCCATGACATCAACATTCCCTGATGCTAGTCTGAAACAATTAACAGGTCTCTCTCTCAAAACTCCAAGAACTATTTCTGCAAGTCCACATTCACTCCAGTATTATTTCTGGCCTACTACTGTCTGCTTCGGCCACCTGTACCCCAATCCTTCACATGCTATCTTCCCATCAGCTATAATGGGCTGTATTTCAAAGCTAAAGATACTTTCGAAACCAACAATCTATAAATAACACTCATGGCCTGAACATTATGCAGTAGCTCCGCATGATTTCACAAGACATCACCTCCCAACTCCCATGGCTCCCTGCATTTATAACTCAGGATAATACCATTTACTGCCTTTGGCAAACATCTTCAACATTCAATTTTGACAGGGGCCTCTAAAAATCAAAAATATTTAAACAGAAAATCGTATTTCTCTTAAATCTTGTTCTTCTTGGGCCTTACATATGGGAGCCAGTGTTTTGTTTCACTCCAATGAAATATGCCATTAACACAAACTTTTTTAAAATTTTAAGGTCCACGCCGGGCGCGCTGGCTCACGCCTGTAATCCCAGCACTTTGAGAGGCCAAGGTGAGCAGATCACAAGGTCAGGAGTTCGAGACCAACCTGGCCACTATGGTGAAACCCTGTCTCTACTAAAAACACAAAAACTAGCCGGGCATGGTGGCAGGCACCTGTAGTCCCAGCTACTCGGGCGGCTGAGGCAGAAGAATCGCTTGAACCTGGGAGGCAGAGATTGTAGTGAGCCGAGATCACGCCACTGCCCTCCTGCCTGGGGGCGACAGAGCGAGAATCCATCTCAAAAAAATAAATAAACAAAATATATAAAATAAAATAAAAAATAATAAAAAAAATTTAAGGTCCAACTCAATGATTTCATTAAAAAAACTGGATGGGATCATTTTATATACTGCCTCTTCCCAACTCTTAACTGGGCAAATCAACCATAATTATAAATCAAGAAAGGCAAATTTTCAAACTGCAGTTCTTCTGACTACCTCTCTGTTCCTAACTATTAACAATTCTGAGACAGGCAAGGCGCAGTCGCTCATATCTGTAATCCCAGCACTTTGGGAGGCCGAGAGTTTGAGAAGAACCCGGCCGACATAGTAAAACACTGTCTCTACTAAAAATACAAAAATTTATTTTTTTATTTATGTATTAATTTATATGTTTTTGTATTTTTAGTAGAGATGGGCATGGTGGTAGGCACCTGTAATCCCAGCTACTTGGGAGCCTGAGGCACAAAATCTCGAACTCTGGAGGTGGAGGATGCAGTGAGCCAAGATGGTGCCACTGCACTCTAGCCTGAGTGACAGAGTGAGACTCTGTCTCAAAAAAAAAAAAAAAAATCTGAGAAGTATGTAAGCCATAAACTAATACTTTGGTTTGTTTTTTGTTTTTTTTTTTTTTTGAGACGGCGTCTCCCTCTGTCCCCAAGGCTGGAGTGCTGTGGGACAGATCTCCGCTCACTGCAACCTCTGCCTCCTGGGTTCAAGCGTTTCTCCTGTCTCAGCCTCCCAAGTAGCTGGGACTACACGCGCACACCACCACGCCCAGCTAACTTTTGTATTTTTAGTAGACACGGAGTTTCTCCATATTGCCCAGGCTGGTCTCAAACTCTTGATCTCAGGTGATCCACCCACCTCAGCCTCCCAAAGTGCTGGGATTACAGGCGTGAGCCACCACGCCCAGCCAAATTAATACTTTTTAAAACCAATTCACAGCTACCTGACATATACAAAACCCTGCACCAGGCTTGACAGGATAAAGGTATAAAACATAAATCCTACCTGGCTAGGGCACTCAGAATTATTCTTACCTATTCCAAGCATTTTTTCCTGCACTTCCCCAATCTATTCTCCTATCCCTCCCGACAGATACAACTTCTGTTACTGATGAGCCATCAGAACACAAACTGTGAGAAGTCATTCTGGAAATACACTATCAAGGGCATGACTGGAAATATTCTGGGAAGAACAAAGAACTTTCCAGTCACCGGAGCAAGAACAAAAGGCTTCTTCTCATTCCCAACACCCTCAAAGAAAGCTTTCCAAGTACCACACAACCCCTAACTGCACAAGTAGAGGAGACATGCTTGAAATCTAGTTGGATGTCAGATAGAATAACTCCTATACTAGGAGAAACACCAAGGAATTACTAAGATCAGTATCTTCGCCTTGCATGGAAAAAGAGGCTTCTGAGTCCCAACTATGTTGCTTCCCAGGGTATGGATAAATCATTTCTCTCTGAGCCTCATTTTTACTATCTGTAAAATAGGGATAGAAGCATCTTTCTCACCAGACGGGAAACTGGATACATAAAGTTAAATGAGACATAGTTTCTGTTCTCCAGAAGCTTAGTCTAGTGACTGAGCCATATAAACAAACAGGTTATTGCACGGCAGTGGCAGAAATCAGCACTTGGGAGGGACTCCAAGCCTAGTCCGGGGGACAAGCATGAGTCAGGAAAGGCTTCCCGGGAAGAAGTGTTTCCTAAATTGAGGTCTGATGGAAGACTAAGGGTCAGAGAACAAAGGGGAGGAGAATTGGAAAAGGCTTCTCACGTCAGAAGAAACAGCGTGTGCAAAAACCTGCAGGTGAAAGACATCATGCTGCTTCTGAGGGACCACAACGATTCAGTATAGCTGGAGGAAAGCACCAGGCCTGACCCACAAGAGCCTCCCCAACTTCATTAAGGAATTTGAGCTTTCTTCTGCAGGAACTAAACGTCTGACTACAAAGGCGGTAGGGAAATCATATCTGCACTTATTTATTTATTTTGTTCCTTACCAGCAGGAAGTCACATATTTGCATTTTAGAAGGATGACTGATTGCAGAGAGGAGAATGGATTGACTGGAGGGGACCAGAACGGGTTCTTCCACTCCCCAGTCTAGATTAAACTCACCTGTTAAATTCTTTAGCAACCTTACATTTCTCCACTCCAGCCCTCATCTCTCCTGCAATTAATTAACTGACCCAATACCTGCTTCCTTCACTGCGACACTGAATGCCACGTTAGGGGAGACAACTGATGCACTGGGCACTGCGCTTGCCACATATTAGACAGAAACACACACACACACACACACACACACACACTGCGCTTGCCACATGTTAGAAACACACACACACTGCGCTTGCCACATATCAGAAACACACACACGCACACACGCCAACGATTTAGACAACTACAGTACCTTTAGAGAAACTGGTGTCCTGGACTAAGACGCTGGTAGTAGACATGGGGGAAAAAGTGAAAGATACGCAAGCCTTGGCGACTGACTAAATGAGGGAGGGAGAAGAGGCAAGCAGGACTCCAGGTTTCTAGACCAAGCAACTGTGTGGATGCTGGCTCCCTTCACCGAGACTGACCACCCCAGAGCGGTTAAGTGGGAGAGAAGAAGAACAAAGAGCTCCGTTTGGAGAGCCCATTTCACATGCCTCCAGGCCCCAAGGACGGTAACCCATTATTGTTTCCACGCCCAATTTACCATCTCACATCGTGGCTTCCAGGCGATCCGCAAGCCTTCCAGAGCCTCAGCTCCTCAAAGCTTCGAAACACACAACCTTCCGCGACTATACGCACGCCCGCACCCCGCAGTTTTTCGGGCCTAATCTACCCACCACCTGAGGCCCAGCGGTCTTTCTTCGACTCGCGCCACGCCGGGCAGCCCCACCCTGAAACTCACTTTTGCGGGCCTCGGACACCTTCTCGGCTGCCCGCTTCTCGGCCTGCAGCAGCTGCTGAATCCCCTGAGACTGACTAGCCATGGCGGCAGCGATTCTGAGAGCAAGGCAAGCGGCCTAAGGCACCTCGAAGGCCCCTTGGGTCAGCTGACACAGCCGCCCACAATCTGCGCTTGCTCCTTGCGCCTGCGCTTCGCCCCCGTTGTCACGTGACCGCACAGCGTAGCATCAGCTGACCGCTCTTGAACTTCTGTGATTCGGCAGAAATGGGGCGGGGCGGGGCTGAGGAGAAAGGAGCGGAGCTCCTCGACTGCGCCTGTGCAGTCTACTGCGCAGTACTGCCCTCTACTCCTCTGTCCGCTCCCTGGCCTCTTTTAATGGCTACCCTGTCGCTGGTTCACTCTGTAGCCGCCCTGCCACGTATAGTGTCTGTTTGCAGTATGCTCAACGTCAAGAGAGGAGGGGCCAAGTCAAATCACTTTCCTCCTACTCTCCACACTGCTCTACTCACTCCCTTTCTGGGACTTTCTTTGGCACTCAAAATTTTATCGGGGTAGTTCAGGAAGATTCTTGCCAGTTCCGGGGATAGAGTCTTGGGTTGCCAGTTAGGAGACTCGGGATCAAGTCTGCCGCTAACCTGTGTGATTTTGGACAGGTCGCTATCCTTTTCTGAACCCGAGTTCAGGAATGGACTGGACTGTTTCCCATAAATATTTGATGAAAGCCTGCTGTGATCCTAGTCCACTGTTGATATTGAGGACATAGCAGAGAGCAGGGCAAACAAGGTCCCGGCGGAGCTCACAGTTTATGGACACAGACAGATTAATTAAAATAAATAGACAATTACAAACTGTGATAAAGTCATGAAGGAAAAATGCAGGGTGCCGTAAGAAGGAACCTTTAGTAAGGGGAGAGGAATATGGAGGTGTCTCTGAATGCTGTACCAAGGAAGTGGTGTTTAAGATCTGAAGGCCAGGCGCAGTGGCTCACGAGCCTGTAATCCCAGCACTTTGAGAGGCCGAGGCGGGTGGATCACTTCAGGTGAGGAGTTCGAGACCAGCCTGGCCGACGTGGTGAAACCCCGTCTTTACTAAAAATACAAAAATTAGCCGGGCGTGGTGGCGCGCGCCTGTAATCGCAGCTACTCAGTAGGCTGAGGCACGAGAATCGCTTGAACCCGGGAGGCGGAGGCTGCAGTGAGCCGAGATCGTGACGCTGCACTGCAGCCAGGGCGACAGAGCAAGACTGTCTCAAAAAAATTAAAATTAAAAAATTAAAATAGGCCAATCGCGGTGGCTCACGCCTATAATCCCAGCACTTTGGGAGGCTGAGGCCGGCGGATCACGAGATCAGGAATTTGAGACCAGCCTGACCAATGTGGTGAAACCTGGTCTCTACTAAAAATACAAAAATCCGGGCATGGTGGCGCGCGCCTGTAATCCCAGCTACTCAGGAGGCTGAGGTAGGAGAATCGCCTGAACCTGGGAGCTGAGGTTGCAGTGAGCCGAGATCGTGTCACTACACTCCAGCCTGGGTGACAGAGCAGACTCCATCTCAAAAATAAATAAGTAAATAAATAATAAAAATTCTCAAAAAATAAAATAAGATCTGAAGAATAAGAAGTTACCCAGGAAAGGATAGTGGGGGATGGAGGCGGTGGGAGATGATTAGGGGAAAAGGACCAGCGTGTGCGGAGTTGGGGAGGGGGTCAACTTGGCACGGAGACATCTCCCCATCCACCGTGAATAGGGAAATAGGAAGCCATGGTTTGAGTTTACAGTATGACGGGCCCTTGTCATCGCTTCACTCACTCCTCACATTAACTTTGATACTGTTACTAATTCCATTTTATATTGACCAAACTGAAGCTCAGAGAGTCGCAAAGTCTCTGAGCCAAAAGTCATGCCCCTATTAACACACAGACAGGGTATTTGAATCCAGTCAGGGCTGCAGAGTAAAACCTCTGAGCTACTGCTTTTCTGCCGGAATCCTCTGGGCTGAGGAAAGGACCAGGTGACCTCTTAGAGTCCACTGAGTGCTGAGAACATAAAATAATGCCAGAATTTTTCTTGATACAAAGATTCTTCACTCCAGGAGCTGGATTCATGGCTCAGGACATTTTCATTTGATTGACGTGGTGGGGTTGGAAAGAACAGAATTTCTATCCTTTTCTGATGTGAGAAACAGGACTGGAAAGAGTTTTGAAGATAAAACAGAATAGAGCACATGGGCCCACATGTCTCCTGCCTGAGTTACTATATTCCTTAAAGGATAAATTACACTAATCCTTGCCTCTTTTACACATAAGATAACATCTGACAGAGTTAGTGATTATACTTCTGCAAATGTACCTTATTTCTTTTTCTTTTTTCTTTTTTTTTTTTTCTTTAGATATTCTGTAGCCCAGGCTGGAGTGCAGTGGCGCGATTTCGGCTCACTGCAACCTCCGCCTCCCGGGTTCAAGCGATTCTCCTGCCTCAGCCTCTCGAGTACCTGGGATTACAGGTGCCTACCACTGTGCCTGGCTAATTTTTTTTGTAGTTTTAGTAGAGATGGGGTTTCCCCATCTTGGCCAAGCTGGTCTTAAACTCCTGACCTCGTGATCCACCAGCTTCGGCCTTCCAAAGTGCTGGGATTACAGGTGTGAGCCACCCCGACCAGCCAGTTAAAGTACATTTTAATAAAGAAATAAAGGCTGGGCGTGGTGGCTCACACCTGTAATCCTAGCACTTTGGGAGGCTGAGGCGGGTGGATCACAAGGTAAGGAGTTCCAGACCAGCCTGGCCAACATGGTGAAACCCCATCTCTACTAGCAATACAAAAATTAGCTGGGCATGGTGGCACATGCCTGTAGACCCAGCTACTCGGGAGGCTGAAGCAGAAGGATCCCTTGATGCCAGGAATTAGAGGCTGTAGTGCACTATGATTGCCCCTGTAAATGGCCACTGCACTCCAGCATGGGCAATGCAGGGAGGCCCCATCTGTATAAACAAAAGGAGAACAAAAGAAAGAAACCACAGTTCACTCAGTCAATCAATGGAAGACAGCAATACACACTTCTAGAGGTGGCATGAAGATTAAAAGAGATGATGGTACCCCAAAACTGGAAACAACCCAAATGTCCATCTACTGATGAGTAGATAAAATGTAGCATATTCATACAATAGAATAGTATTTGGTTATAAAAAGGAAATAAAGCTACAACGTGGATGAAACTTGGTAATATGCTAAATGAAAAAAGCCAGGCACAAAAGACTACATATTATACAGTTCCGTTTATAGGAACAATCCAGAATAGGCAAATAGACACAGAAAATAGATTAGTGGTTAACCAGGGGCTGAGGGGAGAGGAATGGGGGAGTGACTGCTAATTGGCATGGGTTTTCTTTTTCGGGTGATGGAAACATTCTGGAATTAGTGGTGACAGTTTCATACCCTTGTGAATATACAGTAAACAAAAACAAAAACAAACCCGGCCGGGCACGGTGGCTCACACCTGTAATCCCAGCACCTTGGGAGTCTGAGTCGGGTGGATCACCTGAGGTCGGGAGTTTGAGATCAGCCTGACCAACATGGAGAAACCCCATCTCTACTAAAAATACAAAATTAGGTGGGCATGGTGGTGCATACCTGTAATCCCAGCTACTTGGGAGGCTGAGGCAAGAGAATGGCTTTAACCTGGGAGGCGGAGGTTGCAGTGAGCCGAGATCACACCATTGCACTCCAGCCTGGGCAACAAGAGCGAAACTCCTTCTCCAAAGAAAAAAAAAAAAAAAGCAACACTGAATTGCATACTTTAAAAGTACAGTATGTGAATTATACCTCTATAAAGGTGTTATTAGAGAGAGATGATGACAGATGTAAAGCCCTTGCAATTTCTAGTCTGCAGTAAGAGCCAGGAAATGGAAGCTGTTATTTTTATCTGGCTAGGGGGTGATTGTTTGAATTACAAATGTGGTGCTCCACTTAACAAAAGCCTTCACATTAGGGTTCCTCTAACAGTCCAGTCCCTCAAACCATCTAAATATCTACAAATTCCAGAATTCTTTTTGCTTGTAGCATTTCAAAAGTTTATTGTGTAAAGAGAAAAAAATCAGACAATCCCGCCTCTGAAATTTTTAGACTGGTTTGGATTTTCCGATGATCTGAGTGGGTGTTTGTTGTCAGAACTCATGTACCCTGGGGAGGTGTCCCACAATAACTAGGAAATAAAGGTGAAGCCATTGCCCTCTGAGAGAAAGTTTTGAGCCAGTAGGGTAGATTCAGACAGTCGTCTGAAGGAAACAGAGTGGATCTCAGGCCTTGCTGCCCTGACCAAGGAATGTATTAGCATATCAAAGAAAGGAGTGTTTCCATTCTGAGAAGTAGTTATTCAAACACAGGCTGGAAACAAGGAGAAGCAGCAAGGGTGTTCTTCACACACCCCAGCTCAGCTAGAACTAAGGTAGGTGGAGCCTCTCACTACCTTGGGTAAGAAAGCCAGGTGGCCCGAGTTCAAATCCCTAGCCCTGTAATTTAGCAAATGGAACCACTCTGTGGGTTCAACTCCTCGTATGTTAAAAATGAAGTTAGCCGGCCAAGGTGGGTGGATAGCTTGAGCCCAGAAGTTTAAGACCAGCCTGGGCAACATAGTGAGACCTCTTCTCTACAAAAAATTCAAAAAATTAGCCAGGCATGGTGGCACATGCCTGTGGTCCCAGGTACTCCAGAGGCTGAGGCAGAAGGATTGCTTGAGCCTAGGAGTTGAGGGCTGCAGTGAGCTGTGATCACGCCATTGTACTCTAGCCTGGGTGACAAAGTGAGACCCTGTCTCAAAAAAAAAAAAAATGAAGCTAATAATAGTATAATAATGTTATTGTGAGGATTAAATCAGTTAACACATGTAACTAGCTTACAATGTACTCACTGCTCACAAGAATTTAGATATCTGGACCCCATGTTGACACAAGAATAATACAGGGCAGTGGCAGGAGAATAGAAGATTCTAGGCAGGCTGGGGACGGTGGTTCATGCCTGTAATCCCAGCACTTTGGGAGGCCGAGGAGGGTGGATAAACTGAGGTCAGGTGTTCGAGGCCAGCCTGGCCAACATAGCGAAACCTCGTCTCTACTAAAAATACAAAAATTAGCTGGGCATGGTGGCATGTGCCCGTAATCCCAGCTACTAGTGGGGCGAGGCAAGAGAATCACTTGAATCTGGGAGACGGAGGTTGCAGTGAGCCGAGATCATGCCAGTGCACTCTAGCCTGGGCAAAAGAGTAAGACTCAGTCTCAAAAAAAAAAAAAAGGAAAATTCTAGGCAGCAGATTCATATGACTAATAAAAGGCAACTTTTGAAATGGATGCATAAGCTAGGGGTTGATAAAACCCTGAAAAATCAGAGTATAGGCCAAGCTGGCTAAGTTCGACTGGACCCAATCTGGGGCTGAATTTGACCTAGGTTTCTCCTAGGACCTCATTATACGCTCATTAACATACCAAATCATACACCCACCAGCACCTGGACAGTCCCAGGAACACCCATATTTGGTGTAAAAATGGGCGGCAACAAGGCTGGGCGCGGTGGCTCATGCCTGTAATCCCAGCACTTTGGGAGGCCGAGGTGGGGGGATCACAAGGTCAGGAGATCGAGACCATCCTGTGAATGGTGAAACCCCGTCTCTACTAAAAATACAAAACATTAGCCGGGCGTGGTGGCAGGCGCCTGTAGTCCCAGCTACTCGGGAGGCTGAGGCAGGAGAATGGCGTGAACCCGGGAGGCGGAGCTTGCAGTGAGACGAGATCGCGCCACTACACTCCAGCCTGGGTGACAGAGCGAGACTCCGTCTCAAAAAAAAAAAAAAAAAAAATGGGCAGCAACAGTTCTGAGAAATCTTCACCTTTTTCCAGGAACCTTCATGAATATTCTGCCCCTTGGCTAAGGAAACCCATAAAGATAGAAACCCCAAACCCGATGGCATAGCTCTCTGTCTTGAGAACACCTGCACCTCCCTTTCTTGAGTGTGTACTCTGCACTTTGCAATAAATCTCAGTACTTTCACTATTTTTCTGCTAGTCCTTGAATTCCTTCTCATGACAGTGACAAAACCTGGACACCAGCAGGGGTCGAGTTCCCACTGGCTTTTGGGGACTTCACCACAGAAGATAAGAAATGACCTAGTGTATCTGGTCAATGAAAGGTCACCTTAGACAAGGGGACTCCTTCCAGAGACTCTGCAGTGCCACTGCAAATGGTGGGATAGGCTGTTTACTGCATAAGGAGGCAAGACTGGGCTAAATTCCAGCCCATACCCGGACCATTTGACCCAGAAGGAGCATCTTTTTAATTTTATTTTTTAAATTAATTTATTTATTTTTTAATTTTTAAGACAGAGTCTTGCTCTGTCACCCAGGCTGGAGTGCTGTGGCGTGATCTCTGCTCACTGCAACCTCCACCTCACAGATTCAAGCAATTCTCATGCCTTAGCCTCCCAAGTAGCTGGGATTACAAGTGTAAACCATCACATCTGGCTAATTTTTGTATTTTTAGTAGAGACGGGTTTTGCCATGTTGGCCAGGCTGGTCTTGAACTCCTGGGCTCAAGCGATCCTCTCGCCTCGGCCTCCCAAAGAGCTGGGATTGCAGTGGTGAGCCACCATGACTGGCTCGTCTATAATTTTTACTTAACAGTAATTATCTTCCATATAAATCAAGGGAGAGGAAGGGTTAGCTATGCATTAATTCTCAACATCCATTAATTCTCAACATCCTGTCCACCTAAAGAAAGAAACTAAGGCAAAATTAATACAGAGAATTTATTTGGGCAGAGTTTGAGGACTCCAGCCCAGGACACACTTCCAAGTTGACTGGGAGAGTGCTTTGTTTGGCCTTTGTTATTAAACAGGGTTTTAAAAGCAAGAAGTGGGCTGATGCAAAGTTGTTTGACAGGAATTCTCACTGGTTTACAGAGATGACATTGGTTAGCAACTGGCTATGTTAGTAGCGGTGAATCAGTGAATCTGTAGGGTTCTGCAGCAACCTCAATTCTTGCCTCATCAGAAGAAAGAATTTGACCCAGGGGCATAAGGCAAAGTGAGAGACTGAGGCAAGTTTTAGAGCAGGAGTGAAAGTTTATTAAAAAGCTTTAGAGTGGGAATGAAAGGAAGGAAAGTCCACTTGGAAGAGGGCCAAGTGGGTGACTTGAGAGATCAAATGTGTAGTTTGACCTTTGACTTGAGGTTTTATATGTTGGCATTTTTCTGGGGTCTTGCATTACTTCTCTCCTGATTCTTCTTCCCTTGGAGTGGGCTGTCCGCATGTACAGTGGCCTGCCAGCATTTCAGAGGGGCTGCGTGCGCAGCGTGTTTACGGGAGTTATATGCATGCTCACTTGAGGCATTCTTCCCTTAGTCAAATACTCTTAGAAGGTCATATACCAGTTAAACTCTGCCATTTTGCCTCTTAGTGTGAATGTCTGAGCCCACTCACCCAACTTGGAAGGCTGTTCATCACTAGTATCTGGTTTTTCTAACTACTGGGAGACTGCCTTTCCCTGGCACTAGGTGTGACAAGTGGCGTGATCTTGGCTCACTGCAGCTTTGACCACCTGGGCTTAAGCCATCTTCCCACCTTAACTTCCTGATTAGCTGGAACTACAGGTGTGCACCACCACACCCAGCTAATTTTTGTATTTTTTGTAGAGACGTACTTTTGTCATATTGCCCAGGCTGGTCTCAAACTCCTGGACACAAGGGATCTACCTGCCTTGGCCTCCCAAAGTGCTGGGATACAGGCATGAGCCACCATGCCCAACCAAGTGATTGGTTAACATCAGTTTACCTCAGTTTACTTTTTTGTTAAGGATTAAAGCAGAGAGAACTTCATTATCATGCCAATTGAAACTGGCCTGTTCAGGAAGTTAGGCTGTTATCTCTCTCTTGATTTATGGGAAGGTCAGATAACAAATTAGTTTTGGTTTGGTGGCATGGAAACCTCAGCCTGAGTGATTCCATTTTGATTTTTAGTCTGGTCTGCTGGGGCCTAGTACAGAAGCTTAGACCAAAAGAATGGCTATGTATATATATAGTTTACCATATGATCGAGCCACTGCAGTCTAGTCTTCTCATGTGTGCCTGACTAGCTACTATAACAGCTAGACATCGTTGAGCTATAGGGTATGGGATATGGCATCCAGCATATGGCATTTGGTGACTACTTGGCATCAGTTGATCTAGAGACTATGTAGCAAGTGGCTTCAAGAGGTAATTGTGGCTGGGTGTGGTGGCTCACACTTGCAATCCCAGCACTTTGGGAGGACGAGGCAAGAGGATCGCTTGAGCTCAGGAATTTGAGACCAGCCTGGCCAACATGGCAAAACACATCTCTACTAAAAATACAAAAATTAGCCAGGTGTGGTGGTGCACACCTGCAATCCCAGCTACTTGGGAGGCTGAGGCACGAGAATCACTTCAATCTGGGAGGCGGAGGTTGCGGTGAGCGGAAATAATGCCACTGTGCCCCAGCCTGGGTGACAGAGCAAGATTCTGTCTCAAAAATTTTTTAAAATTAAAAAATTAAAATGGATCACGAGGTCAGGAGATCGAGACCATCCTAGCTAACACAGTGAAATCCCATCTCTACTAAAAATAGAAAAAATTAGCCAGACGTGGTGGCGGGCACCTGTAGTCCCAGCTACTCGGGAGGCTGAGGCAGGAGAATGGCGTGAACCTGGTAGGCGGAGCTTGCAGTGAGCCGAGATCGCGCCACTGGCCTCCAGCCTGGGCGACAGAGCAAGACTCCGTCTCAAAAAAAAAAAAATTTAAAAAGATGCACCTTCTGGGCCAAATGGTCACAGTATGGGCTGGATTTTAGCCCAGTCTTGCCTCCAGTCTTGCACTCTAGCCTGAGCAACAGAGCAAAACTCTGTCTCTCTAAAAAAATAAAATAAAAAGTAGAAGTCTAAAAATTGTTTTTAAATTAAAAAAAAAACAGGAAAAGGAAATTTAAAAAACAATCACTTATTTCTCTATAGTTCTGTTTCCTTGTGCCTGCCTTGCAGAGGAGAACTTTGAAATGACCAATCCGCCAGGCGCGGTGGCTCACACCTGTAATCCCAGCACTTTGGAAGTCCGAGGTGGGTGGATCACGAGGTCAGGAGACTCTGCTCGGCTCATTGGAACACTTATTCTATTTTATGGAATGAAGTGTTTAATTTATTTAGGATATTTAAAGATATTTAAATTTAAGATATTTAAACTCTTAGGTTGGGTGCAGTGACTCATGCCTGTAAACCCAGCACTTTGGGAGGCCAAAGCAGGCGGATCACCTGAGGTCAGGCATTTGAGACCAGCCTGGCCAACATGGCAAAACCCCATCTCTACTGAAAATATAAAAAAATTAGCCGGGCATGGTGGTGTGCGCCTGTAATCCTAGCTACTCAGGAGGCTGAGGCAAGAGAATCACTTGAACCCGGGAGGCGGAGGTTACAGTGAGCTGAGATGGTGCCACTGCACTCCAGCCTGGGTGACAGAGCAGGACTCTGTCTCAAAAAAAAAAAAATTATTACAGATATTGTTTAATATTATATTTATATTATGTAAATAATATATTTAACATTTAAACACAATATATGTATATAATAATATTTATTATATTTCAAGCGCTCGATAGCTACATATATATACATATATGCATACAATAGAACATTCTGCTAAGTGAAATGAGCCAGTCACAAAAGGACAAATACTGTATTAATCCATTTATAAGAGGTTCCTAGCATTGTCAAACTTATAGAGACAGAAAGTAGAATGGTGGTTGCCAGGAGCAAGGCGGGTGATGGGGGAGTAGGGAAGAAAGGAATCAGGGGTTGTTTAATATGTAGACAGTTTCTGTTCTGTAAGATGAAAATGTTCTGGAGTTTAATCCCACAACTATATGAATGCAGTTAATGTTACTGAACTGTACACTTAAAAATGGTCAGGATGATAACTTTTATATTATATTTTACTACAATTAAAAATAAAACATTGTTAAAACAAAAAAAATCTATTTTACTTTTTCTCTTTACTTTTAAAAATGTGCCCAACAGGAAAATTTATTACTACTCATGTGGTATGCATTATATTTCTGTTGATGCTACTCTAGAAAACAGAATTTTGATATCCAAGGGTTTTTTAACAAAGTAACTTGATCATGAGAAATAAAAATAAAATCCTAAACCTCCCAGCCAACTGAATGGGCCCCCTCTTGGCCAACCGGATCCCAGAAAATCTTTAAATGCTGAGCTCCCAGTCATGTTGGGACAGGAGGTCAGACACACCTCAGGAGGCCCCTTCCTTACTAACCTCAGCCAGAATTCTTTCCTAAGGAATAAGCAGAGAGCAGCTCTAGAAAACAAGAAACAGATGAGGCGTGGTGGCTCACACCTGTAATCTCAGCACTTTGGGAGGCTTAGCTGGGAGGATTGCTTGAGCTCAGGAGTTCATGACCAGCCTGGGCAACATAGTGAGATCCTGTCTCTACAGAAAAATTTTAAAAATAACATTAATACAGAAAAAAAGGAAACAAGAAACAAAGAATTCATTCCTTTATCACCTCTAGTCAATCACCTGAGGCCGTGACCAGACTCCCCGTCTCTTTTGCAGTTTCCACACAGCAACTGACCAGCACTCCTTCCTGTTAAGAGGTCACCAACCATAGAGCAGTTCTGGGCAGGGTATAGAGGCTGCAGTGAGGGACAGTGAGCTCTGTGTCCTCTGCTTCACCTTTTGACATCAGAGGGCTGAAAACACCTCCCTCAGATCATGCTAATGTCGCAGTTTTTGGAACATGCAACCCATGAAGAGGCATGAAGTTCAATTGTACATGTGCATGTTTCTTGTTTCATAAATATTCATGAGTCCTTCTATAGCTTACTGCGTATGTATACTCAGCCAACCAGCTCAGCATAAATTTCTGTTTTACACTTCCCATTCTTTTTTTTTTTGAAGACAGAGTCACGGTCTGTCACCAGGCTGGCATGCAATGGTATGATCTCAGCTCACTGCAACCTCTGCCTCCTGGATTCAAGCGATTCTCCTGCCTCAGCCTCTTGAGTAGCTGGGACTACAGGCATGCACCACTATGCCCAGCTAATTTTTGTATTTTTTAATAGAGACAGCGTTTCACCATGTTGGCCAGGAGGGTCTCGATCTCTTGACCCCGTGATCCACCCGCCTCAGCCTCCCAAAGTGCTGGGATTACAGGCGTGAGCCACTGCACCGGCCTCTACACTTCCCATTCTTGAAGCTCCTGTTCCCCATCTTCTGTCACAGGCTATGCTTCCCAACCTGTCAGAATGGCCACCTTGTGGATCACCTGAGGTTAGGAGTTCGAGACCAGCCTGGCCAACATGGTGAAACTTCGTCTCTACTAAAAATACAAAAATTAGCCAGGCGTGGTGGCGGGTGCCTGTAATCCCAGCTACTGGGGAGGCTGAGGCAGGAGAATCGCTTGAACCTGGGAGGCACAGGTTGCAGTGAGCTGAGATCGCCCCATTGCCCCACTGCACTCCAGCCTGGGCAACAAGCACGAAACTCCGTCACAAAAAGAAAAAAAAAGAATGGCCCAACTTGCAGGCTGCAACCCTTTATGAGAAATAGAACCCTGCCTTCGAAATTTGTGACCCTCATCACTCTTCAGGTGACAATATAGACTGAAGAATGAGGAAGAGGTAACTAACCAAGCTTGAGGTGTCCACATTGGGGTAGGGTTTGAGGTTAGGAGGGTTGGAGAGCTTTTGAGGCAGAAAGAACAACTTGAGTAAAAGCCCTGAGGCAAAAGAGAGAATGGAGTGTTCCAGAAAGAGCAGTGAAGCTGGAGTGCACAGACAGAGGGGAAGAAGGCCCTGAGGTGAGGCCGGAGAAGTAGGCAGGGGCCAGCTCAGTGGGGCCTGGAGGCCTTGCTAAGGACTTTGGCCTTTATCTCAAAGCAATGGGGGCCAGGTGCAGTGGCTCACACTGCTAATCACAACACTTTGGGAGGCTGAGGTGGGCAGATACCTGAAGTCAGGAGGTGAGACCAGCCTGGCCAATATGATGAAATATGTCTCTACTAAAAATACAAAAATTAGCTGGGTATGGTGGCAGGCGCCTGTAATCCCAGCTGCTTAGGAAGCCAAGGCAGGAGAATTGCTTGAACCCGAGAGGTGGAGGTTGCAGTGAGCCAAGATAGTGCCACGCACTCCAGACTGGGCAACAGAGTGAGGCTCCATCATAAACAAATAAATAAATAAAGTAAATAAATCAAGCAAGCAAGCAAGCAATGGGAGGGCAGCAGGAGAATGGCAGGAATGCCTTTTAAGAGATTGCTCTTTCTGGCATCTCCGATGCAGGGAGCCAGAGCCTATGTGTGTGTGCCCCTTTTTGTTTAATTTTCACACTTTTTTCATGAGATTAACAACGTTGAACTTTACCTAAGCCCTATGCTCCTGGAAAACGGCAAGAGTTAAGACATCTCCCAACCTTTTGTTTTTCACACTCCCCTCATCCTTTTGTGTTCCTGGAAATTGCTTACCTGTAAGAACCACTGGCTCCTCCCATTAATTAATTAATTAATTATTTCTTTTTCTTCTATGTTTGTTTTTTGTTTTTGTTTTTGTTTTGAGACAGGGTCTCACTTTGTTGCCCAGGCTGGAGTGCAGTGGTGCATTCATAGCTCACTGTAGGCTCTACCTCCCAGGATCAAGTAATCCTCCCACCTCTGCCCCCAAGTAGCTGGGACACCTGGCTAACTTTTTAATTTTTTGTAGAGATGGAGGTCTCTCTTTTTTTTTTTTTTTTTTTTTGAGATGGAGTTTCACTCTTGTCACCCAGCCTGGAGTGCAGTGGAGCGATCTCGGCTGGCTGCAACCTGCAACCTCTGCTTCCTGGGTTGAAGCGATTCTCCTGCCTCAGCCTTCTGAATAGCTGGGATTACAGGTGTGTGCCACCATGCCCAGCTAATTTTTGTATTTTTAGTAGAGATGTGGTTTCACCATGCTGGCCAAGCTGGTCTCAAACTCCTGACCTCAGGTGATTTGCCCACCTTGGAACTACCAAAGTGCTGGGATTACAGGTGTGAGCCACTGCTCCAGGCTCCACTAATTTAGATAAGACTCCCTTCTATAGGATTCACAGATGACTTCCAGGTATTTGTGACAAGGTCAAATGCAGACCCTTCAACTTCGAGTTCCTTTTTTCATGAGCAATTAAGATTAGAATTGCCTGTCCCCCTGAAACTAGAGACAAAAGTAAACATTTTCTGTTCAGCTGGTAGAGACTTCCCCTGATTGCAAAACCATTCTAACTGTTCCTTATGCAACTGTGACTTGCCCATTCCTAACTATAAAGGTCTAAGGCAAAGCTACTTTGCCAGAATACTTTGATCTTCACATCTAGATGGCTCTCCCTATTGCAATAGCCTTAATAAAATCTTATCCTTAATTTTCCTATGCATTTTGTCTCTTTTTTTTTTTTTTGAGGCAGTCTCTCTCTGTCACCCAGGCTGGAGTGCAGTGGAGCAATCTTGGCTCGCTGCAACCTCTGCTTCCCAGGTTCAAACAATTCTCCTGCCTCAGCCTCCCGAGTAGCTGGGATTGCAAGTGCCCGCCACCATGCCCACCTAATTTTTATATTTTTAGTAGAGACGGGGTTTCACCATGTTGATCAGGCTGGTCTCGATCTCTTGACTTCGTGATTTGCCCACCTCGGCCTCCCAAAGTGCTGGGGTTACAGGCATGAGCCACCGCATCTGGCCCTCATAAGTCTATTTTTAAAAATTTATCCTTTACTTGGTCACTTCCCCCCTTCAAATATCACAGGTTTTCTTTTAATTTTTTTCTCAAAGTATAAACAGTATGAAATATAAACAAGCTTTTGCATTGCACATGTAGAGGTGTGTGCAATTCAAGCATCATGGAACTATCTACACACCAAAAAAAAAAAAAACCCATCAAATCTTAAACAATTCCTTAAAAATATCAAGGCTCAGAAAGAACTAAAACCCACTTTTTTTTTGTTACACATAAAATTCAAATATTCTGTCTGAAGAAATACACTTAATCATTTTCGCTGTCTTCTACATCTGCATGGTGGTATACTTACAAAAATACGCCTGTATGATCATGTTTAATCTTACTGTTTCCAGCCAGTTTTTTTTGTTTGTTTTTTTTCTTGAGACGGAGTCTCACTCATTGCCCAGGCTGGAGTGCAGTGGCATGATCTCGGCTCACCGCAACCTCTGTCTCCCAGGTTCAAGCAATTCTCCTGCCTCAGCCTCCAGAGTAGCTGGGATTACAGGTGTGCGCCATCACGCCTGGCTAATTTTTGTATTTTTAGTAGAGATGAGGTTTCGCCATGTTGGCCAGGTCTCGAACTCCTGACCTCAGGTGATACACCTGCCTCAGCCTCCCAAAGTGCTGGGATTACAGGCCTGAGCCACTGCACCCAGCCTCCAGCCAGGTATAAAACCTCAAAACCAGCCATCCAGAAAAAACAGGTAATCAGAAAGCTGATCTCTTCCCCACCTCTCTAACCCCAATAACTATGAGGTCAGTTTTATGACAGGACTCCAAACACTGGATTGTGATGAGAAATGCTAGGTCCAGTTTCTTCATAATCCTTTTTGGCATGGCGTACTCATAGACGCCAGCATGTATCCTCCAAATCAGACTGTATTGCTACATGTGTTGTGTAGTGATTTGTGTATCAATAGGTTTTGGCCTCAATCTACTGCTACTCAATTCCTCACTTAATTCCTGGCATCTTAGAGTTCAAATCTCTCATAAGCAATATTCAAAGTACCTGAACATAGTTGAACCACCAGAGAGGACAATATTCTTGCAGGGAAGATGTCTGACATTCACAGGACAATCCTGAATTACTTCATCTACAACTTCCGGGGTAGGTTGTGTGAAGTCTGGATTAGCAAACTCTGGATTTAAAAAAAAAAAAAAAGATCTCAGGTCCCAAGAATCTCTCATACTAAACATCAATGAAAAGGTCCTTGTTTGAAATGGCATCAGGCCGGGCACGGAGGCTCACTCCTGTAATCCCAGCACTTTGGGAGGCCGAGGCAGATCACGAGGTCAGGAGTTCAAGACCAGCCTGGCCAATATGGTGAAACCCCATCTCTACTAAAAATATAAAAATTAGCCAGGCATGGTGGTGCACACCTGTAGTCCCAGCTACTCGGGAGGCTGAGGCTAAAGAATCAATCGCTTGAACCCAGGAGGCAGAGGTTGCAGTGAGCCGAGATCACGCCACTGCACTCCAGCCTGGGTGACAGAGCAAGACTCCATCTCAAAAAAAAAATAATAATAATAAATAATAAATAAAAAACAAAAGGTTCAGAGAGCTTCCAAGTTGGTGAAGTTGGTGAAACGTTGTAGCCACGTTGGACAGAGGAGTGAGTAACTTGGGAACTCACTACTTTCAACTGATATCTGAAGTAGGGGACAGTCTGCTGGGACTGAGACCTTAACCTGTGGTTAAGGTCTGACTCTAGGTGGATAGCGTCATAACTGTATTGTAAGACACCCAGATGGTGGCCAGAGAGCTGTTAAATTGTTTAAAGTGAAGGAAAACCCCACACACATTTGGTGTCAGAAGTAAAAAATGATGTGAGCAGAGTTTTTTTTCTTCTTTTACTATAAGAAGTGTGAAAGTTAGGTCGGGCACGGTGGCTCACACCTCTAATCCCAGCACTTTTGGAGGCTGAGGCGGGCAGATCGCCTGAGATCGGGAGTTTGACCAGCCTGGCCAGCATAGCGAAACCTCGATTCTACTAAAAATACAAAATTTAGCCGGGTGTGGTGGCAGGCGCTTGTAATCCCAGCTACTTGGGAAGCTGAGGCAGGAGAATCGCTTGAACCTGGGGGGCAGAGGTTGCAGTGAGCCAAGATCGTGCTATTGCACTCCAGCCTGGGCAACGGAGCGAGACTCCATCTCAAAACAAAAAGAAGTGTGAAAGTTTTCAGAATCCAAATGGAGTTACTTGTGTCAAACCCAAACATATGGCTGGGGAAGGCCATGAAGGGAGAGTTCTCATCACGCATGTATGCAGCTTTGAATGTGGCCCAACACAAATTCGTGAACTTTCTTAAAACATTGCAAGATTTTTTTGCAATTTTTTTTTTACCTTATCAGCTATTGTTAGTGTTAGTGTATTTCATGTGTGGCCCAAGACAATTCTTCTTCTTCCGATGTGGCCCAGGGAAGAGAAAAAGATTGGACACCCCTGACTTAGAGTTAGAAGTGAGACCTACGTCAAGATCACCTTGAGTAATGTAATCTTGGCTCACTGCAACTGCTGCCTCTTGGGCTCAAGCCATCCTCCCTATTCAGTCTGCCAAGTAGCTAGGACTACAGGTGTATACCGCCACAACTGGCTAATTTTTGTATTTTTTTGTAGAGACAGGGTTTCTCTATGTTTCCACAGGGCTCAAGTGATCCACCCACCTCAACCTCCCAAAGTGCTGGGATTACAAGCATGAGCCACCATGCCCAGCCTCTGGTGAGTCTTCTCTCAGGCTGAACCTCCCTCTTTTTTTGTAGAAGCTCTTTGACTTTATTTGGGGTCTGGTCTGGTAATAAGGCCTTTTTTTTTTTTTTTTTTGAGATGGACTTTCATTCTTGTTCCCCAGGCTGAAGTGCAATGGCACGATCTCAGCTTACTGCAACCTGTACCTCCCAGGCTCAAGCGATTTTCCTGCCTCAGCCAACCAAGTAGCTGGCATTACAGGCATGCGCCACCATTCCTGGTTAATTTTGTATTTTTAGTAGAGATGGGGTTTCACCATGTTTGTCAGACTGGTCTCGAACTCCTGACCTCAAGGGATCCACCCGCCTCAGCCTCCCAAAGTACTGGGATTATAGGCATGAGCCACTGCGCCCGGCCAAGACCTCCTTAATAAATGACCTTGCATCCTTCTTGGGACTATAAAAGGCTTTTGTCTTTTCTGGCAAGCACGTCCTATGAGGATAGCATCATCACAGAGCAAAGTCTGGTTTGTACAGAATTTATGTTCTCTCTGTGAGGCACCCCTTTTCCGGTGAATTCTCTTTTGTTTTTTTCTGCATGCCTGATATAATATTTCCTGTGGTCCACACACCTGGCTTAAAATTTTTGAGGCTGTCTTACTTTGATATCATTTTGGATTGGTTACGTGTATCTGCAAATGATTTGGGGGTTCTTTTATTTTTCCCTGCTTGTTTCTGAACATTTTCTGAGGGCAAAAAATAAACATTCTAAGTGGTGGGCACAGGTGGGCCAATGAAAAGCCACTAGGGGCTGGGCGTGGTGACTCAGGCCTGTAATCCCAGCGCTTTGCGAGGCCGAGGCGGGCAGATCACCTGATCAGGAGTTCAAGACCAGCCTGGCCAACATGGCAAAACCCCATCTCTACTAAAAATACGATATTAGCCAGGTGTGGTGGTGCATGCCTGTAATCCCAGCTACTCGGGAGGCTGAGACAGGAGAATCGTTTGAACCCAGGAAATGAAGGTTGCAGTGAGCCGAGATCGTGCCGTTGCACTTCAGCCTGGGCAACATGAGCGAAACTCCGTCTCAAAATAATAAAAAATAAAAGCCACTAGGGTAGTTGCCACCATCTATGAGGGACTCTTGTCCCTGAAGAAAAAGTCTCCCATGTTAAGATAAACAGGTATGATTATTACTGGGGTGCCTGCCAGTCTCAAGAAAATTGCCATGTGACTAGGAAAAACTTGGTCACAGGTTGGACAACTTCGGATAAAGGCCATCTGCCAGGTATAAAAAAAGTATTCTGTGCCAGGTACACTGTAAAAAAAAAAAAACACGGGTCCAAGCCCCTGACATTCCCAGCAGGGCTTATAGGGGTTTCTTCTGCTCTCAAAAGATTAATAAAAAATTGGACAGGATTCTCAAAATTCTAGGCATGCCAGACTTTCTGGGATGGCATTCCAGCTGGAAAGATATTCAAAATTGATGGCCTAATCTCATGCACATTTTTAAACTGATGGGCAATCTATACCAAGGATAATTTATGGCCATTATGGGAATTATTTGAATTTTCTAAACTTGTTTTTCTCAGAAAACCTCAACTACAGAGTTAAGCAGTCTAAACGTTGGATGCATGAAGAGGCTTCTGATCGCTCTATGTACTTTTGTTGTTGTTGTTTATTCTGAATCTGCTAATTTTTTCACTTGTATTAAGATAAATCTTTTTTTTTTTTTTTTTTTGAGACGGAGTCTCGCTCTGTCGCCCAGGCTGGAGCGCAGTGGCGCAATCTCGGCTCACTGCAAGCTCCGCCTCCCGGGTCCACGCCATTCTCCCGCCTCAGCCTCCCGAGTAGCTGGGACTACAGGCGCCCGCCACCACGCCCGGCTAATTTTTTGTATTTTTAGTAGAGACGGGGTTTCACCATTCACAGGATGGTCTTGATCTCCTGACCTTGTGATCCGTCTGCCTCTGCCTCCCAAAGTGCTGGGATTACAGGCGTGAGCCACCGCGCCCAGCCAAGATAAATCTTTCACTAAAGGCTGCTTGGAGCTTTTCATTTTTCCTCCAACCCCTAAATGAAATATAAACATCCAAGAGTTCACTAGAACAACTCATTTGAAACTGAAAAAAGGGGGGGAGAAGGTTAAAAAAAAAAAGCCTTTTTAAAACCAAAGTGCTATGGAAACTGCCCAAAATTTGGTTCACAGCCTTCATAATATTACATCTCAGGACAAATAAAAATTTTCAAGTTTAGCCATATGAACATGACCCTAACTTGTCCCATTTTGTTAGGGATATAATTTGGATCCAACTGTATTTTTATAAGCTGACAAGTTTATTACTGTTTTACTGTGTGATGATTAGAATTTTAAAGTAAAAACTATAATTTTTTTGTTTTTCTTCATCTATATGTTTTTACGTTTTTGTGTCTACATATTTTATGTATATTATTTTAAATTTACAGAGATCTCTAATTGGCTTGAAGGAAAATAATTAAGTGCTTAAAAAGTAATTTATTAGAAATATAGTAATTAACACAAATGCTTTTAAGTTCACATGAACATAAATCTATACTTTTTTTTTTTTTCTGATATGGAGTCTTGCTCTGTCACCCAGGCTGGAGTGCAGTGGCACAATCTTTGCTCACCACAACCTCCGTCTCCTGGGTTCAAGTGATTCTCCTGCCTCAGCCTCCCGAGTAGCTGGGATTACAGGCATGCGCCACCACTCCTGGCTTATTTTTTGTATTTTTAGTAGAGACAGGGTTTCACCATGTTGGCCAAGCTGGTCTCGAACTCCTGATCTCGTGATCCGCCTGCTTCAGCCTCCCAAAGTGCTGAGATTACAGGCGTGAGCCACCACGCCTGGTGGGTAAATCTTTTGTAAGTAAACTAATCTTAAAATTGTTGGTAAAATAGGCTGGACATGGTGGCTCACACCTGTAATCCCAGCACTATGGGAGGCCGAGGTGGGCAGATCACTTGAGGTCAGGAGTTTGAGACCAGCCTGGTCAACATAGTGAAACCCCAACTCTACTAAAAATACAAAAATTAGCTGGGCATGGTGGCACACACCTGTGATCCCAGCTACTCAGGTGGCTGAGGCAGGAGAATCACTTGAACCTGGGAGGTGAAGGTTGCGGTGAGCTGAGATCGTGCTATTGCACTCAAGCCTTGGTGACAGAGTGAAACTCCACCTCAAAAAAGAAAAGAAAAAAAAAATTGTTGGTAAAATAAAAATAAAAATGTCTTCAGAATTCTTAGCATAAATTTTTGCCTGAGTTTACTGGTCAGAAAGTTCTATATTTGTCTCCGCTAGATGTTCTAAGGTCATAGACCCACAAATCCAGCCTTAAAAGCAAAATTATCTTTGTGTAATTCTTTGATGAATAAGGCTACTTTAATATTGTTTAAATTTTTTTTTTGTAGTGATGGAGTCTTGCTATGTTACTCAGGCTAGTCTCAAACTCCTGAGCTCAAGCAGTTCTCCTGCCTCAGCCTCCCAAAGTGTTGGGATTATAGATGTGAGCCACTGCACCTAGCCAGTAAAAAATTGTTTTAAAAAAGAACATGAATATATGTTTTTAATTTAAAAATAATAATTATATCTAATTCAGACATTATTTAAAGGTGGTTTCAAAATATAGATTTAAGAAGAAAATAAAAACAAGGCAAAGAAATCAATAAGTAGGAAGAGACATGCAAAGAAAATTATAAATATGAGAAGGTATCTTTGGTAAGAAAGATGAAAAAGATACATAACTTTGTATGAGAAAGAATCTTGTGTGGTAAAAATGATAAAGAAAAAGAAAAGCAAATTTTTGTCCTAAGGTAGAATAATTATTTGTTCCAATATTAAAAAAGAAAGTCTAAAACAAAATTAGGCCTAAGCAAGCCATAAGAGGTTTGAGCAACTTGCAAAAGGTTTGTGAAACATGAATCTTATGAAATAAATTTTGTATGTAATCAAGTTGGCTAAATTTAGAAGGAAATTGTTTATAAATTTTTCTGAAAATTGAATATACTGATACAAAACCCAAAACTAGTTCTCTATGTTTAAAGCAGCAAGGGTTTCCTGGAGTATCATTGCTCTTAGTTAAAAAAAAAATTACCACAGGTTTTGGTTTTTAATTCTGAAATCTGGCTGGATGTGGTGACTCACACCTGTAATCCTGGTGCTTTGGGAGGCCGAGGCAGGAGGATTGCTTGAGGCCATGAGTTTGAGACCAGCTTAGACAATATCATGAGACCCCAATCTCTACCAAAAAAAATTAAAAATTAGCCAGGTATGATGGTGCACACTTTTAGTTCCTCCCCCACCCCCCAACCTTCTCAGGAGGCTGAGGTGGGAGGATCAGTTGAGCTCAGGAGTTTGAGTCTGCAGTGAGCTATGATGGTACCACTGTACTCCAGCCTGGGCAACATAATAAGACCCTATCTCTAAAAAAACAAACAAACAAAAACCCTGAAATCTGATTCTTTAAATTTTTTACCATCTTCTGAACTATAACCTCTTCCTGTTTTATGGTTTCTGTTTAATTTCCCTAATTCTAGGTTTAGAATGCTATCTTTTAAATTAGTAAGTTACTTTCTCAAAATAGAGTCTTTCTCTTGAAGATTTTCAGATTTATGTCTCAGAAGCTCAACTTCTGCTGCACCTCATTGCACATGATTTGCAGGTCATACACCATTGCCTTCTGCTCTTCCTCCTTCTCCCCTTAAGAAGGCACACTTTTTTTTTTTTTTTTTGAGACGGATTCTCACTCCGTCACCCAGGCTGAAGTGTAATGGCATGGTCTTGGCTCACTGCAACCTCCGCCTCCTGGGTTCAAGCGATTCTCCTGCCTCAGCCTCCCGAGTAGCTGGGACTACAGGTGCATGACACCACACCCGGCTAATTTTTGTATTTTTAACAGAGACGGGGTTTCACTGTGTTGGCCAGGCTGGTCTCGAACTCCTGACCTCGTGATCCACCTGCCTCGGCCTCCCAAAGTGCTGGAATTACAGGCATGAACCACCGTACCCGGCCACACTTTTTTTTTTTCTTAATCAACTTAATGACTCACTCCCTTGACATTTTGGTAAGCTTCTGCATTTATTTTCTCTGGTTCTAACTCTGCTGTTGAGGCCTAATGCTGATATGTTTGTCTTAAAGGTCTAGAAAAGCAATGTTTTCCTCCAAGAATAACTTGATTCTGTGCTGTTGGCTTTTCTTGAAATGTCTGAATTATTCCATGTAACAAGGAAACTTAATGTGCTTTCACTTTTTCTAAGAGCCATATGTTTCCCTGCTCAAGGTACTTATTTTTTTTGTTTACTTCTTCTATAATATAGTGTATACTCATAACCTTGGACACACACTCATCCAGTGTCAATTTGAATTCAAGTACCTTTTCATTAGGTTAGATTTTCAGATTATCTAAAAGGACTTCCTATAAGAAGCAATTACACTGCAGGAGTATTTATTTTTTGGTAATTGGTCTAGGAAACAAAGATTCTGTGTTTTATCAAGGTAATTTCCTGTGCTTCATGCTGTCTTTATTGGTTTTTTGTTGTTGTCGTTGTTGTTGTTTTTGAGACAGAGTCTAGCTCTGTTGCCAGGCTGGGGTGCGGTGGCGTGATCTTGGCTCACTGCAACCTCCACCTACCGGGTTCAGACGATTCTCCTGCATCAGCCTCCCGAGTAGCTGGGACTACAGGTGTGTGCCACCACACCCGGCTAATTTTTGTATTTTTAGTAGAGACGGGGTTTCACCATGTCGGCCAGGATGGTCTTGATCTCTTGACCTCGTGATCCACCCACCTCAGCCTCCCAAAGTGCTGGGATTACAGGCGTGAGCTGCTGCACCCGGCCAGGTTTTTGATTACTTAGGAAAACTGAGTCTTTAGCCTTTTTTTTTTTTTAATAAAACATACATGCAACTTTCTGCATTTGCCTTTGGAATTTTTATTCTTTAAGATAGGGTCTCACTATGTTGTCCAGTCTGGCCTGAGACTTCTACACTTAAGGGATCCTCCCACCTCATTCTTCCAAGTTGCTGGGACTACAGGTGCACACCATCATGCTCAGCTTACTTTTAAAATCTTCAGTCACGATCCTTTTGTAGTTCATAAGGATGATGACTGAGTGTTCACACTCGTGTGTGAGATGTGCCACCCTCAGACCTTGAAATCTTCAGTCACTCTTGTTAAGTGAACAACTATTATTTCACTATGATCTGCAATTCTGTTTTAATTAAATGTTTTATACTTTTTGACATATTTGGCCAGCTTTCTCAATATCAGAGTTCTAAATGAAGTCTTTTCAACCTAGAATTATCTTTGAGATTTTCTAGTTGGGCTCCTGGAGAGCCTCAAACAATGTATTTTTCAGCTTGTAGAGCTGTTAAACTAATTAGGCTTGTTTGATGTATTGAGTTGTATGAGAAGCGTTGGAGGCACAGATGGGATCAAATAACAAAGTGACACTAAGTCTTCTCTAAGTTATATTTATATGGCTATGTTATTGATGTGAAAGATCTAAAAATTATGTAAAATTTATAAATGTTTGATGGTCCTAATGTGATACTGTTAGTCATTTTTCTGGTTGTTGTCTTAAAATGCTGTATGCAATAAACATAACTGAGTTTCCTTGTCAATTGCTGAACTCTCATCAGATTTTTAACCATGGCTGTTTTAAGCCTCTGTCTTCCACAGTTTTAATTCTTCTTTAAATGCATCTGCAATCAGATTCATGGAAAAGACTCTGGCAAGTACTCCTGAATATGGGTTTCTGATAAGTTTAAGATCAATGGACTAAATAAAGATATTCAGGACCCCCATGAAGAAACTGATAAATTCATGAAACTGACAACTAAGATTAAACAGAACAAAAATTAATTACATGAGATTAAATATCTAATGAAGACAGATATTTGAAACATTGTTGGTTTTTTACTTACATGTTTTGTTTTCCAGATTTAAGGAGACTTTCTCTCTCAAGATATCTATAGTTTACAACAATTTGGTAAAGTATACTTTTGTGAACAAAACTGGCAACACTTACTTTTTCTCTGTCCCTCCAAAATTTGGAAACTATTTGTGAGTATGCTTAATTTTTATGGCAATGAAGTTGTCTGCATAAGTTTAATTAGAAGCTGCTTTTTAAATAACAAGGTATAGTTGGAAACATTGGTTACGTTACCAGGCTTTTAAATGGAATGTCATATTTTAAGTTATTTATAGGTATAGCAGAAAAAGTCTGAAGTCTGCCGTAGATTAGCTTTCTAGCCTTGAGAAATTTTTAAAAGTCAAATCTGAGATTCCTATGTGGTCAATTACTATTTCTGCTGTGCTTGTGTGAATTTATCAGGCCAAATTTGATAAAACACAAATAACAACAAATTAGTCTTACTCGGATTATCTTTGGTAGAAATCAGAATGACTGTAGAAAGAAAAATCGTGTTTCTATGTTTCTGAAGAAAAGCTAGACTATACCTGTTATTAGATTGTAACCCTGTGTGGGGTATTTTTGTTTGTTTGTTTGAGTTTTTTTATTTACCTGTGGATTGAACTGGATCTTAAATTCTTCTAGGTTCCTCCAATCCACTTTTCTCCCATGGAATTACTAAGAATGGGAACTGCTCTTTCCTGAAGCCCTGTAAGCTGAAGTTAGACAACTTGATGTAAATTTCAAGGGTCAAGACTCACGCCTGATGTGTGGGTCACATCAAAAGTTCACCAAACCACCCAATGCCATAACCAGAGACATTTAAACTACAAACCAGAATGAGCAGTTGACATCTTCATGCTGTGGGCATGCTGTTCCTAAAATGATGGAATAAGATTTCCCGTCATAATGAGACTCTTGCCCCTCTGAATTTTTCCTTGCTTATGCCTAACTTTTTCACTTGGCATAATAATGATGTAATTAAAATTTCACATTCAGCAGCTTCTGCAGGGAACTTGACCAAATGTTGTATCTGTCATGCCAATCCTAAGTATTTACATAGCCTAAAAAAAAAAAAATCCTTTAGTGCATCCAATAGGTAACTTTAACAAAATCCCTAATACAACTGTCACTCTTTGCTTTAACTCAACCCAGTCATGAGATAATAGATGATAGAATTGCTCTTGATTATCCAGCTGAAAAAGGCAGTGTCTGTGCTATTGCTAACACTACATGCTGTACTCAGATAAATTCCTCTGGGGAAGTCGAGACCCAAATACACAAAATAAGAAAACAGGCCACATGGAAGCAATAGGTCTCACCTAATTCGACATAGTCATTTGATTTATTAGTCGGTTGCCTTTAAACCTTCGTTCATGGTTCAAAACTATTAGGCAAGCTGAAATTATCATAGTAGTATCAGTGATATTTTGTGTTTTCCTTTTTAAACTTTGTATCTGTTGTCTGTTAAATTTCTGCAGCAGTAGGACTTCTAACAATAATGCTGTCCCAGGGCTTTGAATGCTAGCCAATGCCTACGGAACAGACAAAATTAAACTTGACGATGGACTCTAGATAGACTTCGCCTGACAGGCACCCCCTCCAAACCTCCCTTGTTACTCAAATGTGGCTAAAAGGGTTTTGACACTTACTCCTAGTTGCCAGTTAATTCCTTCTGATGTGGGACCAGACTAACAACTCAGGACAGGTTACCTCCACACCAACAGACAGTCAAAAGCTAACCAAAAGATAATTAATCAAAGATGCTTTCAGAGAAAGATCTTGATCAAAAAAGAAAAGTACAAAAGTTATCAGAATCAAAATGGAATCACTTGTGTCAAACCAAATTGACAAATGAAGCCACGAAGGGGGGATCTCGTGCACATGCACCTGGTAACAAGAACAGTCACAAGGGACTACAAAAACAACCTTGCACAAAAGTTGCTACAATAGCCCACAAAAACTACTTCTGCGGGCCGGGCGCGGTGGCTCCCACCTGTAATCCCAGCACTTTGGGAGGCCGAGGCGGGTGGATCACCTGAGGTCAGGAGTTCGAGACCAGCCTGGCCAACATGGCGAAACCCCATCTGTACTAAAAATAAAAATAAAAAATTAGCCGCGTGTGGTGGCACATGCCTGTAATTCCAGGTACTCGGGAGGCTGAGGCAGGAGAATCACTTGAACCCAGGAGGCGGAGGTTGCAGTGAGCCAAGATCGCACCATTGTACTCCAGCCTGGGCGGCAAGAGTGAAACTCTGTCTCAAAAACAAAACAAAACAAAACAATCATTGTCTTCCTTTACTTCCCCGAATATACCCACCTGTACTCCCATTGCAATGCTCATTCCTCAGTAACAAACATCATTTTCTCTTGGAGAGCTTCTCTCTCTGTTATTTGGGTTGACCGAAGAATCGAGACCACACTCAGCGTCTGCCACTCCCTCAGTTCATTCATGAGCCAAGTGGTCAGAGGCAGCAGATCCTTGCACACGGGTTGCCATGCTTTTACTCATGTGACCTGTAGCCCTGAAGTAGCAGAGCTGTCATTGCTCCACTTATTTCCCTGTGACCTTTTAGTGGGCTCCAGCCCATTCCCAACTTCCGGTATTTACGACTCTTAGCCCAGAGGCTTTTTTATTTTCCGCAGAACTGAGAAAGGTGGCTCTTCCCAGACACAGGGGAGGGTGAAAGTGTCTGGGAATTAGCATCCTCAGAGAGCAGCCTTCAAACAGTAACAGTAGGAAGTTGGTATATAAATACATCTATTCCCTCCTCCTTTTGGTGGGATAATTCTGAAGCATATGTTTCATGGTGGGTTTCCCCCCAGGGAAGTAAACTCTAGTTGCCCACTATGGTAGCTTGCTTAATAACGCACTTTCCCTTCTTGTGTCACTTCTTTTTTTGGTGGGGGGACGGAGTCTCGCTCTGTCGCCCAGGTTGGAGTGCAGTGACACCATCTTGGCTCACTGCAACCTCCGCTTCCTGGGTTCAAGAGATTCTCCTGCCTCAGCCTCCCGAGTAGCTGGGATTACAGGTGCCCACCACCACAGCCGGCTAATTTTTTGTATTTTTAGTAGAGACAGGTTTTCGCCATGTTGGCCAAGCTGGTCTCGACCTCCTGACCTCAGGTGATCTGCCTGCCTTGGCCTCCCAAAGTTCTGGGATTACAGGTGTGAGCCACTGCGCCTGGCAGTCTTTGTGTCACTTCCACACTCACCTACCAGTCTGCCCTGCACCTTCCAAAGACAAACTTGTATTCAAATCCTTTCTTCTGAGAGAACCCATACTAATCACCAGACTCAACTGATTAGACAAGGAATGAGCCTTGACCCAAGACAGCCATTGTGGTTGGCCACAACTCTGCCCTGTACGTGATTATGGTTAGGAAAGCAACCCAACTTTTTCTCAGGGAGCACAGAAGGAAGAAACTAAAGTGGGAAAAAGGAAGAGTAACAAATGAGCTGGCTTTTGGGAATGGTGGCATCCTGGGGGAGGATAGTGTCCTCCTGAGTCCTGACTATACCATCCCACTGATGCGCTTCCCTGAGGGTGCCAATATGTCTGTGCACTTTTTTTTTTTTTTTGAGACGGAGTCTCACTCTATTGCCCAGGCTGGAGTGCAGTGGCACGATCTCAGCTCACTGCAAGCTCCGCCTCCCAGGTTCAAGAGATTCTCCTGCCTCAGCCTCCTGAGTAGCTGGGATTACAGGCATGCGCCACCACTCCCAGCTAATTTTTATATTTTTAGTAGAGGCAGGGTTTCTCCATGTTGGTCAAGCTGGTCTTGAACTCCTGACCTTCTGATCCACCTGCCTCGGCCTCCCAAAGTGCTGGGATCACAGGCGTGGGCCACCGCGCCCGGCCATCTGTGCACTTTTAAAACAATTTCCACCATCTGCCTCAACCTGAGCACAGCTTCTCTCACAATCTTAAAAGGCCCAACTCATGGAGACTTTAGAGTCAGACAGACCTCAGTTCAGATCAGTCTTGTGTGGTCTTCAATGAATGGCTTTCAGCCTCTGAGCCTCAATTTCCTCAGTTCTGAATGGGAGAACACTATCTCACATGTGTTTTTAAGGATTGAATAAAGCAATGGGTGCTAAGCAACCTGATGCATAGTTTGTTGTCAGTAAATGTAGCTCCGTCCCTTACCTGAGCTCTTCTGCAGATACTGGCATCTACAAATAGTTCCTGTCTTTTGGTTGCCATGGTGACCCTAGGCAAGCTATAAATTTCCCCTAATGAAGCTGGGATGTTTTCTCTTTTCGTGCTGTGCCTGTGTCTAGGATAGATTAAAAACTCTCAAAGGAGTCACATTTTAGAATGTGTAGTCTGACCATTTATAATCCACACCACCCACTTTGATACAGCCAAAAACAATCAAAGAGGGAAAACAGGTTCAACTCAGTCTTCCCTGAGCACAAAGGTGCTCTGTATTTTTGGTGGTTTAGGAAACAACTGGAGGGTGGGACTGACAACAATGGGAATTGTTGATTGGCTTTGGAAGGAAGACTTTGACCAGTTGGTGTCATTCAAGAGGCCATTGATCAGGCACAGTGGCTCATGCCTGTAATCCCAACACTTTGGGAGGCTGAGGTGGGAGGATTGCTTGAGTCCAGGAGTTCAAGACCAGCTTGGACAACATAGGGAGAATCTTGTCTCTACAAAGTAAAAAGAAATAAATTAAAACCTAGCCGGTTGTGGTGGTGTGTGCCTGTGGTTCCAGGTACTTGGGAGGCTGAGATAGGAGGATCGCTTGGACTCAGGAGGTTGAGGCTGCAGTGAGCCATGGTCATGCCACTGCACTCCAGCCTGGGCGACAAAGTGAAACCCTCATTAAGAAAAAAAAAAAGAGCCCATGAAGCAAGCTCTTCTTGGGTGCCCTTCATTTATTTTCCCTTTGGGTAATTCATTTCGATTCAAAACAGCACACACACCTGAGTACCTGATTGTACCAGGTCTAGAGCTAGGCATGAGGGTCTCAGATGTGAATCTAGCCCAGGATCTGCCTCAGGGAGCTCATGGTCAGCAACATCGCTTTCTTTCTTTGTAAGATGAAGATGTCAGAGTACACGATTTTTAAATTCCTTCTCACCTTGAGTTTCTACCATTTGTATGAATCTGAGGTCAATTCTCAGAAGAAGCCCATGAAGAAAGGTTTTACTTTGCCAGGCATGGTGGCTCATGCCTGTAATCCCAGCACTTTGGGAGGCCAAGGCAGGCAGATCACAAGGTCAGGAGTTCAAGACCAGCCTGGCCAATATGGTGAAACCCGCGTCTCTACTAAAAATACAAAAATTAGCTGGGCATGGTGGTGGGTGCCTGTAGTCCCAGCTACTTGGGAGGCTGAGGCAGGAGAATCACTTGAACCTGGGAGGCGGAGGTTGCAGTGAGCCAAGATCGTGCCACTGCGCTCCAGCCTGGGCAACAGAGCAAGACTCCGTCTCAAAATAAATAAATAAAGGATTTACTTAAAGACAAAGATAAGGGTGAGAGACGATTGAGATGTCATGGATTTTTGCCAAGTACCAAAACGCTCACCTAGCATCTCTCTTTCCATAAGTTAAAAAAAAAACTGTCACGTTAACAGGGACCCTGGCATGTAAATAATTTGTGTCCACCACTGAGGTTCAAAATGTCTGGACCAGACATCTATAGTCTGTTCTGCTTTAACATTTGTTTTGAAAATGCAAATTTGTTCCAATGCAATTGATATATTGAAGAACAATTTGAGCATAATGCAAATTTTGCATTTGTTTACGTGTGATTTCATCCACAGGACACTAGGTGAAAACAGAAAACTGCTTCCAGCTGAACTGAGCCATACAGTGTCAAGTGAAAAACAAATCTAGACCAAGGTAAGAAAACTTTTATTTGAAGATTTTTCACAAAGGTCAGTGGACTATTGCAAAAGAAAGAACACTTTAACCACGAGATTTGTAAGCATCTCCAGGGTTAGGCAAAACCAGTTTTTCTTTTATGGAGAGAAGTAAACAAGGCTAGAAAGAACCAGTGTGAACACTAAGATAAAAGGCCGTGTGTGATCAAATAGAGCAGATCAGAGAATGTCAGCCTGCTCCCAGGAGGATCTCTCATAGGGAGGGGCTGTCTGCTGGCTGAGGTTGAGGGTGGGCCAAGGCTCAGGAGCCTCAGGGAAAGAGAGGAGCTTAACCTGAGTTTAGTTAACAAGGATTTTGTTTCTGATTGATCAGTGGGGCAAACCAGTTCAGCTAAGCATTTTACAAGGCTTATGAGAACAGCAGTTTGGAGGATCTGTGTCTGGCCTTGTCATAGGTTAACAAGGGGGCTTCCATGAGGCTTATCTAAGTCACATGTGAAGTGTCACTCTTTGTAGTAAGCTGTTTCCAGAACACAGAAGGGTGACAGGATTTCTTTACCTATTGCTGTCTTCCGGGATAAGAGGACTCCAATAAAATTCAACAGCATCCACAGGAATGCTGAATAGGAATTCAACAAAACATACAAATACATACACTTCAAACACCTACTAGCTGTCTCAGTTCTCCAGGTGGGTGTGTTATAAGCCATACCTCCCTACAAATGGTGTTACAGCTGATGTTCCGATTTCAGATGACCCTCCTTCTGTCAGAGGCATTTGAACCGGAGTGACTCCATCTTGAATATGGGGCTGGGTAAAATAAGGCTGAGACATACTGGGCTGCATTTCCAGGAGGTTAGGCATTCTTAGTCACAGGATGACATAGGAAGTTGCCACAGGTCACAAAGACCTTGCTTGAAAACAGCATGTGGTAGAGAATCTAGCCAAATCCCACCAAAACCAAAATGACCATGAAAGTGACCTCTGGTTGTCCTCACTGCTCATTATACACTTATTATACTACTAAGAGACACTCCCACCAGTGCCATGACAGTTTACAAATGCCATGGCAACATCAGGAAGTTAGTCCCTATGGCTGGGCACGGTGGCTCACGCCTGTAATCCCAGCACTTTGGGAGGCCAAGGTGGGTGGATCACGAGGTCAGGAGATTGAGACCATCCTGGTTAACACGGTCAAACCCCGTCTCCACTAAAAATACAAAAAATTAGCCAAGTGTGGTGGCGGGCGCCTGTAGTCCCAGCTACTCAGGAGGCTGAGGCAGGAGAATGGTGTGAACCTAGGAGGCGGAGCTTGCAGTGAGCTGAGATCACGCCACTGCACTCTAGCCTGGGTGACAGAGGGAGACTCCATGTCAAAAAAAAAAAAAGGAAGTTAGTCTGTATGACCTAAAAAGGGGAGGAACCCTCAGTTCCGGGAATTTCCCACCCCTTTCCTGGAAAACTCATGAATAATCCATCCCTTGTTTAGCATATAATTAAGAAATAATGATTAAAAACAGCCAACCAGCAGCCCTTGGGGCTGCTCTGCTTATGTAGTAACCATTCTTTTGTTTCTTTACTTCTCTAATAAACTTGCTTTTACTTTACTATATGGACTCACCCCAAATTGTTTCTTGCACAAGGTCCAAGAACCCTCTCTTGGGGTCTGGATTGGGATTCCATTCTGGTAACACTTCTGCCACTGCACAGTATCTCACAAGCTGTCACTCTTTCTTGAACTTTAAACTTCAGGTTTTATTCAAGATAAACTGCCACATTTATTGTAGTGTGTCTTAGTCCGTTTTGTGTTGCTACAACAGAATACCACCAACTGGGTAATTTATAATCAACAGAAATTTATTTGGCTCACGGTTCTGGAGGCTGGGAAGTCCAAGAGAATGGCACTGGCTTCTAGCAAGGGCCTTCATGCCGCATCATGCCATGGTGAAATGCTGAAGGGCAAGAGAGCACATGAGTGAAAAAGAGAGAGAAAGAAGGGAAGGGCGCTGAACTCATCCTTTTTATCAGGAACCCACTCCCACAATAACTAACCCAGTCCCGTGATAATAGCATTAATCTATTCATTAGGGCAGTGCCATCATGACCTAATCACCTCTAAAATGTGCCACTTCTCAACAGTGCTGCATTTGGGGATTCAGTTTCCAACACATGAAATTTGGGGGACACATTCAAACAATAGTATGGCGTTTATGTCTTTCTTAACCATCTAATATGTGTGAGACTGTGCTACCATTTTTATTAGTTTCCTAACTTTCTTTTAATGTGTCACTGACAATGCTTTTGAGTGTGCCTTAACTCCATTTTTCCATAAGCCCTATGATTTTATTTTATTTTATTTTATTTTATTTTATTTTATTTTATTTTATTTTACTTTGAGACAGAGTCTTGTTCTGTTGCCTAGGCTGGAGTGCAGTGGCACAATCTTGGCTCACTACAGCCTCCGCCTCCTGGGTTCAAGAGATTCTTGTGTCTCAGCCTCCCAAGTAGCTGGGACTACAGGTGTGCACAATGCCTGGTTGATTTCGTATTTTTAGTACAGATGGGGATTCATCTTGTTGTCCAGGTTGGTCTTGAACTGCTGACCTGAGCTGATCCACCTGCCTCAGCCTCCCAAAGTGCTGGGATGGCAGGCATGAGCCACCACACCTGGCCTACCCTGTGATTTTTAATCACACAATTTTATATAGCACAATGATTTTCAGGAACACATAAGTCATCTTATAGTGGAACTGACTATTTGCAGCACAGTCAGCTCTTAGGAGAGGAAGCAGCCCAGGGTAATGGCACTGCACAACTCCAGGGACAGTGTTTACATGGCATCTTCTGTGGTGTGTATTCTGTGGAGTGTGCCCATAGGACCATGAATGTTTTGTGCCTAGCACAAGGGTTCGCAGCTGAGATGTGGACAGGGGCTGAGATCCAATGCTTACTCTGCCTGCCAAAGCCATCACATTCTCTGTCCACCCAGAGGGAGCTCCTGTTCCTAGCTCATAACACAAAAGAGGAGAAAAAGAGTTTTAATTGCATTTGGAATTGAAGTGAAATAATTGAACAAACAGAATTGTATCATAAATGTCAAAATGAGATTTTACTAACAGCCTAAAACAGTGCTTCCAAATCTCAAAGAAAAGGATGACATTTGTTGACCACTCGGCCAAGGCAACTGGCCAAGAGCTCTGACAGCCCCAGGCCCTACCCAGGCTACTCAGAGGGTTAAGGGATTTATTTCTCCATCTGTCCTGCACCTTAATAGTTCAGTGTGCTGTGGCACCTTAATTGGATACCTCTGACCAAAAGTGAAGGTAAATTAAGGAACCTTACCAAGATGACATCATGGAACTCATTATTCAATGGGAAAGGCAAAGTGGGGGCGGGGGGGGGGCAGGGAAACAGGGGAGGTATGTGTTAGTTAGTGCACCTACTGAAAGAGGGGAAGCAATTTCTATATTAAGGGGACCACACACTCTAATTTGCCCAGGACACTCCTGGTTTATGCATCCTTTTTCGTCCTCAGAAGGGTCCTAGTAACCCTATTTATACTCCAAAAGTTAACACTTCTTAATCAATAATTGGTGAAACACACTGTGGTATTGTGTGTGTGTATATATATATATATATATATATATATATATATAATTTGGTCCTTGTCCTGTCCCTGGTTTTTGACAAGGAGCTCCTAAATCCTTTGACATTTTTTGAGTGAAAGGAGTGTCTTTTGTTACTCAAAGGAGACTTTGGGTCCTTATCTGTCTCCAGCCATATATGAAAGTGTATGTGAATAAGGTCAATCTTGTTGGGCACCTAGATGACTTCAGGATGGGGCTGGTCATCAGAGGAATCAATCATGTGATTACAGGGATGCAACATCCAGTCCCACTGGGGAGGGGACAGGGGCAGGAGTTTCAGCTCAATCACCAATAGCCAATGATTTAATCAACCATGCCTATGTAATGAAATTGCCATAAAATCCCCCAAAGGAGACAGAAGGGTTTCAGAGCTTCTGAGTTGATGAACACATCCATGGATGGAGAGGGTGGTGCACCCTGACTCCACAGGGACAGAGGCTCCTGAACTCGGGACCCTTCCAGACTTTACCCTATGCCCCTCTTCATCTAGCTGTTCATTCGTATCCTTTATAATAAACTGTAGGTATAGTATTTTCCTGAGTTCTGTGAGTCATTCTAGCAAATTATAGTACCTGAAGCAGGCATGGGCCATGGGGATTTCTGAATTTGTAGCCAAATTGGACAAAAGTGCAGGTAGCCCAGAAACCCAGGACTTATGGCTGGCGTCCCAAGTGAGGGCTGTCTTGTGGCACTGAGCCCTTAAACCTATGGAGTCTGACACTAATTCTGGTTAGTCGATGTCAGAATAGGATCGGATTGTTGTACACCTAGTTGGTGTCATGGGAATCAGAGACAGTCCATCAAGTTTTAATTGTAACCCCCTCTAGAAGACAAATGGTCTGGGGACAGATCTTAGTAACAGATGCCAGACTGAGTATTACCATCCCCTTCAACATTAGAGGTGGTGATACTCGGCCATGGACTTCCCAGCTCTTCCCTTGAAGTGCAACAGGACCACCATGTTTGCCCACCTCCTCAGGCACCATTCACAGTGTATTTTATGTGAAGGTGTGGAGTTCATCTTTTTTAATTCCTAGGGAGTAAGAATTCAAGGTGACCTTTCTGGCACCCTCTCTACCTGATCAGCCTCCGCCATGCCATTTCGTAAGTATTTTCCCCAGCTCAAGTAGTAGATGAGAAGTTTTGCAAATCAGCTGGCTAAACAGATGTCCAACGGTGGAACAGACTACCAGTGTCCTTTCTTGCAGACACCCCAGTTTGAGCCCTATGTCTGTCTTGGCCTTAGGGAAAAGACAAAGGGGTATCCCTGGATGAACACCGTACTACCCACTGGCCAATGACCTCTAATATTTTTTGGGAAAGGTGTGGACCAATTTCATTTTTTCTCAGTAAGCCTTGTGAGAATACGCATGCTCTGAGAAGGGAATACTATCAGGTGGGTGACTTGATTGACGTGTCACCACAATGGTCCTGTTGCTTAGAAATCCATCAGTCCTTTGTGCATACCCCGTACTTCTGGGACTGTTCACCTGAATCAGTGACCAATGGTTTTGGCTAAAAGTTACAAAACCCATCCAATAGTGGCTTAAATGAAATAGACCTTATTATGTCTCCTAGAAGACTAGGAGCCAGAGGATGCAGGGCCGCTCAGAGGTGATGAGCACTGGGATCAACAGCCCAGTTTCTTCCTATCTTTTGGCTCCGCCTAAGCTGTTAGTTTTTCATGTTCACACTTGTCATCTCAAAGTCACAAGATAGCAATTAGGCATAAACTCTGCTACCAACCTTCCAAAGCAGAAAGAACAGGCATGGTCCAAAAGTCTTTTCTTTCTTCTTTTTCTTCTTTCTTTTTTTTTTTTTTTTTTAATAGAGATGGGGTTTCACCACATTGGCCAGGCTAGCCTCGAACTCCTGACTTCAAGTGATCCACCTGCCTTGGCCTCCCAAAGTGCTGGGATTAAAGGTGTGAGCCACCTGTAATCCAGCCCAAAAGCCTTTTCTTTCTGAGGCTCTGTCTTTTTTCTAGGAATTGAGGGTCGCACACTGACTTCCCTTAGGTCTCTTTGTCCAAAACTGGGGTTGGAAACACTCAAAAAGGGGAATGGGATTGCCAGGGCTGGCATAGACACATGATGACTCATTTCTGGAGTTGAGGGAAGGATCTTGCCCTTACAACAAGCCGGGGAAAGGGGTGGAGGGGCGGGTAACGGTCACCCCTCTGAGTGCCAACCTTGACCATCTATCTTGCTTGCCCATCAGTTCTTCAGTGCATCTGCACCTCCAATGTCCGTGCCCTTCTTGCAGACACCCCAGGTGGAGGCCTTTCCTCTTTTCTCTCTCCCAGCAATACTGGACTTTTCCACAGGAGTGGGTAGCACTCAATAAATGTTTCTTAAATAAATGAAGACAAAAAAATGTTTTAAAAAATGATTTTATGGAGGGTGTGGGGAGTATAGAATTTGGAAGAAACATATTTCATAGAATTATTAGACAAATAGAGCCCAGAGATCAGGAATTCATTGCCAGGAGCCCATGACTGGGTGTCAGCGGGTTCCATGAAACCCTGAGATTGCATGACACATTTTGCATGAATGTGTATATAAATTTTGGGTAGGGTGTGTCCTTGGTTTATAGCACATGTAAGATTCTGCAACCTCTAAAAGACTCAGAAAGCCCACCCCAAATGGCCAAGGGCAACACCCTCAATTACCGGTGGGCAAAGTAGTAGCCAGCATCCTCCAAGGAATGACAAGCTAGCAGGACTGAGCTTCTGACTCCCAGGACCTCTCCTCCTAAAGCCACAGACTCCATTGTTTCTATTTTTAAAAGGCCAGTCCAAAAGGTGTTATTATTCTCTGTCTCCCAGCACAGCTTGGAGCAGAGTGGCCAGACTAGGGAAGGAGTCTCTCGTGATGACTCACCACCATCCTCCCCTGAGTAATGGCCTTCAGGCTCTATCACTCACTTGTGCTGACGCACTAGACTGGAAAAAGCTGACCCTGAGTCAGTGGTTATATGGACACATAAAACCCTGGGAGGCGGGACCAAAGAGAAGGAGCTGAGCTGGAGGTAAAGCCAGTGCCCACCACCCAGACCCACACCTCCCCAACCCCAAGGGAGAAAGGTAATTTACTTAGGCAAGAGCCAGGTGAGCTACTGGATCAGTGTTAAAACTCCAAGCAGCCCCTGCATAGTGGATAGCTTGTAGGTGAAGATGGAGAATGGGAAGAAGGCCCACCTCTCCCTCAATAGGCAGCTCCTTCCCACTTTTGGGATGGAGAATAGCTGCGGTTGAGTTTGGCTTGGGAGGCTCAGTGAGTTAGTTAGGACCCCACCCCACATAATTCAGAGTGTGTGAGGCTGGGTGCAGTGGCTTACGCCTGTAATCCCAGTACTTTGGGAGGCCAAGGTGGGAGGATCGCTTGAGGCCAGGAGTTTGAGACCAGCCTGGGAAACACAGGGAGACCCCCTCCTCTGCCCCATCTCTACAAAAAAAAATTTTTTTTTTTTAATTAGCCGGACTTGGTGGCCTGTGCCCATTATCCCAGCTACTTGGGAGGCTGAAGGGGGAGGGATTGCTTGAGCCTGGAAGGCTGAGGCTGCTGTGAGCTGTGTGGTTGGACCACTGCACTCTAGCCCAGGCAACAAAGCAAGACCCTGTCTCAAAAAAAAAAAATAATAATAATAATTAATGAAATTTAAAAAATACAAAAACAAACAAACAAACAAAAAACAACCCACACATTGTTGTGTGAGAGCAGGCCCGGGACAGTTTTCCAGCTCCCAAGGTGTGCACCCTGGTCGGTAAGCCCTGGATTTGTTATGTGATCTTGGGAAACTCATTTGGCCTCCCTGGTCCTCCGTTGGTTTCCTTAATAGAAAGTTAAGGGGTTGCACTAGGTCAGTGGTTCTACATATTCCTCCCTAACAACCTCTGACTCCACAAAGGTAACCCTAGGCAAGCCATGGAGGGGAAGGGTCCCAGTGAGGGGCCTTAGAGACTAGGAGGAGAGGTGCCTTGGGGGACAAACGAGAGGGCCCCTTGGAAAAGGAAGGACACTGGCCTCTGGACATTTCATGCTGATGGGATTCTGCAGCATGGCTGCCCTTTAGAAGTGAAGAGCTTTGGCCAGGCTCACACCTGTAGTCCCAGCACTTTGGGAGGCTGAGGCAGGAGGATTGCTTGAGCCTAGGAGTTTGAGACCAGCCTGGGCAACATAGTGAGACCCCATCGATATTTTTTTAAAAAGAAATGTGGAGCTTTGTAAAATCAGAATTGCTTTCCCCAGACCTACTGATTCAGAGTCTTGCAGGGATAGAGACTGGAACTTGGACTTTCAGAAAGCTCTCCAGGACATTCTAAAGCAGCAGAGATTGTGCCTGTGAATAGCCACTGCACTCTAGCCTGGACAACATAGTGAGACCCCATCTCTGTAGAAGAGGGAGAAGGAGAAATAAAGTAGCAGGGGCTGGAGATCTAAGATCTGGGCCCACTCAAGGTCAAGGTGCTGCTGACCACCTCTTTCCCAGTTGCCCCCTGGCCACAGTGGAGATGCCCATTCCAGGAGGCAGCCCCCACCTCAAAAGAAAGGAAAAGAACAGAAAAGAAAAGAAGAACAATGGGGTCCAGACTTCAGCAGGTCCTCCAAGAGCAGCCGACCTCCTGCTTCCAGGTGTTCCAAGTGCATCAGTTCACACACATCTGTTGCCAGAGCCACAAGTCTATCGAGATCCTGAGTGGAAATATCTCCATCATTTAGCTGGTGACAGAGGCAATACCAAGAACAGTGTACTTACAATCGCTAGAGAAAAACATTGAATGGATTTTGAATAGCTGCAGAACGGCTCACACAGTGCACACAAATTCATTATCAGACTTGGCTCCACTCCTTTCAGGCGTGCCTCAGGCATGATAGGTTTCTGAAATTTGCATTCCTAAATGGAGGATGCTGATGCAGAAAGCAGGCAGCCGAGATGGGATTGGAGGAGGGAAAGATTCACAAGTGAGTTGGGTGGCGGTTGCTAGGAAAAGAACAATGTTGGTTGGAACTGTTGAGTTACAATGACAGAGTCCCAACTCTTGGCGGTTGAAGGAGAAAAGGAGATTTACTGGCGTCATGGAAGAGCTCAGAGTGACTCTGTGTCTTACAGAGTCTCTCTGCAGCCCCTGGTTCTGCTTTCCTCTGTGAGAACTTCCGTCTTGGCCAGGCCCTCACAAAGTGGCAACACAGGTGGCCACCAATGGTTCCGGCTTAGCTACTGCAGGGAAAGAATTCTTCTTTGTCCCAGAAGAGCCAGCCAAAGTCTGAGGGTGGACTCTCAGGGGCAGGCTTGTGACATCTGGACATCCCTGAACAGAGCACAGTGGCCAGGCCTGGAGCCGAACCATGAGGTGTGCCTCACTCAGACCGCAGAAACTGACATGACAGAGTGGCTTCTTCAGGGAGAATTAGGATGCTGTTATTAGAAGGAGGCGAGATGCTGGGAAGGCACGCAGGAGCTCTTCCCAGCCACTGCGGCAGGAGTGAAAAGCACTTGCTCTTGTTTCTGTCATGTGCTGAGCTCACTTCTATTACAGATTTTTCTAGGTGGTCATTTCTTTATCTGCATGTCTTCCCTGCTGGTTATGTATCCTCTCTCAGGCAGGAGCTGTGACCTCTATCATCTTTAAACTTGCAGATTTACAGAGGTGGTTAATAAGTCTTACTAGATGGGGTAAATAGCACAAGACTGGGATTAGAGAATTCTGAGTTTCTGTCTGGATTCTATGTGTAGACTTGTGTGCAGCCTTTGAGCAAGTGCTTTCTTCTCCTTCGGCCTCTTTCTAATGCACTGGATGAGGGTCAGCAAACGTTTTCTGTAAATTGCCAGATAGTGAATATGTTAAGCTTTGTGGGCCATATGGTCTCGGTCATGAACATTCAACTCCACCACTGCTGCCCAAAAGCAGCCAAAGACAGTACATGAGCAAGTGGGCACTGCTGTGTTCAAATAAATAGAAATAGGCAGTTCATGGGCAAAGTAAATGATTGCTGTTGGGTTTTTTTGCTTTTTGTTTTTATTTGTATTTTTGTTATTCTTTTTTCCTGACCATGGCAAGGACTGTTAAAACTGTCATTTTAAGCTGCTACATTTCCTTCTTCTTTCTTTCCTTCCTTCCTTCCTTCCCTCCTCCTTTCCTCCCTTCCTCCCTTCTCTCTCTCTCTCTCTCTCTCTCTGTCTCTCTTCTCTGTAAGCCAGGCTGGAGTGCGGTAGCGCTATCACAGCTCACTGCAGCTCAATTTCCTGGGCTCAAGGGATCCTCCCACCTCAGCCGAGTAGATGGGACTACAGACGCATGCCACCACACTCAGCTAATTTAAATTTTGTTGTTGTTGTTGAGATAGGGTCTCACTCTGTTGCCCAGTCTGGTCTTGAGCTCCTGGACTCAAGCAATCATCCCACCTCAGCATCCCAAAGTGCTGAGATTACAGACATGAGGCACTGTGCCCAGCAGCTGCCAAATTTTCTAGTGGCCTATCACATAGCAATAGTTAAAGGGAACAGTCATCCAGCAGAGGGTGGCAAACTATAGCTAGACAGCCACATTTGGGACTCCACTGGTTTTTGTTTAAAAAAAAAAATCAGCCGGAAGATACTTCTTCACGTGGACTTCTCCACAGGGCTGCCTGGGCTTCCCCACAGTATGGCAGCTGTGTTCTAAGAGTAAATTTTCCAAGAGATGAGAGGTAGAGGCTGTCAGTGTCTCAAGGCCAGGGTTCAGAAACTGGCACAGTGTCACCATACATTATTGGAAATCCACCAACTGCCCCAGATGAGTTCCCAGCTGACAGCCAGCCCCAGCTTGCCAACCACAGAAGTGAGCCATCTTGGAAGTGGATCGTCCTGCCCCAATTGAGCTTCCCCAGCTGATGCTTCCTGGAGTGCAGCATCACTGCCTTGAATCTGGGAGCTGGCCCTAAAAGGCTGGGTGATGTTTCAGCTCAAGGGAGGGTATTTTGAATAAAATATTCAGAAGGAAGGCTGGAAAAGAAGTGGACCAAATTGCAGATTTGCAATTTTGCAGTTGCGGAGCCCACCCAGATTCAAGTTTTGACATTCCTCCTATAGGTGGGGACTGTGTCTCTTCCACTTAAATCATGAACTCCAAGGACTCTGCCAGTTCAGGTGTCCTGTGGTTTTAAAGATTCAATAGTCGGCCTTGGATACCAGCAGCTTCTTGCTAATTCCCTAAGCTGACTCTGTAAAAGAGCATCACCCTAACCCATACCTTGATCTCTGAGGTCCTTGACCTCTATAGTGTCCTTGCAATCCATGCCTCCCCTCATTTCTCACTGTCACCATTCAGAACAGCCTGAGAGCTGCAATGGTCTCTTCACTAGTTGCTTGGTTTCCAGTCTATGTAAATGTGACTCTAAAGTTATCCTGCTAGAATGCTTCTCTCCCTAGTGCTTCCTAGATCAATATCTTCACTGACTTTCCACTGCCTGGAGAACAAAACCCCAGACAGGGTTCCACTTCCTTTTCCAGGCTTACTTCTGAATACTTTATTCGAAATGCCCTGCCTTGAGCTGAAAAGTCACATCCTTTGCCCAAAATTTCTAATTCTCTCTCCCATTCTTACAAATGAAACATCACTCAGCCTTTTAGGGCCAGTTCCCAAAAGCCCCTTGATGCTCTTCCTAATTCTTAGACTCTAGTTGTGTAGTTATTATCATATGGTGTCAGGCTTAAGCCAGCTTTTTATTTTATGCTTTGTTATTTTCTCATCCCTGTACCAAATACAGGGACCAAACCTCATTCCTCTCTGTGGCTTTGCATACAGAGGGTTTTTGGTAAGAGCCTGGTGAATTGAAGTCAACAGAATTATGGACCTCAACTTCCTTGCCACCCCTCTTTCCTGCCTCCCCAGGATAGGCAAATCCCAGGAATCAGGGCTGCAATGTCCCTGGCTGGCCAAAGCTGAGATGGGAGGCTGTAGCAATGAACCCTTTTCTTGTGCCTCTTGAACTTGACTCCAGGATATGAGCAACAGGAGCTGATCTTTCCAGGAAGGGCTTATGCATGCAGAGGCCCAATACCATCCTGCCCCAGCACCCTCCCAGAGAAGATTGAGTAGCCTGCACCATTAGAAACCAAGTTTTCTTCCTGGCTTGTTCATTTACCCAACTAACTGGATTCTCACTTTTAGTCTATGCCTTTACACTTATACCTAACTCTGACCAAGGTCCCTTCTGAGCCCAGAATCCCCAGTAGCAACCCTTGGTTCTTAGGATGACATTCGGTCTCATTATGCTGACAGCTGGGGACCTTGATGATCTGGTTCCTGACTATGTGTCCAACTTCATTACTGTCAAATCTCTCCCCTTGAATGAGGCTACCCCAACCCATTATATCATGTACTTTAGTCACTGAACTATTTGGAATCTTTGAAAAGATTGAGCCTCTTTGATGCCTTGGGATCTTTCCTCTTCCTACACTCTTTCATGTTCCTAGGATGCCCTCCTTGCTCTGTCTAAACCTTTCCTCATTCCCCTCATCCTCTCTGAACTAGGTTAGGATACTCCTACAGCCCCCAGTACTTCCCTTCACTATCACAACAATTGCATTGCGTTGCTAGCACTGGTTTTGATGACTGTTCCTCACTATCCTCACTGGACTGTGATCTCTTAGAGGGCAGCGATTTGAGCTTTTTTCCTTTTCTAATGCCAATGCCTGGCACAGAGCCTGGCACTTGGTTGGCATTCAGTAAATCTATATTGGATAGGACAAATGGTTGCTCATTATTTTTTAGGCAATTCTAAAACAGTATAATAAACTTTAAAAGTGAAATAATATACTGGATAAAGCAAACAAACAAACAAACAAACTCAAACAGTTGTTAAATATGTGGTCAAGAATTAATACATTAGCTGGGTGCAGTGGCTCACACCTATAATCCCAGCACTTTGGGAGACCGAGGTGAGTGGATCACCTGAGGTCAGGAGTTCAAGACCAGCCTGGCCAACATGGTGAAACCCCATCTCTACTAAAAATACAAAAATTAGCCAGGCAAGGTGGCGCATGCCTGTAGTCCCAGCTACTGAGGCAGGAGAATCTCTTGAACCTGGGAGGCAGAGTCTGCAGTGAGCCGAGATCGCACCACTTCACACCAGCCTGGGCTACAGAGCAAGACTCCATCTCAAAACAAAAACAAAACAAAACAGAACAAAAAAGAGTTAATGCATCTACACTACAATGATCTTTTATAAAGCAATAAGAAAAAAATTAACCTCCAAAGAGCAATAGGCTAAACACATGAACAAAAAAGAATAAACATTAAGGACCAATAAATATATGGAAAAATGTCCAATAAAGCATTACAAATTAGACATCATGCCATTTCACCTTCATATTAGTAAAAATAAAGAGAAATGGCAACGGTTAGATTTAATGAGGTTGTAGGGAAAGAGATACTCCCATGAACTTCTGGTCGCACATCCCTGAGCTCAAATTTACAATATGTTCTAAAAGCCTTTAAAATGTGCAGGCTCTGTTATTCAACTATTTCCTTTTTAAAATGTTTATTCCAAGGAGCTAACCAGTAATACATACACAACTTCACATAGAGCTCTCACTAATTCCTCATTATTTCCTGATTGACTGCTCTGCCCCTCAGAACAGACTGACATTACGGTCACAGGAGATGATAGTATCTTACCACGAACTTAAGGACAAGAGCAGAAAATACCTTCGTAAAAGTGAAAGATTTTTATGATCTGATGGTGGTTTGATTATTGGCTGGCGACCTGTGGGAAGCGTTTCTGGAGTTGTAATAAAGCTGAGTCAACAAGTTCATCATCTGCTGTCCACTTTGGAAAAGACCCAACAGTTACTGAAAAGATCAATCCTGGCTTGATTGATGAATCCTGGCTTGCCAAGTGGGAAGGGAAAGTATTTTATTGAGCACCTTCTATATGCCAAGAAGTTACTTATATGATCTCATTTTATCTCTCATTGGGTAGCCATAATTATCCCTATTTTCTGATGGAAAACTAAGGTACAGTGTAAGAAACAAAACTAGGATACGAACCATGTCTGCTCCATTCCAAAGCCCATGAACATCTCCACTACAGCATGGTAAACGAGTCCTTAACAGCTTTGCACTTGGATGAACCATTGATTGTTTAAGCAAAGGAGGTTAAGCACAGCGATTCTGGTTGCCCTTCATTAAACTGCATTGAGTGAAATATTGTGTGACATCCACATTCAGTAGCCTCAAATGTTTCCCCAGGTACATAATAATAAACTATCATTCAAATGAGGGGAAAAACATCTGATTCCAAGCGGGACACAGTGGAACAGGTTCCTGAATGGATTCTCAGGGCAATTTTCTTTAAGCAAGTTCTCAATCAGAGTACGTGGGCATGTTGTGATGCTTGACTGGGGACAGACTGCCCTGTCCTGGCAGCTTGGAAGTTCATTGTAAATGATTCCCTTTCGCACATTCTGTAAAATAAACATTCAAGCCTCATTGTCTTTGCATTGACATCATAAGGAAACACACAATGATTGTTTGTCTCGTGCCTCTCTGCATCTTCCTTCTGTCTTCCCCCGCCAAGAGCCATGTTTTTTGTGTTTTAGAGAAGCCCTGTGATGACTACAGAGAATCTGGGCTGGGATCTGAAACTGTGGTCAGGCACCAAAGAGGATGGACCAAAAAATACCAGACTAGTTAGAAATAACTCACTGAGTCTTTGGCTTATTTTGTTGTTTTGCTTGGGATTCATTTAGTTTTCAGGTAAACTTTAAAAAGTATTTGGATTTGGTTTGCTGGAGGTTCAACAAATACATGTAGTTTATTTTCATTTGTTTGTTTGTTGAGGTTTGTTTTGCTTGCTTTAAGTTCAAATACCTGCTTTGAAGATAGGATGAAATTTAAAGTCATACACAGGCCAGTCACAGTGTTTCATGCCTGTAATTCTAGAGCTTTGGGAGGCTCAGGCAAAAGGATAGCTTGAGTCTAGGAGTTCAAGACCAGCCTGGGAAACACAGCAAGACCACATCTCTACAAAAATAAAAAATAATTAGCCAGGCATGGTGGCATGCACCTGTAGTCCGAGCTACTCAGGAGGCTGAGGCGGGAGGATTGCTTAAGCCCAGGAGTTTGAGGTTACAGTGAGCTATGATCTGCTACTGCCCTCCTGCCTGGGCAACAGTGTGAGACCTTGTCTCAACAAAATAAATAATAGATAAATAAATAAATAAAATCATACACAGACATACACATAGCAATATAGCCAAGAAATATAATTCTAACCATTCATAACAATAATCAACTTACACCACTCATATCTTTCCAAGATGATGATAAAGAATAAAAATTACCTGGAATACTTTCACATTGGCTGTCTCATTTTATCCTCTTGGTATTCCTGTATATCAATATTCTAAAAATGGGGAATTTATTGTAAAAACTAGTTAAATGTTCAATATTATGACTTGTCCAAATACGCACAGTCTCAGCCTTCTTGAGTGAAAAGATGCCTTTGAATACTTGAGTTTTACAGAGGTTGGGGAATTAAAAGACTTAAAAAAAGAAGATAAAGGGAGCAATAAGTATGGTCTGAGGGCTGCGAGGATGGGGGAACATTCTAGAGCATCACTATAGGAGGCAGGTATTATACTGTTTCCTGGGAAGAAGCCACTCCCTCAACTAAGCCCTCACAAGTAAATTTCTTCTTCTTTTTTTGAGACAGAGTCTCGCTCTGTTGCCCAGGCTGGAGTGCAGTGGGGCGATCTCATCTCATTGCAACCTCTGCCTCTCAGGTTCAAGCGATTCTCCCGCCTCAGCCTCCTGAGTAGCTGGGATTACAGGTGCATACCACCATGCCCGGCTAATTTTGGCATTTTTATTAGAGATGGGGTTTCACCATGTTGGCCAGGCTGGTCTCAAACTCCTTGCCTCAAGTGATCCGCCCACCTTGGCCTCCAAAGTGCTGGGATTACAAAGTAACTTCTACATTGTGCTGATTGTGTCCCTTGATATTCTAGACTTGTGTTGTTCGATACTGTAGCCATGAGCCACATGTGGCCACTAAGCACTTGAAACATAGCTGGTCAGAAATGAGATGTGCTGTGAGTGTAAAATACACGCAAGATTTTGAAAAGTTAGTTTAAAAGAAAGAATGTAAAAAATCTCAAAAATATTTTTTCTATTGATTACACATTGAAATAACTTGTTGGGTACATTAGGTTAAATAAAATATATTAAAATTAATTTCACCTGTTTCTTTTTACTTCTTTAACTGTGGTTACTAGAAAATGTAGAATTAAGCTGGGCACAGTGGCTTACATCTGAATCCCAGCACTTTGGGAGGCTGCGGTGGGCAGATGGTGAGCAGATGGCCTGAGCCCAGGAGTTCAAGGCTAGCCTGGGCAACATAGTGAGACCCCGTCTCTACAAAAAAAATTTTTTAAAAAGTAGTTAAGCATGATGGAATGCACCTGTAGTCCCAGCTTCTTGGGAGGCTGAGGTGGGAAGATTGCTTGAGCCCAGAAGGTCGAGGCTGCAGTGAGCCATGGTTGTGCCACCACACTCCAGCCCAGGTGAGAAAGTGAGACCCTATCTCAAAAAAAAAAAAAAAAGAAAGAAAAAGAAAGAGAGAAAGAAAGGAAGAAAGAGAGAGAGAAAGAAAGAAAGGAAGAAAGAAAGAAGAAAGAAAGAATTACGTATGTAGTTCACATTATATTTCTATTGGACTGCACTGCTCTAGAGGCCATGTTTTCCCATGTGCCTCATTGGTTTAATTTTCCTTTGCTCCCTACCCCTTAACAGGGCAATGCAAGGTTTTGAAGACATCACATGATTCAAGACAGGCCCTGACCAGGGAAAGTGGGTACTTCAGCTTACCTGCTCGGAGGCACAGCCATGAGTCAATAGCATAAAACCAGCATGCAATTCATTTCAGCCCCTTTCCAGCCAGTTTAGAAGTGATTCTTTTCACAATGCCCTTTTTTTTTTTTTTTTTTTTAGACAGAGTCTCCCTCTGTCACCCAGGCTGGAGTGCAGTGGCGCCGTTTTGGCTTACTGCAGCCTCCACCTCCCGGGTTCAAGTAATTCATTTCAGGTGATCCACCCGCCCCGGCCTCCCAAAGTGCTGGGATTACAGGCATGAGCCACCATGCCCAGCCTCTTTTTTTAAATTTAGGACAATTTGCATTATTTCAAATTTTGCACACAAAATGAATGCTTAATTAATATGGTTTATATCACTCTATTTATAGTTTACAAAATTCAGACTTACGTAAAACGTGTCCTTGGTGTAGAGGGAGAGCTGTGCCCTGCTTTGCCCTGCATCTCAACGTTCTATCCAGTGGACAACATAGACTGCCATCTTTTCTTTGCTGCAGCAAAAACAATTTTGCATAATGATTAAAGGTTTGCACCACACACGTAAATAGAGTCCAGTGGTTGAGAAATGCTGAATTAGTCAGGAGAGGGGACAAAGCAGAGATCATTTTTCAGCCCTAACCTCACACTTCACAGCACCAGTGCTCTAAGCATGTATTAGGCTGTTCTTCCATTGCTGTAAAGGAATACCTGAGACTGGGTAATTTCTAGAGAAAAGAGGTTTAATTTTTTTTTTTTTGAGACAGTCTCGCTTTGTCACCCAAGCTGGAGTGCAGTGGCGCAATCTCGGCTCACTGCAACCTCCAAAAAGAGGTTTCAGTGACCCATGGTTCTGCAGGCTCTATATAACGCATAGTGCCGCTGTCTGCTTCTGGTGAGGGCCTCAGGAAGCTTCCAATCATGGCAGAAGAGAAGGGAGAGCAAGCATGTCACATGGTGACAGTGGGAGAAAGAGAGCGAGGTGGGGGAGGCCCCAGATTTTATTAATAAACAACCAGACCTCCTGTGTACTAACTGAGTGAGAACTCACTTATCACTAAGGGGACGGCGCTAAACCATTTACGAGGGATCTGCCTCCATTATCCAATCACCTCCCACCAGGCCTCACCTCCAACACTGGGAATCACATTTCATTGTGAGATTCGGAGAGGACAAACGTCCAACTCATATTAAAGAGTGAACTGCACTTTGGGAGGCCAAGGCGGGTGGATTGCTGGAGGTCAGGAGTTCAAGACCCGCCTGGCCAATATGGTGAAACCCCATCTCTACTAAAAATACAAAAAGCTAGTCAGACGTGGTGGTGGGCACCTGTAATCCCAGCTATTCAGGAGGCTGATGCAGGAGAATCACTTGAACCTGGGAGGTGGAGGTTACAATGAGCTGAGATTGTGCCACTGTACTTCAGCCTGGGTGACAGAGTGAGACTCCATCTTAAAAAAAATAATAAAATAAAATAAGAGTGAACCTAGTACCCCTATTATTCAAAGACCTTTAGATCTGGACTGAACCTCAGAAGTTGTCATGCCCAGCTTCTACCTTGTGTAGTGGTCTCCTTTGCATAATTCTTTTTTTTTTTTTTTTTTTTGAGACAGAGTCTTGCTGTGTTGCCCGGGCTGGAGTGCAATGGCGCGATCTCGGCTCACTGCAATCTCTGCCTCCCGGGTTCAAGTGATTCTCCTGCCTCAGCCTCCAGAGTAGCTGGGATTACAGGCGCCCGCCACCATGCCCGGCTAATTTTTGTATTTTTAGTAGAGACGGGGTTTCACCATGTTGGCCAGGCTGGTCTCGAACTCAGGTGATCTGCCCACCTTGGCCTCCCAAAGTGCTGGGATTACAGGCGTGAGCGACCGCACCCGGCCTCCTTTGCATAATTCTGGTTAGCAGCCGTCTGACCTCTGCTGGGACCCTCTTATGACAGAAACCACTCCCTTGAGAAACCCAGGTGTTTTGCTTTTTTTTTTCTTCAACAACGCTGACTGTATAAAGTTCATGCTCATATTGAACAAAGTGGCCAGGTGTTCCTTCTGCCATGACCTAAATAAGACCCAGAATTCAAAACAACCTCCCTCCTCCCAAAAGGATGAGTTTGAATGCAGGCTCAGCTATTTAGTTTTTTTCAAGCCTCAAAACATCAGTTGCTTCATCTGAAAAAAAAATGTAGGGGAAGGGTGTAAAAACACGGAGCTTACTGAGTCGTTGTAAAGAGATGAGAGAGAAGAAAGGGCTCTGAAACTGTTAAGTGCTGCCTGCATGCTGGTCTATTAGTCTCCATTCGAAGTGCCTATTTCTTTAAAACAGGCAGGGGCTGCATTCCAAGTGCCCAGCAAGCTCTTGCTTTCACAAAGATGCATTGGCAATTACTGAGAGTCCTGTTCTCTTCTAGGCATTTACAAATTGATTTGTTCCCATGTCATCAGGTATAGAAGGTAAGCAGCTGAGTAATAATGCATGGGTGAGGATAGGGAGTCCAGAATGGGCTTTATTTCTGGAGGAAGAGGTGTGGAGTGAGGAGGAGGTAGCCAGACCCCCTTGGGAGAGCAGAGGCTGTGTGCATGGTGTCCAAAGCATTCAAATAAACAGCAAAATCTTGGTGCATGTGACAGAAAGAACACTGGATTTGGAGTAAAAGAGACATGGCTATAAATTTCAGCTCTGTCACTTAATAGTGACATTGGAGAGGTCACATCATCCCTTGGATTCTCACTCTTTCATCTATAAAATGGGAATGATAATATGTACCTTGCATAAATAAAGTAGTGCTTGAGTGTTTAGCATGTGGAGGCAGACTGCTATTTATTAGATATATGACCTTGGAGAACCTGTTTTGTTTGTCTGTTTTTGAAACTTTTTTTTTCAGGGTCTCACTCTGTCACCCAGGCTGAAGGGTAGTGGCACAATCCTAGCTCACTGCAGCCTCAAACTCCTGGGCTCAAGCAATCTTCCTACCTCAGCCTCCAAATAGCTATAGATATGCACCACCATGCCTAGCTAATTTCTTTAAAAAATGTTGTAGACATCGGGACTCATTATGTTGCCCAGGCTGGTCTTGAACCCCTGGGCTCAAGCAATCCTTATTTATTTAGAGATGGTGTCTCATTCTGTCGCCCAGTCTGGAGTGCAGTGGTGCAATCTCATCTCGCTGCAACCTCTGCCTCCTGGGTTCCAGCGAGTCTCCTGCCTCAGCCTCCCAGGTAGCTGGGATTACAGGCATGTGTCACCACGCCCAGCTAATTTTTGTATTTTTAGTAGAGACAGGGTTTCACCATGTTGGCCAGGCTGGTCTCGAACTCCTGACCTCAGGTGATCTGCCCACCTTGGCCTCCCAAAGTGTTAGGATTACAGATGTGAGCCACTGCGCCCGGCATCTGGGGCCTTTTTTATAAGGACATTGATCCTATTTGTGAGGGTAGAGCCCTCATGATCTAGTCACATCCCAAAGGCCTCACCTCCTCATATCACTCATTGGTAAATCAGTTTTCAAAGTAGGAATTTTGCAGGGGCACACAACGTTCAGACCATAGCAATATGGTCAGCGTCTTCTTTAATATTGTGCTGCTGAAACACAATACCTGAGACTGGGTAATTTATTAAGAACAGAACTTTAATTTCTCACAGTTCTGGAAGCTGAGGAGTCCAAGATCAAGATGCCAGCAGGTTCACTTGTCAGGTGAGGGCTACACCCTCTGGAGGAGTGGAACGCTATGTCCTCACGTGGCAGAAAGCAGAAGCGCAAGTGAGCTGAACACTACAGGAAGCCTCTTTGATAAGAGTCATAATCCCATCTACAAGGGAGGAGCTCACGGCCTAATCACTTCTCAGTGGCGCCACCTCCTAATACTACCACACTGGGCATTAGGTTTTCACACCTGAGTTTTGGAGAGGACACATTCAAACCATAGCAATCAGGATTTTAAATCTTAGACATTGTAGTAGGAGTGTAGTGGTGTCTCATTTTAGTTTTAATTTGCATTTGCTTAATAGCTGATGAGGTTGAGTAGATTTTCATGTTCACATTTGCCATCTGTATTTCTTCTTTAGTGAAGCAGTTGTTCAAATCCTTCATTCATTTTAAACATTTGAGTTTTAATTTTCTTTTTGAGTGTTCTTTATGTATTCTGACTGTAGGTCCTTTATCAGATATGTGATTTGCAAATATTTTCTCCCAGTCTGTGGCATATCTTTTTATGCTTTAAGAATGTCTTTCAACAAGCAGAAATTCTAACTTTTCGTGAACACCAATTTATCATTTTTTAAAAGAATCGTGCATTTGGTATTACAGTTAAGAAATCTTTTCCTGCCTAAGATAAGTGCATTAATTTCTTAGGGTTCTCTGTAACAAAGAACCATAAATCAGGTGGCTTAAAACAATAGAAATTAATTCTCTCATGGTTCTGGAGGCTCTAACGGAGAAACTGCTCCATAACTCTCCCCTAGCTCCTGGTGGTTATCTGCAATCCTTGGCATTTCTTGGCTTATACACCCGTTACTCCAATCTCTGCCTCTATATTCACATGGCATTCTCCCTGTGTGTCTTGTGTCTCTTCTTATATGGACATCAGCCATATTGGATTAAGCACCCACTCTACTCCAGTATGATTTCATCTTAATTTAACTAATTACATCTGCAATGGCCCAATATCAAATAAAGTCACATTCTGAAGTTCTGAGAAGAACATGATTTTGGGGAGTACACTACTCAATCCAATACAATAAGAAACAAAAATTTTCTCCCATGTTTTCTTCCAAAAATTATGTAGTTTTAGGTTTTATATTTAGGTCTATAGTTCACTTTGAGTTAATTTTGGTATACTGTATGAGGTATGGATTGAAGTTCATCACTTTTCATATATATATATTTGTTCCAGGAACATTTGCTGAAAAGATGACCCTTTCTCTACCAAATTGCCTCCGCACTTTTGTCAAAAATCAATTAACTGTATATAGGTGCCAGTTTCTGTGCTTTCTGTTTCATTGATTTGTCTGTCTTTATATCAGTGTCACTCTGTTTTGATTACTATAGCTTTGTAAATGTTGAAGTCAGGTAGTGTAAGTTCTCTAACTTTGTTCTTCATTTAAAAAGTTGTTTTGCTATTCTTGGTGCTTTGTATTTCTATATGAATTTTAGAGTAAGCCTGTCAATTTGTAAATTTAAAAAAATAAGAGATTTTTTACTGGGGTTGAATTGAACCTGCAGATCAATTTTGGCGAAAATTGGCATGTTAATATGGAGTCTTCTGATCCATGAACATAGTACAGCTTTCTTTTTTTTAAGTCTTTAGTTTCTCTTGGCAATGCTTACATTGTATGAATCTTACATATTTTTTAATCAGGTTTGTCTTTATTTCATATTTTATGATATTGTAACAGTAATTTTAAAAATTCAATTTCTTGAGCTGGGTGCAGTGGTTCACACATACAATCTCAGCACTTTGAGAGGCCAAGGTGGACAAGTCACTTGAGTCTAGGAGATCAAGACTAGCCTGGATAACATGGAGAAACCCTGTCTCTACAAAAAAAAAAAAAAAAAAAAAAAAAAAAAAAAAATCAGTTTCTCACAGTTGATTGCTAATATGTAGAAATACCATTGACTTTTGTATATTGATCTTGTATTCTGCAACCTTGGTAAACTCATTAGTTCTATAGCTTTTTGGTAGAAAAAAACTTTTTTAGTTAAAAATCCGTGGAATTTTCTACTTAAACAATCATGATGTTTGTCAGTAAAGACAGTTTTAATTCTCCCTTTCCAATCTGACCCCCTATTATTTTTAGCCTTATTGCACTGGCTAGAACAATGTTGGGTAGAAGTGAAGAGACTTACTTGTCTTATTTGTAGTATTATCAGAAAAAAATGTTTCCTTCCTTCCTTCCTTCCTTCCTTCCTTCCTTCCTTTTCTTCCCTTTCCTTCCTTCCTTCCCCCCTCCTTCCCTCCTTTCTCTCCTTCCTTCCTTCCTTTCTTGCTTTCTTGCCTTCTTTTGACCCACTTTGTTGTCCATACTGAAGTGCAGTGGCTCAATCATGCCTTACTGGAGCCTAGAACTCTTGGGCTCAAGCAATTCACCCCTCTGAGTGGCTGGGATTACAGGTGTGCATCATCACACCCAGTCCTATATTTTCATCATTGAGTACAATATTTGCTGAAGGTATTTTTTTTAATCTAGATGGAATTTTATTAGACACACAGAGGTCTAAATTGCTTTACAAAAAAGAAAAATCTCAGACTAATGCATATTTGTTCAGGGAGCATATAACATAGTCACTTTGTGCCGAATTTGGTTAAAATTCTAAAACTTTAAAAACTAACATAAAATACACATGAGATTGCATCTGGGAAAAGTGAATCAAATTAGTTTTCAGCTTTCTGTGCTTGCAGGGGCAGGAAACTGAATAAACAAAATCCATAGATCACACAAACAAAAAGAAATTTAGTTTAAAACAAGTTCACCCTCTTCTAAAGCCTTCTGTCTGAGAAGTCTGTAAATGTTACTGATTTCAGTTTTAACTTGCTGAAGGTTTTTTAATAGACGCCCTTTTCTTCTGGTTGAGAACTGATATGATTTGGCTGTGTCCCTACCCAAATCTCATCTTGAATTGTAATCTCCATAACTCCTATGTGTCATGGGAGGGACCCAGTGGGAGGTAATTGAATCATGGGGGCAGTTTCCCCCATGCTGTTCTCCTGACAGTGAGTGGGTTCTCATGAGATCTGATGGTTTTATTAGCGCCTGGCATTTCCCCTGCTGGCGCTCATTCTCTGTCCTGCCACCTTGTGAAGAGGTGCCTTTAGCCATGATTGTAAGTTTCCTGAGGCCTCCCCAGCCATGCAAAACTGTGAGTCAATTTAACCTCTTTTCTTTATAAATTACCCAGTCTCTCAGGTATTTCTTCACAGCAGCATGGTAACAGACTCATACAAGGATATTCTCACTTATTCCTAATTTCCTGAGGTTTTTGTTTGTTTGTTTGTTTGTTTTTTTAAATCAGGAATGGATGTTAGGCTGAAATGGATGCTAGGTGGCAGATCACTCCTGTAATCCTAGGACCTTGGGAGGCTGAGGTAAGAGGATCGCTTAAGCCCAGGAGTTCAAGACCAGGCTGGCCAACATAATGAGATCCCATCTCTTTAAAAAAAAAAAAAAAAAAAAAAAGGAAAATGATGTTAGATTTTGTCAAATACTTTTTTCTGTATGCATTGAGATGGTCATATGATTTTCTTTTTTAGTTTATTAATTTGGTGAATTACACTGATTGATTTTTAAATGTTAAACTAATCTTGCATTTCCGTGAGATTAGTCATGATCTATTTACTATTTTTACTACTTAGTCATGATCTATTTGCCATTTTTTTTTGTGAATGGATTCAGTTTACTAAAATTTTATTTAAAATGTTTGCATCTATGTTTCTGAGGCATATTGGTCTATAGCTTTATTTTCTTGAAATGTTTTTTGAGACATTTCTTCTTTTCTAATATAGGTATTAATGCTATAGATTCCTCCTAAGTAATACTTTATAGCCATCCTAGTGGGTATGAAGTGGTATCTTATTGTGATTTTAGAATTTCATGTATATTTTGCCACTTAAAATTATTCCACAGTTCTCTAATGCTCTGTTCATGTTTAAAAGGTTTTTTGTTTTGTTTTGTTTGAGACGGAGTCTCACTCTCTTGCCCAGGCTGGAGTGCAGTGCCTCGATCTCCGCTCACTGCAACCTCCACCTCGAGGGTTCAAGCAATTCTCCTGCCTCATCCTCCCAAGTAGCTGGGATGACAGGCGCCCACCACTATGCCCAGGTAATTTTTTGTATTTTTAGTAGATACGGGATTTCACCATGTTGGCCAGGCTGGTCTCGAACTCCTGACCTTGTGATTTGCTCACCTCGGCCTCCCAAAGTGCTGGGATTACAGGTGTGAGCCACTGTGCCAGGCCAAAAGGATTTTTTTTAACTGTGTTTAATTTTGGATAGTTTCTATTGCTATTTCATTAAGTTCATTAATCTTCTCTGCTGCCTAATCTGCCATGAGTCTCATTTGATGTTCTTTTATCTCTGATATTACAGTTTTCATCTTTAGAACTTTTATTTGTTTTTTTAAAGAAATCTTTTGTCTATCTACTTAACATGTTCATTTTTTTCTCTATCTTCTAGAACATATGGAATAGAATTATAATGACCGCTTTAAAATCCTTAGCCACTAATTCTATCACCTATGTCATTTCTGGGTCAGGTTTGATTGGTTTTTCTCATTATTTTCCTGCTTTTACATGTGTGGTCATTTTTTTAAATTGAATGCTAGACATTTTAAATTTTCCCTTGCTGTGTGCTGTACATTGTTGTATTCCTTCAACAAATAAAAAATAAATAAATAAGAGACCATTTTAATTTCATATATGCTATGGTCTGAATGTTTACCCCCCAAAATTCATGTGCTGAAATACTCCCAAGGGGGTAGTATTTGGAGGCGAGAATTTTGGGAGTTGATTCGGTTATGGGACAGAGTCCTCATGAATGGGATTAGTGCCCTTATAAAAGTGACCCCAGACAGCTAGCTAGCCCCATGTGAAGACACCATGTGAAGACACAGCAAGAAAGTGCCATCTGTGAACCAGAAAGCAGGTCCTCACCAGACTCTGAATCTGCTGATGCCCTGATCTTGGACTTCCCTGCCTCCAGAGCTGTGAGAAATAAATTTCTGTTGTTTATAAGCTACCTAGAGTATGGTATTTTGTTATAGCAGCCCAAATGAACTAAGACACTGTTACTTATAAACAAAAATGATAGAATGTATATCTTTTTTCTTAACTTTTTACACATCTAGCTCATCCACTTAAACATTTTATCTGGCCAGGTCACAGTTTATATTTCTCAGATATATTCTGGAGCTGTTTTGGAGGGATGTTTGATCATTTCAGGGCTTCCTTTTAAGTTTTGTTAGGCATGAGCAGCATTAGGCTAGAGTTAATTTTTCACACTAAAAATATCCTTACTGGTATTACAGGACCCATAGTGGTCCTCTAAACTAATAAATTAGGAGTGTTTTCCACTCTGGCTGTTGGGAAAGGCACTATTCCTAGTTCTGTGTGAACTCCGAGCAATGTTCCCTCCAATTCTTTCAGGTGGTTCTTTCCCTGGCCTTGGGTGGTTTCCCCACGCACGGATCAGTAATCTGAATAATTGTGAGTGACCTTCTGTAGAGTTCCAGAGTTCTCTGTTAAGCTCTCTTCTTTGTGGTGCTCTGCCTTGCAAACTCTGGCTGCCTTGACTTCCTCGGACACCCAGTTCTATATCCTCAACTCAAGGGGTAGGCTGGGCTCTTCCTGCATTCCCGCCCTCCCCCCGCCCCCCGCCCCCGCCGTCGCCGTCAGCAGTGAGAACTGAAAACTTTCTCCAGGAATTATGCCGGGATGATCATGAGACTTGCCTCATTTGTTTCCCACCTCTCAAGGATCACTGTCCTTTGTTGACTCATGTCCAATGTCTTGGGAACTGTTGTTTAGTTTTTCAGTTGTTTCGGGAGGGAGAGTAAATACAATCCCTATTCTTTCAGTTTAGCCAGAAATAGAAAGTTATTTAAATCCTCTATGATTCAATTTCCTCACCTACAAAATGAGAATAATAATAGTACCTAGTACCTTATAGAGTTGTTGCAAGGATTAAATAAATTAATATTTGTAAAGCCCTTAGCATAGCATCTAGGATATGGTAATTGCTCAATAAATAGAAGCTATCATTGTTGTTATTGACATTATTTTCTTGTTATTATTATTATTGTCAGCAAATAATTTTGGGTCTATAGATGAGCTTCTGGGACTCCAGAATTTTCGGTCCCCTGCACGGTGCCTAACACTTCACTGGTGTTAAATATTTGTACCTTAACCCCTCTACAGCCAACCCCTTCAGCAGATAATCACTTGCCTTTTTACTTTGGAGAGGGCTAAGAATGACCTTTGAGATCTTTAACAGCCGTAATTTCTATGCCTCAAAGATCTAATTGATATGCCCATCGAGCGAATTAGCATTTGCAGCAAATATATTTCACTCCAGATTTATTATGCTCCCTAAATTAATATAACAAGGGTATCCTGAAGAGCAAACCGGAGTTTAATTCATATGAATCTGGAGGCTGGTCTGCGGGTCTGCTGAAGAAATTCAGGGCAGAAAAGAAAGCTTATTCCAATTTTTTTTTTCCCGCAGGCTAACCATCTGCGCAAATAAGACAGAGAACTCAGTTCTCTAAAGAAAGAAAGAAACCTATCTGAAATATGTCGTCAAAAAGAAAGAAATGGTGGTCCTAGTCCCTCAATCCACTTAATTTCCTACTCTTGCCTTCAGACATCTTCCCTCGGGATGGATGCAGTTGGTATCAGATGTTCACCACTCTTTGTGGTCCAGACATCTGCCTGGGTTCTCCTGGAGGCCTGGAGAAAGCCAGTGGTTTGAGGCTTACAGAGTCACCTGAACAAGTAGGATGTGCTCCATGGCAGCTTCCTACAAAGTCTACACTTCAGTTTCCTTATCTCTCCCTTCCCCTGATTTCCATAAACAGAAAGAGGGTCTGCTTCCCACTGGTCCATCTCTGCCTGGATAGTGCAAGGACTTAGTCTCAGAGGCTCATTAATGTCCCTAACACTGTCATTAGAAGCAGGAGTCTACTTGTGTTTATTCAACTGCTGTATCTTGTTTAAGAGAAGTAGTTTTATTGTCATAAAGAACTTTTTCTTTTTCGAGACAGGACGTTACTCTGTCACTTAGGCTGGAGTGCAGTGGCGAGATCTTGGCTCACTGCAACCTCTGCCTCCCAGGCTCAAGCAATCCTTCTGCCTCAGCCTCCTGAGTAGCTGGGACCACAGGTGCCTGCCACCAAGCCCAGCTAATTTTTTTGATTTTTAGTAGAGATGAGGTCTTGATATGTTGCCTAGGCTGGTCTTGAACTCCTGAGCTTAAGCAATCCTCCCGCCTTGGCCTCCTAAAGTGCTGGGATTACAGGAATGAGCCACCGTGCCCAGCATTTTCTTTTTATTTTTTTTGTGGAGACAAGGCCTCACTATGTTACTCAGGCTATTCTTGAATCTTTGGCCCCAAGCAATTTTTCCACTTTGACCTCCCAAAGTGCTGGGATTACAGATGAAGAACAAAAATTCTTACAACCAAATCAGCAGCAGCCACTCGGACACCGGTTTCTCATAATGGTACTTGCAGTTCATTAACGATTGACATTTGCTCTGTTGTCATCTCTGAAATCAAGATCACCACCAACGGAATTTTCACAAATATCTATACACTGAAAAGAACTAAGTCTAGTCCTAAAGGGAATATTAAGGTTGATCAACTAGGAAAGGATTCATGACAATCAGGGAGCATGTCTATGCTTAAACCTAGGGCCATAATTTGGGGCCTGAATTAATTCTTTTATTCAACAGTAATTTTTTTTTTTTTTTTTTGAGACAGAGTCTCACTCAGTCGCCCAGGTTGGATTGTAGTAGCGCGATCACGACTCACTGCAGCCTCAATCTCCTGCACTCAGGTGATTCTCCCACCTCAGCCTCCTGAGTAACTGGGACTACAGTTGCGTGCCACTACCACACCCCGCTACATTTTTTTTGTAGAGACGGGGGTCTCACCATGTCGCCCAGGCTGGTCTCGAACTTCTGGAGCCAAGCCATCTGTCTGCCTCGACCTCCCAAAGTGTTGGAATTACAGGCATGAGCCATGGCACCTAGCCTATTCAACAGTTATTAAGAAAAGGTCTAAAATAATCTAATCTCAGAGGGCTGCAGTTAAATAGGGGATATAAAACAAGCAGTAAATAATTGAAACTCAGGGCAGAAAATGCTAGAAGCTAGGAAGTGGTATCACATAGTGGTTGAGATTTAGAACTTTGGAGTCACTCCTGGGTTTGCCTACTGGTTTTGACCTTGACTAGCTGTGTTTTCCAAGTCTTGGCTTCCTCATTTGTAAAATGGAGCTATGAGATCAGTTGTGTGAATTAAATGAGATGTGATTTGCAAATACTCAATACATTGCTCCGAGTCAGCACTCAATCAGTGTTAGCTATTGTTATTAATTGTTTTTTTAGTCCAGAGGAGAAGATCTTAGATGGTGTTCCAGGGAGAGGGTGGTAGTGAACAACTCAGTGGCTCCCTGGACCAGGGAAAGGGTGGGCTTTGGAAACTGGAGCATTCTACTTCTACTTCCAGCAGGTGAAAGCTTTCAAGGAAAATTTGAAATGGTTCTACTTTCATCTATCTGGTGACCTGAGCAGCTGTGGTGTGGGGCACACAGAGCTCTGTGGTCCATTGCTTGTCTTACCTTACTTTTTTTTTTTTTTTTTTTTTTGAGACGGAGTTTTGCTCTTGTTGCCCAGGCTGGAGTGCAATGGTGCAATCTTGGCTCACCGCAACCTCCACCTCCCGGGTTCAAGTGATTCTCCTGCTTCAGCCTCCCGAGTAGCTGGGATTAGAGGCATGTGCCACCATGCCTGGCTAATTTTGTACTTTTAGTAGAGACGGAGTTTCTCCATGTTGGTAAGCCTGGTCTTGAACTCCCGACCTCAGGTGATCCACCTGCCTCAGCCTCCCAAAGTGTTGGGATTTACAGGCGTGAGCCACTGCACCCAGCCACCTTACACTTCTCGACTGTCACATTCACCCCTGTAGTTTGAGCTCTGACATGAGATGCTGATATTTCATATTTCTAGATGACACAGCAATTCCAGCTCCTTCTCTCTCTCTAGCTACAAGCTCACTTATGAATGGCATCATATTCCCAGGGACTGAAGCCAGAATCTTACAGACATCTTTAAGGTCACCGCTTCCTCCTTTTCTTCACTGTGCATCTTTCCCCATTATGCTCCCTCCCTCATTCTGTTCTCGTACAATCCATCAAATCTTGTCAGTTTGACCTGCTAAGTATGTCCTGAATCCTTCAGCACAGCCACTACCCTGTGCAGGTCATCGTCTGCAGGTCATCGTCCGCAGGTCGTTGTCTGCAGGTCATCATGATCTTTCCCTGATGGGCTGCAGCAGCCCCCCACTGCTCCCTCTGCTTCTGCCTTGCTCCTTGTCGAACCTCTATCAGCAGTGGAGATGAATGAAATCCATCCGTGGCCTGCCATTCATAGCTCCCTATACCACCTCCTTTCTATTCACTTTATATCCAATCTCTCCTTTTTATTTTCTAATAGATTTCCAATTTTACTTGGGGCAGTGAGACGTAAGCAGAAATCTACTGTCTGGGGCTTCTTGGGACTTATGGTTTTCCTGATAAAAAGGGATGGACTGAACCAGAACACAGCCCCTTTTGTGCATCCTTCTTTCTTTCTGTCTGACACACAAATTGATACTTGGAGAAGTCATCTTGACACCAGGAAGTTGAAAGTCATGCATTAAGCTTGGTGGAAGAGTAAGCTAGAAGGACTCTGTTTTTTTGAGGACTTCCTCGAGCAGCCAACAGTAACTCAGAACTGTCTAGCCCCACACTTCTTGTTAATGCTGGGAAAAGAAATCTCTATTTCATTACAGGAGCAGCCTCAGCCTCCTGCAAACCTCGAGGAGCATCTGAATCACCTCGGGACACTTAATGCAAATTCAGAGCTGTGACCCCGCCCCAACAGATCCTCTCCTAAGTGGGTTTGCAGTGGGGTCCTGTGACTGGTATTGTTTAAAAGCCCATTGTAGAGCCCCTTATAGATGTTCCACGGAGGACAGTTAGAGAAACACACAAATTCTGGATTTACAAATACTTTTATTTTTATTTATTTTTCTTTTTTTGAGACAAGGCCTCACTCTGTTATTTAGGCTGGAGTGCAGTGGCGCAATCACAATTCACTGTAACCTTGAACACCTGAATTGCTGAAGCAATTCTCCTGCCTCAGCCTCCTCGGTAGCTGGGACTACATGTGTGCACCACCACCACCAGCGGAATTTTTTTTTTTTTTTTTTTTAGACTGATTCTCACTGTTGCTCAGGCTGGAGTGCAGTGGTGTAATCTTGGCTCACTGCACTTCCGCCTCCTGGGTTCAAGCAATTCTCATGCCTCAGCCTCCCAAGTATCTGGGATTACAAGCATTTGCCACCATACCTGGCTAATTTTTGTATTTTTAATAGAGACAGGCTTTCGCCATATTGGCCAGACTGGTCTTGAATTCCTGGCCTCAAATGATCCATCTGCCTCAGCCACCCAAAGTACTGGGATTATAGTTGTGAGTCACTGCACCCAGCCACCCCCAACTCCCCAGCTAATTTTTATATTTTTTGTAGAGATGAGGTCTTTCTGTGTTTCCCAGGCTGGTCTCTAACTCCTGGCTTCAAGTAATCCTCCCACCTCAGCATCCCAAAGCACTGGGATTACAGGCATGAGCCACTGTGCCCAGCCTACAAGGAATTTTATAATTGACCTCTGCAACTTCTTCAACCTCAACTATGACCATTCCCACTGCCTATATTTGCCCACAACTGTTTGGTGACTTTACTCATGCTGATTCCACGTCCCGAGAGTCCTTTTCACTTTTCTGTACCTGGGTCCTTCCCAGTCTACAGGATGCAGCTCAGGCATCCACCTCATCTGGAAAGACTTCCATGAACCCCCAGGTGGTACTTGTTATCAATCATTGAAAAGCTGTTGGAAAGTTCTGGATAAAGGGAAAGCTCTAGGAGATGGGGAAGGGAGGGGGAATATGTATGTGTAGTCAGACTTGCGTGCCCACCTGCTCCCACTACTTCAGCTTGAATGGGGATGGGAAGGTGGAGAAGAAGACTTTGGGAGAATTTTAAATTGTATTGATTTTTGTTTCAGTCGTTCTTGTATAATAACTCCTAGCTTGAAATCTGCAGCCACAGTTGAATGTCAGCTCCAGAGATTTATTATTTTTAGTTGGCTGTTTTTTCCTTTTCATTTTTCATTTACATTTCAAGAGTTAGAGTCAACACCAGACATAACGGAAGCAATCAGACAGGCCCCAGTAGAAACCAGGAACATCTCATTAAATCCTTATATTTGCAGGTCTAGCTCTTAAGGGAGGAAAAAACATCGACTAGTTTGATATTTATGGAACTCATTCATTCATTTGATCATGCATTCACTCATTTATTTACTCCCTCACTCTGCACTGATAAGATTCTCTTGGTTATAAGTAAAAGAAATACAACTCAAGCTATCTTAAGTCAGAGAAAGGAAAAATTGACTTATGTACCTGGAAAGTCCAAGAGTTCAACTGGCTCCCCACACTGGAGGCTTAAATTACGTCTCTGACTATTTCTAGTACCCCTCCTCCTACTTCTCATCTTCTTTCTCATCTTCCACCTTTCCCTCCTCCCCTTTCTCTCATTTTCTTTTTTCCTTCTCCCACCTCTCATCTTCCCATCCTCATTTAGGCTTTCTCCTTGTGGCAGGTAAAACAGCCTCCAGCAGCCTTAAACAAGTCTCTTAACAGTTTAGCAACCCAGGCAAGAGAGGGTGTCTACTGCTGGCACCAGCCAAAAAGTCCCAGGGAGAACGCTGGTCTGGCTTGCATGTCCTGGACTAAAACTAATTTCTGTGGCCAGAGGTTTTGGATAGTTTGATTAGCTAGGCCTAGGACACATGGCCAGGGTGGAGAGTGTGAGAAGTCAAGTTCAGCCCCACACAGTCACAGGAAATGTGTACTCTTTAGAAAAGAAGGATTCTATTCCCAGAAGAGGGGGAAAGGATACCAAAGAAACATAACTGATAGATTCCACTGTTCTACTCATTCATCTACTCATCCATTCATCTTCCCACAGATTCATTTATCTATCTATCCATTCATCTATTTATCCATCCATCCATCTTTCTATCCATCCACCCATACATTCAACCTCTCACAGATCCATTCATCCATCTACCAGTCATCTATTCATCCATCCACCCACTTATCCATCCAGAGCTCTGCCTACCCATTTGTCCATCTAACAAGCATCTCCTTGGAGCTTATATGCTTAGAACTGTACAGATATTCATGTAAGGTCATCTATCAAACTGCTAAAGGATCAGGACTCAGCACAAGGCTTCACCCAAAGTTAGTGCTCAATAAGTGAATGAATAAATAGATGATTCTGAGCTTTTTAAACATGTTACATTTTTAATATGATAGAAACAGGGTTTTGGTATTTTGCCCAGGCTGGTCTCGAACTCCTGATCTCAAGTGATCCTCCTGCCTCAGCCTCTCAAAGTGTTGAGATTACAGGTATGAGCCTGGCCTGACTCTGAGTGTTAAGCTTGGGTTCCTAGGACAATGATGATTCCCCCAACAGAAAATGAGAGTGTGAACAAGGAAAGTCCTCTGGGGTGAGAGGGGCCATGCTGGGCAGTGTTGAGTGTTTTATGTTGTCCCCATGACCGGTGTTAGCACCATATCTCTCTTGGTAGCAGGAAAGCCAGGCAAGGTAAGAATTCTCTGCTGCTCTTACTGCCAGTCTCAGAGGCTTGGGACAGAGATGATTATTCTGAGTCATCAAATGCGTAAATATTTTGGAATGTAATAAGAGTCAGTAGGGAGATGTGATGGGATTTAAGCAGTGACACCGTATACTGGGCTGCTTTGGGGAGCTCTGGTTAATGGGTAGGATGGAGGGATTGGGAGAGCAAGAGCCTGTCAGCCAGGTCACTAGTAAACCAATGACTTTCTTCTTCATTTCCCTGCTGTCTCTTAGGGGATGTTTCCAGGGAAAAGAAGGACATTCTGCTCTGCTCTCTTTTTGGGTATTAGGTCTACCAGCATTTGGATCATGTCGGTGGACGTTCTATGTATCCACTACTGATGGGAAACTTCCTGGTGAAGGAGAGATGAACTTTGCTATGAGGACATCCACCACCATGCTCGTCATCCAGCATCCGCATGCAAGCTGGGTGGGGTGGGAGCTCAAAGTTGGTCAAAGACAAGACTTTAATGCTCTCAACTTTTAGTTCATTCCTTCATTTGTTCAATTAATTCAATTGTTCATTCACCTATATACTTCTTCCTTCATTCAGTCATTCTTTCAACAAACACTGGTGAGACGTATTATCGATGCTCACCCAGATCCCTTCCTACTGATCATGTGCCCCAAGTCCCCCTCCTTAGGTGCACTTTCCCTTCCAACAGCCAGCACCTGTGGCTCTTTTTAGGAGGTCTGTTCTTGGGAATTTACGTTATCCTGATTCTCAAGGTGTCCTTAACCAGTGCCCAGGGAGTACAGGAGTCAGAAAGCCCCAGGCCTCTAGCCCCTAACCAGGAAAAGTCTAAGGCATAACTTACACTCCAGGGTTCCCCCAGGATCAGGCTGAAGCTGCCCTGTGAGGGATTTTGTCTGAAATCACATCCGTGACCAGAGGGCTGGGACTAGGCAGGGAGAGGCGAGTAAGGCAACCAGGGCACAAAATTGAAGGAGACGCTTAACACTCAGGTTCAGGCACAAACCTCCTTACATTTCACACTGTAGGCCCCTCACTTGACTCCCCCCCACCTCCAGCTCTGGCCCTGCTGGCTGGTCTCCCCTTTCTTTCCTGTCTGCTTCCCCTATTCCTTTGTGGGTTTCCCTGGGAACACTTCTATAATAAACCACGTGCTGGCGAGTCTTCAACTCAGGGTTCATTTATGGGAAACCTGACCAAACATGACGGAGTAACTACTGTGTCCTGGAAACTGTTCTGCATATACAAAACAGAATAAGTCACGGTCTCTGCTCTCCAAGAGCTCACAGTCTGGTGGGACCACATGGTTTGGACCCTCTGTCTGCAAATAACTGTGTCTCCCTGGGTGTAGCCCTGAGGAAGGGAGAAGTTCACCCTAATGCTCAAATCACTGGCCTCAACTGCCTTGCTACTATAAGTTGCCTAAGGCTGCTGCGTTGAAGAGAATCCACAGCATATGAAAAATGAAAGCACTGTTTCAGAATAATTGGTTTTGTACAGTCAGTTGCTGCAGACATCCGTGGATTTGCGTGTGCTGTAAAGGCGAAGAGATTTGTTCTGACTTATTTTACAGCATTTGGATTTGTGGTTAGTGCAATCCCAGCTGCAGGGGAAACATTTGGCTCTTGTCACTGCCATGCCTCACATAGAATTACAGTGAGAGGTCAGGGTACTCAGAGGCATCCCTATGGTGGAACCATGGTGCCAACATTGGGGTTTGGGTCTTGGAGAAAGTCCCAGTGACAACATGCTTTCACCGTTGTAGCAGGTTGAATAGGGACCTAGGACTTACATGCATTCAACCTTGTAGCAGGTTGAATAGGGACCCCCAGAATTTGTGTTCACCTGGAACCTCAGAAGATGGCCTTATTTGGAAATATAGTCTTCGCAGATATAATTAGCTTAAGACCTAGAGATGAAATCACCCTGGATTTAGAGTGGGTCATAAATCCAATCACTGGTGTCCTCATAAGAAGAGGACAGGACACACACAGAGACATAGAGAAGATGACCATGTAAACATTGATGCAGAGATGAGAGGGATGCAACTACAAGCCAAGAGAAGCCAAAGATTTCCAGGAGCCACCAGCTAGGAAGATGTAAGGAACGATTCTTCCCTGGAGCCTTCAGAGGAAGCATTGTCTTGCTGACACCTTGATTTTGGACTTCCAGCCTTCAGAAGTGTGAAAGAATAAATCTCTGCTGTGTTAAGTGGCTGAGTTTGTGGTAATTTGTTGCAGCAGTCCTAGGAAATTAACACAACCCTGAGCCTCTTCAAAGGATTAAAGGAATGGCATTCAAGTGAAGTTACAAACCAGGGACCAGGCAAGTTACAGCCATGGACTTGGAAGTTGAGAAATTGCAAAAAAGTGGCAAATGACTAGCAACCCCCGATGTGGTCCCTCCCAGCTTTTCACTAAATCCTTATGACTAGGCAGAAAAAAAGAGAAAAAGAAAATTCTCGTTAATGTAGGAAACTAAGATGGGCCCTCAAGTTAACTCCAGAACCTAACAGAGACTGAGTGTAATTCAAGGCTGCTGATACAGGTGGTTGGAAAACAAACAAACAAACAAACAAAGAAACCCTACCCAGGCTTATGTGCAAGGCATACTCTCCTTTTGGTTCAGGTTCAAGAGAGAAGAACTTTTCAAACTTGAATGTGCACAAATCACCTGTGGACTTTGTTCAAATGCAGGTTCTGATTCAGCAGATCTGGGGTGGGGTTGAGAATCTGCATTTCTCAAGAGATTCCAGGTAAGGCGGCTGCTATTGGACCATATTTTGAGTGACAAAACCTTAGAGTACTTTTGACCAGGCACTGGCCAAAGGAGGAAGCTCCAACTACAGCTGACCAGATAGATGTTCACCAGGTGAAAGCCTGTTTGAATCTGGGGGCCGAATTGAAATCTTGGTAGACCGTTCTGTATTTACCATTCGTAATATTAGAGGCCCCTTTATGGAGGAGGATAATACTCTCCTGCCTAATGACAACAGGGCTTAGCCTCCTAACTTATTCTGGCCAAGGGGATGTGGATGGTGTCACTTCTGATGACACTTGCTGAATAGTGCCTGGTTCATCACACTCCCCTTCCCTCCACCATATAGCTAGTTCTGTCCACTCTTCTATATTCTACTCTGCCATGCTGAGGCTCTTTTGTCTGATGTTCCTTTTGGTTTTGCCATCAGTGAGCATGGGGAGAGGCTGCAAGCAAAGGAGAGGGGAGAAGGGTCTTGTTCACTCCTGTTTGCCTGCCGATCCTGTCAGTGTCTCCATAGCAACAGCCCTTGCTCCTGGCACTAGTAGTTGGTTCCAGTTCCCAGCCCTCCCAAAGCCAGCCTTATTGCACCTCCTGTGAGACCAGTTGAGCAGCTCCACCTCTTCAGAGATCTGGGTACCAGCTCTGTGTGGCCAGCCCTGCCTCTAAGTCGCTAGGTTCTGATAATCCCAATTTATTCCCTTCATTCCCCCAAATCTAGGGGTGGCCTTTGCTTAGGATTGGTCTTTCCTTCCTGCAGTTAACTCTTAGTGTTCCCTCACTGTTCTCTGTTGACTTTTCATTCCTCTAGTGCTCATGAAAACAATTTCCTATATTAAATTCTCTCTGTTAAAGTCACAGTATAGTTTCTGTTTTCCTGATGCTAATGTCCCAGATGGGAGCTCCAATAGGAGCCTGGGTCTTGGAGTAATGGTGCAGGGCAGGGTCTTAGCCAACCTGCAGTGAACATGTGGTCTGAGTGAGAAATAAATATTTGTGCTGTGACTCACCAAGATTTCTGGGGTCATTTTTTTAATGTGGCATAATCTAGCCTATTTTGATTAATACAGAAGTCACAAATGTCACATTCCCCAGCTGGGGCCATAAGAAGAGGATTCTCTCCCCATGCCAGTAGGCAGAGAGCAGCACCCAAGGCAAGCTATACTCTGACAATTTAAAAATACTCCAAAGTCTGGACACATTTTGCTGTGTTTGAGATTGAGTAAAAGAGGAAAAGAGCCTAGGGTTTAGTTGTGAATATTTTTATTTTGTAAAGAGTTCTTAAAAGTAAATAAAGACAAAGATTATTGTAGAAAAATGAACAAAGGTATATATGGAAAAATGCTTAATCTTTTCAGGAATCAAAAAACATTTTTTTAAAGAGTCAAGGTCTCGCTACGTTACCAGGCTGGCCTCAAAGTCCTGGGCTCAAATGATCCTCCCACCTCAGCCTCCTGAGTAGCTGGGACAGAAAACAAATGTTAAAGTCATGCATTACCAATATTATGGATTGAATTGCGTCTTCCTCTGCCAAAAAAAGAGAAAAAGGTATGTTGACATCCGAACCCCCAGTATCTTATTAGAATGTAACCTTATTTGGAAATATGGAAATAAGGTCATTGCAGATGCAGTTAGTTAAGATGAGGTCCTACTGGAGTAGAACTGGCCCCTAATCCAACAAAATGGGTTTCGTGTTTTTTATTTTTTGTTGATTTTTGTTTTTTTGTTTTTGAGAAGGAGTTTCACTCTCATCACCCAGGCTGGAGGGCAGTGGCTTGATCTTGGCTCACTGCAACCTCTGCCTCCCGGGTTCAAGCGATTCTCCTGCCTCAGCCTCCCAAGTAGCTGGGATTATAGGTATGTGCCACCACACCCAGCTAATTTTTGTATTTTTAGTAGAGACAGAGTTTCTCCATGTACGCCAGGCTGGGCTTGAACTCCTGACCTTGGGTGATCTGCCTGCCTCTGCCTCCCGAAGTGCTGGGATTACAGGCATGAGCCACCGTGCCTGGCCAATGGGTGTCTAATAAGAAGCTGGCCATGTGAAGACAGAGACACTCAGGGAGAAAGCCGAATGTCAATGAAGGCAGAGATTGGAGCAATGCAGCTGCAAGCCAAGGCACACGAAAGATTGCCAGCAAGCCACCAGAAGCTAGGAAGACACCTGAAGCCAGAAGGACACCAAGAATGATTTCCCTGCAGGTTTCAGAGGCAGGATGGCCCTGCTGATACCTTGAGTTTAGAATTCTAGCCTCCAGAACTGTGAATACATTTTCTGTTCTTTTCAGCACACAGTTTGTGATACTTTGTTACAGTAGCCCAAGGAAACACATACAACCAATTTTTTTGCTTTTCAAATTGGAAAAGAATAAAAAGAATAAGTTCCCCAGGGCTTAGCAGAATGTTCACAAGGAGTGGGTAATAGGCATTCTTACATACTCCTGATGGGAGACGCTACCTATGAAGTCTTTTTGATAGGTGCTGGCAAAAAGTATCAATAATAGCCTCTAGAAAAGAATATACTTTTGGCCAGCTACTATGTCTCTATGAATTTATCTGAAGAGTTAAGAAGACAAAAGATTGTTTATTATAGCTATGCTGACAATAAGAGAAAGTTAAAATATTGAAGTGTCTGATAACAGAGGATTGCTTAAAGAAATCATGGTAAATTCTAAATGGTCATTAAGAATGACGTAGATTTATTTGCATTGCCATAGAAAAAGACTGACCACATATTGTTGGTATGATAGAGAAATTCAAATTATATATAATATCTATATAATGATGATTCCATTTTTGTAGGGAAAGATGTATATATTTACATACCTACGTATATTAAAAAAAAAAAGTCCCCAGGGTTTGATAAAGTACTTAGCAATTGGTAGACACCCAATAAACCTTTACTGAATGTATATAGGAAAAATGAATTTTTCTTTATACTCACAGTTAACACTTCTGTGGCCCCAGATATGTGAGTTTTTTTCCCACACAGACGGATTCTCCAACACCAGCTGGGTGTCGTACGATACAATTAAATTCTGACACTATCTACCTGGAGTTAACACAAGCCCCACAAGTTAAGGGTGCAGTCTTACAAGACTGCCACCCACTTCAGACACCAATCACAAGTCCACGCCATCACCTGCGCTTCTGACCAACCAGCTGTATATCGGAGGTTCCTACAACCTCCTTCTTAGTTTTGATCTTTGCCAGGGCAGCTCACAGAACTCAGGGAAACATGTATTTATGCTTACCAGTTTATTATACTGGATGGTACAAAGGATATAGACAAATAGTGGAGGAAGAGGTACGCAAGTCAAGGTATGTGGGAAAGGGGTGCAGAGCTTCCACGTCTTCTGTGGGCTTGACACCCTTTGAGAACCTTCCTGTGTTCAGCAACCTAGAAGCTTTCTGGACCCCATAGTTCAGGGATTTTTTGGAGTTTTATCACATGGTAGATTATTAATTCAGTCTCCAGCTCCTCTTCCCTTCCTGGGGGATACGGGTAGGCAGTGTGAGGCTGAAAGTTCTGAGCTTCTAATCACGGTTTCATGTTTCTGGCGACCACCTCCATTCAGGAACCCACTAAGAGCTGCCTCATTAGAACAAAATATGCTTCTATCATCCAGGAAATTCCAAGGGATTAGCAGCTCTGTGTCAGGAATTGGGGTCAAAGACCAAAAAATATATTTCTTATTATAAATCACAATATCACACTGAATAAATGAATGGATAATTACATAAATAAAAGCTATACACCCAAAACGTTTGCATTTATTTTCTATAGTGGGGGGAATTAGGGGTGATCTTTTTCCAAAAAATGTGTTTTTATTCTTTTTGCATCTATTTACATCTATTTTCAAATTTTTGTACAATAAGCACACATTACTTCTATAATAAGAAGAAAAAAAGAAACTTGGAATTCTGTCAAATTCTGCCATCAACTTATTTTCTAACCTAGGACACCACAACCACCCTATCTTGCCTCAGAGTCCCCAGCAAGAAATGGAGAGTTGGTTGGATGACCCCCAGGAACCCCCCTCCCTTGGCTGGGTGGAGGAGAGGGCGGAGCTAAGGAAGGCTCTACAGTAGAGGGAACAGGAATGAAATGGAACTGGGAACAGAAAGATTCCCCATGAGCCAGCGAAAGTGTGCAGGCGAGGGAGCTGCAGTTCCTCAATCTTGTCAGGGCCTCAGAGTCCAAAGGGTGGAATAGACAGAGCTGCCCCAAAACTGTGAGTTTTCTGGGCCTGAAGCCACATCGCATCTGAATGCTGGTTGGTAGAAAGCTGACAAAGAAATGAAACCATCAATAACAACAAGGAAGAAACTGAAAGTAACACAAGCAGATGTTAGATTGAAAGGCCTCAAAAGGTTGACTCTTGAAGGCTATAAACTCTAAGACTTATTGCAGCCTTTTTGGAAAACAGTCTAGCAGTTCTTCAAATGGTTAACCATAGAGGTGTCTATGGTTATCAATGGTTAAACAGCTCAGCAGTTCTAATCCTAGGTATATAACTAAGAGGAATGAAAACATTTGTCTGCACAAGAACATATACATAAATATTCATAGCAGCATTATTCATAGTAGCCAAAAGGTGGAAACAACCCAAATGTCCATCAACTGATGAATAAACAAAATGTGGCAAAGACATATGATGGAATATTATTCAGCCATGAAAAAGAAACAAGTTCTGATACATACTACAACATGCATGAATCTTGAAGACATTATGCTAAGTGAAAGAGGCCAGTCACAGCCAGATGTAGTGGCTCATACCTGTAATCCCAGCACTTTGGGAGGCCAAGACAGGAGGATTGCTTGAGCCCAGGAATTCAAGACCAGTCGGGGCAATATAGCAAGACCTTGGCTCTACTAAGAGTAAAAAAATTAGTTGAATGTGGTGGTGCACACATGTAGCCCCAGCCACTCAAGGAGCTGAGGCGGGAGGACTGCCTGAGCCCAGAAGGTAGAGACTACAGTGAGCTAGTGAGCCATAATGGTGCCACTGTGCTCCAGCCTGGGTGACAGAGCAAGACCCTGTCTCAAAAAAAAAAAAAAAAAAAAAAAAGGAAAAGACCAGGCTCGGTGACTCACACCTGTAATCCCAGCACTTTGGGATCACTTGAGGTCAGGAGTTCTAGACCAGCCTGGCTAACATGGTGAAAAGCCATCTCTAATAAAAAAATTCAAAAATTAGCAGATGTGGTGGCAGGGGCCTGTAATCCTACCTACATGGGAGGCTGAGGCAGGAGAGTGGCTTGAATCTGAGAGGCAGAGTTTACAGTGAGCTGAGATTATGCCACTGCACTCCAGCCTGGGCTACAAAGCAAGACTCCATCTCAAAACAAACAAACAGAAACAGAAACAAAAACAAAACAAAACAAAACAAAAAAAACAAGCCAGTCACAAAAGGCTACATATTGAATCACTCCATTTGTATGAAATGTCCAGAATAAGCAAATCTCTAGACACAGTAAGTAAGTGGCATTTTAGGGCTGGGGGTTGATTATGGGGGATGATGGCTAGAGGGTATGGGGCTTCTTTTGGGGGTGATGAAAATGTTCTAGAATTGATTGCACAACTGGGAATATATCAAAAACCATATAACTATACACTTTAAGTGAGTAAATTGTATGGTACTTGAACAATACTCCAATAAAACTGTTACAAGGAAAAGAAAAGCAATTGAAGGCTGCGTTTTTCTAATTCATGTTATCAGTTCATCCTGCAGAAAGTGTGATTTCAGCTCCCATTTATTCGAGGCATCTCCTATCTCCCAGGCAAAGGTGTTAATTGTGACATCAATTGGATGACAAGGGATGTGTAGACCAATTGCTCCCGTAGCCCCAGCCAATTGCCAGCGAACTGACAGGCAAGTGAGTAAGGGCTTCCTAGATCATTCAGCTACCAGCTGAGCCTCCAACTGACCGCAGACCCATGAAAAAGCTCAGCTGACTCACAGAAGTGTGAGCTAAACCGGTGATGGTTAGACAGTGCATTTTGGGATGGTTTGTTACATAGCAGAAACCAACGGACACATGTCTGGTACAAATGTGTAAGAGTTTCCTCCAGGAAATATACCAAGATACGGAGCCACCAGGTCTAGAGTTGGCATTTTTTCAAGCCTACTAGATGCTGCCAAGCAGCTCTCCACAGTGGTCCTGCCAATTTATACTCCCACCAGCCCTGTAAGCACATTCCTTTTGCACCACAACCTTGCCAATACTTGGTAATGTCAGTTATTTTGATTTTGCCAATCTGGTATGTGCGAAATGGTATCTCAATGTTGTTTTAACTTGCAACTCTCTGATCACAAGTGAGGCTGAATATCATTTCTGAGGTTTACTGGTTGAATGAGGTTTCTGAAAAAAAAAAAAAAAAAAAAAAAAAAGAAGACCTTGGTCAGATCTGTGTTTCTGTGTTTCTCTCCCTTCTTGAACTGGCACACTCCCAGACACAAATTAGTCTTCACTTCCGGAGTCCCCTTCCCAACTATTTTACCTGCCTTCTCCTTAAGACTCAGTGCAGGCATTCACTCCTCCAGGAAGCTTTCCTGACTTCCAACCTCCACATTGGGTCAGGTGCTCCCTCTGTGCCCCATCTACCTTCCTCTATTGGAGCACCCACCTCATTGTATTGCAGTTGTCTAACTCTTCCTCTAGAGCAGGGATATTCAATAAAAGTTTGTTGTATGACTGGATGAAACCCAAGCTTTGCCTTTTAAAAGCTTAGCCTCCCAGCCTCAGTTTCCTCATCTGTTGAATGGGGATGATACAGGAATTCTTGGAGAATTGACATGAGTCTTAAATGAAGAAAGGAACATAATGTATCTGATAAAGTAAGCTCTCAGTAAATTGAAGCAAGTATTATTTAGAATAAGGAGGTCTCAATGTTTTTGGTCATGGACCACAGAATTTAGAAAAATGAAACATTGATACGCACACAAGCACAGATACGGTGCACAATTTCTGAGACGTCACAGGTGCTCTGAAGTCATGATCCCCACATTAAGAACCTGTAATCTATAGATATTTATAAATGTCAATTATTTTTACCTTTATGCCCACCATTAGCACCTAATAAATGTTCAGTAAGACAGTGCTGATGAATGAGTTAATTTTGTAAATGGATCAGCAGCCACCCCTGCCCCATGAAATTCCTCAGCCAGTGAGGCTCTTAGCCCATGGTCAGGCTTTCGTTGTCCATCACCTAAAAGGAAAGAGGACTCCCAGACAGTGGAGTGACCTTGGCTTTTTCTGACAAGCAAAAACAATGGCACAAAGCCTTTGCCACATGACCAGCAAAAGCTTCCACAGTCTCCCTGGGCCGGCCACCCTTCCTAACCTCCTCACAGTCCAGTAAAAAATCCTCATTTTCTCCAACTCCAAAATCAGATTCTGAAAGGCAACTGCAAACTCCTTCTTGCTACAGTGCCTTTTAATTAGACAACAAAAAGCCCTGGAGATCATACTGCTCCCTTGTAACGGTGTGTTCCAGAAAATTACTGCCATTGGATTAAATTAAAGAAAGGTTATTCAAGTGACTCGTTAGGCACATTCCAACAGTGTTAGGATAGCACCAGGGCTGTTGTTGCTGTTTTTGTTTTTTTGTTTTTTGTCATGCACAGAGCAAGGAACAAATGCACGTCCTTATGGAAGGTTTTTCATGACACAAACTAGTTCTCATAGAATAGTTAGGATAGGAGAGCCTGAGAAGTCGTGCCTGGAATTGGGACATAAAGATTTTCACCAATTGGAGCTGGAGGAGGAAGCATCTAACATTAGTTGGGAATATACATACTATTATGGGCTGAATTATGTCCTCCCTTACCTCATATTCATATGTGGAAGTCCTAATCCTGAGGACCTCAGAATGTAACTATATTTGGAGATAAGGCCTTTAAAGAGGTAGTTATGATGTTTTAGGGTGAGCCTTAATCCAATATGACTTATAAGAAGAGAAAATTTGGACACAGACATGGGCACATAAACAGGCAAAAGACCATGTGAAGACACAGGGAGAAGGCTGTCTACAAACCAAGGAGAGAGGGCTCAGAAGAAACCAACCCTGTTGACACCTTGATCTTGGACTTCAAGATTCTAGATTTGTGAGAAAATAAATGTCTGTTGTTTAAGTCACCCAGTCCATGGTATTTTGTTACGGCAGCCTGATATGGTTTGGATCTGTGTCCCCACCCAAACTTCATGTTCAATTGGAATCCCCAATGTTAGAGGTGGGGCCTGGTGGGAGGTGATTGGATCATCCGGGTGGATCCTTCGCAGATGGTTTAGTACTATCTCTTTGGTGCTGTTCTGGTGATAGAGTTCTCATGAGATCTGGGTGTTAAAAAGTGTGTAGCACTGGCCAGGTGCGGTGGCTCATGCCTGTAATCCCAGCACTTTGGGAGGCCAAGGCGGGCAGATTGCCTGAGCTCAGAAGTTCATGACCAGCCTGGACAACACGGTGAAACCCTGTCTCTACTGAAATACAAAAAAAATTAGCCGGGCATGGCGGCGTGTGCCTGTAGTCCCAGCTACTCACGAAGCTGAGGCAGGAGAATTGCTTGAACCCAGGAGAAGGAGGTTGCAGTGAGCCAAGATCACGCCACTGCACTCCAGCCTGGGCAACAGAGTGAGACTCCATCTCAAAAAAAAAAAAAAAATGTGTAGCAACTTCCCCCTCTCTCTCCCTCCTGCTCCAGCCATGTAAGATGTGCCTGCTGCCCCTTTGCTGTCCACCATGATTGTAAATTTCCCAAGGCCTCCCCAGAAGCAGAAGCCAGTATGCTTCTTGGGCAGCCTGTAAAACCATGAGCCAATTAAATCGCTTTTCTTTATAAATCACCCAGTCTCAGGTATTTCTTTATAGCAGTGCAAGAACAGACTAATACACAGCCCTAGCAAACTAACACACACACTGTATGCCAAATGAGTGCTTGGCATATATAACTGCATTTCCTCTTCACTGCATCCTCTGTTACCTTCATTGAATGACTGAGGAAACAGAACCAGAGGGGTCAGTCATTCAAGGTCTTTCAAGCTGGCAAGTGGCAGAACCAGGATTTAAACCCCCGGCAGTGTGACTCTGATGCCTGCCACATCTGCCAAACTGCATCAAACTGCAGTGAGGAGAAAAGGCAGTCATTGGCCTATATGGATTTTGACAGCCCCTTCCTACATAAACAGTCTGTGGTTTGGTACGCTGTGGTGGCTCAGACATATTTTTAGCAAGCTCTGATGTCTATCATGCTGTTGAAGAAGTGCTACTGTCACTGTGGATCTTTATGGAGTCCAAGTGCATCTATAAATCTTTCAGGGCTGTTAGAGAAGGTGCCTGATACTCCTCCAGGAAAAATCAGAACCTGCACCTGCCAGTTGATGGTTCTCCGTTGCTCTTAGAATAAGGTCAAAATTGCTTAGCCCAGCATTCCATGTCTGTCATAATCCACTTCCTCTACAGCCAAATCTCCGGCCATTTACTTGCTATGTTCAGTTATGCCGGACTTCCTTCGTTTCCTGAACATACTGCATTCTTTCTTGCTTCTGTGTCATCACTCACGCTGTTCCTCTGCCTAGAGTGTCCTTCCCACTTTGCCCACCTGGTGACCCTTTACTCACTCAGGTGTCATCCTTCAAGTGTTCCCTCTTTCAGAAAGTCTTTTTGACCTCTCCTGGAAGAATCTGTTGCTTCTTCCTCTGGTCACTTGTTATACTTTGACATTTTCTGTGTGATGGACACACCCTAAGGGGACCCCCCCCGCCCAGTGAGTCACACGCATGTGTATTCTCCTCCCATTCAGTGTAGACAGACAGGCTTCTAACCCATAGAATATAGTAAAGGTGATGGGATGGCCCTCCCTTGCTTAGGTTACTTTATGCATCTTTGCCACATAAAGTAGACTGAGTAGAGTTCAGCTCTTTCAGCCCACACGCAGTGCCTGGCACATAGTAGGCACTTGATATACTGTTGAATGAAAAAGGTGAATAGATCTTTAAGGTTCCACCTGGCTTTGAAAAAAAGACTATACTTTTAGGATGTTGAAACATCATTTACTGTGACCTTCATAGAAGGTCAATGAGAACAATGGGATGTTGTTCGTATGATTACAATATGTTGTACAAGGCATTATCTTAGCAGATAGAGAGACCCCCTTGTGGTTTTCGAGGTGTCAACTAACGTGGGTGGACCACATGGTGAAACGTGAGTAACTTCTTGAAATAGAGAGAGGCTTCCAGCCAACCGCCAGGAAAAAGGTGGGCCCTCAGTCATACTGTCACAGAGATGGACTCTGCCATTGATTGCATGCGTGGAAGTGGATCCTCCCCATGTGAAGATTTCAAATGAGAACAGAGCCCTGCCAACACCTTGATTGCAGCCCTGCAAGATCCTGAGCAGAGGAAACAGCTAACGATTGCCCTGACTCCTAACTCATGGAAACCAGGATGTAATAAATGCATATTGTTTAGGCAATCAAGTGAGTAACAATTTGTTACATAGCAACAGGTTACTAATACACTTTATTACAGCACACAGCCAGTATTATTCTTTATATGTTACTACCAATTAGATGAGAGCCATAAGAACAATGACTAGAGTTCAGTTTTTCAGCCCACACACAGTGCCTGGCACACAGTAGGCACTTGATAAACTGTTTGTCGAATGAAAAAGATGAATAGATCTTTAAGGTTCCACATGGCTTTGAAAAAAAGACTATAATTTTAGGATGTTGAAACGTCATTTACTGTGACCTTCATAGAAGGTCAATGAGAATATCATATTTCCAAAGAATGAAGAAGAATGCAGACAGAAAGCATTCTTCCGTAACAGTTATAGATTCTTTGACACAATTTGCCAAGTAGTTGGGCGTGCCGGGCCCTGTAAATGTAATAAAAATGTGTGTCGAGTGTCTTTGAAGATGGTCAAAGTCAAAAGCAAAAATCACCAACTGGCTGAAAGGCAGCTAGGACCATTAGCTGCTATTTGAAACCCAGAGACAAAGAGACATTAAGAGCCACAAACCAGTCAAAGGAAGAGTCATCAGTCAGCTGTGGAGCCAGGGACAGAATTCTCAATTTGTCTCAGCCCAGAACTCCCAGAAAACGTTTCATACCCCCCACCTCCTGTCCTCCTCTTCTTCCTTTCCCCTACCTCTTCCTCTGCTATAGAAACAAAAACATAATCCTTAGAGCAAGAGAGGCCTGCAGACCACCACCTCCAATCCCCTCATTGTACAAATGGGAAGGCTGAAGCTGGAGAGAATGAACTTGACCAACACTATACAGAGGGTCCGAGAACAGCATTACATTTTCATAATGCCCTGAAGGCTAAAGTTAAAAACAAAACAAAGAAAAAAGCTTCCTTAAGGATCAGTGAGAAAATGAGGCAATTCCATGGAAAGTGAGACATCTCACTATTAAAAAAATGTTTGATGGGAGCTATATAGAAAGGCAAAGCAAAGGAGCGATTTTCTCAAAGTACCATACTTCTTATAACCAGCCCAGAGCTGCCCCTTGTTCCATGTTCCCACCTTTTCCAAGTTTCCATTAAGCACTTCCTAGCCACTGTGCAATGTGCTTTACGTGTGTTCTCTTCATTAACCTTCCATCCACCCCCTTTAAGCTCTTTTTTTTGTGGGGAGATGGAGTAGTCTCACTCTGTCGCCAGGCTGGAGTGCAGTGGCGTGATCTCCGCTCACTACAACCTCTGACTTCCTGGTTCAAGTGATTCTCCTGCCTCGGCCTCCTGAGTAGCTGGGATTACAGGCACGTGCCACTATACCCGGCTAATTTTTGTATTTTTAGTAGAGACGAGGTTTCTCCATGTTGGTCAGGCTGGTCTCGAACTCCCAATCTCAGGTGATCCACCCGCCTTGGCTTCCCGAAGTGCTGGGATTACGGGCGTGAGCCAGCACACCCGGCCAAGCTCTTTTTTTTTTTTAATAGATGAAAAAACTGAGGCTCAGGGAGATTATTCGATTCCTCCAAGGTTAATAAGCAGGGATTATTTAACCAAGTCCATCTGCAGTACTGACCATAGTGCTCTGATGCTGAAATGGGTTGGAGGCTGAGGCTCAGATAAGAGGATGCCAGCTGGGAAGCCTTGCCTGGGACCCTTACCTCACACCTCACAGGGCTTGCATCCAGTCACCCATCATCACATTTGATGCACACAATGAGACAGCTCCTGACCATCAGCTCCAGGAGGGCAGGGACCATGGCGGTCTTGCTCCTGCTGAATCCCCAGAATGTAGTCTGGCAGAGCAGAGGGACCTAAGTACCATCTGAATGAATGAAAGGAATGAATGCATGAATGGATGCCCCAGTGAACCATGCTGATGTGTACATGGCAAGGATGATTTTGCTAGGGGCTTCTCTAATCAGAACAGAGCTGGTGTTGGAGTGAGTGTCCCAGTGTAACCAATACCTAATCCCCTGATTTAAGACGCTCTTAACAGACTTCGTAGCAATTGGATTACAGCACGACATGCCTGATAAGGTCGCTTCCACTGCTCTGCCTCTTTCCAGCCCACAAATCAGCTCCCTGCAACTTATTTTTGCTATCATAATAGTCTGCTATTTCCCCCAAAGCTGTATAAGAGAAATTGGCATCAGTTCCACCTGTCTTACTATAAGATGTAGTGAGAGCAGACTTTGGAGAAACAACTCATAGCTTGGACACTTAGTTTCCTCATCTGTACAGTGGTGGTAATAATAGTATTCTTTTCACAGGATTCTGGGGATTAAGAGAAACAATGCCTATAAAGTGCTTAGCCCTCTGCAATCACTCAACACATTTTCCTGGAGGAAAAGGCCTGGGACAGGCACCACTGGCTACCGGCAGGGCTATGGGCAAGACAGCAACCTTCTCTGGCCCCTGAGCGTCCCATATGTAATACAAGAATGGGAGAGGGAGGAGTCTAAGGAACCATTCAGCAAATACTTGCTGAGGATCTACTGTGGGCTCATCCTTGGGCTGAACACTGGGCACAGAGAGATAAAGGAGCTGTGGCTTCGCCCTTGAGGTGCTCTTGTGTGGTAAGAGCTTTGAGAAGTGTGTCAAGCATTGTAGGAGCACCTGGTATGTGCAAGTCATATTGAAAAACACTTTCCATATAAGAGCAAAATCAATATTTGCAATAACACTGATGACAGCACAACTGTCCTTGTTTTAGAGGTAAGGGAATTCAGGTACAAAAAAGCCCTCCGTGATTTGCCCAAGGTCACAAAGGTTGTGAATAGCAGAGATGGGATTTGAACCTGGAGATCAACTCTGTGCTCTAACTCCCTTTCTTGCACAAACATAATACGATTCTCCATAATGATGAGACAGACTCAGGAGATTACACTTAGGCCAAGATAAATACCGGTATCTCTCCTCTTTTCCCGATATTTTTGTGCTTTCTCTTTTTCTCGCCTTTCTTTTATCTCCCTGCACTTCCATCAATATTGTCTGCATTATCTACTACTCATAGAGGCGACTGCTTCTCTTTTCGTTGCTGATATCATTCCCACTGACATTGCAAGGAAGAGGAAGGTTGTGGTCCTGGAGCAGAAGTGATAACTCCAGTTGCTAACATCCTTTCTCCAGGGATCCCAGAGCTGGAAAAGGTTCCTTATGACACCCGGCATTAGACAACCTTGAGCCTCTTCTTCCTCCTGCTATCAGGCTAAGAACCCTGAGGCATCCCCAGATCCTCTCCATCTCTCCCAGTGACATCTTCTTGACTAAACCCCTGTTCATTCCTTCCACCACAAAATGTCAGCTTATGAAACAGGAATCGTTCATATGTAGCTTGTTTTTAACCTTTGATATTCCCAGCCAAATTTTCTAGAGAAAGAGTGACCCTCATACCATTCCCATCCATGGGAAAATGTGGTCCTCATACCAGCCCCAGCAGAGATACTGAGACAGTTCAGCATTTCTGAGCCAAACATTGGGGGGATCGCACAGCACAGGGGTTCAAAGTAGGAGCTCTGCGGCCAGACTGTTTGGGTTCAAATCCCAACTCTTCCATTCACTACTTCTGTAAATTTGGGTATGGTTACTTCCCTATGTCTCAATGTCCTGTCTGTTTCACCAGGAGCATGATGATGATGGTGGTGATGATGATGGTATCTCCCTTACAGAGTAGTGGGAGGACACAATGAGTTAAAATACAAGCGTCTAAAACAGTTTGACACTCAATAAACATTAGCTTTATTTTTCTGTATGTCCCATGGCAAAGGCACCTCAAATTCATCTCCATTGCTTTTAAAGGTACATTCCAGCAGATAAAGGGAAAGGAGAGACACTTCCAATGACTATGAAATATTTATTAGCAAAAGACTTTTTAAGATTGACATAACAAAGAGGGAAAATAACTCTATGTTACTCCATGAGTTGCAACATGTTTTCATTTGCTGCACAGAACATGAAACATACAGGTTGCAGTTGTCTTCTGGGGAGGCAGGATGTTGGGGAGGCAGGACGTTTGGGAGCCTTATTTTACAAATGAAAGGTGAAGCCACTTGCTGTGGGGTCACACAACTAGTTAAAGGGAAGCTCTGAGACTGGAATAATGGTTTTCTGCCTGGTATCCAGAGTGCAGCTCAACTTCTTGGTTAAAATCAACACATAGGAACTAAACCACTGGCCTGCTGTGGTGACTTACATCTGTAATTCCAGCACCCTGGGAGGCCAAGGTGGATGGATTGCTTAACCCCAGGAGTTCGAGACCAGCCTGGGCAACATGGTGAAATCCTGTCTTCATGAAAAATACAAAAAATTAGCCAGGCATTGCAGTGCCAGCTAACCAGGAGGCTGAGGTGGGAGGATACTGTGCCTGGTAGTGGAGGCTGCAGTGAGCCATGATCATGCCACTGTACTGCAGCCTGGGTGACAGAATGAGACCGTCTAGAAAAAAAAAGAAAAAGAAAAACGCCCAACACAATTTATTCTTCTTCCTTCTGTCTTTTCAACTGCTCCAGTGTGTTCAAGTTTCCAGGAACATTCCTAAGGGAAGGGAAGGGCATTCACTGGCCAGAGCTGGGGAGCGTTAATGAACAATTAAAAGTGGCTTTGGTGAAGAAAGCAAACGGAAGCCTGCTGCATGCATGGGAGAATAATATTTTCCCTCTGAAGAGGGCAGTATGCAACCAAGGGCAAGTTGTGTACTCAGGTTTTTCTCCCAGGTCTTGCAGTGCAGCCCTCAGAAGCTGAAGCATTTATTTCCAAGAGCTTATTTCTGAATGACAAACATCTTCATACATGAAATAGGATTCTGGAGGTTTGAGCACAGTTACACACTGCCTCTTGCCTGAGGGGACACAGTGCAAACTGATACTAAGGTGGTTATGTAAGATGGATGGAAGAAACTCCAACGATTTCTTTTTCTATCATCTGCCCTCCCAAACCGTCCTCTATGAAATTAAACAACAGCACAGCATTTCAGACGGTCTCTGATGTTTGCAGAAGAAAGTGTTTCTTTTTCTACTAAGACTGCATGCAGCCTGGTTTCTGCTGCCTAAAGCAAAACACCTTCTTGAAAACATCCTTTGCACAGAAATAAAATGTTGGGACTGGGGATCTTAGCTCCTGGGATGCATTTATCAAACCAATCACAGTAATTATAATTAAAACAAACTAAGTGAGAGCTGAGCATGAAACACATTAGCAGGAAACCTGAACTGCATACAATTAAGCCCTGCTTGGTGGCATTTTGAGGTATGTCATTAATACATTTTTGGGGTGGAGAAGATTGATTTTTTTTCCTTAAACATCTTGGTCTAGTTGCATGAAAGGCTTCAACAACAGTTACAAAGGAGGAATAAGGATAGACACCATTAACTGCTAAGATTAGAGCTTTAAGACAGATGGCCAAAGGTAGCCTAATTGGCTATTTTTTAAAAAATCTTCCTCAGACACACTGTTAAATATGTTTATTGGGCATTAATTTAACCTATGTCTGTTTTAGGGAAGTAAAGAATTGAAGATCTTTAGGGAAAACACAGCTTCCATTCCTAGCCTCAATGCATTAAGTCAGCAGTGTTGAAAACCTTTCCACTCTTCCCCATTGTCTAGAGGAGAAAGTCCGTTTTCCTTACAGGTTCTTCATTCAGGTGTCGCCTCTTCAGTAAAGTCCTTACCATATTCTCCTCTCCTAAACCTGGGCTCCCTCGCCATTACAACAGGTATCACACTGGTTTTTAACTCTATTTATTTGATCTTTCTCCCCTGGGTCTCCAGCACCCAGCACATGACCCAGCACAGAGCAGATGCTTCAAAAACGTTGAATGAAAAGCGACCAAATAAATAAATAAATAAATAAATAAATAAATAAATAAATAAATGAATGATCTATCCTTCTGGGTCCACCACAAACCAAATCCTCCAGGTAATCCTCCATCTTGCCCTACCCTGGATAGATGTCAGCTGGCTCTGCAATGGAAATTCTGGAAGACTTTTACGAAAAATACATAGAAGAGTAGCTTAGGAGAGGCAGCTCAGGTTGGAAGGGATGTGTGTGAGGTAGGGTGTGTGTGTGTATGTGTGTGTGTGTGTGTGTAGCACTATGAAGCTCCCCATTAGAATAAAAGCACAGGATTTTACTTAAATCTTATTTGGGGGATTGGGTGGGTGACGACCGACTCCAGGGCACACCTGGGTGTATCTTCCCATTTTGCCTAGGGATGGGAGAGCATAGAAGAGATTTTTCTCCAAGCCACTTCAAATATGTATATTTTTAATTTCTATTTTGAGATTGTAGATCCAAATGCAGTTCTAAGAAATAATACATAGACATGCCATGTACCCTTCACCCAGTTTCCCCCGATGTTGACACGATGGCAACCAGGACATTGACATTGATAAAATCCACCCACCTTACTCAGATTTCACCAGTTTTATATGCGCTCATTTGTACGTGTGTGCGCGAGCGTGGGGTGTACACTTTATATAATATTTCTGAAAGTGGCTTTTCCCTTGCAATGGAGACTGGGAAGGGGTCCAGCCTGATCCATCCCTGCCACGGAGTTGACTCCGGCAGACAGCAGTCTATGCTTGTATTCGTCTCTCGCACACAGTAGGTGGCCAACGACCGTCCACATAAACCCTGGAATTTGTCATGTCAGGGCGCGTGCAGGAGGGGAGCGCCACATTGTAAGGAAGAAAACCGAGACTGAAGTGCCCAGTATTTTGGAAGCAAAAATCAAACAAACAAAAAACTTGACGATTTCCCCCCGAATTGTGAATTAGCTAGCCGGCTAATTACTCCAAAGCGATCCTGGTGTCGGCACTCGCTGCGACCGCCGAAGAGCGCTGTTTCTGAGCCCCGCTCCCGGCTCTGCCGGCGGGGTAGGGGACGCGGGGGCTCCTCCCACCCCTACCGCCGCGTTCACCCCTTTCTTCCCTGGGGCTGGACTGTTTCACCCCGTCTCCAGGCAACGGCCAGGCGCACCGGGCGGGACGTCATTTCCTGAGGAGCCCGTGGGGAGGGGGCGGGCAGGAGGAGGGACGAGGGGGCGGGGCCCGGGCCGGGCTGGCAACGAGACGGCGTCGGAACTCGCTGGAAGACTCGGCCCGGGTGGCTCAACAGTTCGCAAAGTCCGGGCTTGCGGCCGGGCGGCGCAGAGGCGCGGAGGCTCCCCGGGCGGCTGCATCCCGGGGCTGCCCCGGACATGCCCCGCACCCCTTGTCGGACGCCCGCGCCGCTTCACCGGCTGCCACTCCCCGGAGTGCTCTGGGACTAGAGCGCCCTCCGCCCCAACTTCTGACTTTGGGGTCCCCCAGCCCTAGAGGAACGGGCGCCCGGCTGGGGGAGCCCCGGGCATGGTGTGACGGGGCAGTCAGGTCAGCTTTGCGGCGCCCCCAAACTCCAGCCACCCGTCGTCTCCGTGCCCTCCAGAATGTAGCTGCTGACCCCGCGCCCCCCGGACTCCAGCAGCAGTCTCCGCCACCTCCGGGCTCCAGCAGCCAACTCTTGTGTCTCTCAGGAACCCGCCGACGTCTCCGCGTCCCCCGGATTCCAGGTTCGCGACCCCCGCCGTCTTCGCGCCTCCGGGACTCTAGCAGCGGTCTCCGCGACCCCCTAGGATCCAGCCACTGTACCCGTGCTCCCCAAACCCAGGCTCCAGCCGTCGTCTCCGCGCTCCCGGGGATCCAGCTGTCGCGCCAGTACCCGCGAGGACAGCGGCACCGCCCACACCCCGCGCGCTCAGAGCCCGGCCGGGCCTCGGCGTGGAGATGAACGCGCCGCTGGACGGCCTGTCGGTGAGCTCGTCCTCCACCGGCTCGCTGGGCTCGGCGGCCGGGGCGGGCGGCGGCGGGGGCGCGGGGCTGCGGTTACTGTCTGCCAACGTGCGCCAGCTGCACCAAGCGCTGACCGCGCTGCTGAGCGAGGCGGAGCGGGAGCAGTTCACCCACTGCCTGAACGCTTACCACGCGCGCCGCAACGTCTTCGACCTGGTGCGCACCCTGCGCGTGCTGCTGGACAGTCCGGTCAAGCGGCGCCTGCTGCCCATGCTTCGTCTGGTCATCCCGCGCTCCGACCAGCTGCTCTTCGACCAATACACGGCCGAGGGCCTCTACCTGCCCGCCACCACCCCCTACAGGCAGCCCGCCTGGGGCGGCCCCGACAGCGCGGGGCCAGGGGAGGTGCGCCTGGTGAGTTTGCGGCGTGCCAAGGCCCACGAGGGCTTGGGCTTCAGCATCCGTGGGGGCTCGGAGCACGGCGTGGGCATCTACGTGTCTCTGGTGGAACCAGGCTCTCTAGCTGAGAAGGAAGGACTGCGGGTCGGGGACCAGATTCTGCGCGTCAACGACAAATCCCTGGCCCGGGTGACCCACGCGGAGGCCGTCAAGGTAAGGCTGTGGTTTGGAGAGAGTCTGGGGCAGAGTATGGACAGAGTGGCACAGCTTTTTCAGTAACTCCATGCTGTGTGTCCTTAGATGAATCACTTGGCCTTTCTGGGCTTTTTTTTTTTTTTTAATACTTTAAAACAGGAATGTATAGCTTACAGAGCAAATAGCTCTCAGGCACTGGGAACGTAGTTCTGCACAGACATGGCCCTTGCCTTTGTGAGGCTTAAAAGCTAGTGCAGGTGATAGTAACAAATACTTGAGCAAATGTGTGGTTACAATGTGTGAATAGGGCTGTGGATTCTTATGAGCATTAAAAGAGATAAAATCTCTGCTTGGCATAATTAGGTGGCCTTTGCTACTGCCATTCTGTGGTTTTTTGTTTTTTGTTTTTCCCTGAAACAGTTTTGTTAGCTCTTAAGTGGCCTGAGGAGGCCGTTTGTGTGATCCACAGTGCACTGGCTTGACGCTGCTGTTTTTGGACCAGGTTGTGTATCCTGAAGCAAGTCACTTGCCCTCTCAGGACCTCTTGTTCTCCACTTGGAAAATGGGGCCACTGGACCAAATAAGCGGTCCCTAACCTTTTTGGAAATGAGACTCCTGCCTGAATGTAAAAAATAAATTCCCTAGCCCCTGAGAGTGTTTGTCCTTTCTGCCATTTGTTAATTGAGAAATATAACCTCATGACAACAGGCTTCCAGGGATTTAATCATGCTTTTTAAAGGAGTGTGTGTGCTTACTGATCTACAGCCCAGGGCTACTGAAAACCAGTTGGAGTATGATGGATAGTGTTGGGTCCAGGGTGGATTCATGGATCCTTTGCAGGCATTTTTCCCCCTTCCCCCCTCCCCCGACCTCCTTTGCGTACAAGAAGTGAAGAGTTTGGGGGAAAAGGGACACATGCTCTGCTTCTGCAGAGAAATGCTTCTCAGGGGGTTGGACTGTTCTGTAAACCCCCACTCCCCGCCAGCGCAGGTGTTTTGAACTCCAGCTGAGGGCCTGCTGGCTGCTGGGAAACTCCTAGGCAGCAGAGGCCCACGACTACTTCCTCCTGAGTGCCGTTCAGTGGCCTGTGTCCAGGTGAGTCTTGAGCCGTCTCCCTGGCTGTGCACCTGATGTTGGCTTCCCTCATTTGCTTCCCAGCCCATCAACCCCTTTGGAGGAAGCCCTTGAGGCTTTCAGAAACTTCTTTGTAGCTTCTGGAAAAAGGCCGATCGGTTTATACTGCATCAGGGTGCAGTGGGCAAAGCTCGTTGTGAGTTTCCATGCAACAATTCCTCTTCCCCCTCTATCAATCTTTTCCCTTTGTTTAGCATTCCATATATTTATAAAGAAGTAGTCCATTAGCCTTGGCCTTAAATGGTCTGGAGTTCCCAGATGATAAATTTATGCACTAAAGATACTTGAGGCAAATGATCATTTGTAAATGTGGATTCAGTTTTAGTGGCAATTTAAAAAGACTTGGGTAACTTAACGGTCACAAGGTGATAAGGTGATATGCTTTGGAAAGGCTGTCAGTTACCTTGGGCATTCAAAACGCAGACTGTCCCTTCAATTTGCACCCCAGACTCAGCTGTGCCATAAAGGTCAAGCTGCTTGGCTGTGAGTTTCAGTTTACCAGCAGTGCTCCCCGCCTGCCACCCCCGCCTTCCCCCACCACCATTTCATTGAGCCCGCTCCAGATCTTCTCTCTGAATCTCCCTCAGTAACACCATGGTGCTGTTAAACTGTGACTCAGAGCAGCACCAGCCTTTAGCTTGTTTGTTTACTCTTGCTGCTTCCAGAGTAAAACCTAAACTCTCCATGTCATAGTTTTTGAAGCCTGAGAATAAACCCTTGCTGGCAAGGGAGAGGTTGATAGGAGCAGAGCTGTCCTTTAAGTGTGGCAGCCTGTGGTGCAGGAGCCTGTGTGAGCTGAGCAGCTCTGTCTCTTGACTGTCATTTTCCCAACAGAGGTGGCTACATTGGCAAAATGAGCTCTTGCCCCAGGGTCACCCCACTTCTAGCCATGGCGGGACACATAACCTGCCTGACATGGACCCTTTGGACCCTTCAGAAGCAACAGGCAAAATGATGGCTGCTTTGTGTTACATTAACCCCAGGAGGAAAAGAGGACAGACTTTTCTTTGGTGGGTGGAATTTTAAAATGGAGGAGGCGGAACTTCTTCCCTGAGGCCATGGCACTCCTCGTGTAGTTTCAGGGACAGTTTAAAAGAACACCTGGAGAACTGTTGACACATTTCCACAAAATTAAGAGCGAAAAGCCCCTTAACTGAAAGCTGAAAGAGGCCCCAGCTTTTCTACTAGGCACAGACTGCCCTTAACCAGGATTTCTCCACGGGGAGCCGTTCTTTGTAAACTGCAGTGCTGCGAGTCACCATGTCGGGGATTTTATGGTAAAAGTACATTACTGTTAACTGGACTTCAGACTTCATTCAAATTTCACCAGTTTTTCTGCCTATGTCCTTATTTTATTCTAGGATACCACATTGCATTTAGTAGAAGATGTGTTTTCAGTCTTAACAATATTTTTTTTCCTGCGATGGAAGGTGGGGTGAGGGGGAGGAGATCCTCTGAGCTTCCCAAACGGAGAGATTCAGTGTGTGTGTGTGTGTGTGTGTGTGTGTGTGTGTGTAATAAAAATTAAATTAAATTAAATTTTAGGAATCAAGTTACCTAATAATTTATGAATAAAGGAAAGTTGCAGCTTTTTAAAGAGTGGGTCGAGCAAAGTTTTTTCCACTTCTCTTTCTGATAAATCAAGCATCCATTGTTACCTGAAGCAGTTCAGTGAGGATTTGATCCTATATCCATTGGGGCTTCCACCCCTCTCTTGAAACCCATTTGCAAAATCAGCAGTGACAGGTCCAGATAAGGTAAGCCATGGACTATTTGCAATTATGTTGAAATGTTTGATTTTTGAAAAAATATCTTGAACAGGAGCCAAACTAATAATAATAAAAAAGTAGACCTTTCAAAGGTTTTTAGCCAAATGTGCTTGATAAATTGGCCAGAGAGTCCACAGACCAGGGATGCTGCCTTAGGCCCTGCTGCATACTTCCTGTGTGACCTTGGGCAAGTCACTGACCCTCTCTGGGTTCCAGGGTGGATGGGCCAGGAGCTGTCCAAGATCCCTTCCAGCTTGGACAGTCTGTGATTTGCTTGGTATGTGCTACACAGGAGGCATTTAGAATGTCTAATCTGATGTCTTCTTGTTCTTTTGAAATTGCTTTCATTTAAGGCAGAATAAGGAAAGTTGGCTAAGGATTGGGAGATGAGGATCTTGGCACTCTTGTGTAGCATCCTACTATATCAGGAAATTGATGGGTTATACACTGTACTGACGAGAGCTTGACTGCTGTCTCTTGACCCACAAACACCAACCCTGGTGCTGTTTCGGAGCAAATGAGGAAACAATAGGATTCTGGCACAAACAGCACCGCCCTGGGAGCATTCAAAATCAAATTCACTTGCTCACTTGCCTTCTGAATCTCCTGGTTATGCGGTAGCAGAACACAGGGTAGCGGGGCACTGCTGGGATATGTGCATATATGTGTGTGTTTCATCTCAATAAAAATTAAACGGCTTCCTTATGGCCTCAGCACCCCCATGGGTGGATTCAAGGAGCATATTAGAATTGAAATATTCCAGAAGTTAAAAACTGTTGCCGGTAATTTCATTTAATTAGAGTGATTGCACCCTCCCTCCCTTTGCATAATAACCTGGAAAGAATCTGTCCATGTTAATATAAGACATTATATTTAGTCCAGCACGTTCTAAATGACACAATTGTCCTTTTCCCATTGTGCATGGTTAGCTGAAGCCATTGCAAATTATTACCTCTTCCAACTTTATGTCTGAAATGTAGCTTCTGCCCCGGTCTTGTTCCTGTGTCCAGTTTGGAAACCGTGGCACCATGGCATGCACAGACCTTCCTCTGGCCCTGTTTTCACTCTTGGGTCCTGTGAGTCCTGCCAGCAATGACATGTAGAAAAGCTCACTTATTAATAAGCCCATTATTGAGTAGATTTGTGGCTGCTGCATATCCATTTCTTTAATTTAGTCTTGTATATTTAGTAGGCTCAAGCTGACGCTCAAGGTTTTAGAAAATTTAATGCCTAGGTAGGACAAAATCCTCTTTCATCTGGTTATTTACTCTTTAAATCAAAGAAGCATTTTGTAGGATGGAAGAGAATGCCCTTAAAAAAATCGGTATTTTTATAGAAAATTATTGCCTCCTGACTTGAAGCTGGACATGAAAGAGATATAGAACCACACCAGCGCTAGTGTCTTGTTTTCCTGTCATTCTCCTCTGCTGACAAACCCAGCTTTGTTTATTACTTGCCATCAATTCATCAGTTGGTTGGAGCTGCAAAGATAAGTGTGATTCTTTAACCCCCCGACCAATTGGATTGTCCGTGTGTTGCTGCTTTCCAACTCTGCCTGCCGGCAGCCGCACCAGCGGTACACAGCCTGCCTGCACCTGTCAGTGCCTGCAGCCCCTCGCTCATGTGCCTGACTGCTCAAGCTTGAATCACATGTACAGTCTCCTCAGAGTCATAATCCCCCCTCCATCCTGCAAAGGGCTTTGCACCGAAGCAGGCGTCCATAGGGGATTAGGCTCCAACTGGTGATTTCTTGCAAGGTTCTTTTATGACCTGGAAGGGAAGCCTTTGGTTTACCCTTCTCAGGGACCCCAGACTAATCCTCAGCCAGGACCAGCGAATCTGATTGGAAAGAATGACATTAAATGGCTGGAGGTATCTGGAGGTTGAAATACAAATCTTTCAAAACTGACTTCTTTTTTAAATTCCTGAGGAAGAATCTGATATTAACTCTGAACTCACGCAGACTTCTAATCATGCCCCAGGGTAGGGGTGATTTTTAAGATTTTGTGCTGCTGACATTGGCCTTTTACTGTTAAAGCCTGGCAAGCGGAAAGGGTGCAGAGAATAGGAATCACTTTCTCTCCATTCTTTTTCCGTGCATTCCTGATGTCAGCTGCAGGAAGCAGCATCATGGGGCAAGTGCACTTGTGGTTATTTATTTTTTCAATAGACTATTTATTAAAGCAGTTTTCGGTTCACAGCAAAATTGAACAGAAGATACAGAGATTTCCCATATAGTGGACACATGCTAGCCGCCCCCATTATCAACAATTGATGAACCTACATTGACACATCATTGTCACCTGGAGTATGTAATTTACATTGCACTTGCACTTTACTTTATTGGAAGCCTGTTGGGAACAGGGGAGACTGACATTAACGATTACCTACTATGTGCTGGGTGCTTTGTCCCTCCTGTTCCCTTTAACCTTCCCCAGGGGAGGCAGGCAGGCGAGGAGGGTCATGCTCAAGGAGATGGAACTGGGGAGCTTAAGGTCCCCATTGGGATTAGGAACCAAGTGGCCTCCTTGCTTGGACCCCAGCCCAAGGATTTTGTAGTCAGCCTCCTGGAAGACAATGCCAGCCAGTCCGCTTACTAGAAAGTGTGGCAGATGTCACATTTTGTACTTGACATTTGAGGGCCTTTTAAGAACCACCCAGAGACTTCACCTTACTAAGGTTGGGGGGCGGTCTGAGACCTACATATCAAGGGAGAGTGGTGTATTTCAGCCTGTTCCATCGTCGAGTAGAGACATGCATCCATACATTCTCTGAGCAGTGCTTACCACACACAGGCCTGTGGCTGATACTTGGACATCAGAGATGAATAGGACATGACCTCTGTCCTTGGGGGATAGAGACCCATCCGTGGCCACAGGTCACCCAGCATTTACAGTGCTGTGACATTCTCATGCCTCTGCATCCCTGCCACCCTCTCTGAAGTAGTACCCCTACCTGCCCACTCCTCTATCCTTTTGCCTGGCTTTAGTGTCCTGCAGCCCATTTGTCACTGCTAAAAGGAAATTTCTGTATGTCTTTTTATGGTCTGCCTCCCCCATTACAAGTTTGCTCCAGGATAACCAAGATTTGATCTGCCTTGCTTATTCACGCATCCCCAGCTCCCGGCACACAGTAGGTGCTTTAATATATAAATAAATATTTGCCGAATGAATGGAATGATCTTGCTCCTAATCCAGCGCTAGTGAATTCAGAATTCCCCAGCTCCTGAGAGTGAGATCTGATGGAAGTCTGTGTATGGCAGCGTTGTGGGTGCTAGACAAAAACACTGAAAAAAGCCACTGGCTCTAGTGTGTGCTTTACCACCAAGCTGGCTTTGTGGCCGTGGGCAGTTCACGTGACATCTCTGAACCTCAGTCTTTGGAGCTGTGAAATGGGCATAACTACCTCCCACCTGCCTCCTTCCCAGGTGGCTGTGGGGAGCAAATGACTACTAGGTGTGGCAACATTTGGAACCCTCTGCTATTTGAGTGTAAAGCCTTTAAAAAAAATGTGGTCTGTGCCTGGATACTCAATGGCTTTTCTCCTCCCCTGAAGCCCAGAGCCACTCTACAAGACCCTTTCAGCTAGTTCATTTGTCACTTTGCTCTTAATTTTCAAACCACATCCCCAGAAGTGGGTTATTTCAGCAGCCTGATTGTGTCTTTGATTCCAAAATAGAATTATTTATGCATTCTGAAGCAATCAATGAACCAATTTTGGGTGAGATATATCTTCTGGCTTTTGGGCTTCTTTCTTTTTTTTTTCCTTTTCTTTTTTTTTTTAAAAACAAAAAACAAAAACTGTCCAGGTTTCTAGAAACCCAGCATTTTGGGTGAAGGCCAAGTTTCCAGTAACCACACATATGCTTAAAAGCTGCTTTATTCTCTGAGCATGCATAAATGGATTTATTTTTTCTTCCTTTACAGTCCCAGCACCTTTGGCTCCTTCCCCGTTTGAGAATTTGTGTTCCTTTTGCTAAATTGGCTGTGGCTTTGCTTCAGTTAGCAGCCAGTTTCGTCATGATTTTTTTTCTCTCCACCTGAGTTTCCTAATATCAGCATCCTCTCAACTCTGTATGCAAAGCAAATATATCAGCCTTCCATAAACAGGTCCCCAAATGTCCTCTTTCCTGGATTCTAAAGCTGTAGGCTGCAGGGAAGAACAGAGTAAAATGATGTAAAAAAGGATATTCCCAAATACCTGTGTGTTAGAGCCTTAGAAGTGGTAATTTACAATGTTAGCTTGCTTAGGAATTAACAAACTCCCCAGCCAGGCCTTAACCATGCTAAAGTTTGGGAAACACTGTCTTCCTTTAGGATTCCTCCATCCCCAACACTGTTTATCCCCATAAAGGCTTGACCAGAGAGGTGAACCTTTCCTGTCCCCATCCTTAACTATCTTGCAGCAAGATTCCACTTGTGTAAGGTCAACTGACGTACTGGAAAATCTGAGGAAGGGTGGTATGTACCCAAGAGGTTAGAGATGGGTTTTGGAGATGGACCTGGGTTCATCTGACAGTGTAACTTGGCTGTGACCTTGGGCAGGTCCCTTTGCCTTTCTGTTACTCAGATATCCTACCACCAAACCTGGCCCATAGTCCTCACAAACATGTCATTGTTGCTGTTGAACATCAGAAATCTGGAAAATATGGCAGTGGAGGTCCTGCTGCAAGCATTGTAATGAAAAATGGTATGGACTGCCTTCGCTTGTCTTTGAAAGTCTTCTGTTATGCCTGCTTAGTTTTTTTGTTTGTTTGTTTGGTTGGTTGGTTGGATTTTTTTAGGTGGCATTGGAAGAAAATACTGGACTCAGGGCCCATGTGATCCACTGTAGCTGTTTGAATTGCAGAGTCATTTACTGAATGTAGTCAATATCCCCACATAGACAGAGTTTCTTTAAAAACGTAATTGCTCCTATCTGGCTTTTGGCATCGGCATTTTTGCTTTATAGCAGTAATAAAGCCTGGTGGTTGAATAGAATTCTGTGTCCCCCCACCGTCCCTTCTGATGATCTGTGAGGCCTTATAGCAATGTGGGTGGCATACCAGACAGTTGCATGACCCAGAGTGTGACAGCATTGTCCCCTGGATCAGCTGCATCCATAACTTCGTTTCCCAGCAACCTTCCCTGATGGCCTCCCCAGGGACCCTGATGAGGAGGGAGAGGAGGTGGCTGTTTTTAGAGCCCATTAAAGCAATTAATGCAGGTGAAATTGGTGATTTGTTAACATGGGCTTCTGCACTTAAAAAAAAAACCCTGTAATTTATTTGAGCTACATCTGAAAAGGTGTACAAAGTCTCATTAAGAGGTTTCTGATTAAGAAAAGAAACGTGGTCCAGCTTTCAGAAATTAACCTCCCATGTGGATAGGAAAACTTTGAAAGTCAGGGGAGGGATTTTCCTTCTGCCATGTCCATCCTCCTGTCCCTGGACGGAGGGGTGGCATCCTTTGTAGTGTTTGGACCCAGTGTACCCTTTTCCTTTTCTTCATCTCTTTCCTTCTGCCTCCCTCTTCTTTCTCTTTAGAGAATCATACATTTCTCCCAAATTTTCCCTGACTCTCTTGAGCCCCTCTCCTCCTGCAAGTCCTTCCAATCCTGAGATTTTTAAGTCTGCTTCTCAGGTCCATATACATGTACAGCTCTCCCTCAAATTCCTCTTTCCCCAAATGTCTGCATCTCCACCCATCTTCTAGCCTTGTTGTCTCTGCACAGGATCTGTGCCTCCTTTTAGTGTATTTATCTATTTTTTAATTGCCTTCTCGTTGTGCTTTCTCTCGCTCTTAAATTGTGGATATTTCCCCTGCTCTTGTTCCCCACTTTCTCCCACTTGAGTATTGCACCAGCCCCAGGGAGGCTGGACTCTCCAGGCTTTACTTCTTTCCAGCACTTCTCAGACCACACCTCCCTCTTCCCCGTCACCACCATTGCCACCAGCACTGCCGAACTGTAGCATCCTCCTGGCCAGCCTGTCTGTCTCCTGTCTTGCTCGTCTGCCCACCGGTCTGATGTCCATCCTGTTGACCGGGTACACTCTCTAAATACATATCTCATCAAGCTGTGCCCTGTCTACAACCCTGCTCTTGAGCTGGGAGCCTGCAGGGCAGACGCCAAGCTCCTCAACCTGGTGTTTGGGCTGCCCATGCTCTGATCTTTACCAGCAGTCCTGTTCCCCAAGTTGTGTCCACTCTTGGCCAAGCAAGCAACATACCCTCCTCTGAAGCAAGGCTTTCACTCTCTCCACCTGTTGACACCACTTATCCTGTTAGGTGCAACCTCAGTACGTCCTCTCCAGAGGACCTGCCTGCTCACCTCTGCCGCTGTCCCCACCCTGAGGAGCCTGCTCTTCCCTCCTGAAACCCGCTCCCCCCCCCAGTGTCATGGCCTTTCTCACTTCTGTCATGACACAGATAATGCATTTCTTGGTGTTTTCTTTTCTTTGTTGCTCATTGTATGATAATAACCTTTGATAGAGGGCTTAGAATGAACCAGACACTGTTTTCAGTGTACGTGTATAAACTCAGTTAAGCCTCATAATCACCCTGTGAAGTTCAAGTAGGTATCATTTTCATCACTTTGTTTTCCAAAATTGCCAAGAGTTTGTCACTTGCCAGTCATCCCAAAGGTGGAAAGTGACAGAGCCAGGATTTACACCTAGGTTTTGTTGACTTGAGGGGTTGCGTCTTTGCCCCAACAGCAGAGAGAAGGGATGCCCCACAGTGCTCGAGCCTGAGCTCCGAAGCCCTGGGTTTCCAAGACTGGCTCTGCCACTTTCTAGCTGTGGGGCCTTGAACCAGCTTCCTAACGTCTCTGATTCTCAGATTCCTCTTCAGTGAAATTGTAATGGGAATAATAGTAAAGTAGCAGACAAGTTACTTACCTTCTCTGTTCAGGTTTCCTCATCTCTAAAATGGGGATACTGATGATTATGCAGACAATGTGTTAAAGCACTGGGTGCATCTATTGGTCTGAACATTTGATGATCATTTACCATGTTCAAACTCCTGTGTTGGGATCTGTTTTCCTACCAGATGCTGCTCTTCCTGGCAGTGTAGAAGGTACAAAACAGATAACACGCACAAGATGTTTACAGTACTTAGCGCACTAAAAAATATCACCACCACTGGGAATCTTCTGTGACATCACAAGCTCTGTGTGGGTTTCATGTAAATCCCCCACTGACACTTCACCATACCCCCCCGGGAGAGGACTCTGAGAATTGGAAGAGGAGGTGACCCATCACGGGCACACAGTCAGGGGCACACAGTCAGGGGTGGTGGGACTAGGATTTGAACCCAGGTATTCTGGCCTCCAAAGTGCATGCTCATTGCCAGGGCTCTCGGCTGGCTGCTAACGGAGAAGCACGGCATACAGCCCAGCGTGGTGCTGGCAAGAGCAGGAGTTCAGTAAATGTGCGTTTCCTCCCTGAGTTTTTTCCTTGTGGAAATGGCTTTGTAGCTATTTGATGAGAAAACCTAGGCTGCAGCTTCCCTGTTCTCCCCTGGGCACACTGTATGCATTTTATTGACTAGATTTCAGGGACAGAGGTGGCATTGGGCACTTTTTCCTTTTTGTTTTTTTCCTTTTTCCTCTCTCTTATCTCTCTCACCATGCCTTGACCTTTGTCAGGTTTTTATTTTGTACGTTGTCTGTGGAAATTCCCTGATAGATAACTGGTGACTTGTGAAATTATCTCATTGAATGGTGGAGTCTCTGAATTTGTCTACACTGCCTGATCAGCACACTTCAAGGATGAGAGGAGGGTCTCTCTCCTGGGCCTCATGTGAAAGGCTGGTGGTCATTAACTCTGCTGTCACAGACTGGACAAGTTAAAGGGGCATTTTGTTTGGTCATAGGAAACAAATGGAATAGAGGAATTTGTCTAGGCTGTTAAATAAAACGTTTTTTCTCCCCACCCCCCCACCCCCACTTTTTTTTTTTTTTTAAAAAAAAGATAGGGTCTTATTCTGTTGGCCAGGCTGGAGTGCAGTGGCGCGATAACAGCTCTCTGCAGCTTTGAACTCCTGGGCTCAAGTGATCTGCTTGCCTCAGCCTCCCAAGTAGCTGGGACTACAGGTGTGCACCACCACACCTGGCTAATTGTGTTTATTTTTGGTAGAGATGAGGTCTCACTATGTCGCCCAGGCTGGTCTCAAACTTCTGGGCTCAAGCGATTCTCCTACCTCGGCCTCTCAAAACACTGGGATTACAGGCGTGAGCCACTGTGCCTAGCCTCTTTATTTTAATTACCTAACATATATGGACTTAATTGTTTTTCTTTTTTTGAGATAGGGCCTTGCTCAGTCACCCGGGCTGGAGTGCTGTGATGCGATCCTGGCTCACTGCAGCCTCAACTTTCCAAGCTCAAGCAATTCTCCTGCCTCAGCCTCCCGAGTAGCTGGGACTACAGGCTTGCGCCACCATGCCCAGCATGGTGTGTATATATATTTGTGTGTGTGTGTGTATTTTTTTTTCTTTTGTAGACGTGGGGTTTCACCATGTTGCGCAGGCTGGTCGTGAGCTCTTGGGCTCAAGCAATCTACCCACCTCCACCTCCCAAACTGCTGGGACTACAGGTGTGAGTCACCACGCTGAGCCTGGACTTAATTTTTAAAACTTGAAAACTTCAGAAAAACGCCAAAAGACCCTCCCCAAGTCAGTAATAATTGTACCCACTCACCTGCCAGAAATAATCACTATTGACAATTAGAGTACCCTGTGTGCATCTGTGTATGCATTTGTATTGGGAATTCTTCCCAAAGCTGCCATTCTGAGCATCGTTATCTAGCCTATTCGTTACACCAAGCGATGTATGATGACTGTGTTCCCACCTTGATAAATGTTTCTACACTGTGATTTTTTAATGATTGCATAATATATCGTAGTGAAGAGGTACATGATTTATTTAACTAATTTCTTCTTGTTAGACAGTTTGTTTTTTAATATTATCCATATTGCTGCTTTAGACATCCCTGCACATTCATCTTTAAGCACATTTCTAATAATTCCTTGGGCTGTCTTTCTAGAGGTGGCATTGGCTCGGGGGAGAGGCGCAATTTTAAAGCTTCTGATTAACTGTTGCCAGACTGCCCCTGGGACGGAATTTGTTTTGTATATTCCCTCCCACCAGCGTTTAACAGCAGTTGATGCTCTTCATTTTTCTCCAGCCATGCCGACACTGGGTATTATATTTCTTTTCCATTTTTATCAATCTGTTAGACAAAAAGGTATCCTGTTTTAATTTACATAACTTAAATAGTGAAGTTAAGCTCTTTTTTTTTTTTTTCAAATTACAAAGCTACTTTTAATACTTTGGGGTGAGCGCCACAGGAATAAAAAACACTGGGAAGGGGTAACCTTGTCACCCCGGGAGTGACCCAGGAGGAGAGAGGCCACCTGATGGGGGAAGGAAGCACAAAAGGGACCCGCTGCAGACTCAGGGCAAAGGGAAGCCATCAGGGCTGGGACTTGTGGGCCCTGCAGGAGGAGACGTGGGCATGGTGGGACTGGCTCCAGGCACTCAGGCAAAGGGCGGGAGGGTTGGACACGAAGCACAAAGCTACTTGGGTTCCTGCTGCTTCTCGTTTGCCTTTTTCTCCTTCTGCTGCATGATCTCCAAGTCCCTCTGCTTGCGGGTGGCGGCAAAAAGCCTGTCATCTTGGTGCTTTCCCTTAACCGAGGCGCGCTCTGCTTTTTCATACTCTTCTGGTGGGGAGCTCTTGCTGGTTACCACAGGTCATGGTGATGGCAGCGGCTCCGACCTGCCTCCGTTGCATCCCCTCATTCTGTCCCATGTTGCAGTGAAGTTAAACTCTTTTGCATGTTTATTGTTTGTGTGTGTGTTCATGTATTTACACGTATATATTTCGTGCATAACTGACTGATATCCTGTGCCCATTTATCACAAGAGTTTTGCATTTCAGTGTCATCAAATCTATCATTATTTTTCAGACATCGGCCGAGTAGGTTTTTAGGAAATGGCTGATTAATCCACCTTGAATTCAGATTTTTCATCTGAGCTTGAATTAAATTGGAAGCCCATCACCTTTTCAACTGAGAATTGTCAAAAAGTGATGAGGCACAGGGATGTCAAGAGTCTGGGAGGAGACTAAATCCCATCAACGTATCTATTCATGGAATGAGAAAACGATATGGATATAAACAGATATTCCTGATGGATCTCTGTGCTTCGGACATCGATCCCAGACAACAAAATGTGCCATTGCAAACCCATTGGGGCTCATCTTGAGTGAATATATTTATGACTCTGAGAATCTTGTTCTTCCTTAAAGAAAAAAAAAGAATAAACAGACAAAACTTAAAAGAACATTTATAAAGCAATTTACTTAAATTATAACAGACTAAAAGCCAGGCTTTGAGGATAATTGAAGAATTGCATTAAAGAGGAATCAATATCTTTCTGGAATCTGTTCTGTCCTTATGAGTTGTTTTGCAAAGGGGTGGACAGCCTATCTGTCACTTTGTTGCAAATTTCTTGTAGCATTATTCCCAAGGTCAGGATTTTATCCCTCTCTTTGAAGGTTTATGTTTTTTTCTTTTCACACAGCCTTAACTCACCCAAACATTTAGAAGCAATGACAGTGGAGAGCAGGGACTTTAAAATGTCAGGTCTTTCTTCCAGCCTCTGAGATCCCGGCATTCGCAGCATGGAAGCAAAGGTTTCCTTCTGCATCCTTACATTGAACCCTCAGAGAAGGTCAAACTCTTAAAAGAGGGTGGAAGGAATGAACAGTTGGTTTTTATATCTTTTTTAAAAAAAACTTTTTCTTTAAATGTTCTTCTTTCCTTAAATACTCTCCTATCCAGCCGTTGGTTTTTAAAAACCTACTTCGTGAGGCCCAAATTAAAGGCATATCTAAATAGCACTAAAGAAAACCAGAAAAGGGGAGAAGACACCCACGTTCCCATCCTTCTAACTGGACATCATACATTTCTCTGCCATCTCCCCTGGCCTTTATCCTTGTGTATTCACATTTCCTCAATTGTCGAATCACCTGCTTCCTTGCATTTCTTTTTGACGTATGTTGTCATTGCGTTTAATGATCCTTATGTTGGGCTGCATTTCAGGGATGGGGTCTTGGATGAGTTCACACCAATGCTCTGTGGTCCACTCGATTTACCCTGGGATGCAGCAGCGCAAGGAAGCGAGGTGGCCGCACAGAGCCGGAGCAGATGGACCGTGTCGTGGCATGGCTGTGTCGCGGGTCCTGGCTCCCTGATGAGCACACAGATGTTGAGGATGCTACTGTGAAGCCACAGTTCTTTGAGAAACAGAATTCTTACCACACCATTGCCCAGTTATGTCATCATTCCAAAATAATATAAGAATAACAATTTTTGGACTTTTGTTTAAGAGAATGTTTACAAATGACATGTGTTCTTAGACCAAACTCAGTAGCTGCAGAGCCTTTCTATAGAGTGGAGGGAGAGAGGTAGGAGGAGAAAGCAGAATGATTGCCCAAGCATCTGTAAAAAGGATCTCCATCTCCAGCTGCATAGAAAAGGTATCTAATTCTAGAAATGTGCTTAGATTTTAGTGTTTATTCACTCAGCAGTGGTTTTATTGAGCATCTACCATGTGAATGGTGTAGTTTAACCCCCGCTTTAAACTTTACATATCTCATTTGCTTATTTACTAATACATTTATAATTAAGATTCTTACTTAAGTCAAAAGTAATGGAGTGAGTTAACCTGAAAAGCACTTCATTAAAAAGGTAGAGGAATCAGAAGTGATCTTGGAAAGTGTGTGTGTGTGTGTGTGTGCACGCGTGTGTGCGTGTGTGTGTGTACGTGTGTGTGCGTGTGTGTGTGTGTGTATGTGTGTGTGGTGCCTTTGATAGGAACAGTATTTATATTGAAATTGAATTCTGAGCCCCCTAGCAACCAAGGCAAAAGGAGAAATTAATGGATTATTTCCATTCTACTAGAGAAATCATTGGTAACTTCAGGAGAGGTAAATTTCCTTATTGGTGTTCAATTCCAAGAAGAAAGCATCCTTTCATTTCTTCACTGTCTCTTTATGTGGAATCTCTTACCATCTCCTATGTTTTCTATTTATTGATACATCTCTGATCAAGCCACAACAATTTCTTGCCTTCCTGGTCAACTGAGAAGAGTGTAGATAATAAAATAATCATTTGCATAAGTAAGTATGTTGAGATATGTACTTTCAGGGACAGAGCATCACGTGCAAAGGCCTGAAGTGGAGAAGAGCTTGGAGTACTTGATCCTATAAGACAGCTCAGGTGGCAGGGCAGGAGATGAGGCTGGCCAGGCATCAGGACCAGGCGCACAGGCCCAAGATGCACTGTGGGGAGTTTTATAGCAGAAGCAATGGGGAGAGTTTGGGGCAGGGAAGGGTCAGAGTCCACGTATGTTTTATAAGGATTCTCTGGTTGCTCTGCAGTGACTGGGCTGAGAGAGGAGGCTGGGAAGCTGTTGCAGTTAGTGGTCCCTGTAAGAGGTAATTAACACAGATGAAAATGGTACAGATGGAAGGAGCTTGGAAGACAGAGTGCTAATTAGGGTTTTACTTTCTCATGACATTAAAATAAGCTACTGGGGCAGAGTCCGCATCACCAATTTCTGTCCTCCCTCAAAGCAGGGCTAAATGGGAAGGGACTTTCCAGTCCATGTGGCTGGACACAGCACCTGCTCGGGGTTCAAGACCCTAAGGGACTTTCTTTTGTTTACATCCTGTGAGGCCCATGTCCTTTTTAAAAACCCTCCCCTGTCTGTCTTGGGCCAAGGTGTAGGATTGGCCTGGTGTTTAAGGGGGTGTGAATCCCCTTAAACTGCTGGTGAGAGGGCAATGGAGAGAAGCGAGGAGAGAGGTATAAAAGCCCTGCCTTTTATCTTCTGTGACCGTGCATAGACACTTCACCACCTAGAATCGCTTTCCTCATCTGTGCAGTGGGAAGAATAAAATGTGGCATCATCGCTGTAATTTTGCTGTTACTAATGCTACCCACTATTTGCCAAGCACCTCCTGTGCGCCCTGCCCAGTGCAAGATGCTTTATGCACATTTTCTCATTGGCCCTCATTCAGTTTACATGACAGCTCCATGAGCATAGGCGTTATGGCCCCTTTTAATAGGTGGGAACACTGAGGCCAGAGAAGTTAAGTAACTTGTCTGAAGTCTCATAGCTAGGAAGGGGTTGAACACTGTTTGAGAATGGCTTTCTAGCAACTGTACCTTCCACTGGAAAACACTTTTGAGGGAGTTCGCACCCTAAGACACCACCAGGTTACCGTTTTCATTTTGGTGCTTTGCAGTGCTTTAGGGCCCAAGATTTAGCCCCCAGATGATTGGAAGATAGAGCCAAGATCTGCCTAAACTGGGAGCTTTTTGGAAACTGTGGAAGAAAGCACGAAGGAGTGTGGATCTCTCCACCAGAGTGAGCACTCCCTTGGGAGAAGGACATTGCGAGGCCTCCACCCAGCCCTGTCCACATTGTCAGGGGAATTCAGGTCCTCTGTAGGCCCAGATGGCATAGTGCTTCCCCCTGCAGGTAGATACAGGAACTACAAAAGGGATAAGGCATGCCCCAGGGGACACTGGCAAGGAAATGTGATTGTCTGTGAATAAAGACTCACTGCCTATGGCTTCAGGAATTCCATTTTTCTCTAGTTTAGGGAATTAGATGCATGAATGCCCCAAGATGGCACATACAAGGATGTTCATCGCAGGTGATGGTGCTAGCAAAAAATGAGAAACACCCTAAATGTCCATTGATAGGAGAATGAGAATTCGGTAGTGGTGAGTCCCTTCCAGGGAATGGGATGGAGTATTGGAAGAGATGAGCTTTATGTCATTGAACTGGTAAGAAAAGATCTTCAAAATACATTTTTAGTGGAAAAAAAGATGGAGCAGAAAATGTTCAGTTGTGAGTTGATTTATGTAATCAGATGATAAGCTTGTATATGTATATATACGTGTTTATAAAGTACAAGAGCAAGTCAGGAAGGGCAGACATCAACACATATCAGTCGTTACCATGGGTGGTGGGTTGAGACTTCCACTCTGGGTTCTGGGTACTGAGTTCTCTACAGTACCCAGAATTTCTTGTTAGACAAAAAAAAAAAAAAAATTTTTTTTTGGTATCTCTTACCTAGGTTCCAGGTGCTAAACCTTTTATATATATATTGACTAATTTAATAATCAGAACTACCCTGTGAGATAATACCTCTGTTATCTCTTTCACTCTCGCTCTCTTTTTTTTTTTTGGTATCTCTTACCTAGGTTCCAGGTGCTAAACACTATATATATTATATATATATATATATATATATATATATATATATATATATATATATATACACACACACACACACACAACACACACACACACTCTACACACACACACACACTCTACACACACACACACACACACTAATTTAATCATCAGAACTACCCTGTGAGATAATACCTATGTTATTTCTCTCTTTTTTTTTTTTTTTTTTTGCCTGGGAAGCTGGGGCACAGATTGGGTAAGTAACTTGCCCAAGGTTACTGTTGGCAGGTGGCAGAGCTAGGATGGAATTCCCACAGCCTACCTCCAGGGCTGTGGCTCTTAACCACACTTTCTTCACTTGTCTCTCCAAATTCCATGTGTATCTAATGTGTCTATGCTCACATTAAAGTGGAGAAGTGTGGACTGCCTGACTACTGATCTGAAAGAGCACTGCTCTGTGTCCTAATTTGAACAGATTCCTGAGGCTGTCTGGCATATAGAAAACTCATTGAATATCTTGTTCAACGATGAATGAATGGATGGTTGGCTAAACGAGTGAAAAGGAGCAGGGAGAGGTTCTAAAGGAAACAGAACATGTAATGTGCCTCAAGGAACTTGTCTTGTAGTCTTAAAGACAAGATCACGAATGTGACTCAGAGCCTGTGGTATAGACGGCAGCACAATCACAGAAGTGTGCTGGATGCTCTTGGAGGACAGAGTCAGCCACAATCTGGGAAGCTTTTCTGGAGGTCGTGGGAAAGGAGCTGAGTGTTGAAGGCAGCGCAGATACGAGGAAATGTGGATTAAAGAAGGATGTTTCTTAAAAAGAAGAAAGTTGGGGGACACGTGTTTGTGTCCATATAGATTCGAGGTTTAGAGAATTTCTGGGACCTCTGTTTGGGAGAAGGAACTGGCAGCCTCAGGAAGGGAATTAGCATGCATTTAGTACCTACCATGTGCTAGGTACTGTATACGCAGTTTACAGTTTCTTAAATCTTTTCAACAGTTGCTTTTAATTTTATTATTATTTTGAGACAGAATCTTGCGATGTTGCCCCAGCTGGAGTGCAGTGGCTCGATCATAGCTCACCGTAGTCTCGATCTTTTGGGCTCAAGCAAACCTCCCAACTCAGCCTCCTGAGTAGCTAGGACTGCAGGTGCACACCATTATGCCTGGATAATTTTAAATTTTAAAAAAAAAATTTTTTTTGTGGCGTCTCACCATGTTGTCCAGGCTACTCTTGAACTCCTGGCCTCAAGTAATCCTCCTGCCTCTGTCCCCCAAAGTGCTGGGGTTGCAGGCCTGAGCTGCTGTGCCCAGGCAACAATTGATATTTATATACTTATTTATTTAGAGACGGAGTCTCGCTCTGTAGCTCAGGCTGTAGTGCAGTGGTGCAATCTTGGCTCATGGTAACCTCCGCCTCCTGGGGTCAAGCAATTCTTCTGCCTCAGCCTCCTGAGTAGCTGGGATTACAGCCACCCGCCACCATGCCTGGCTAATTTTTTGTATTTTTAGTAGAGACGTGGTTTCACCATGTTGGCCAGGCTGGCCTTGAACTCCTGACTTCAGGTGATCCACCCGCCTCGGCCTCCCAAAGTGCTGGGATTGCAGGCCTGAGCCACTGCGCCTGACCAGCAATTGCTTTTTAAATATAGAAACAGGCACAGAGAGTTTAGGCAATTGGCTCAGTGTCACACAGCAAGTCATCTACAGAGCCAACACCATTGTCCGGTGTGTCTGAACACACAAAGCCCCAGCTAGGCAAGGTGCGGCTGCGAAGAGCAGGCATGCATAATTTTTTCCTCCCTTCTGGGTCACTAAGATGGGTCTTAGACCAGTTCTCCTTCCTGTTGTTGAGTCTCTGTTTCCGAAAAGAGAAAACCTTGCCCTTTGAGGTCTGCACCCTGAAATAAGCTGGGTGACTCATCATTACGTGTCCTTGCTTGAGACTTTTTTGGAATACCTCTGTTGCACGTGCTCCTCAGCACAGTGATCTGATAGTCTTGTGACCTTGAGGTCCACCCCATGCTTGCCTTTGGTGTATGGTTTTGAACACAGAAGCATGTGTGCGTCTGCCATGTTAACACATCCCATTAGCCCCCTACACTGTGACCCTCTCCAGTCTATTTCTCACTCCTCTGCTAAGCAGAGAATCATGTCAGCCTGGTCTATGATTTTGGGGTTTCAGAGTTGGCTCCAAAGAGCTGAGTGAGGCAAATTTGCCTCCTGAGAGCATTAATCCAAGTAGCAAGTTATTAAGTTTGAAGACATACACATATAATTTACATTTCCATAATCATAACGTGCTGCCAGAATAGTCATCTGGTGATGGATAGTATCTTAGTCGTGCCATCTGCTGGGTCAGATCGAGATTTCTCTATGATTTGAGTTGGTGGAATGCCCCAGGGTCAAGTTTCACCAGTAAACACGTGATAACAGGTATGGGAACACAGCACTCTAATGACCATCCCTGCATGCGGTGGGCTCTCCCCAGATCTTGCAATTTTCCTTTTCAGCCGTAGCTCATTGAATTCCTCAGTGATAGGCATTGTGCTAATAGGGCTCCTCTAAGTAAAGAGAAAGGAGAATGGTGATCTTCATTTTGCAGGAGAGAAAACAGAAGAACAGAGAGGTTTGGTAACTTGTGTGAGGTGGCACAGCTAATATGCCATTGATTCAGGAAGACTGGTGGATCCTGTGGAGCTGTCATGGCTAGAGAGGGGTGTGGTTGATGGAGAGTCACTAGCGTGCAGATGGATGTGTTGGATGTGACTTACCACCTGCAGGCAGCTTCCTACAAAGAGCAAGGACACAGCCGTGGCCTCGGAGGGGCAGCCCTCTGGCCTTCAAGTCCTGTCAAAATCTCCTGCTGCTGCTGATAGTGCCGAGTTGGGGTGCGTATCCTGCCATAACTGAGATGCTCCAATTGTCCTTCTGGTGTTTTCTTAAACCCTGTGGAACCTCAGAGCCCCCAGGCTCTGGATCTGGTTCAGTGACCTGGTAGCAACACCAGCCAGCATAGCTCAAGTGCTCACTGCTGGGATGGGAGAAACTGAGGACAGTTTTCCAGGCCCAGAAGTCAGGTGCCCATAGGTGCAACCCTCAGCCTGCCTGGAGTTATCCCTGGGTGTCCCAGAGCCCCTGATCTCTCTGCTTTAATGACCTGTGACCACCATGAGAGCAAATACAGTCTTTCCTTCTAAATACAGCCCTGAATCAGAAAGACATAGAAGTTTAACTTGGGACAGGATCTTAGCAAACAGGTCCAACCTGCTCATTGCCAGAGGGCAAAACCAAGACCTAGCAAGGGGAGAAGTAACCCTAGGACACCCACCAAGCTAATGGCACAACAGGGACCTGCTGGGTCTCTGTCTCACAGGCTCAAGCTCTGCTGCCTGAGGCTACTCACTCTGTAGGCTGCTCTGGTGAGAGAAGTAAAATGAGTGGTCTGGTGCACGTAACCATGGGTGAGGATCTCGCGATCCCCCAGGTGGCCTGAGCCTCAGGGATCAAGGTAGCAATGGTGGGTGAGTTTGAAAGGCTGGCAGGGTGGCTACAGGGGAAAAAACATGACCAGCTTTGTTTAGGAAATAACTCTCCTGTTGAATGATGCCCGTTAAAATAAGCAAGCAATGGTTTGTAGAAATGGAGACAAGAAGGCAGTAGGAGCAGAGACCGTCCTCTTCCCCTTCCCTGCATGACCCACACACATTTTAGTGGCATTAAACAGCAATGGATGGAGCTGTTCCTGCAGGATTCTGATGGCCACTGCACCAAGACCATATCCCAAGAGCCTGCGTAGATATTGAAAGTCTGTCTCAGGAATCTTGTTTATCATCAGTTTCGCCAGAAATATAAAAAAGCAGTAGAGGATGATGATTTTCTTGCTCTCCAACACCCAGAAAAAGCCCATATTTATCCCTAAAGAATAGTCATTATCAGAGGTAGATGAATGGTCTACGCTTGAGTGGCTGTCTGAGTTTCTAATCTCAGAGTCCTGTGATGGGGAAACTGAGGTGCAGAGGGGAAGGAGACCCAGGGCTGGCCTCCTGCGTCCTGGGCTGTGCCTGTTGTACTCCTGAACCCTATGTTTCCCTTCCCATCTTGGGGCTTCAGGGTCCCCTTCTGTAAAATACTGGGGGTGGGCAGCCTGTGGGAGACTCAGCGACTTGGCCCAGGCCCTCTCCGGCGCTGGCTCTCTGTGGTGTTCTCATCAAGGGCATTAACCTCTCCGTTCGCAAGGTTGCTGCTGGCCTATTTATAGAACTGACCAAGAGGATTCTACTGTTGCTGGTGATAAAGAATACAAATGATGCTCTGCGCATTGTTCTTTATTCTTTCCTTCCCTTTTTTTTTTTAAACTCCTTGGTCAACGTTTTGCTACCGCATGGTTTTCGATCTCCATGCAGACATGCTGAGGGGGAGGGGAGTGGGCTCTGCCATTTGCTGAGCTCCTACTGTGTGGCCAAGAAGGCTCTGAACTTTATGCACATTGTCTCATTTAACCCACGGTGCCCTGGGAGGTGAGCATTGTCCTTCTCCCCAGTTCACACATGCTGCTTTGCAAGGGGAAGCAACCGGCCCAAGGACTGTCCACTGGTAAGCCGACTGGAATCCCACCAGTGCGACTGGAATCCCATTTTCTCTGTCTCCACAATCCACGTGTGATTTTTCCACTTGCACTCCTCTGTTCCTGACCTGAGCATAACCTTCCAGACTAGATGTGGGTGCAGGAGAATGCCTGTGGATGTTAACGGTTTCTTTTGGGGGCAATATTTACTTTCTTAATCAATCAGGCAGTCTTTTTTCAGGACCTACTGTGTGCCGGATGATTCTTTATCTCTCACCAGGCTGCAAGCATCATTGAGGACCTACTGTGCACCAGATGATGCCTTGTCTCTCACCAGGCATGTGTCGTGAAGACCTTCTATGGACCTGGCTATGCTTTGCTCTTCACTATGCACAAGTTTCACAAATACCTACTGTGCGCAGGACAATGCTATATCCCTCACCAGGCTCAAGTGTCATAAGGACCTACTGTGTGCCACACGATGCCTTGTCTCTCACCAGGCGTGTGTCATGAAAACCTATTGTGTACCAGGCAATGCCTTGTCTCTCACGAGGCTCAAGTGTCATGAGGACCTACTGTGTGCCAGGCAATGCCTTGTTCCTCACCAGGCATAAGTGTCATGAGGACCTGATGTGTGCTGGGTGATGCCTCCTTGTTTCTCACCAGGCTGCAGCCTGTCATGAGGATAGACCCACTTTGTCTCCTCTAGGCTTGGCACACAGTAGGCGTTTGGTCAGCCCTTGTTGAATGAATGCTGTGGTGTAGTGTTGCAGTCTGTCTAGGAAGGAGCAGAGAAGGAGGCAGGCCGGGCGGAACAGCACTGGAGCAGGGAGCTGTGCCCTCATGGAAGAGGGAGCAGGAGGCAGAGACGAGAGGGAGAGGAAAGAGAGGTCAGGAAGACAGGGGCCATGGAGGATGTGGTGGCCTCAGAGGCTTCTGCTGACGTCTCCTGTGCCCTGAACCACTTTCCACTTTGCTCTGGGGGAAGCCCACTTGGTCTCAGGCTTTCTCCATCCTGCCTCTTCACCTTAACAGGGATTTGATTTTCCTGACTGTTCTGCCAGGGGAGCCCTGGGGAATGCTAAAAGAATACTGTAAATCTTACCCTGTGCATCTTCACAAAAATCTTTTATAAAAGCAGAATTTTGGAGAGACGCCATCCTCGTTATCCCTCCACTGGAGACTGGGATTTAGCTGTAGAATTGAGGGCCTGGGTGCCTCCTGGCTCACCCTTCCTCTGCTGAGAGAGGCTCAAATGTCAGGGACTTGCCTCTTCCCGCAGGCCTTGCCTAGCCAGGGCTCCCTCCTGTCTTTGAAAGCTCAGCCCAGGGTCTAGTTTGTCTGTTGAGAGTGTTGGGGAGTTGGTAGAGCTGTATGTGCAAATTGGGGCAAGCTTGGGGGACGCAGAGAGCTAAGTGTTCACCCCCCTTCTTAGGCATATTGTTTTTTTTTCTCTGATATTGAAAGCAATGTGACCTCATTGTGGAACATTTAGAAAATATTGAGAAACAGGAAGAGCAAAATAATAATCACCCATAATCCTAGCACCCAGAGAGAAGCACTGCTAGCATCTTGGCACATTACTTCTCAGTTTTGTTTCATTTTGTTTTTCCAGTATGATTTTTCTCTTAACATAACTGACTTCATACTATAAGACATGATTTATAGCCTTTTAACCCCACTTAACATTAAAATATATCACATTTCCATGGCATTACAACCTTTGTAAATAGGATTTCAATGGCAGCATAAAATTTCAGTGTGTGTGAATTCTATCATTTATTCAAACAGCCAGATGGTGCTGCCATAACAAAATACCATAGACTGGGTGGCATTAGCAATAGACATTTAATTTCTCACAGTTCTGGAGTCCAGAAGTCTGAGATCAGGGTGCCATTGTTCTCGGGTTCTGGTGAGGGCCCACTTTCAGACTTGAAAACTTCCATCTTCTCATTGTGTCCCCACATGAAGAGAGACCAGAACTCTCTCTTCCTACAAAGCTACTGATCCCATCATGAGGTTCCTACCCTCATGGCCTCATCTAACTCCAGTTACCCCCTAAAGGCCTCATCTCCAAAGTACCATCACATTGAGGATAGGGCTTCGGCGTATGGATCTGGAGGGAAATACATTCAGTCCCTAACACAGGCTATGTTTATTGTTAATCCTAGTGCTTAGTGAGTGTCTCCTTGGGTCAATGTCTTCATCTCAGCTGCAAGCGTCTTGTGGTGAAGCAATATGGCAGACCTCAGCTTCCACCCCAGGCTGTAGAGTTTTGGGCTTGCCTCTCCTCACGGTGGTTCCATCTGAAGACTGGGAAATGTACAATAAAGATGGTGTTCCACACTCAGAATTAGTTGCTATAAAAAAGGAACTTCTTTTTTTTTAATTAATTATTACTATTTTTTTGAGAAGGAGTCTCATTCTGTTGCCCAGGCTGGAGTGCAGTGGCACGATCTCAGCTCACTGCAACCTCCACCTCCAGGGTTCAAGTGATTCTCTTGCCTCAGCCTCCCAAGTAGCTGGGATTACAGGTGCCCACCACCACGCCCAGTTAATTTTTGTATTTTTAGTAGAGACAGGATTTTGCCATGTTGGCCAGGGTGGTTTTGAACTCCTGGTCTCAGGTGCTCTGCCTGCCTCAGCCTCCCAAAGTGCTGGGATTACAGGCGTGAGCCACCACGCCCGGCTGAGAAAGGAACTTCTTACTCACTGTGTGGGCAGGCAGTTTCCCTCCATTTCTTCATCTGACAAATGAGATCCTCCTTCCCCTCTGCAGTCCCCCTCCCCCATTGGATTTCATTAGGATTTCATGAGATAATGCATATCAGGTGCAGCGCAGAGTGGCCGACACATACAAGCCCTTTATAAATGTTAAGCGATTGCTATCATTGTTTTTATCTGTCGACTCTGTGCTTGGTATTTTATCAGAGTCCCCAAGATGACACCTGGGTTCAGTGATTCTCTAGAAAGGCTAACAGGATTCAGCATATGGTTGTACCTGTGGCTAGGGTTTATTACATCCAAAGGATACAGAGCAGAATGATCACGGGGAAAGGGTGCATTGGGCAGAGTCCAGAGGAGACCAGGCACAGGCTTCCACGGGTCCCCTCCCTGTGAGTTCCACAGAACACACTAATTCCTCCAGCATCAAATGGTGACAAAGGTGTGGGATGTTGTCTATCAGGGGAGCTCATTAGAGAGCACCCACAGTTTTTATTGGGGGCTGGTAGACATAGACCCTGTCTACTTGTACCCACCTTCCAGACTCCCAGGAGGAAAGCAGGCTGAGCATAAACCATTACTGTTTACAGACAGTCTAAGCACATGAGCCGCATTTCTCAGTCAGGGAATGGTGGGACACTCCCCAAATCCAAGTTCCGAGATGCCAGCCAAAGGCCGGCCTTGTAAACGAGCCTTCCTGAGGATAACAGTGTCAGGCCTGCAATGCAAACTCCTCCGCAGAGGTATCCTAAAAGATCATATTTCTTGTATTTGGACCACTTCAGGATGGGGGTGGGACAGATGTTCTTGTTTTCACAGGACAAAATCGAGGGCTAGAGAAGGAAAGGGACTTCAGGGCTGGCCTCTTCTTCCATGTGGGGCTCCTGAGAAAAACCAAGGTCTGGGCCAGGGGAGGGTGTTCCTCCACACCCCCGGCACCTCCCTTCCTCTAACCTTTGTATCCCTCTCTCCCTAGGCTCTGAAGGGCTCCAAGAAGCTGGTGCTGTCTGTGTACTCAGCAGGGCGCATCCCTGGGGGCTACGTCACCAACCACATCTACACCTGGGTGGACCCGCAGGGCCGCAGCATCTCCCCACCCTCGGGCCTGCCCCAGCCCCACGGTGGTGCCCTGAGGCAGCAGGAGGGTGACCGGAGGAGCACCCTGCACCTCCTGCAAGGAGGGGATGAGAAAAAGGTGAGTGGGGTGGGGAAAGGAGGCCAGCCTCTCAGACACCGTATTCTCCCTCCGAACCCAGAACAGCAGAGCTGCTTGGAGGCCGCAAGAAGAGGCTGGTTCTGTCCAGGCTCTGTCTTCCCTCAAGTCTGTACTGAAGGGTGGTGTTTTTTCTTTGCTTTTCTTTTTGACCTGTGTAGTGTATGTTATAATACAGGCTAAGCTGCCACAATAAAAGAGCTTAAATACTGTGATTTATTTATTGATTGGCTTATTTATCTATTTGGAGACAGAGTCTCACTCTGTCGCCCAGGCTGGAATGCGGTCACGAGATCCTGGCTCGCTGCAACCTCTGCCTCCAGGGTTCAAGCAATTCTTGTGCCTCAGCCTCCTGAGTAGCTGGGATTACAGGCGTGCACCACCATGCCTGGCTGAATACTGTGATTTAAATGAGAGTTTTTTTTTTTCTCCGTCATGTAACAGAATAGAGGGACAGTCTCATCTGGGGGACAGTTCTGCTCCAGGACTTATCCTGGGACCCAGATTCCCTCCATCTTCCATCCCCCAGGGTCTTGCCCCTTCTCGTGGTTGAAGCTGGGCCACATCAGGTCCCCTTTCTACCTCCCAGGAAAGGGAAAGAGAGGCATCTCTTTAATTTCAAGATCACCAAACTTCCCACTGGCCTAGACCCAGGTGCATGGCCACACATAGCTGCCAGGAATGTGGCCAGGATTGCTGCTCCACAGGGAATCTTGTGCAGTGTGAATCTTGGGCATAAGTAACAGAAACCAGCCCTGGCCATTTTACAGAGCAGGGATGTACTGGAAGGACAGGGGCAGTCCCAGAATTGAAGCCGAGAATCTCAGGGTGCAGCCTGCAGTAGGGGGATGTCCACCATTCCGTTCTCAGTGTCCTTCCCCTGAAGATTCCCAAAGAGGGAGCACCTCACGGGCTGGCAGGGATGTCTAGGGACTTTGATTGACAAGACCACCAAGACTGTAGCCAGTGGGAGAGGGGTGGTTGCCCAAAGCACTGTGGGGTGTTCTAACTTGCAGAAGGGGGCAGGGACACCAATAGATGTCCCCTATGGAGCCCTCCTGACCCCAGACCTGTACTGTTTCTTGAAACACAGGAAGGCTGAAATGGTCCCTGATATCTTACCCTTCTCTCTGGGTGCTGTTTGCATTGCACCCCTTGGTTACTCCTGGAACCAAGAACATAGCTCCTGCAGGCAGCTCCCTGGTGTGTAGGACCTTGACACTGACTGCCAGGAGGCCACATGGCTTGGGGCTCTGGGCCAAGTGCCATGCCTCTGGAAACTCTTTCTCAGCTCTCCTTTTCCTGTCGATAAGACTGTAACATTTATTTAATGTGTTTTGTGTTCTTTGCTGAAACGTCAATATGCAGGACGCGGCAGAGATCACAGCAGCTTCTATTGGAGGTGAGCGGCAGCAGGTAGCTTGTTGGTATGCACCACAGCAGCCCGGGCCGCGTCAAGGTTGCCAGGGCTGGGTGGGCTCGTACCCTCTCCCCACCAGGGAACTTGTTCTCTGACAATCTTGAGAGAATGCTGCCAGTGGTTATTGAGTCATGATCAAGGGCAGCTGTCTAGTGTTGGGCACAGAACTTGTTTTATCTTTTTCTCAGTCCCTTTTCTATGCAGGGCATGGGGTGAGTTGAGCTTATCATTGATGGAGAGCCCTTGTGTGCCCAGCCCTGTGCTCACAGTGTCTTCCTGAGTCCTCCTCGCAGCCACACTGGGAGGTAGGTGTCATCATCCCCATTTTGCAGATGAGGAACCTGAGGCTCAGCGCTGTGGCAACCACAGCCCAGCCAGCAAGTCTCCTAGTGTTTGCTGAGCACCTGGGTGCTTGACGATGTTATGGGAGTGGACAAGAGCACTGGGGCCCTGCTCTTGGGAAGCATCCAGAGTTTGGAGGTGGTGGGAAGAGTGAGACAATAATCCCAAAATGAGCACCAGTGAGCAAGATAATTAAGACAGTGCAAACTGATGGGAGGAAGTGAAATCAGGAGCCGGGTAGAAAGTGCCAGGGAGGTACGGGCTGTTTTGATTGAGGTGATCAGGGAGGACTTCTCTGAGGAGACGGCTTCCGAGCTGAGACCTAGAGAGGGAGAAGGAGCTGCCATGTGCCATTCGGGGACTGAAAATCCCAAGCAGCAAGGACAGCATGTGCAAAGGCCCTGAAGTAAGACTGAGGCCAGTGTCTGCAAGGATTGAGCAGATGGGAGGGTGGGGGTTAGGTAAGGTGCCTCTGGGAGTCTCAATAACTCATATAAGAATGTGGGGCTGGGCACAGTGGCTCACACCTGTAATCCCAGCTCTTTGGGAGGCTGAGGCAGGAGGGTTGCTTGAGCCCAGGAGTTTGAGATCAGCCTAGGCAACGTAGTGAGACCCTGTCTCTACAAGTATTTTTAAAAAAATTAGCCGGGTATGATGGCATGTGTCTGTGGTCCCAGCTGCTTGGGAGGCTGAGATGGGAGGATCACCTGAGCCCAGGAGATTCAGGCTTCAGTGAGCTGTGATTGCCCCATTGTACTCTAGCCTGAGCAACAGAGTGAGCTCCTGTCTCAAGAATAAAATAATGCAGAGGTGAAGGCTGCATGAATCATACTCCAGGGAGGACCCAGATACCGAAGGAGGCAGGAGACACCCTGAACCATCCCAGAGACAGGCCGTCCCAGATTCCACAGCCCCAGACTGGCGCATCTACCCTCCTCCCTGTTCCTCCTCTTCCTGACACAGTGTGGAAACCCCATTTCCCTATTGGGAAGGGGCATGAGCTGATGTCTCTGGATCCCTGGCTGCTGGATCCTGGGTAAGGGGCCTGGTGGGGTCTGATTCTCTTCTCTCCAGCAGCCTGGTCCCATCTTCTGATAGTCCAAAAAGCCACGGCCAGACTCTTGGACTCGTAACCATAACCTCCACAGAGGAAGTATACCTCTCAGGAAGTGGGTTCTCAGGGCAATAGTAGCATAAAAATCACACATGTAGCCAAGTTACCCCTGAAAATCCTTATGCCATCCCCTGGAGCTGGTTATAGTTTTATAGCCCTTTTCAGGAGTGTCCTTCTCTGTGCCGTGGTATGAGACCTGTCCCGTGAGGCTGAAGACAAAGTACAGAGGGAAGAACAGATGTAGTGCTTAGGGAGTCAGACGTGGCTGCTCTTAAATCACTGTCAAATCCTCAGAAGTGAACGGGGCAGGGTGCAGAGTGCTCACTGTATGGCTTCCCATGTTGTTCTAACCCGCAGCCTCTATAGCTCTCATAAACTAGAATCAATTTGTCATGGGGGGCGGCTAAGTGGGATAGCATCAGTGTGGCAGGGATGGTAAGACCTTGGGTCCCAGGCTGCCTGGGTTCAAACCTTGGTTCTGCTTACTTTTAATTTTTTTGGATACATACCCCAAAGTGGGCTTGCTGGAGCATATGGTGGTTGTATTTTTAATTTTTGGAGGAACCACCATACAGTTTTCCCTAGTGTCTGCACCATGTTACATTCCCACCAACAGTGCACCAGGGTTCCTCTTCCTCCACATCCTGGCCAGCACCTGTTATTCTGTTGTTTTGAGAGTAGCTGTCCTCGTGGGTGTGAGGTAGTATGAGTTTTTTCCTGATCTGTCTTCACTTTGGGCCTTTATGTGATGCCTTAGCAACATGATGACAGTGCTGAAGGTCACAGCAGGGACGTGGCGGTGTCCAGGGTCAAGGTCAATTCTGCGTCTTATTAAGCTCTTGATCCTAACCATTCCCCTATTTCACCTCCCCAGTGTGAGGAGGCAAGTTTGTGGCACAGGACTTGTTCTGGCACATTCTATGAGGTATAAATGTGATACATGTCCTCTGAAAGGGACAGGGAGAGTGCTGTAGTGTGCAGAGAAGGGAGGTCCTGCCCACTAGAGAAATTGGGGAAGGCTTCCTGGAGGAGGCAGCATTTTAGGTTTGGACATGTGGCAGTGGAAGGGAAGGGTGACCCAGACAGAGGGTACAGCATGACAGTATCCAGAGGTTAGAGAGAGCAAGACAGCTCCTAAGCGATTCCTTTGGCTGTGAAACAAGGTTGGAGAAGTAGAATGGAGTTAGCTCCTGCAGGCTGAGATGCTGGGCTGGGAATGTGTGTGGGTGGGGGACACTTTTTTTCTGTAGACAACAGAGACTTGCTGGGCATTCTCTTAGCTGGCGAGGGAAGAAGGCAAAATCAATTCTAGGTATGCAAAGACCTTTAGCAAGACCATGAAAAAGAAGGTGTGCAAAGCTCGTTTTCAAGAGGGGTGAGGATGGCTAAGTAAAAACACAAAGAACTTCTGGAGCCAGTAATGATGTTTCTTGTTTTAGTTAAGGTGAACTTCAAAGGTGGAAAATGAACCTTGGGGGAAGGTTCCAGTACTCCCTCCTGTGTGCATATTCAGGATGAGATTGTTCCTGAGTTGAGTGGGGTGAACTCATTTCTTTGAAATGGCTTGAAATGGAGGATGGGTTGAGTCAGCTTACAGGGCCAGGGGTGGCAGGAGAGAAGGAAGGAAGACCCAGGGGAGGAGGCTGCATCAGGATGGGAGGGCGAGTGTGTTGCCATGGGGTCTTTGGGGTGGAGGGAATAAGCATGATGTTTCCAGACCCTCCTCTGAGGCAGGCGCCTTCCCTTCTCCATGCCTCCTGCAGGCTAGAGGATCCAGTCTGAGCTGCAGGACTGATCACCTGTTCTTGAGTTCTGACTGTGAAGGTGTCATGGCTCAGCCTGGGGCCCTTGCAGAGCATCCAACAGAAACTCACAGATGGGCTTTCAGAAGGCGGCCTGCGTCTCCTGCTTCTATTGCTTCCACATACCACACTTACACTTCTATCACCCATATTTATTGGAGATGGGGTTGTTAATGTGGCAATGAACCAGTATCCAGAGTGATAGAAGCACAGCTTCCCAGGGGCTTATCTCTTCACTGCAGTTTTCAGATTTCACTGTGGTTTTGTAGAGTCATTTGACTGGCAGGCAAGTCCTATAAAATACTTACAGATAGTGTCATTATTCCGATTTTCCAGAGATGAAAATGGAGGCCTGGAGAGCCTGCATGAATTATCCCAGGTCATACAGCTAGAGAGTGGCTGGGACAGGTCAGGCTCATATCTCAGGCTTATGCCTGGTCCCTTCAGTGTCCCCTGGCTCTGGCTCTTTGGGTCCGGCCCTCGCACAGCCACAGTGGTGGCTCCATCCAGGAGAGACAGCAGAGCCTGCCTGCACACAGCACCAGTCATCTTGGTCAGCATCTGGAATCTGCTCGGAGGAATGATGCGGGCAGGAACAGCTATTTGTAGAACTCAGATGCCCCTTTCACCCCTCCCCGGTCATTTGCCCATGAGCTTTATTGAGAACTTCCTAAGTCTTATTCCACTACAGTGTCCCTGTCCCACGGCCCCTTACTCTGCAGTGAGCAGTTAGACCCTGCTGCAGCAGAAGCAGCCACTCCGCCAAGCTCATGTGTCTCCAGCAGCCACAGAAACAAGATGGGACCTGCCCTTCGGCTCAGGCTGCTACAAGCCTGGAACACAAGGAGCAGGGGCTTTGGGCTCAGCAGCACTGGGTTTGAAGCTTGTTTTTGAAACTTCGTGACTGTGTGACCTTGGGCAAGCCACTTAACCTTGGATGAGTCACTTAAGCTTCCGCATCCATGATTGGAGGATGGTCATGCCAGCCATGTGAGGCTGTTTCGAGGATTAATAATCAAGGCTTATAAGCACAGAGCACAGTGCCTGGACATAGTAATGAATTCCAGCAACAACCGTCAGTTACTAAATGCTGACTAGGTACTGGTATTTTCCCCCAAAATATGTACCAAGTACCTATAATGGGCCTGCTGTGTGTACTGGGGATACAGCAGTGAACAGACAAAGAACAGACAACACCTTAGCCACTGTCAAGGGCTGACGCTCTAGTGTGTTGTGGGGGGACCGTAACGGGCATGAAAAGAAATAATATACAGTCTATTGTAAAATGAGGGAGAACCAAGCAAGGAAAGGGCATGGGAGGGTGGTGTGTGCGTGGGGCAGTGTTAGAGAAGGGGCAGGGACGGCCTCACTAAGAAGGTGACAAAAGAAAGGATCTGAAGCTGACAAGGAAATGATCATACACGGATCCGTCCTATCTGGGCAGAGTGCTCCAGGTGGCTGGAGGCCTCAGGCAGGTGAGCAGGGCCTCTTGAGGAGCAGCAGCAAGACCTGTGAGATTACAGAGGAGTGAGGCAGCAGGCATGGGCAACCAGGCCGAGTCTGGGGACTTTCCTCTGAGTGAGATGGCTGCCATGGCAGAGCTTTGAGCAGAGGAGGGACCAGGTGCATATGAGGTTCCAGCCGGACTGTCCAGGCTACTGGATGGAGGGTAGATGGCAGGAGCAAGGGTGGAAGTTGGGAGCCCACGCATCCTCATCCTCACAACAGCCCTGGATGGCGCTATCAGTTAGGGGTGCTTTTGGCTGTGGATCACAGAAAGCCTGTATTTTAGGAGCACACACATTCAGGTGTTCGCTGTTCTCTTCAGAGGTGTAGGGCTGGGCAGCCCGAGCTCTGGTTTGCTAGGGAGTGAGTCTCTCCTTCCTGTTGTTGGCTCTTGCCTTGGGCTCATTGCTTCACAGCTGCAAGATGGCAGCCACTGCACCTGCCATCACAGCCTCTCACAACCGTGCCCAAAGCAGAGTGGGTGAAGGGAGCAGGAGGCCCTTCTCTTCCTGTGTTCCTGTCTTTTCAGAGTGGGGAATCTTACCCAGAATCCCCTAGCAGACATCCCCCACCATGCCTCTTGGCCAAAACTGGCCCAGAATTACCTACATGCATTCCAGTTCCTGGTATAAGGGAATGGATAACCTAGGCTGGTGTCATCTCCTGGAGCTGCTCCGGCTGCCTCTTGGACCTAGTCGAGGCTCCGTGGCAAGGCAGGAAGGGAGATGGCTGCTGGCTTGGCCACAGGCAGTGCTGGCCCCCGGCAGGTTGCACAATTCTTTTTATAGACTGGGCAACTGAAGATCCGAGAAGCAACAGGGCTTTTCCCAAGGGTGCCCAAGAGTGAGGGGCAGAACCAAGACTTGAACTCAGGCCGGTGAGAGGCAGTGTGGTGCATTGGTTAAATGCCCAGGCACTGCAGGCAAGCCAAGTGGCTGGGTATGTGAATCTTAGCCCCATCATTTCATCCCTCAGTGAGAGTTGAGCCTCAGTTTCCTCATCTGGAAAGTGGGGATAACAACAAAACCATAGAGGAGGAGTGAGGATTCAATGAGGTAATGCATATAAAGGGCTGAGTACGGTGCCTGGGACATAGGAAACAGTACATTTGGTGACCAATTGCCTGAGTTATTATTCTATTAATATTATTAGCAGTAGTGGTGTTATTTTCACTGGGCCCGGCTGCTTCTCACAGTGTCATTTGCTTTCCCATAGATGAATTCCGATTCATGCCAAATGGTGGTTGAATTTTCAGCAAGTGATAGAGGCAGATTACCCTGTGCTTGATAGAACTGTTATTACAGTTCTGTGATAAAGACTCATTTTATTCTGATGTAAAGAATTTATGGGGAGGTGGCGGGGAGGTGGGGAGGTTTGTTTTCATCCTTAGTATTCAGAGTGGGCTGCTGCAGACATGGGCTGCCATCTGCGTGTTCCTGGGCTTGACTGCAAAGATGCCCAAGCTTCTCTTGGCTCTCTCCCTGCTGGGATCTTCATGTCCTGGAGCTGGAAGGGCCCCGGGGTGGGGTGGGGCGGGGGACTGACTGCAGGTCACCCAAGGAGCTGGGCTAGATCCTGGGTGTGTAGACCCCAGGCCGGGCCTGGCTTGTTCCAAGGCCTTAAGGTGCAGCATGGAGTGGGGGCTCTGCCAGGCGTGGCAGGAATGGGGATCAAGGCAGGAGCTGCCTACTGTGTCCTCAGCCAGCCTCTCTGTTCTGTCCCTGATCTGAACCCCACCTTCCTCCTACATCACCACCATCGTAAGACCACCACTTCTCATGGGGGATCTCTACAAAGT